>NC_000007.14:106256779-106881779 GCF_000001405.40 Homo sapiens | reverse complement strand
CTCCCAGGTTCAAGTGATTCTCCTGCCTCAGCCTCCTGAGTAGCTGGGATTAGAGGCGCGCATCATGATGCCCGGCTAATTTTTTTTGTATTTTTAGTAGAGATGGGGTTTCACCATGTTGGCCAGGCTGGTCTCAAACTCCTGACCTCAAGTGATCCGCCCACCTTGGCCTCTCAAAGTGCTGGGATTACAGGCGTGAGCCACCATGCTTGGCCAATACATTTCTTTTGGAGTGGGTTTTAGCTGTGGTTCATCACCTCTCTGTTCAAATGTTCTGCTTTACTTGTGTCTATTTTACCACAAAACTCTAACATCCTTACACATATTTATCAAAGGCAATAACCAAAGCAGCAGTAACTACAATGATGATAATGATAGCGAATATATACTGATTGCTGCTTTATGTGTGATCCTTGCATTGCCCTATAATGTGGATAGGATTATTATTCCCATTCTACAGGTGAAGGAACAAAGCCTTAAAGAGCTTAAATAACTTGCCCTTAGCTGCCAAACTATGTGCCCCAACAAATAAACAAAGTAGGCTGGGCATGATGGCTCACACCTAGAATCCCAGCAATTTTGGCGATTAACTGGCTCGTGCCTAGAATCCCAGCAATTTTGGCAATTGTCATGGTGTCTTTCACAATCTTGATCATTCCTATAGAAGGATGAAGAGTCTAATGGAGATTGTGGGCTAGTGCCTGGCCCAGAGAAGGAAAGGCTATGTTTTTGTTGAGTGAAGGGCAGAGAGGTTTTTTTTGACCAGAGAGCTATTTTCCAGGTCCACACTGTTGGTTTTCTTATGAGGAAGGGAAAGAAAAGGAGAAGACTGTGAAAGTTGTGTGGGAGGCTGAGGTGGGAGGATTCATTGAGCCAAGGAGTTTGAGGCCAGCGTGGGTAACATGGCAAGACCCCATCTCTACAAAAAATATAATTTGCCAGGTATGGTGGTGCACACCTATAGTCCTAGTTACTTCAGAGGCTAAGGCAGGAGGATTGCTTGAGCCTAGGAGTTTGAGGCTGCAGTGGGCTGTGATCGTGCCACTGTATTCCAACCTGGGCGATAAAGCAAGGCCTCATCTTAAAAAAATTAAAAAAAAACAAAACCACAAAGTACATAAAGGGCAAAGGCAAACTTTCACTCAAAATGAGAGGACCAACAGGGTAATTTTTGTGTTTTTAAAGTGTCCATCTTCAAACAATTCAAAATATTCTACAGATTTATTTGAAATTTAATAAACTTGCAAAAAGTTTGAAGGATTTCTCTTTTTCTTTTCTAAAATACCTCCTGGACAAAACATAGATCATTCTTGAAAGCAAAGCAAAGGCAAAGCAAAGGCAAAGCAAAGGTATTCCTGTTTCTATATTAGAAATAAGTAAAAACAGAAACTTACAATTGGAAACATGACCAGTTTTAAATAGGCTACCTTGAAATCAATGTAATTTGTCTACTTCAAATAAACCATATTAAGTATTAGAAATTATTACCTCTACAACACTGACCAACTAGAATCTGGAGAATATTACTTTACAGACTTGTGAAGCTAAAGTTTATCTAGAAATGTTAGAAAATATGAAAATAATTAGCACTGATATATTGACCATTCACCTTCTGCCCTAACAGTACTTCACTCTTGTCACTTACCTGCAGGATTTCTGTGGTGACCTACTTGTTCATCTTTCTCCTTCCCATAAAATCATTTGCTTGATTTGTTTATGTGCATCAGAGGAGATGTATCTAAAAGAGTGCCTAGAGATGTGCAGACATGTCTATGGGCAGGAATGAAGTGAGTGCTGGGGATAAATATGGCTATTTTCTATGTTATCAAGCTTAGAATGGGGTGTATAAAAAAGACATTAGGTGAGGGAGGTATATCTGGCTACTTGGGAGTGTTAGATATGCAACTTGGACAGAACCATAATGCTCATTAGATTGCATATCTAATAGTCTGCAGCCAAATTCCCCAAGTGAAAACTCTCTATGATGTAATATTTGATCACAATTCATCACTTGAAAGAAGAGAGTGGGAATAGAGCCAGTAGGAGAAAGCATGTTTTTGATGTAATATAGAATTGTTTTCAGATAATTGAAAACAATCTTAAAATTAGCATACCTGTAAAATAAGCATGTCTTGGCGCAGATCATCACCATGTTTAAAGATAATTCCAATTGTTTCATTTGATAGGGCTGTAGGATCGGCACATTTAAACTCAAGCCATAGTGGTTTTTTCTTGGAGGCCATTACTTTACATTTTTCAATCTGTAAGGAAGCAGTCACATATTCCCCACACACAATGAATAACGAATATACATGGTGGAGACACAAATTCTCTTGCAAAACATCACTATAAACAACAAGGACAAAGTCCTAGTTGGAGAATGATTTTCAATATTTGGGTAAAAATACAGAAGTTGTTTTGAGCAAATCTGGAAATGCCATGTGAGAGCGAATTCACAACTCTTAAACCAGTGCCTCTCAAACTGTGCTCCAAAGAACCACAAGAGTCTTTGGAAGTGCCTAAGAGGTATGGCAGATCTCACCCTCCCCACGCACACAGAGCTCTGACACTCCCACATCCTCTTTAATAGACAGCAACCTGGCTATTATATTTGTCCGCCTTCTGAGATTTAATTTGAAAAAAGAATTCTAATGCTACCACAATGTCAAAAAAACTATTATTGCAGAATCAGATGCAATAGGCTACATCTAAGCAGATGAAATTTAACAGAAATAAATGGAAAATCTGGCATTTAGGTACAACACGCCCTCCCCCTAAACCTCATACATCTAAATAAATTCAAGGCAGGGGAAATGTGGCTTGGCAGTTACTCACTTAAACATAAAAAAGGTAGGTGTTTCAGGCAAAGGTGAGTTCACCACAGATCAAAATTGTGATGTAGTCATTTAAAGAAGCAAACACAATTTGAAACTGTATTAATATGTCATAATTCCTACCAATCTTTAAATAATGGACAGTGGATAGTGTGTGCTTTTACTATAGGGCCAGTTTGCTGGTAATTGTATATAAAATTAAACATTCAGGGGAAGAACTTCCTCATCTTCTCATGTGGCTTCGCTGCTACGGGAGTTGCCGTCCTGCCATAAACAACTAGAAAACTATGCAAAATATATAAAACTCTTTTCAGACATTGAACAGGCAGTGTAGGTCCGTGATCCCCAAGAAAAGGAAGACAAATGAAGTGAGCCCTGTAATTGCCCCAGATTACTGCCTGGGGGCTGTTTCTAGGCTACAGCACAGAGGAAGGAAATCCAGACTGAGCCCAGAGTCCAGCAGTCTAAATTACTGTAACTGAAGTCTCAGAGAGGAGAGAAAAGAGGCAACATAAAAAATTGGTTGAAAAATTTCCAAATTTGATAGACTATAAACTCACAAATTCAAGGAGCTCCATAGACTCCAGCAGCCTAAACACAAAGGAAACCCATACCAGGGTACATCATAATCAAATTGCTGAAAACCAGAAATAAAAAAGAATCTTAAAAACAGCCTGGGGAAAAAGACGTATTATGCAGACACAATCAAAGATAAGACTCATCATCAGAAAATATGCAAGCCAGAAAAAAATGTTACTGCAAGAAAAAAACCAGTCAATCTAGAATTCCATATTCAGGGAAAATATTTTTCAAAAATGAAAGCAGAATAAAAAGTGTTTCAGATAAACAAAAGCTGAAAGAATTTATTGTCAGCAAACTTGCAGTAGAAAAGATGTTAGAAGCTCAAGGAAATGTGGACCGATATAAGGCAATAAAGAGTACCAAAAATGGTAAATATGTAGGTGAATAGTTAAAAATTATTTCATCTATTAAGTCTGTTAAGTCTATTTTTTAACTGTTTAGGGCAAAAATAGTAACTTATTGTGCCATTTATAACATATATAGAAGTTGAAATCATAATAAAAATAATGCAAAGGATGCGGGGGTTAATGGAAGTATACTGTTGCCTGTATAAGCACACGTATATGAAGTGCTTTGTTATTTAAACATAATCAAGAATGTGTGGTATTGATGTAAGGACAGACATTTAGATCAGTGGAACAGAACAGAGAATCTAGGTGTAGACCCACACATATACGGTCAGTTGATACTTGACAAAGGTGCCAAGGTAGTTCTCCAGGAAAAACAAAACAAAACAAAACAAAACAAAACAGTCTTTTCAACACATGGTGCTGAAAAATCTGGATATTCATATTTAAAAATGAACTCTGACCTTCACCTCACACTGTACACAAAAATTAACTCAAATTGGATTGCAGACTTCAATGTAAGAATTAAAACCATAACCCTTCTAAGAAAAAATATCTGCCACATTGAGTTAAACCAGAATTTCTTAACCTTGGCACTGTTGCCATTTTGGGGTGGATAGTGTTGGTTCTGGGGGACTATCCTGTACCCTGCAGGGTATTTGGCAGCATCCCTGGCCTCTACCCACTAGATGCCAATAGCATTCTCCCAGTTATAACCATCAACAATGTCTTCAGACATTGCCAAATGTCCCTTGGCAGACAGAGGGATTACCCCAGGCTGAGGCACTGGATTAGATAGATTTCTTTTTCATTTCTTTTGAAACAGGGTCTCGCTCTGTAGCCCAGGTTGGAATGCAGTGGCACAAACACAGCTCACTGCAGTATCAAACTCCTGAGCTCAAGTGATCCTCCCACCACAGCCTTCCAAGTAGTGGGGACTATGGCACGTGCCACCATGCCCGGCTATTTTTTTTTATTTTTTGTAGAGATGGAGTCTCGCCATGTTGCCCAGTCTGGTCTCATACTCCTTGCCTCAAGTGATCCTCCCGCCTTGGCTTCCCACAGTGCTGGAATTACAGGTGTGAGACACTGTGCTAGTCCTAGACAGATTTCTTAGATAAGACACTAAAAGCACAAACCATTTAAGAAAAAGTTGCAAATTTGACTTAATCAAAATTTAAAGCTTCTGCTTTGAAAGACACCTCTAAGAAAATAAAAAGGCAAGCCACAGACTAACAGAAAATATCTGTAAAATGTATATCTGATAAAGAATTTGTATCCAGTTTATATAAGTAACTCTCATAACTAAAACTAAGGTCCAGGTGCGGTGGCTCACACCTGTAATCCCAGCACTTTGGGAGGCCGAGGCAGGTGGATCACGAGGTCAGGAGATTGAGACCATCCTGGCTAACACGGTGAAACCCCATCTCAACTAAAAATACAAAAAAAAAAAAAAAATTAGCTGGGTGTGGTGGCGGGCACCTGTAGTCCCAGCTACTTGGGAGGCTGAGGCAGGAGAATGGCATGAACCTGGGAGGAGGAGCTTGCAGTGAGCCGAGATCGTGCCTCTGCACTCCACCCTGGGCGACAGAGCGAGACTCTGTCTCAAAAAAAAAAAAAGAAGGCAACCCACCTAAAAAACTGGTGAAATATTTGAATAGAAAATTTTCAGAAGAATGTACTCTAATGGAAAATGAGCACATAGAAAGACACTCAACCTTATTATGGAAATGCAAATAAAAACAACAGTGAGATACCACTTCATACTCATTTGAATGGCTAAGTTTAAAAAGACTGATGATAGGCCGGGCGCGGTGGCTCACGCCTGTAATCCCAGCACTTTGGGAGGCCGAGGCGGGTGGATCATGAGGTCAGGAGATCGAGACCATCCTGGCTAACAAGGTGAAACCCCGTCTCTACTAAAAATACAAAAAATTAGCCGGGCGCGGTGGCGGGCGCCTGTAGTCCCAGCTACTTGGGAGGCTGAGGCAGGAGAATGGCGTGAACCCGGGAAGCGGAGCTTGCAGTGAGCCGAGATTGCGCCACTGCAGTCCGCAGTCCGGCCTGGGCAACAGAGCGAGACTCCGTCTCAAAAAAAAAAAAAAAACAAAAAAAAAACTGATGATAACAAGTGCTTGCTAGGATGTGAAACAACTAGAACTCATCGTATACATTGCTGGAATTTAAATGGTATAACCACTTTGGAAAAATGGTATCTTGTAAAATTACACACACACACCATCTGACCCAACTACCCCACTGTTAAACATTTACTCAAAAAATGAATGGAAAACAAACTGTGGTATATCCATACAAGGGACTACTACTAAGTCATAAAAAGAAACAAATTACTGATACATACAATAACATGAATGAATCTTAAAAGCATTATGGAAAGTAAAATAATTCAGATATAAAACTATATACTATATGATTCCTCTTAATAAAAGTCTAGAAAAGGCATTTTATGATAGAAAGTAGATCTGTTGCATTATCACAGAGAATGGGAGGAGAAAAAGGACTAACTGCAATGGGACATGACAGAACTTTTTCTGTAACATGTCTATGGAAATGTTCTAGATCTTGATTGTGGCGGTGGTTATATAATTGTATACATTTCTCAAAACTCACTGAATTCTACTTTTTTTTTTTTTTTTGAGACGGAGTCTTGCTCTGTCACCCAGGCTGGAGTGTAGTGGCGTGATCTTGGCTCACTGCAACCTCCACCTCCTAGGTCCTAGTTCAAGCAATTCTCCTGCCTCAGCCTCCCGAGTTGCTGGGATTACAGGAATGCACCACCATGCCTGGCTAATTTTCTTTTGTATTTTTTAGTAGAGACGGGGTTTCACCTTGTTGGCCAGGCTGGTCTTGAACTCCTGACCTCGTGATCTGCCTGCCTCGGCCTCCCAAAGTGCTGGGATTACAGGCGTGAGCTACCGCGCCTGTTCCCTGAATTCTACATTTTAAATGGACAATTTTTATTGTATACAAAGAATATCTCAAGCTGATTTTAAAAAATATGGAAGGGAAATTATCTGGTATTGAGGCTTTCATAACCAGTGATTAGACAAGGGCTTATGAGAAACCCATCCAGAGACTCTCCAGCTTCCCTGTCTCTGCATAAACATTAGCTTTTAAGTACTGGGCCCCAGCAAGCACGTTAGACATCTTCAAGACATAAAGACCACATGGAGACATCCAAGTGATACCTACTGCCAGCGCTCCTGCTTTCAGTCCAGGATCATATGGAACTCTAAAGCTTTCGGGGAGTTGAGAATTCTGCAGGTTTTCAAGCTTTTGTTTAAGTTGTGAAATAACTGTAATTGTCAAAAGTACACAAGAGTTATGTGAGTTCCAGAAATCATCAATATTATCTATTACATTTCCTGAGAACACATTTATTCATAGCATTCTATATATTTGTTCTGGTGTAGAGCAGGAGAAATGTGGGTGGGCCCTGCCTTTGAGGAGCTAACCATATGAGGTGGCAAGATACATTGGGCTTAAGGTGAGCAACATAACCATGTACACATACTACAACAGGGGACAGAAATATGTGAATATATGTGGGATAACACATAGACACCAACACAATCCAAGTAGAGAAGTATGCTCTGAGGGTGATGCTAAGGAATTAATACTGTAGTTTTCTTTCCAGCACATTAAACTTTAAACTACCATCTGATTTGAGGAACAGACATTTTAAGAAAATAATACATGGAATTTGGTTAGGGTTCTGTAATTTCTTTTCAGAAGAGGAAGTTAGGTTCTGTAGAGAAGTAGAGAAGATGGATGTGACAGCCTTAAAATTCTAAAGGCAAAATATGTGAATTAAAAATTACTGGATGACTGACAGAATGAGGGTCAGTACAAATGTTTTCCTTTCTTAAAATGCAAATAAAATATTATTATTACCATCATCATTTTTAGGAGGAAGCATTGTAAGAATCAAAGGGAGAAAGAAATTTTAAATATTCAGGAGTTTAAAATACTGGTTGAGTACATGAAGTGTCTATGTAATGAGCCATAGTGCTAGGTCTAGGTATATAAAAATGAAAAAGAGATATTCTCTAGATTCAAGGTTGATACAGTTTACCAGACCAGGAAGATATGTTAAAGACTTTAATTTAATGTAGTATCAATCAAAATCTACAGAAATACAGAGAAGGAGTGATTAATTTTCCTAGGGCAGGGGCAGGTTTTCTTAGGGTAGGAATAAGATATTGGAAACAGCTTGAGAGAGAAGGTGGTGTGTGTGTGTGTGTGTTTATTACCTTTATGCACACACACACACACACAGATACAGAGTCGTCTCTTGCTGTCTGTAAGGATTGGTTCCAGGACCTCCTGCAGATATCATAATCCATGAATGCTCAAGCCCCTGATATAAAATGGTATAGTATTTGCATATGACCTATGCACTTCCTCCCATATACTGTAAATCATCTCTAGATACCTATAATATCTGATACAATGTAAATGCTATGCAAATAGTTGTTACACTGTACTGTTTAGGGAATAATGACAGGAAAAAAAGTCTGTACATGTTCAATGCAGATGCAATTTTTTTCCCAAATGTTTTCTATCCATGCTTGGTTGAATTTACAGATGTAGGACCCCAGATAGGGAAGAATGAATGTATCTCTATATATCACTCTGAGATATATAGATGAAGAAATGCCAAAAAATTAAAATAGCCTCTCAAAAATTCATCATTTTATAAGACTGTAAACTTGAAAACTGTATGTGCATATTCAGAGATGTGAAGAAAAAGGTAAAGATTTGGAAATATCTAATCTTTGTGTATGCAACTGTTCTTAAAAACTACATCTTACATCTGCATAATGCTGCTTAATTTTTCAGTTAAGAATATGTAAATATATAGTTAAAAATTATGAACTTGTAAAAGGAGAACTTTAAATTTGTTTACTCCATGCAGACAGAAAACTCAAAAATGTGTTCTTGGTGCCTTCAGGAGGATGCAACTTGGATTCCAGGAAGAAAAAGAATTATAGGAACAATGGCATTTGGAGATGAAGGCATTTGGAAAGAGAACACAGAAAATATAGCCACCGTACCTTGGGAACTGACGTCATACTTTTCAGCAGAGAGCGATTTAATATCAAGGGTGACTTTTTGTAACATCTCGATTACTTGGACTTGTTGGGTAAAGTCGTGCAGCATGGCTGTGCCACAGCCCCTCAGATAGGCTTCCAGAATCACAGCGAACCTCTGCTGATAGTGTCTGGACTGGGCTATCTCACTTCTCAAGAACCAAAACAAAAAGTGACCAATTCTTTTGTTCTGAGGGCAGGTACAAGAAAGTTGAAATTATTATGACTAATGCTTTAGGTCTACCAGTTAATTCTTGGCAACTTAAAATTTCACGCTATTATCAAAATGGAAGTACTTACTCTTAAACCACGCTTCAGCAGAAATCTGGCAAGGGCGCTATCATGGTATGGTTCAAATTTCACAGCCTAAAGGAAGAACACATTGGCATTTGTAGGACTGTACTCTATGTCGTTGAATCAGGGAAAAGGAAATGGAGAAGAACTGGTGCTCTGCTTTACTGGGTCTTCACGGCTAGAAAGATGAAAATCTTAACAGTCACTTAAGTTTAATCCTGTCTGTTAGAGGACACTTAGGACCAGACTGAACCACTTGCTTAAGATCATAGAGCAGCCGATGACATAACTGGGATTAGAGGATGAAACTTTTGACTCACAGTCATGTGCTGCTGATAAATTCAAAGGTGAAGAGGTGAGGGAATTTGCTCTAATTAGGTCTTACTGGTTTTGTTGGAGGGGTAGAGGGGGAAGATGGAGACACTGTAACCAATCTATAAAGTGGAAGGTAAGAGAGAATGTGAGAAAGAAAATGGACAGTGGAGATATAGTATAATACACGTAAGGAGAAAAATATTTGTTAGATGGAAAGATCCTAAAAGCCCTATAGCTTCCCTTTTCGGCATCTCACTGGCAAGTCACTGAACTGTCTCACAGGTCCTTAACTACAAGTAAACAGTGGCTCTAGATCAATCCACACAGAGCAATCACTACCCTCTGCCACACTGTGGTGTGTACAGAGCTTTCTGTCCAAAAGTCCCTGATTTTATGTTTTCTTAAGTATAATTTGATCTTCATTTTTAGTGTTTAGTAATTTTCATATCACTTGGCTGATGTTAGAGAATATTGACTTAGTACAGCTCCATTACTGATGAGGAAGAACTGATAAAATGTAAAAAACACAATTAAATCTTGTGAGTGCATAGGTGTTTCATTGTTCTCTGTGCTTTTCTGTAAGTTTGAAATAGTTCATAATTTTAAAAGCAGCAACACTAACATTGTTCAGATTATTATAAAAGCATATATAAAGTTAGAGGATAGATGTTATATGTAAACATGAAGAAAGACTTAATATTAAATATCTCAGAGTATACACTTTATGAATAGAAATGGTGTATCCTTTTTTCCTAAGGAACGGAAGAAATTCACATTCTAGTTTATATTTTAGGAACTGGAGGCTTCTTGGAAGGATTTATAATTCTTCCTCTGGTTTTCCAGTTTGGACATGATCACTAGTGGCTTCATCATGTTTCAATTATACAAGTGTTTACAAAAATGCTTTTCAAAAGTATGGTCAAATAGGTGCCACTGTAGCTGCATCAAAGGCCTTAATTCTGAGAATGTGGTCTTTTAGCCACCAGTACTCATTTTCGCAATGTTTTAAGTTTCTAAGCCAGATGTGAGTCTTTCTGACCTTCTTCAGGTTTCACTTCTGTAAAGACAGTGCAGATCTCAACTAGGAGACCATTTTGATCAGGAATGAGTCATTTAGCCATAGCTGAAAATGTCTCAAGTAGTTTTACAAATGACTATTCTTCTTCAGATTTAAGACCACAAATTCAATGTTAATATTATGTATTGACCTCTTTCATTTAACACATTTCTAAAAAGAACATTATTCATTTTCCAGCTCTTTAAAGTTTACTTGTGAACATGACAATGAAAAATAATTCCTGTTAGCCTTGGGGTTTGCAACAGAGCTCATCCAAGTTTTTTTCATGTTGTTTCTGTTATGGAGAGCTAGAAAACTGAAGATTCTTTAATTATTCTAAAATTCTTTAGTGTTATACAAATATCTCAACTAGTGAAAAAACTACTGAATATATTTAATGGATGAAAACAAAGCCAAATGTAATGTTTCAAGTATCTAACAGGAAGGTGAAGATTGAGAGTTTAAGTTGAGGCTATCCAAAATGCTTATCAGAAAACTCCAGAACTTCCTATAAATACGGATAGTGATTAGATAGTTTAGTGTGTAAAATTTAGTCTGGCTAATCCTAAAGATCTCAGGTCAAATGTCACTTACTCAGAACTGTCCCGGGGTCTCTTAATCAAAATTAAGTGTCCCTTGGACCCCTGGACTGTTTTCTCATAATACGGTATAGTTTTCCCTAAAGTATTTGTCACAATTTGGTATTAAACATCTATTTGTGTGTGTACTCATTTAATGCCAGTCTTCTCAGTACATGTTGTTGAATTAATGAATGAAGGCTGTGCTCTAAAATAGCATTTCTATTCAAATTCCTTTACTTCTTTTCCCTTGTCAAGCAGTACAATATAAGTTGAGAACTGCTAAAGTGAGCAGGGGAACTGTTCCCCCTTCTTTCTTTAACTTCTTAACTAAACCTTAGAAAAATCACTTGTCCTCTCAGGACCCCAGGGAACATCATGAGAAACGGAGCAGAAATACATACAGTCCTGTACCTATCTGCAGAGAGGAGCTTTCAAGACTCTACCCAGATATGAGATATTATTCTGTGAACTGTAACAGACATACACAGAGAATAAGACCTTTTATCTCTAGCCCCAGAATCCTGACACCAGACTGATGAAGGATATGGTGGTGGATTTGTGAAGGATTTGGGGTAGTGAAAAGAGCAGGATCTGGAGGGAGACCTCCTGGGTTTGAATTCTGGTCTACCTCTTTCAAAGTATGTGACCTTGGGCACATTACTTAGCCTCTTTGTACCTCAGTTTCCTCATGTAAAAAGTGCAAATGTCAATTTGACCTCCATCATAGTTATTGGAAGAGTTAAATGAGATAATACACTGAAAGCATGTCAGTCACTTGGAGCCTTGGCACAAGAAAGCATTCAGTAAGTGCAATCTATCATTAAAATAATAAATGAGAACAAAGTATTCCCACAGGGCCAATTCTCCTAAAAACGTGAAGTACTAATGTCTGCAAAACCCTTGTCAGCAAACCCTCCGAGACAGTAAAAATGTACATGGAACAGTTTACTACTTTTTGAGGCAGCTTCATCATATCTACTTTTGCCGATGATGAAGCTCTGAACAAAGGGCATTTGATGACAACTGAATGGAGTGCCTGTGCATATGCAAATCAATTCCTTTTGAGAAGGCTTCCATTGATAACACCAACATCCCCTACCTGGACCAATTGTAGAAGGTAATGCAGAACATCATCGTCCTCCAAGCTCTCCAGTTTCTGAACTGCAATGGCTCTTACATTTTCATCTGAGAAGTTGCAGTCCAGGAGCTGCATTGTTAACCCAACATCCAAAGCACTTTGATCCCAGACTTCCCTTCTGGCCAACAATTGGTATGTTTTGGCCACAATTTCTTGCTGTCCCCATTTCACTGAACTAAATAGCTTAGGATATGCTTTTGGGTGCTTAAGGCTTTCGTATCTAAAATGCCAGAGCAATTCTTTGTCCTCTGCTGTGAGAGGGTTAAGTGGATCAGTGGCTATGATCGCCTCCAATTGCTTGCGAAGCTGGTTGGGCATTTCTGCTCGAACCCGGTCCCCTTCCGGGTCAGGGGTGGGCTGATGCTTAGGCAGGGCTATCGGGTGGCAGTAATTGTCCAGAAGAATGGAGATGGACATTGAGTTCTCCTTGTCTGGGTTAGTTGCAGACGTGAGTTTGTCAGCATTGAAGCTTCCTTGGTCTTCTCCCTTCCCAGATATCTGCCACATGTGGAGGACGTATTCTCCACGGCGCAGGAGGAAACGGTGGTCTATCAGCAGCAGGTTCACATAATAGAGAAGCTGAACTTTGCCCTTGGACTCAGAACTGGGGGACTCTGCAGAGGCCTTGCTGGACAGTGCTGGAGCTTTACCGCAGTAGATCTGGAGGTTCAGTAGAGCCCCTTTGGGCAAGTCTTTGATTTTGATACTGAACTCAAGCCACACATTCCACAGCACCTCCTCTGTGAAGGGTTTGGGGCTGGTTCTCCTTTGGCAAAGGACTTGTTGCCCATGCTGGATGTTTGCCTCTACAAAAACTGTGAGGTCGGTGTTCCGAGGCAGGACGGGGATATCAATGCCTCTGATCTTGACCCTGAACTTGCGGTCGCAGTCCCACAGGGACACGGTGAACACACTCTCGTGGTCCTTGCCGTGGATGGTAAGCTGCTCATGGTAGCCGGTGACTCCCGTGCAGTCATCCACCAGTGGCCACTCTTCCTTCCTCACCTCGTCTAGGGCCGGGTCTGGAGGCGTGTCCAGTACCACGTGAATCTCTTCTCCGTTCTTGAGGCAGTGCCTCACCCACTGGAAGTTTTTGATGGGCGTTTCGCCCACCAGGTACTCATCCCGGCCACAGACGCGCAGCACAAAATCCTGTTCGCTTTGGCTTTCGGGAATATCCATCAGAGATTTCTTCTTGGCCATCTTGGTGAAGAAGCTCTGCAGGATGGCGCCGGGGGTGTCGTCGGGTGAGACCTTAATGGTCTGGCTGGTGGTGCTGCGGTGAATGACGATGAAGATGCAGTTGTTGGCAATCTTCTTCCACAGGTACTCCGGGAGGGGCTTGGACGTCACCCACGGGTGCATGGCGTAGAGCTTGGGGTCGCGGCTGGCCACCTCCGCCATGCGCGGGGTCACCAAGCCACGGCGCGTGAACTCCAGCTCATCGTCGTGCACGTTGCTGACGTCAGTGACGTCATAGCCAATCAGCGCCGTGAGCTGCCGCTGGAAGGCTTGGGACTCCTCGGAGGGCGGGTGCCGCTGCACCAGGTGGATCTGGCCCGGGCTCCGGTGCGTGGCCTTCCAGTAGCGCAGGCAGTCCAGAGTCTGCACCACCTGGTACTTGTCGTAGATCTCGTACCACTGCCCCTTCTTCTGATAGAGCAGGAGGAAGTGATGCGGTCCCAGCCGGTGGTAGAAGTCCGCCGCCACGCTGGTCTCCAGCGCTCGCAGCCACACCTGGGCCTTCATCTGCTCCACGTTGCCGTGGCCGGCCACGTGCAGCAGCGCCGTTTCGGGGCTCTTGCATTTGCGCTGGCTGGTGGGCAGCACGAACTCGATGGGGATGAGCTCCATGGAGGACAGGCTGGCCGCAGCACTGCGCGGCTTCATCCTCCGGCGCCTTCGGCAGTTGTCCTCTCTCAGCACCACGGGCTGTTTATAGTTCTCCAGCTCCATGCCCTATGCGACCTGGGAGCGGAGGGACACAGGGATTTGTCACAAGAAAGGCACTTTCCCCTTATATTTTCTGGTGAGATGAGGGAAGAGGAGGTATAGGCGGCGTACATGTGCACAGGGACCCAGAGGGACCAAGTATTTTAAACTGGAAGCACTACAGCCCTTCAGAGCGTGGGCTTTGGAGTCGGGCCGGTGAGTCCTGGCCCAGCCACTTACTTTCTGGGTGATTTGGGCTGCTTAATCTCTGAGCCTGTTTCTCATCTCTCAAACTGGTTAGTAATGAATGCCCCAGAGGGAGAGTTAAATAAAGTAATACTTGTTCAATATGGGTGACAGGTATATGGGGGCTTATTGGTCGTTCTACTTTTGTATACTTTGAAAATTTTAAAGAGGTAGGTAAAACACTCATCCAGCACAGCGCATGACACATTATAATGGCTCAGAATGGACATTGTTCTTAAACATACTGAAACATATAGATTACTAAAATAGTACAGTTAAGGTTCAAGTCCCAGTTTACAAGGTGCAACACGAGATGCCAAAAAATCTCACTTTGAAAACAGGCCTTTAACTTACTTCCTCTTTGTTAAGTCTCACACTTCTTGGAACCCAGACACCTCACCCAGCCTTGCTTCACGTTGCCTGTTTTCAAACTGCCTGGACCTAGGATCTACTCCCTAATAAATTTCCTGCCTCTTGGTTTCATTTTTTCTTTCTAATTAGGAAAGCAAGTCATTTCATTTGTAAAGCTAAAACATATCGGAATTAGTAAAGTTACAGTCAAAACCATTTGCAGATATGTAAAATTTTGAATCATGGAATTTGTCAGCATTCTGGCTGTCACTGCTATATTAGGGCAGTATCTTAGAAGAGTCACCCAAGGCTGTACTCTCCCAATAGGAACATTTAGGTAATTTTAACATTGTTTAATTAATTAATTAAAATTCATTTGATCTGTCTCTACTTAATAATGGAGGAGCTACAGGATGGAAGGCAGGATTTCTGGACTCCAGTGACCTTCTGTTAAGACCCCCAATCATTTAACTTCTTTTTTGCTCTAATATTTTCATTTTTGTAACACAAATTCACAAATTTATTCTCATTAACCTACTCACTCTTTCCACAAAATTCAGTAAGTACCTACCCTTCACAAAGCACTTATGTATAAATAGGACATACTGCAATAGGAAATCCTTCAAATAATAATTGAAATTTGAAAGGTATTAACACTGAAAGATTAGGTATTTTGCTTTCAATGTTTAGTATCACTACATTGTAATACATTATATTCTAAACGAATCAATTATTGAAACAAAAAATTAATGTTTCAGAAAATATCGTTTACTCTCTTAAATAACTAATGTTAGACTTAAAACTACATTATTTCCTTAAGAAATAGTGGAGCATTTGATGTATACCAAAAAGGAGAGCTTGATAAGAAGATAAGAAAGACAAATTTCATTTGATCCAAACTTATGTTCAAATCTTGGCTTAACTTTTAAAACCAATATTCCCTCTCTTAAAATATGAAGTTATACTTAGTAAGTGAAACCAACTGTCCCAAAGAACTGTCTCTTGTGGCTTAAAACATTCATTTTGGTCTTTTGCTACATTATAGAATAACTAACAAAGAAGAGAACTGTAAGATACATTGATATTGACACTAACTTGAAATAAAACATGTCCAAATTTAGGCAGCATATAAATACACAGCAATAACTTCTGCCTCAGTGATACCAAACGATCTTATAAGATGCAGAGGAAAACAGGCTGACTAATACTCACTGGTTTCCTTCATGGTTGAGGCTATGAAGCTTTCCCCTTTTATGAGAAGATGTTGGAAACACTGTAAGTACAGTAATCTTGAAGCATGCACTTGTAGGAATATGAAGCCTGGCTGCCGTGCCCTCCCTTTTCCTCCCAAAACAAAAACAAAAATGTGATGCACCTGCAAAACTATTGCCGGAACGTTGTAGATATCCACAATACAGGTTGGACTAGACAATGAAACACAGACATTCGGTGGTAGTATCATCTCAAGAACCGACAACAGTTTCAGATAATCTAGCCGAGAAGGAAGTGCCACTATTCCGAGTCAGACCCCACAAAGAGCAAAAAATAGAAGGAAGCAATACCTGATAAAGCAGCGGAGGCGATGATGCTGAAGGATCATTTGTTTAATTTTTGAAAACAAAACAAATTCAAACCTACCCAGTGTGCGTCTAAATTCTTCCGCTTTTCTGGGGCTCCCTTCATATCCAGATGCAGAGGAAGTGTTGCAGTTACCAGGAAGGAAGTTTTAACCAAGTTGATTATACGTGTGATTGCTCATTTTAAAAGTGTCAGAAATGCATTTCCTGTTTTAGCATAGAGAGGGTAGGAGTATGAGACTGAGCAATGTTTACCATGGTTTTTCTTTTCTTTTTTTTTTCTCTTTGAACTAATTTTTCAAAAATTGTGATACTGAGACAAAATGACATAAATCCAAACCAAAATTACCCATTATGAGACATAAACATATGAAATATCTTTGTAGCTAGTTCTAAGAGCCACAGTATTAGGTATCCTATTAGGAAGACTTTTACCAGTCAAATTAAACTCATTCCCCTCCTGGGAATTCAAAAGAATCCTTGTTCGCACATGCTAACTGAGGGGTGGGGGAAGAGAAACCTAGTCATCTTGAGGACTAAGTTATCAAGCTGAAAATTTTTAAAGGCATGGTCTGCAAGCTCACTTCCTTAGCTTGGTGAGAGCTTTCTCTATTTTTTCAGAGCATTTGGGGCCTAAAATATCACTGGCTCAAACTGAAAGCACTGCAGCATGTGCATGTGTGTATATAAATGTGACATACTGCAGTAAGTAACCCTTCAAATAATGGTTGAAATGCTAAAAGTATTAAAATTGAAAGATGAATAAAAAGGTATTTTGATTTTAATACTAAGTACCACTACATTGTAACACATTATATTCCAAACAAGGATCAACTATTGAAACAAAAATTAATGCTTCAGAAAATATCCTGTGTTGAGGATGGAGCCTTACTGTCAGCAATGACTGATTAATTAACTGTAGACAAAACAGAAGGAGGTTGCCTGTTATCATGGGGAAATTGGGGAGCTGAACACTGTTACAGCATCAGGCAGATTCCATCCTGGGAGGTGGCCCCTGATTCCTATGGGAGTAGAGAATGCATAGAAAAGCCATCCTGAATCATTTTTAGAGTAGCGTTGTATCTTCCAGGTGACCTCAGTTCTTTCTAGAACCTCCAAGCA
Source organism: Homo sapiens (assembly GCF_000001405.40). Taxonomy (NCBI): domain Eukaryota; kingdom Metazoa; phylum Chordata; class Mammalia; order Primates; family Hominidae; genus Homo; species Homo sapiens. The sequence continues at coordinate 106,864,289 of NC_000007.14, read as the reverse complement.
TCCTGAACCAGCGCCCCCTCCCTCCATCTCAGAATTCCCTATGCTAGAGTTCATCCTCCAATCGGGGTGTTGAGGGACTCCAGCTGAGCTTCAAGGGCAGCAGATAGAATGGAGTTGACCTCACAAGTCTCTTGGAGGTATGTAATTAAGAGTTCCTCTGAATTACTCTGATATTGAGATAAATGATTGATTTGACTTATTTCCTTTTACATATGCCTCTTGGGTTTTAACTTTTAAATAGCACTCTAATAGTTGACATCAGCAGGCAAATAATTTAATTCAAAGGCTGCCTCCCAAATATTTAGAGGGGTCTTATCAGCTTCTCAAAGTATATTCCTATATAGGAATACTCCCTTAGGAGGCTGGCAGCTTTAGAAGCACCAAGGCTAGCTTTCTTGGTTGGTCCTGAGGGAAGATCAACACACTGTAGCCACCAAGCCATGATGTGAGAGCTTGCCAAGCTGTGTTTTACCCAGAGTGTGTGGGAGGGTTCCTGGGGGTGGGTGGAGTGGGAGGAGGTTTGAGGGTGGGAGGGCTGACCTCAGAGGGACCATGAGCTTGGCCAGCCCTGTTCCCCAGACCATTCAATAGATCCCTTCCCTGTCCTGGCTCAGTCACTTCCAGGGGGCCAAGTCCCAATCTGGCACTGCACATACACACACACATGCCACATTATTCCAGAAACACGAGACTCAGCCTCTTGGCCCTGCCTGCTTCTGAAGGAACTATTAAGCTAAGTTTGATTAGGCAAAGGATTTTCTGTTTTATGACTAAACTGGCAAATATGTCAGGTTTATTGGTGGCTTGAGATTAAAAGTACCCTGCTCTTCCCCAAATCTTAATATAGCCACTAAAATTTGACTATCTGTAGTAAATGTTCCCAGTAAGAAGTAATGGCAAAGATTTCCTTCCTCTGTGGATACTTCCTCCGTGTAGAGGCATCCTTTACGAGTAAGAATATTTTATATCCCCAGAATATTTAGAAGACCTTCAGTCCTCATTAATATCCCATTTTAATAATATTTTTCCCTTCTGTGAATCTGTGGACACAGAAATCATTTTGGTTGGGAAAAAAAACACAATCAAAGGCTCTGACCTTCTATATCATATCAGTGGTCACAGCAATGACAAGATAGAACAGTTTAGAAAATAAGAACACAGTAGGAAGTATCAGTGATCAATAGACATTAAAAATTATTTGTTTTGAGGAAGGCTCTTTCCAACAGCCTTCAGAGAGATTATTTATGGTCTACTTGGAGAGACAGAACATGCAGAGGAAAGAATAACATGTGCAATGCGTTAGCATATGCAGTCCAAGCGGTTTAATTGTGTGATGTAACTTTCATTATGCAAGCCAACAGTTTACTGGAGGAGTTCACTTTGGGTGAGATTTGAAAATTTTTGTTTTAAATGTGCAGGGGAAGGTCCAGGATTCAAGGCAAGAGGAATCACAGGGGCAAGTCCTCAAGCCAGAAGGCATCTGTGGGACAGTGAACAGATCAGTTCACTGAAATGGAGAGTCTGAGAAAGATAGCAGTGTGAGAGACAGGGAGAGACATGGCCAGACAAGTGTGTGCTTCCCATACGTATTTCATGTGTTGCCACATGTAAATAGTGGTGACATGTGTATGGCACACTGGGGTGAACTGAGGAAGCTCCTCAAAGCGTGAGACAACGGGTGCATCCCCAAGGACCTCACCGCTTTGGGCATACTGGCTGGGAACTCTGTTATTGGTTATTTACTGTTGGAGTAGCTATGTCACTCAGACTCGAGGGAATCTTTCATCTTGAAAAAACATGATCATCTTGTCATATTTTTTTTTAGCTCAGCTTCAGATGATTTATACATTGTGATAAAAATGCAAAAAGGCATTTTAATCTAATCTGACAGTTTAGTTCACCTTCATACCTTGCTTTGTTGTCCGAGCACAAAGGCAAACCTTTATGAAGCTGTGCCTGATATTTTTTGGTCTGTATTTGGTAAGATTTAAGAGAAGCATCCTGGTATTGTAGAAACACACACATTCATGAGACCTAGGTTTATTTCTGCACATTCTTTAGGCCTCATATATGCCCCTTCATTTCTTTTGGCTTCCTAATCTACCAAATGATAACAACCACCCTACATATTTCACAGGAAGTTGTTATAAATCTTCAGTTTTCAATGGAACAAAAACTTATCTCACCGTACTATGTAAGATATTATGTTAGATGACTCTAGAAGGTACAGAATTCCAGGTGTCAAACACCAACACGACACACAGAGGAAGAAGAGTCCATGCCATCTTGTGTGTTTCTTTTTCAGAGAGAGGAAGACTTTCCCAAAGGTCTTCTGGGTCCCCTTATGTCTCTGGCCAGAATTGTGGCAAGGGCGCATTGATACCTCAGCCAATCAATAGGAAAGGGGATAGAATTATGTGAATGGTTTAAGCTAATCAGAATTTGTCCCCTGAGTTCTGGCTGGCTAGAGAGTGGTGGACACCAGAACCAAATGTCAGGGCTCTGACTGTAAGGACAAATGGGATTAGGGAGGATTGTAGGAGACTGTACCACAGTCTTGATGCCATTAGGAATGTAGGCTATTATTATGCCATGTGGGTGGAGGGGAGCCACTTCAGGTTCTGAGAAAAGAAGCTATGGGAAATCAGTCACAGTCAACACAACTCCATGGACCTACAGCCAGATCTAGGTCCCTATGGGACCTTCCACTTTGTTCTCCATTCTTAGTATCAGAAACTGACCATTGAGCACATTTTTCTGTTTCCTTGTTTAGTTAAACTTTGACAATACATAGTAGTAAGCACTTCACAAATTTCTGGAAAAGATTTTTCTATAAATTGGTTTTTAAAAATCCAAAATCTTTGCGTGATACTTTATTTTTATTTTATTTTTTATTTTTGAGACAGAGTCTAGCTCTGTCTCCCAGGCTGGAGTGCGGTGGTGTGATCTCAACTCACTGTAACCTCCACTTGCCAGGTTCAAGTGATTCTCCTGCCTCAGCCTCCCGAGTAGCTGGGATTATAGGCATGCGCCACCATGCCCAACTAATTTTTGTATTTTTAGTATAGACTGGGTTTCACCACATTGGCCAGCCTGGTCTTGAACTTCTGACCTCAAGTTATCCACCTGCCACAGCCTCCAAAAGTGCTGAGATTACAGGTGTGAGCCACCACACCTGGCCTGCATAATACTTTAGACCTTTTATGATTTATCCCTTATGAACTATCCTTAACTCTTTCTTCCAGATTCTCCTCTTCCAATTCCCTTCCATGATTGAATTCCACCAATTTCTGCTTTCATACCTTCTGTGTTCCACCACACCTCTGTGCCTCTGTGTGCCACTCCCTATGTCCTATTCCCTCCCCTCATTCTCTCTCCTCTCCCTCCCCCTTCTCTCATCCCCTCAGCCATTTGACCAGCTCCTGCTTCATTGGTATTCAGAGTGAGTAACCTCCACTGAGAGGGCTTTCTGGTCAGGAAAGCATAGGGTTAGGGAAGCTTTCTCCCAATAGTAACCACCACAATAACAATATCACCACCAATAAGTGGAAGCTCTTCTTTAGGGAAGGGTCTCACTCTGTTGCTCAGGCTGGAGTACAGTAGTGCAATCTCAGCTCACTGCAGGCTTGACCTCCCGGGCTCAAGTGATCCTCCCATCTCAGCCTCTCAAGTAGCTGGAACTACAGGTGTGAGCCTCCATACCCGGCTAATTTTTTGTATATTTACTAGAGATGAGATATTGCCATGTTGCCCTGGCTGGTCTGGAACGCCTGGGTTCAAGTGATCTGCCTGCCTTGGCCTCCCAAAGTGTTGAGATTACAGGCGTGAACCACTGTGCCTGGCTCACAAACTCTTTTATGGCACTTTCTTTGAGTCTTACGTTGATCTAAGAACTTTAGTACATTCATTCATTTAATCCTCACATCCTTCCAAGGGGAGAGGCACTACTATTGTCTCCACTTACAGGTGCTAAAAGCAAGGCACAGAGAAGTTGAGTGGCTTGCCCTTGGTGCCACAGGTGGTAAGTGGCAGTCATCATAGCACTTCTCCTGGGTGAGGACAGCTGGTGACTGGGCTGCCTCCTCTACCCGACTGGGTTCTTTGAGTGACTGCTCTGTATTGACTCGCTGTATTCCCCAGAGCTTAATACAGTGCTTGCCACATACAAAGCCAAGGCCTTGATAAATGTTGGTGGAATGGTTAGTTTGTATAGAGTCTCTCTTTTTGGAAGCCATTGGATTCCTTTGTATTTACAGGAAGCAATGGGAGTACTGAGTGATATTCGCAAAGCCTCCCAGACTAACCAAAACCCAGACAGCCCCTCCCTTCCATGTAACCATGTAACGTAAAACTCTCCAATCTGCCTCCTCTTCAAACCTTGCAATGTGAAACTTGGGAGGAAAATGGTCTGTAGGGTGTGGAACTTAGGAGGGAACCTAGTTTGACATTATAAGAAACCACAATCCTTTAGAAACATCTCCTTTATAGCTCTTATTTGGTCCAATTTAGTAGTTTTCTTTGTTGTTCCATTCCTAATATTGACTGAAGTATAAGACCAAAGACCGTTGGTACCGTGTCCTGTGAGCCAGAAATCCTCCCATGGAATGGATATCCAGACCCATCCCTGAGTCCCTGCCTTCAGAATTACCTGCTTGCTGCTAAGGAATTTTATCTACCTACCTATGCACCTATCTAGTCACCTACCTAACTGTCTCATCCACGTCTCACACACACACCATGATCCTGACAGAGACAAAGCTGATTGCAATAAGGGAGTAGTTTCCGAACCAAATCTGTTTCCTTCCTTCATAGGATTTTCCCTGTTCAAGAGCATAGCAGAGGGTCCTAGGAGAGAGGAAGAATGAGTAGACCAGCTTAGTTGGAGTCTGCTCTCAAATCCCTGGCCCTGAGGCTGGAAGGGAGATTATAATAGGAGCTGCTTCTCAGGCCTTCTTAGGGAACATTGTTCCTTCCAAAGCCCTGGGTTCTCAGCTTTGAGTCTGGCAGGAGTCACATCCAGCTGGAAGGAAGCCAAGAGGGTGCCCCACCTCTCCAGGTTCAGAAAAAGGTCACAGGAGCAAAGCAGGCTTGGGCTGGGAAGTGGGTGTTGGGGCTGGCCGGGAGCCAAGTGCTTTTCTGGTCCCCAGGAGGGTGAGCCGGGTCACTGTGAGGCCACGGCCCTGCACCTCCTTCTTCTTCTTTTCAAGCAAAAATCAACTTTATTCCAGTGGCCTCTGTACTGCTTTCTTCTCTGATGGGTAGACAAGGACCTTGCGGGCCACGGGCACTAGCTCCTGCAGGGACCTGGGGCGGGACAGGAAGGGATCTCTACCTGCCTTGCTCTATACCTAGGAGGAATATTTTTGCCTTCAAAGCTTGGCCTGCATTTTCTGGAATTACCCATCATGTGTGTCTGTTGAATCAAGTGAGAATTTTCTGCAGATTGGGAAATGCCTTGCAGGGTGTGTCTCAGTGAGGGCTCGAGTTCCCCCGGGTGTGCCCCTCTGCTGCCATAGCGGTTCTCATTTTCTTTTCAAATAGATGCCTTGGCAGTCTCCATTCCTCCAGCCTTTTTCATTCTCTCCTCCTCCCCTCTTGCCTCCTTTTCTTTTAAAATAGTATGTACAACCTGAAAGGGAGGAGCTTCTGGGTTGCTGGTAGTTTCTTGATGCGGTGCCGGCCTAGCTTATGATCAGTTTGTGGAAGTTCATGAAGCTTGGCACATACAAAGCTTGTGCACTCAATGATCACTTTTCTGTATGTGAATGTCAAAAATTAATTTTACCTGAAGATTTAAGCTACTTTCCATACTTTCATACTTTTCTTTTTTTTTTTTGGAGACAGGTTCTCACTGTGTCTCCCAGGCTAGAGTGCAGTGATGCAAACAGGGCTTATTGAAGCCTCCATCTCCCTGGCTCAAGCAGTTTCTCCCACCTCAGCCTCCCAAGTAGCTGGGACTAGAGGTGGTGCACCACCATGCCTGGCTAATTTTTAAATTTGTCATAGAAATGGGTCTCGCTGTGTTGCCCAGGCTGGTCTCGAACTGCTGGCCTCAAGCAATCCTCCAGCCTTGGCCTCCCAAAGTGCTGGGATTACAGGCATAAGCCACTGTACCTGGCCATACTTTCTTAAACAATTAAGAGTGTTCCTCGCCCACCCCACCCTCCTTTTCCTGCTACATTCTTGCAGACTCCTTTCCATGTGAACCTTGATGTTTCAAGTGGAGCCTAGTTTGGAATTGTTGGGTTTGCCTCTCATAAGCTCTGCCCTTGGCATAGTGGCTCCATCTTTATATTAGCTGGGGGCCACGGGTAATTCAGACTCATTTGGAGGGAAAGGGGTCTTCCATTCAAGCTGATGTTGTGGCATTCCATTCAATTATTCATTGACTTATGCAATAAATGAATGCCATGAGTGCATTGTGTTCATGCATTCATTAAGCATTTGTTATTGAATATCTTATATAATGGCACATGGAGTTTCTGTGTGCATGGAACTTGAAACCTAGCAGGGCAGAGAAGATATGCACCTGTCATCATCACAAAGCATGGCATGTAAGAAGTGTCCTCCGGGCTGTACAGGGAAAGGGCTGCAGGAGTCACAGCAGGATGCTGCCCTTTCCAACTGAGCCTTCCAGCAGAAAGGCCGCAGTAGAAGTGGCAGGGAGAACAGCGCAATTCAGCTAGGCAGGGGTGAGGGGAAAGAGCATTCCAGAGAGGGAATAGTGTAAGGCAGCCAAAGTTCAGAAGAGTGAAATTCATTCACTTAAGTAGCCTTGAATGGGAGAGGAGGCCCAAGGAGGGTGGGCTCTGGTCAAGCCATGGTGTTCCTGAGAAGGCCATGGCAAGAAACATGGCCTTCATTTGTAGACATTGGTAAATAATTACGAAGAACTAAATTGAACAGGGTGGAAGTGGGAGTAGGTGAGGGGATGCAGTACATCTCTAAAGACCCCCTGCTTTCTTTTTAAAATCATGGCTTTATTCAAGTATACTTAACATTCCACCCCCACCCCTGCCAGTTTTAATCTTTGACATAGTTCTCTGAGACAAATGAAATAGTCTTAACATATTCATTATGTTATGCTAACTGTGCTGATCGCTGTAACAAAATCTCAGTGGCATATTTCTTTTTCACCCTATAGTCCCATGCAGGTTGGATGGAGAGGAGCTGTTCTAATCATTCATTCTGGACCTGCCTCCTTCTAGTTGGTGGTTCTGATTTTCCCTTGGGCCTTGAGTTCTCCATTCGGTCTGAGAATGGCTCACATTTTTGTGCCCATTTTCCGTTGGCCAGAACTCTGTCACCATGACCCATCTAACCATGGGATTGGCTGGGAAATACAGCCTATCTATGTGACTAGAGGGAAAAGAAAATAGGTTTGGCAAACCCATAGCATTATGTTTGCCAAGAAAATACTATACATAATAGAACTTTATGAATATGATAAAATTTAAGTACTATCCTACATCTAATTTCACGTGTTATGAATTCTATCATGAGACACTTAGAATTATAGCCTTCCACCATTAGACAATCATTGATGTCATGATTATATCTTGTCTCTATGTTGAGTGGAAGTGATAAGTAAAGGGTTTTACAAAACTAGAAACTGGCAGTCCTACCCTGTTGCCTTTTCCAAACTGTTCTATAACGATGCAGTTCTTCCTTCACTCGCCAGGAAATTCTGTTCTAATCAGACGGTGCACATAACATGAAGAGAGATTAATAGGTAGCTACGGGATTACATTGTTAGAACTTGTCATTGTCAAGGCTAACCCCAGAAATTTTTTTTCTTTTTCTTTTCTTTTTTTTTTGAGACAGAGTCTTGTTCTGTCGCCCAGGTTGGAGTGCAGTGGTGCCATCTTGGCTCACTGCAACCTCCTCCTCCCAGGTTCAAGCGATTCTCAGATCTTAGACTCCCAAGTAGCTGGGACTACAGGTGCCTGCCACCACGCCTGGCTAATTTTTGTATTTTTAGTAGAGACAAGGTTTCACCATGTTAGCCAAGCTGGTCTCGAACTCCTTACCTCAAGTGAGCTGCCCGCTTCAGCCTCCCAAAGAGCTGGGATTATAGCTACGAGCCACCGCGCCCAGGCGCCAGAAACTTTAAATTCACACTTTTGAAGTGTTTTGTCAATTTATTCTTCTACCCCATCACTATGAAAGTTTACCATAATAAAAGTTTATTTTTGTGAACTTTAAAAATGAAACTATTTTTTGTAATAGGTTTATATGTACTGTCAGCAGGGAGGGAGACTGGTGGAAGGTCTGTGTGATGTAGTCATTTGGAGACTGGGATGACAGGGGCTCTGCTTTCTTCAACACGTGGCTTTCAAGAAAGCCTCAGGCATCAATACCAGGCCAGAAGATGAGAGTGGAGGATGGTGCAGGAGGTTTAGGGCTGGGTCTAACAATGGGAAATGCCGCTTCCATCAACATTTCATTGACTATTGTGAGAATGGGGGTCAGAGAAATACAGCTCCTGTTTCAGTTCAGCAGTGACTCTACCTATGGTGGGGGTGGGGATGGGGTGGAGACAGAGGGCCGGTCTTTGGTGAATAACTAGTCATCTCTGCCACAGCCAGGCTACCAACTTCTCTTTTTTTTTTTTTGAGATGGAGTTTAGCTCTTGTCACCCAGGCTGGAGTGCAATGGCATGATCTCGGCTCACTGCAACCTCCTTCTCCCAGGTTCAAGAGATTCTCCTGCCTCAACCTCCCGAGTAGCTGCGATTATAGGCACCCCTTCCCATGCCCGGCTAATTTTTGTATTTTTAGTAGAGACAGGGTTTCACCGTGTTGGCCAGGCTGATCTTGAACTCCTGACCTCAGGTGATCCACCCTCCTTGGCCTCCCAAAGTGTTGGGATTACAGGCGTGAGCCACTGCGCCTGAACCCAACTTCTGTTCTTAAAAAAACTTACATGTAGTACCCTGACTCTGCCTAAATTAGATGTACTAGACTTACTGCTTTTATGAAAAAGAAAGGAAACTTTGCTTTAATATGATAGTTCTAAAATAATTCAATGTTTGTTGTTGGTGATATGATAATATAAATTTGTTGGATTGATAATATGAGTCCCAGACGGGAACAGTGTGGATTATTACATGGTGCCAAGGTCCAAAGGAAATGAAAACCAAAGGCAAGTGTGGTAGTCAGTAGGGCCGGTCATGCGTACTCCAATTCTCCTCCTGCAAGATGGCAGGAGGTACGACTGTATTCTCCCACCCTTTGAAATTAGGGGTAATGATGTGATTTACTTTGACCAATGAAATGTGAGAAGAAATTTGTCACAATTTGCCATGTTTCCTTCCCTCTGCTGTGGAGACCTTGGAAGCACTTGTGATGGAACCGTGTCTACCTGACTCCTGAGAGACTGGGGTCAGTAGAACCCCCAGCTGACCCATGTTGGACATTTATGTGGGCAAGAAATACAACTTTGGTGCGTCAAGCTGTTGAAATCTTGGGATTGTTTGTAACCATAGTCCAATTTAATATGTTCTGATTGATACAAAAGATTATTCTTGAAAAAATAGACTGACATAATATTTTGGATCAGATTTTTATAAGGTTAAATTTCACTTGATAGGATTTGAAATGTAAGGATTTCTTGGGGGTGGAAATTTAGTTGAAATCAACTTGAAGTGATATAAAAAATTCTATTCATTAAATGTGATACTTAATTTAAAAATGCTTCAAAAGTGTGATATTATAAACTCCTTTATTATACAAATACCAGAGAGACAACTAATAATTTATGTAACGTTTAAGGTACAAAATTATAGAAAAATATTAGCAAATTTCTTTTATCAGCAGCTTTTAAATGAGATATAATTTTCAGGGTTTTAGATGTGTTTTTTAGTAAAAGTAAATTATATTTAAATCTTTTTATCTTTCTTTATGAAACTGCTCCTCCTTTCCCACAGGGATTTTGTGTGGCTTTTCTTAGAACCTCCTCCTTCTTAATGGTATTGAAATAACCAGAATTAATACCAGATGATCCTATTTCTCCTTTTGTCTCCTCAGTTCTGTTTTGAAAATTCTGTGATTACTGTATTTAAATTGCAGTATCAGTGCCAAATTGCTAACAGTGCCAAGATTCACTGTGGATACCTTATATTCTTTGCCCCCTGTATGCCTCAAAATGAATAAAGATGATGACAATACTAAACCGTGTATATACACCTTAATGTGAGATAATGGGTTATGAGTCTATTTCACAGTACAGAATGAAGTTCAAAGCTTGGTAGGAAACAGGGTGGGGTATACTAATGGTTCACAAATGCCAGTTTATGTCCTGGCTACATCAAAACCCTCTGGGAAACTTGTTAAAAACACAGATTCCTAGGTTTCCCTCCAATTTCCCTGAATCAAAACATCCAGAGAAAGGAGTTGGGGATCTGTATTCTTAACAGTCTCTCTCGGTAATTCTGCTGGGCAGAGGGTCTGCCTCAGCAAAGGGCATAGAGGGCCATTCAGAGGACAGCACGTGGAGCAGAGTGCCCTCCTTGTCTTCCATCCGCCATGAGGATATGTGTGTACTTCACTCTGTGCACAGAAGCCACCTTGAGATGGTGGTGGTGACACTGTTTGAGAAGGGAGAAAAAGTTCTGATAGGGAGTTTCAACTTTTTGTTTTGGTTTGAGACAGAGTCTCGCTCTGTCACCCAGGTTGGAGTGCAGTGGTGTGATCTCGACTCACTGCAACCTCTGCCTCCCAGGTTCAAGTGATTCTTGTGCCTTAGCCTCCCAAGTAGCTGGGATTACAGGTGTGTGCCACCATGCCTGGCTCTTTTTGGTGTGTGTGTGTATTTTTAGTAGACACAGGATTTCGCCATATTGGCCAGGCTGGTCTTGAACTTCTGGCCTTAAGTGATCTGCCTGCCTGGGGCTCCCAAAGTGTTGGGATTACAGGCGTGAGCCGCCACACCCGGCCAGGAGTTTGAACTTTGACTTAGCTAAATATTTACCTCCAAAGAGACCATTTCAAAATTGGTAACACTGAGGTACTTTTAAATGGAAAGTTTAATTTTTTCCTGTTGGTGGGAATGAAGGCCCTGAAAGAAGATGAGATCAGGTATAGAAAATAGATGTGGTTTTTTCTTTGCGCAACAGAATCATGGTGTATATAACATCCCTCTATTCTGTAACTTATCATTTCTAAAATTTATTTGACATTAGGATGGTTTTTCAAGTAAAATTTATTGAAAATTCTGTGGAAACTACTGTTCCTTGGAATGTATTTTGGGAAGTGTTGCTCCAAATTATTTTGCTTCGTGTGTGTGTGTGTGTGTCTGTGTGTTCAATGTATATTTATACAATCTTGCAAAGCATTGTCATGCATAATTGGTGGCTTCCCCAAGTGGCAAACTCAAAGCACTATTAGATGGCTGATATGGGGGGTATGATGCCACATTGATTTGAAGATCTCAGCTCCTAAAACTGAGATATAAGAATGAACAAACATGGAATGGAAGGTTCAGTGTCTTAGTTTAAATTTCTTAAAAATGATGGATTCCAAAATTGAGATAATGATTTGAATGCAAGTCATTTATTTGGGAAATAATCCGAGGAAGCCTGGTGAAAGAATGAGATGGTGAGACAGAGAAGGGGGAAGTCAACAACAGATATATTGATGACCACTCTGGGCATGAGGACTCAATTCCTCTGGTATCCTCTAAGAAAACAGGTGAAACATGCCTCAGAACTGGCCTGTTGATGGAGAAGGAAGTTGATTATTTATTCTTCATTGGTTGGGGGTTGCTCCTGTGCACATTAATTCTTTGGCATTTCTGGTCTCTCCTAAGCTTGGGCTGAACATGCCACTGGGTAGCGAGATACAGGTGCTTAAGGTTAGAATCTTTTGGTATTTGTGGGTACTGTTTTCTGAAGACTTCTACATGGGGAGAGGGGGATATGAGAGGTTTATTGACAGCATCTGCCATACCCAGGTTAACGCTCATGTTTTAAGGTCACTGCTTCTGCTCCTATTGGCAAAAGCTACCTCTTATATTCTGGGGTTGTGTCATCAGCTGGAACTGCCTATTTTGGCACCAACTATATGATCAGTAGTAGCATGTAATACATTTTCAAAGGACTTGCCGTAGAAAAAATTCTGGGGACATCTTTTCATCTTACGTTACAAGAAACAAATGGTGTTTGATAAAAGCTGACCCATAAGTAACTTAAATTCTGAATATAGGATGAAATGTAGACAGGCATTTCATGTCCAAGTTAGTGCTTGAAAGTCCGTCAGATTAGAATCCATCACTGGTGATATCGTTTGGCTGTGTCCCCACCCAAATCTCATCTAGAATTGTAGCTCCCATAATTCCCACATGTTGTAGGAGGGACCTCGTAGGAGATAATTGAATCATGGGGGCAGTTTCTCTCATACTGTTCATGTGGTAGTGAATAAGTCTTATGAGATCTGATGGTTTTGTAAGGGGAAACCCCTTTCACTTCATCCTCTCTTGTCTGCCACCGTGTGAGACATGCCTTTTGCCTTCTGCCAAGTAAGACGCGCCTTTCGCCTGCCACCATGATTGCGAGGCCTTCCCAGCCACATGGAACTGTGAGTCCATGAAACCTCTTTTTCTTTATAAATTGCCCAGTCTTGGGTATGTCTTTATCAGCAGCATGAAAGTGGACTAATACAACTAGTGACCTGTGAAAATGGTCTCGGTCAAATCTAGTCCACCATGCTTAGGCAACCTGACAGGTCATCATGGTAACAAACCTGAAATTAAGTAGTTGACTTATTTTAGCAAACATTTATTGGGTCCTTATGTTTATAATAAAGAGCATACTGAAGGTGATTTTAAAAGTGGTATTACTGAACTTTGGAGCTGCTTGGAATTATGCAGCATGCATTATGAGCCTGTTTAATGTAATGGTTAGGAACATGGACTCAGGAACCATACTGCCTGGGTCCAAATCCTGGTTCCATTGCTTGCAAGCCTGCCTTGGACAAGTAACTTCACATTTCTGCCCCTTTGTTTATTCTATACAGTAGTACCTCCTTATCAAATTCTAAGGATTAAGTGAATGGATATATGTAAAGCTTGTAGAACAGAATCTCACACAGGGTAACCAATAAGCACATTTTAGCCATTAAGTAGCTCCATCTTGGTTTACAGATGAGGGGACTCCAGCCAAGAGATGCTTAGTGACCTCCTCAAGGTTACTCTGCCTTAAACTCATAGCAGAGTTTAGATTGGAACTCATGTCTTCTAATTTCTAGAGCAATTTGTTTTCATTACAAGTTGCTGAATGATGGCAGACAATCTCTACAGTTTAGATGTTTGTTATTATTTGAGAGACAAAGTCAATAATATTTTGAAAGCAATTTAAAAAGATTATAAATGTAGGATAAGGCTGGGTGTGGTGACTCATACCTGTAATTGCAGCACTTTGGGAGGCTGAGGCAGGTGGATTGCTTGAGCTAAGGAGTTTGAGACCAGCCTGGGCAACATGGCAAAATCCTGTCTCTACAAAGAACACAAAAATTAGCCTGGCATGGTGGCATGTGACTGTGGTCCCGGCTATTCAGGAGGGTGAGGTGGGAGGATTGCTTGAGCCCAGCTGGTTGAGGCTGCAGTGAGCCAAGGTTATGCCACTGTACTCAAGCCTGGGCAACAGAGTGAGACCCTGCCTCAAAAAAAATAAATAAAAAATAAACATAGTATAAAGTATCACGCAGAATCTATGAATGCTAAATGTAGAAGAAACTAAAAGTAATGTGTGGAAATCATCATGGCGTCAAATTATTATAGAATCTTCCTGAAAGAGAAGAGCCTTGAAGTTTATTTGGCTCTTGGCTCATGCTTTTAGCAAGCAATGGATTTGACTGGGAAGGTAACATGGGAAAGGAATGTGGATAAAACATTAATGCCTGAAGAGATGGGCTGGATTGTGGGGGTGCTGAGGTTATAAACTGGTGGCTTGAGGTAGGGTCTAGGCCCATGTATGTGTTTTGTTTGGCCTACACAGAGTTTCACAAAAATTTGAGTTGGCTATTTTATCAGTGAAGGTTCTTCAGAGGAACAAAACCAGTAGAATATGTATGTGTCTATATATGTATGTATATACGTGTGTGTGTATGTTTATATATGTACAGAAAGCATGCATATATACACATAGAGAATACATACATATACATGTGTGTGTATTTAGAGAGAGAGAGAGAAAGAATTATTTTTAAGGAATTGGTTCATGTGATTGTGAAAGCTGGCAAGTTTGAAATCTGTGGGGCAAATCAACCAGCTAGAAATTCAGATAGGATTTTTGTGTTACAGCCTTAAGTCAGAATTCTTTATTCCCTCTTCTCTGGAAACCTCAGTGTTCTGCTCTCAAGGCCTTTAACTGATTGGATGAGGCCTCTCCACATTATTGAGGATAATCTCCTTTGCTTAAAGTCAGCCAATTTTAGATGCTAACCACATCTACAGAATACCTTCACAGCAACATCTAGATCAGTGTTTGACTAAACAACTTGCCGCCATTGTCTAGGTGACACATACAATTCACCATCACGGTTACCAACATTTAAAAAAATCTCTAGATTTTAAAAGGAAGAGTCAGAATTCTAGCTTCTTTTGAAAAATGGAAGATCTGGCAACCCTGAAACTACAAGTCCTTTAGATGAGGAAGGGGCAATGGTGGGAGTGGGTAGGTTGGTTCCTTTGTGTACTTTAATATGAGTGGCTCTATTTTTCATCTGTTTTATGTTTTGTGCTGCTCAAGTGTTTGAAAACTACCCCTTAAGACTAGCATGGCCATTTTACAATGGAAGAAACCAAAGCCCAGCTTCTCAGCTTGGTTTTGTATGACCAGCTGTCTTAGTCCATTTTCTGCTGCTATAATAGAATGCTACAGACTGGGTAACTTATACAGGATAGTTTATTTGGCTTATGGTTCTGGAGGCTGGAAAGCCCAAGGGTGTGAGCACCTTTGTGCTGTGTCATTCCATGGCAGAAGTGCAAGTGAGTGTGAAAGACAGCAAGAGGATGGGGGATAAACATCCTTTCATAAGGAACTCACTCCTGAGATAACTAATCCCACAATAATTCGTTAATTCATTCATGAAGGCAGAGCCCTCATAACCTAATCACTTGTTAAAGATCCTACCTCTTATTGTCACAATTAAATTTTAACATGAGTTTTTGAGGGAGCATTCAAACCACAGCACTGTCAACAGAAAGCCTTTGAGCACTCTCCAACTGAGTAGTCATGCATTCCCAGAAAATTCTTATCTGGTGAGAAATAACTGAAGTGTTGAGAGACAGGGAGCCAGAGGATCAGTGCAGAAGCCATGCCATTATCCATGTGCAGCATCCATGTCCTAGACCAGATAGTGGCTCTGAAAATAGAGAAAGAAAATGAGTAATAACTGTACACAAGCTGAATATCAGTAAGTAAGGAATGGGCAAGGCAAAGAAATCTCTAAGGTGTCGAGCCTGTGGACTGGGAAAACAATGACACTTTTGGCAGAAATGGGAAAACTGGAAAGGGAGTCCATTTGAAGGGCCAACATCTTTAAAATCACTTATTTCATTGGGGCTTCCTTTTTTTAATAGTGAAATTACCTGAAACTGGATAAAATAATTTTTTTTAATAATTCACTTTTTTAAAAGCTATACTTCACTTTTATCCATCCTCCATTCCTTAAAACAAATCAATGTTTTACTTTGGCTCTGAGAATTTGCTGACAGCAAGTGCCAGGATAAACCTAGTGTCTGATAGGAATGACTGAAAATTTGGTAATCTTATAAATGTATAATTTTTACCTGTACTTTAGATTCTAAAAGATTTATATAAAGAATTTAGAATCTTAAAGCTTATAGATAAAAATGTACATTTTAAAAATGTAGCAAAATAAGCATAGGTAATATTAAATGAATTAAATTCTTATTAAAGAAAATGTGTGAAATAAATAATACACTTTTAACCTCTGTGATGAATTCTCTAGAAATAGCTTTAATTGGCTCCAATACAACTGCCTTTTTAATAGATGTAAATTAGCACCTTGCATAGTGTGCCCGAAGGTTAGCTATTCAATTTTAATATAATTTTCCCTTTAAGTTAATGCTCTCTTAATTGAACTAGTTTAGAAATGTCCTCAATCAGAATTAAACTCTGCACAATCTCATCCTTAGATAATCCTCAGTTATCCTCTCTCAGAATGCTTTGTTTATATATACCCTAAGTAAGAATACCCTCTTTAACTCCAATATGAAAGCATCCTCTGAACTGATCACTGACTTGAATGGGCTGCATCCTCACCAATACATTGTATATAATATCTTGTCTATAGCTATATGTGTTAGTGTTCTATACAACAACAACATTTAAAGAAGGTATAACTATGCGACCAATTAAAAGACTTTAGGAGAGCAGAGAAGTAGACAAGACAAGGATGAGTGTAGTAGAAAGACTGAAAAATGGAGACTGAATTTTAGGAGATAGCCACAATGGGGAGTTGAAGAAGGGAAATCTAGCCATACAGAGATAAAGAAGAACTACAGAGAGTCAGTCAGAGGAACCAAGAGAACCTTGCTGTCTTAGTCCATTAGGACTACAACAAAATACCATAAACTGGGTAGCTTTATTTATTTATTTATTTTGAGATGGAGTCTTGCACTGTTGCCCAGGCTGGAGTGCAGTGGTGCAATCTTGGCTCACTGCAATCTCCACCTTCCTGGATTCAAGAGATTATCCTGCCTCAGCCTCCCAAGTAGCTGGGATTACAGGCACCCGCCACTATGTCCGGCTAATTTTTTTTGTATTTTTAGTAGAGATGGGGTTTCACTATGTTGGCCAGGCTGGTCTCGAACTCCTGACCTCATGATCTGCCCACCTCGGCCTCCCAAAGTGCTGGGATTACAAGCATGAGCCACCGTGCCCAGCCTTATGTAATTTTTTTTAGAGACAAGGTCTTGCTTTGTCACCCAGGCTATAGTGCAGTGGAGTGATCATAGCTCACTGTAACCTTGACCTCCTGGACTCAGGTGATCCTCCCACCTCAGCCTCCCGAATAGCTGGGACTACAGGCATGGGCCACCAGCCCAGCTAATTTTTTGTATTTTTTAGTAGAGATGGGATTTTGCCATGTTTCCCAAGCTGATCTCGAACTCCTGGGCTCTGCGTGATCTCGAACTCCTGAACTCTGGGATCTGCGTGCCTTGGCCTCCCAAATTATTGGGATTAGAGGCCTGAGCCACTGAATCCAGCCAACTGGGTAACTTTAAACAACAGAAATTTATTTCCCATGGTTATAGAGGCTAGGAAGACAAAGATCAAAGCACCAGCAGATTTGGTGTCTGGTGAGGTTGGTGATGGCAGTCTTCTTGCTATTTCCTCACCTCACCTGGCAGAAGGAACAAGAACATTCTCTGGAGTCTCTCTTTTTTTTTTGAGATGGAATCTCACTCTGTTGCCTAGGCTGGAGTGCAGTGGCTCGATCTCAGCTTACTGCAACCCCACCTCCCGGGTTCAAGCAATTCTCCTGCCTTGGCCTCCCGAGTAGCTAGGATTATAGGCATGTGCCACCATGTCCGGCTAATTTTTGTATTTTAAGTAGAGATAGGGTTTCGCCATGTTGGCCAGGCTGGTCTCGAACTCCTGACCTCAAGTGATCCATCAGCCTCGGCTTCCCAAAGTGCTGGGATTGCAGGCGTGAGCCACTGCGCCTGGCCTGGAGTCTCTTTTATAAGGACCCTAATTCCATTCATGAGGACTCTGCCCCCATGACTTAATAACTTCTCAAAGGCCTCATCACCTAATACCATCACCTTCGGGGTTCAGATTTCAACATAAGAATTTGGTGGTGGTGTGGGGGAATGGGAGGCAGTCACACACATTCAGACTGTAGCACTGGTGTCAGAGAATCCGACAGAGAAGAGCTTTCCAAGAGAAGGTCAAAATGGGTGGTGATCAACCAGGTCAGAAACAGCAGATGAAAATGTTGAACAGATCATTGAACTCAGTCGGCAAATGTTTGGTACTGATGTGGAGAGAGCAATTTTGGGTGGAATAACTATCTTCTTGAGATGCAAGTGGATTTGAGAGAACAAAGAAGAGGGAATAAAGACACAGGCTGCAATTCAAAGAAAATTTTACCACCTTTAGCCAAGAGCTCACTGTTGACTCTCTTGAAATGCCTCATTTACTTCAATTAATGACTGAAGCAAACTATTGGTATCTGTAAATTATACTCAAAACAGTGACTTCATATTGTTTCCATTAATTACCCAAGACAGGAGTTCATTAGCTAGTGAGAGCACACTAATGATTTGCCCAAGTAGCTGTAATTGTGGTGTTATTAAAATGCTTGGATTAATATCTCCTTTACCATGGATTTATCTGTTCAGAGATGGGACAGTGGCTGTCAATTACAGAAATAGAATTTTTTTGTCTCTATATCTAGGAATCTTTTTACTCTAAGGCTGGCAGAAAAATTTTAAAAAGGAAACAATTTATAGAAGTTATAGCAATTCTCTAAATTGTACCCCATGCTAAACAGTAAGGGTCACCATGGGAATATTCCAGAAATTATCTTTGGAGTCTTCTCACTAGTCCTTCCATTACAGCCTTCTGCTGCATCTGAATTTGCTGGCCATTTTCTCAATTGAAAATATACTCCCTTGGTTCGTTAGTTACCAGCTCTTCTCTGGTTTCTTCTTCTCTGACTGTCCCCCCCACATCTCTGACTCTCCCCCAACGTCTCCTTGATTCCTTTTCCTCTGCCAGCCCCTTAAAGGGTGCTTTCTCCCCCCGGGTACAGTCACAGCTCTCTTCTTACTTTGTGCCTCTTCCTGGAAAATCCCAGGGCTTTTCCTGTCACTCAGACTCAGGTGGTCTCCACATGCCCAATTCCTTTCTCCTTAGCTTCATTTCCACATTCCCAGCTGCCTACTGAGCAGCAACTCTGGGAGGTTTTACAGGCAACCTGAACCCAGTATGTCCAAAACCAAGCTCACACTCTCCCCTATCCAATGCTTCATTCATTCCCCACCAGACCTGTTCCACTTCTGTTGGTTGATGGCATCAACATCTACATGGCCAACTGAGCTAGAGACCTCAGAACCATCGTCAGTGCTTCTCCCTTCCCACCTCGCACATCCAGGTGGTCTCTGAATTGTGGCCGCTCTGCTCTTTGACATTTTAATCTACCTACTTATTTAACTATATTCATTCAACAAATGAGTATATTGTGTGCCAGGCACCTGAGTGATGGCAATTAACAAAACAGATAAAGTCCATGCTCTTGGAATATATATCTAGTAGGGGAAGTAAACAAACAAACAAAAAATACACACTGTAATTGTAGCTGGTATTAAGCGCTAGGGAAAAGAAGCAGAGTAAGGGGACAAAAAGTCGTGGAAGGGGATTGCCATTTTAGTTAAATTTGAAACCACTTTAGCAAAAATTATGACTGAGGAAATTATGACAGTGAAAGAAATCAGACATAACCAACTCCATCTTGGTTCTAACCTCTATGCTGTCCTTGTTCATTCCTGGGCATAGGCTGAACTAACCTTGGGAAGGAATATAGTTTGTAGTTTAACTTTGAAACAAAAATGATAATAGCCCTTTCCCCGAAAACACCAAACCAAACCAAACCAAAACCCTTCTTGCCCGAGGGCCGGTCTGCCTTTGCAGGTCTAACAAATTAGCTACAAGAGTAGAAATTACGGTTTAGGGGCCATGCAAGCTCTGGCTGCAAGAGTCTCAACCTCCCCAAATTGCTCCTGGGAATAACATCACTGTTGTAAAACCTAAGATCAGGGCTTGAGATATTTTGCAGATCCTCATTCTGATGCACCAGCTGACATTGCCCAGACCGGTAATCTGGCTCAACCAGGTCTGCATCCCATCCAGGAACAGAAGACAGCAATAAAAACTCACTTCGACCCCCTGTGATTTCATCTCCAACCCGACCTAATCAGCACTCCCCACTTCCCGAGCTCCTACCTGCCAGATTATCCTTAAAAACTCGGATCCCTGAGTTTTCGGGGATACTGATTTGAGTAATAAAAAAACTCTAATCTCCTGCACAGCCAGCTGTGCGTGAATTACTCTTTCTCTATTGCAATTTCCTTGTCTTGATAAATCAGTTCTGTCTAGGCAGTGGGCAAGGCTAACCCTTTGGGCAATTACAAATTGATTTAAGAAGACCTCTCTGATGAGGTAACAAATGAAAACACATCTGAAGCGAGCAGGGAATGATGCTGTGACTTTCTAGACATAATCATGCTCCTGTATTCTCCCTGTCTCTAGCCTTCACCACCACTCCCCCGACAGTTTCCTTTTTTTTTTTTTTTTTGAGACAGAGTCTCACTCTGTCACCCAGGCTGGAGTGCAGTGGCACAATCTCAGCTCACTGCAACCTCCGCCTCCCAGGTTCAAGCGGTTCTCATGCCTCAGCCTTTCGAGCAGCTGGGATTACAGGCATGTGCCACCACATCCAGGTAATTTTTGTATTTTTAGTACAGACAGGGTTTCACCATGTTGGCCATGCTGGTTTCAAACTCCTGGCCTCAGTTGATCCACCTGCCTTGGCCTCCCAAAGTGTTGGGATTACAGGCGTGAGCCACCACGCCCGGCCTCCTGAGTTCCCTAACTGGCTTTCAGGCTCCATGCTTCAAACTTCATATTTCTTGGTCGCATATGACCTCTCTTTCCTGCTCTGGAACATCCACTGTGTGGTCCAGTACACTGAATTCATTAACAGTTCTCTGAACATCCTACCATTGTTTATTTCCTTAGACTTTTGTGTGTGTGTGTGTGTGTGTGAGTGTTGTACCTTTTGCCTGGAATGCCCCTTCGTTAACACCTGTGCTGGAAGAACCCTTGGCCTTTCCATATTCTTGTAAACTGCCTTACATTTTTTTCTTCAAATCTAAGGACAGAGAGTAGACACTTCTCCTAGAGTGGCCAGGTTTTGTTCCTGAGTACTAATCAATTTGTATATATATGGCAACAATTTTTTTTTTTCAAACAGAATCTCACTCTGTCACCCAGGCTGGAGTGCAGTGGTATAATCTCGGCTCACTGCAACCTCCGTCTCCTGGGCCGAAGTGATCCTACTGTCTCAGCCTCCCAAGTAGCTGGGACTACAGGCATATGCCGCCATGTCTGGCTAATTTTTTTGTATTTTTAGTAGAGATGGGGTTTCACCGTTTTGGCTAGGCTGGTCTCAAACTTCTGACCTCAAGGGATCCACCCATCTGTGCCTCCCAAAATGCTGGGATTACAGGTGTGAGCCACTGCGCCCAGCCATGGCAAGAATTTGATCTGAAACTTCTATTGTAACATCCACCTGGTAGTAAGTTTGTAGAGGTGACCACCTTTCTTCTAATTTGACAGTTGTTGATTGACCAAATTAGCTTAGGTTGGTATGCAACACTGAAATATTGATACCCCTGTCCTATAAAAGCATAATCAAATATTGTTCAGGTTACTTTGGGTTTCAATTTCAGGAAAAAGGGGATTATTTTTCTCAGACAATGTGTCTACACAGGGGTAGTTGCTGTTGATGATGTGACAGAAAATATATCCCAAAGAGTTTATTAATCAGCAATAATCTGCATCGCTTCTCTGATTTCCCCTATAAGATAATGCAAGCATAACTTAGCCTGGGGTTTAGAATTACAGACTGAGTGAGCCAAGTTGGTTAATGAACAATGACAAAGAGACACCTTGTGAGATTTGTGAATATAAAACTAAATCCATGACTTCTGGCTTCACTTAGTGTGGAATAATCATTTATATACCCTTGAATGCCATTTTGTTTTGCTCTCCATGTTATTAAAAGACTAATTTTGATTTTCAGACTATAATGGATGTGGAATTGGCATTTCACTTTCCAGATGTGCTATTTGTCTGAGGACAATGCAAGTGAAAAGTGAAGCAGAGTGTGTTAATGGCCTACAGCTACTCTACAGGAGATGTTTGCCTTCCCTCTAATGGACTTAATCACCAATCACTCAGCCCATCTTTAGGAGACCTCCCTGGCTGCTGAGAACAAAGGGCTGCACAGCTTGTCACTCTTCTCATAGCTGGCTGCTTCCTCTTCTGGTTTGCAGCAGTGTCCTGCAGTCTGCTGAGAGGCCCCCCAGGCATCTCAAACCAATGGTCCAAAGCTGAATGCAGCATTCTTCTCATTCAAACCCTCTCTTCTTCATGCATGTCCTGTTTCAGTCAATGACATCATCATCTGCCCAGATGCCCATGCCAGAAACCTGGGGATTCCCTTTGGCCCATCCTTCCTCTCACACACTGCATCTAACCAGCCTCAGGTTCTGTTGATGCCAACTCCAAAATAACTCTTGGAATAGATCCACTTCACTGTGCCCCATAGCCAAAGCCCCAGTCCAGGTTGTCACTATCATACTTAGATGACCCAGTAGTACCCGATTTCCTTCCTTTCTTTTCCTTCCAGTAGGATATCATTTGAGATAAAAACACATATTTATTTTATTTCTGTATTTTCCTTTTTACATCCCCTCCATTCAACCATGCACAGTAATATCTACAGTAATTATCTACCATAAAAAATGGGAGAAGTAAGTTTAGAAAAATCTAATACTTTAACTGTGGGGTGGGTTATTTCATGGTTCATGAAATGTGTGGGGTGAGTCTGTATAGTAGCTGGCCAGCTGTTCCATGGGTCTGACTATCCTGGTGGTAGTGGTTCACAACAGCTCAAATGTCAAAAGGGCCCATTCTGAGCTCTGTGTCTGACTGGGACTTCCAGGACTATAATGGTGATGGCAGACATTTTCCAGGTTTGTTGGTAGAACTCTCCCCTCTGCCTCCCTGCTCTCTGATCTGGGGTTGCCTGCCATCTATCCATTCATCTGCTCTTCCTTCCATGTCATTCACCAATTCCTCCCAGAATGTGTCAAAATTATCCTGTCTCTGCTAGAGAATGGGGCTAGTTGGAGACCTAGAGTTCATGGTAGTCATGCTATAACAAAATTTTGATATCACAGGTACGTTTTCATGAATTTTTGTTTTGTGCTCACTGCTTTAGGGTAGGTATATAGAAGGTAAGAAATTCTTGATTTTGTTCCCAAAACTTTATCAATAGATTGTGATGTTGACTATGGAAAAAACAACCTGTCTAGGTCAAGGTAATGGGAGAAAAGACTTTACCCCAGATAAAAATACAATCTCCTGCCCCTCCCTAATTCCAACTCCTGGTGGAAAGAGAGAAATGTGAGGGAGGTATGCGAATAAAGTCGAAAGGCTTAGGTTCGGGCTTCTGGAAGTACCCAGGGAGGCAACAGGACCCCAGAATGAAATGCTGCACATACATCCAGGCGGAGGGGGCAGGAGTACCCACTTATACACACCTAGGCCCCATGCGATCTTGGAAAAGAAGCTGATAAATGCAATTCCACTGGTTATAAATAATAGAAAACCTCAAATGTTTTACCTTTCTCAGAGAAATCTTTATTTTGTTTTATTAAATTTGTATAAAATTATGGTGCAACTTTGTCACATGCATAGATTGAGTAGCAGTCAAGTCAAGCCTTTTAGGATATCTATCACTTGAATAACATACACTGAACCCATTAGAGATCTTTATTTTAATGTGAAGCAAATCAGTCTGTTGTCTTGTAGCTGTAGGCCTGGAGATGAGGTGGGAGAGAAAAGGTGGCTAAAAGGGCTTTCCTGGCTCTTCCAGTCCCTAAGATCAGCCTTCTATGCTGTCAGCACAGGCAGGGGAGGTTTGGGTTAAATGCACAGCGTGGGGCCTTTCCTTCTGATTTGCATTCCCTAGGGAGGTAGAGACTCAATTAAAAATTACTGAAAAATGAGTCACTATTGCTGATGGGATGGAGTATATTTCTCTTGTGTGTCAGAAAAAAAGTTAGCAACTGTAACTATTATGTTTGTAAAGAACTGAGAATAATCTGAGTAAAACATTTTTTTCAATGGCACCAGGGCTGAAAGTTTTCACTACTGTTTCAGAATCAACATAGTTCTTTACATTCTTTAATACAACTGAGGTATATCTGGCTGTGAGATGAACTGAGTATTTTCAGTTAGTATATGTCAAATCATGGGAATCACGAATAACAAGAAATCTCAGAGTCATTCTGAGTGATTTGTGACCTGAGTAGCTAATTTTCTGACCATACGCCTGACAACTCTTAAATATATGCATCTTGTTTATATACTACTAAATTGTGAAAATATTAAGGGTAACTTAGTAGGTAAGATTGCCCACAGGTGTGAAAAAATTAATTACTAACTGCTTCTTGCCTACCAATCATTTAGATAGATAGATACACACGCATACAAAATATATGTGTGTGTGTACATATGTAATATTCAGCAATTATTTCTAGATATATTTAACTTCTGCATTAATGGTAAAACTAAGTATGTACATAAAACTGTAAACTTCATGTGTGTTATTGTAAACATTTCATTATAAAACTACTTCCTTTTTTTAGTTGACACAAATCACTATGAAGCTGCAAATCCATCTTATTTAAATTCTCATTTGAATAATTTCCTGTGACTGCATCACAAGTAAGTAGCAGGGTGTCCCCTCAGGGTTGTCCTAATGACAAGAAAGGCTCAGAGCCTCAGTGAAGTCAACTGTGCAACACGTCGCTGGTTAAATGTCTTGGTGGAACATCAAATAGAGTGTAGTTCTTTCCAGAAGTGTGGTCTCACTAAGATGGAAAAAAGAAGCCATCAAAAAAAAAGCAGCCAAGTAAAGATCTTCAGATAATTTTGAACTAAACAATTTGAATTAGATATGGAAGTGTGAAGCCATGCATCACTGGGAAAAATCATGACCAAAATGAAAGCCAGCATTCTACCTCTAACATTACAAATATAATTGCTCCTCAAATGTGCTTTCTTGCCAAAGTGAGGGTGAACAGAATTTTCATAATGTAGATCACACTTTAAATGTGTGGGAAAAGCTAATGATACAAAGAATCATGAAGTGTAGCCTTTTCTAAATTGAATACTTAATTGCACATGCAGGATTATGTGTCATCTTTGGTGCAATTATTCGCAGGTTTTCTTGACATAGGTTTCATTTTTGAATGAATCTAAGAATCTATAGATTGTAAGATGCACCATTAGTTTATGTTCCACCAAGAAATAAAATACTGTGACAAATGAACTCTGATATAATGCTTTGTTGCTTATTTTTATATGTGTTGAAAGACCTCCTAGACAAATTTGGACATAGATTTTTACTTTATATCAATCTAATGCAGCAGTTCTCATTAAAAAAACTCTCAGAATCACTTTATACTCTTAAAAGGATTCTGAGATATTGTTTAGGAGCCCCAAAAGCTTTGGTTTATGTGGATTTTATCCATTGATCTTTGCAGTATTGGAAATTAAAATTGAGAAATTTTCAAAACTTTTATGAATTGCTTTTAAAATAATAAATTCATTATACATTAAAATATTTTGTACAAATATGTTGTTAAAATATGAATGTGAAGAGTAGGGTTGCTTTACATTTTTTCATATTCCTTTAATGTTTGGCTGAATAAAATTTAGCTGGATTTTCATATATATTTCTGCATTCAATAATTCAATAATAGCCTTTTCAAGAATTGTGAATATTCAAAACTTGACAAATGGTAGTTCCTTAAACATTAGTTGCAATATTGTTAGCAGTGGCAAATCCATATGGTTCGGCAGCAACCTCAATTCTTGCCTCTTCAGAAGAAAGAATTTGACCAAGGGTCATAAGGCAGAGTGAAAGACCTAGGCAAGTTTTAGTTACACACGTCTGTGTGAAGAGACCACCAAACAGGCTCTGTGTGAGCAATGAGGCTGTTTATTCACTTGGGTGCAGGTGGGCTGAGTCCGAAAAAGGAGTCAGCAAAGGGAAATAGGGGTGGGGCAGTTTTATAGGATTTGGGTAGGTAGTGGAAAATTACAGTTAAAGGTGGTTATCTCTTACAGGCAGGGATGGGGGACACAAGGTGCAGGGTGGGGAGATCATGAGACTCATTGTCCAGGGGAGGAATGTCACAAGGTCGATTGATTAGTTAGGGTGGGGCAGGAACAAATCACAATGGTGGAATGTCATCAGTTAAGGCAGGAACTGGCTGTTTCACTTCTTTTGTGGTTCTTCAGTTGCTCCAGGCCATCTGGACGTATACATGCAGGTCACAGGGGTTATGATGGCTTACTTTGGGCTCACAGGCCTGACATTCCTGTCTTCTTATATTAATAAGATAAAACAAAATAGTGGTGAAGTGTTGGGGTGGCAAAAATTTTTGGGGTGGTATGGAGAGATAATAGGCAATGTTTCTCAGGGCTGCTTCAAGTGGGATTAGGGGTGGCATGGGAACCTAGAGTGGGAGAGATTAAACTAAAAAGAGATTTTGGGGTAAGGGGTGATATTGTGGGATTGTTAGAAGGAGCATTTGTTGTATAGAATGATTGGTGATGGCTTGGATGTGGTTTTGTATGAATTGAGAAACTAGAGGGAAGACACAAGGTCCGAATAAGAGAAGGAGAAAAACAATTATCAAACGACTAAGAATTGGGAGGACCCAGGACATTCAATTAGAGAGTGTCCAAGGGGGTTCAATGTAATTATTTGCTTGGTTGGTGAGTTTTTGGGCTCTATCCTTGAGTTTTTTTATGTTGTCATATACCAGGCCAGATTGATGTAGGTTAAAAACAACACTCTTCATTTAAAAATATACAGAGTCCTCTTTCAGCAGTGAGTAAGTCGAGGCCTCGGTGGTTTTGGGGGACAACTGCAGCTAAAGAGTCAACCTGGGCCTGAAGGACTGATAGAGTTTGTGATATGTCTGCAGTGCTAGCAGAGAAGTCATTAGAGAGGCTACGGAAGGTCGTGACAGAGGTTGAAATGCCTGCTATTCCAGTTGGGAGAGCAATAGTGGAGGCAGAAAGTCCTGAACCAACAAGCAAGGGAATTAGTGGAATAATCCTTTTTTGTTGTGTCGGTGTCATGAGGGGAACAGGAAGCTATTCAGTCCCATTTGCAAATTGAATTTTGGGGGAAAGGAAAACTAGTGTGCATGTGCCTGTCCAATTAGCAGGAGGCACATGTTAGTGGATGAGCCACAGAGGAAAAAGAGACGTTGTGTAAGGCAAAACTGGAAGTGCAAAGTGAAAAGGTGAGAGGGTGTACTAAAAGAAGTGTCTTGCACCCAGACTCCTAGGGATCCAGCTAAGGCAGCAGCTGTCAGAAGTTGTAATGGGGACTGATGGGGTAACTGCATAGAGGGGGAGGTTTGATTTTCATGGTGTATGAGGAAGCGTTGAGTGTCTATGAGCAATCTCTCACTGGTATTTGTGGGGCTGGGTATGAGCAAACAAGAAGGGCTGGGAGGAGAATCTGAAGAATAAGGGGAAGGTAGCCAAGGATGGAATGAAATGCAGGGCAAATGTCTTCCTAAGCAATGGTAACTGCTAATGTTTTTAAGTTTGTCAGTATTGATAGAGGGCTTATCTGTAATGCGGAGCTGAAAAGCCCCAATGGTTTTGGTAATGTGTGTAGCTGGGCTTTGGAGATGAAGAGTGAAGGAGCATAGAGAAGGTGAAAGGTTACCTAAGGGAATTCTGGTGGGTCTTCGCTGGGAGATGCACAAAGGAGCGGCAACAGGGATAGCAGTTTGTGTTGTGAGGGGTCCAAATATGGGAGGAGTAGAAATGACATAAGGAGAAAGGTTTTTAAGTAGATGCAGAGAAGAGCATCAGCTTGCTAATATGAAATGTCTGAGGAGGTTTTTCTAGACCTGTCTAGAAAGTAAAGAAGTTCTTCAGAAGAGTAAAGATGAGGGCTGTTAAAGGAGGTTCGGAGATGTAGGGAGACAGGAGATATTGCCTAGTTGGTATGTAAGGTGGGGAGAGCCATGTAAGTGCAGGAAGAAAGGGAAATGCAAAGCCAGCAATTGTTCACTAATGAGGGATTAGAAACAGCTAGGAGAGAGTGAGTGAGATTGATAGTGTCGTGGAGATAGCTGGGGAGAGGTAGAGAGAGACATAAGAATGAGAACGAGAATAAGAGTGAGTATAAAAGTAAAGACTAGGACTTCATCAGGGTGGAAGTTTTGGAGGGTGCCCTGCAAGCAAAGATCATCTACCCACTCCAAGAGGGAGTTAAGGGTGGCATTTTGGGGATAGTACCAGGAGATATCTGCTATGATAGTTTGGAGAAAAAGTGTAAACCAGCAGTGTAAACAGGGTCAGGGCATTTATGAGTAGTTGAGAATGGTGAATAGGAGTATGACTAGACAGAAGATAGCAGGGATGCCAAGTTTTTGGGGCACAGTCCAAGTAGTGGGGGTGACTGCGTAAAGCCCTGTTGCAAAAAGTAGGGTAAGGACGAATAGACCTAATAGAATGAAGGGATGTATTAGGGTCATAAGGGTTATTACTGTTCTTCAGAAATGCGAGTGAGTTTAAGGGAAGTAGGGGAGAGTACTTGTGACTTCCAGGAGGAAGAGGAGAGACCAGGCTGGCTGTCCAATGGACACAGCTTTATTCTGGAATGGTGAACCCAAGAGGGAGGGTCCTGTAGACAGACAGCTGTTGACGTGCTATAGATGACTAGGTAGGGTCCAGTCCATTGAGGCTGTAGAGTTTAAGGGAACAGACTCTTAAAAGAACCGATCATCCAGCTAGGGTGTCTTCATATAGCTGGGAATCTGGAGTAGGCAAGAGAAGATTAGCAGCCTGGTGAATTTCCTGTCTAGCCTCCTGGAGGACTGGAAGATAGTCACCCAGAGGGCTGGTGTCTGTAACAAGATTGGGGCCGAGCAAGAAAGTGTGTCCGTATAAAAGTTCAAATGGGCTAACACAGTGAAACCCCGTCTCTACTAAAAATACAAAAAATTAGCTGGGCATGGTGGTGGGCGCCTGTAGTCCCAGCTAGTTGGGAGGCTGAGGCAGGAGAATGGCATGAACCTGGGAGGCGGAGCTTGCAGTGAGCCGAGATCATGCCACTGCACTCCAGCCTGGGCGACAGAGCAAGACTCCGTCTCTTAAAAAAAAAACAAAAACAAAAAAACAGTTCAAATGGGCTGTACCCTGTAGCATCTAGAGGACAAGCTCTAATTCTAAGGGCAACTGGTAGAAGTACTGTCGAGTCCTTTTTAAGTTGGAGGCTGAGCTTGGTGACGTGTGTTTTTAAAAGACAATTAGTCCATTCTACCTTTCCTGAAGATTGAGGACGGTAAGGGGTATGAAGATTCCACTGAATACCAAGAGCCTGAGAAGCAGCTTGGGTGATATGACTAATAAAAGCCGGACCATTGTCAAATTGAATAGAAGTAGGAGGCCAAATTGGGGAATTAATATCTGTTAGAAGGGAAGAGATGACTGCAGTAGCCTTTTTGGAGCTACTGCAAAAAGTGGGAAAGGCCTTGACCCATCTGGTGAAGGTGTTGATCCAAACCAGGAGATATTTAAATTTATGGACATGGAGCATATGAGTAGAGTCAATCTGCCAATCTTGTGTTGGAGTAAATCCATGAGCCTGATGCGTAGGAAAAGGAGGAGGCCTGAGAAAGCCTTGGGGGCTGGTGGTATGATAGACATAGCATTGAGAGGTGATGGTCTTAAGGATGGATTTCCATGAAGTGAAGGAGATGAGGAGCTCCAGGAGGCGAGACAGAGGCTTGTATCCCACATGGAAGTGGTCATGAAGGGAAGAAAGAATGGACTGAGCTTGTGAGGCAGGAAGAATGAATTTTCCATGATCTAAGAACCACTAGCCCTGAGTTGGAAAAGGCTGGTAGAGCAGATTTTCAGAGTAGGTGGGAGTGATAGAGGAGAAAGAAAAATACTTGCCCTCTGGAGTGGGGGCTGGAATATTAGCAGGTGTGGAGGCATTGGCTATTCTTTTGCTGTCCTGTCAGCATAGGCATTTCCTTTTGCAATAAAATCTGTAGGTTTCTGGTGTCCTTTACAATGAATGACTCCAGCCTTGGCCGGCAGGAGAGCAGCCTTAAGGAGGGCTTTTATTAGAGAGGCATTGATAATGGAAGAGCCTTGTGTGGTAAGGAAGCCTCTTTCAGCCCAGATGGCAGCATGGTTATGGAGGATATGGAAAGCATATTTGGAGTATTTGGAGTCAGTATAAATGTTAATGTGCATTCCTTTAGCGAGAGAGAGCGTACGAGTTAAAGCAATCAGTTCGGCTTGTTGGAAAGTGGTGGAGGGAGGAAGTGCAGCAGCTTCGATAATAGAGGTGTGGGACATGACAGCATATCCAGCTTTAGCTGGTGAAAATTGATTGGGTTTAGAAGAACTGCCATCGATAAACCAAGTGTGGTCTGGGTTTGGAATTGGAAGAATAGCAATATGAGGAAAGGGGGAAGATGCCATGTATGTTAGGGAAATACAGTCATGTGGTTCAGGACTTGTGTTGGGTGCTATGTGAGAAGCTGGGTTGAAATTGGGCCGATGGGTAATAGTTACTGTTGGAGTTTCAACAAAGAGTGAATAGAGCTAATAGAGCTGGAGGAGTTGAGCGGCAGACAATAAATGTGAAAGGTGTGAAGAGGATATTAATGCTTGAAGGTTGTAAGAACTGTAAAGGTAATTGGAGCATAGCCTGTGATTTTGAAGGGCTCTGGAAGTATTAAAGTGGCGGCTGCTGCCACACACAGACATGAGGGCCAGCCCAGAACTGTGAGGTCAAGTTGTTTTGATAGAAAGGCAACAGGTTGTGGGCCTGGCTCCTGTGCGAGGACTCCAGCAGCACAGCCTTTTATTTCAGCCGTGTGTAAGGAAAAAGGATGGGACGAGTCGGGAGTTCTTGTGCGGGAGCTGTCTCCAGGGCCTTTTTGAGAGAGCGAAAGGTAGAATGGGGAAAAGACTTAGGGTCTATGGGATCAGTTAAGTTACCTTTTGTGAGCTTGTAAAGTGGTTTGGTTAGGATAGCAAAGCCTGGTATCTGGAGTCGGAAATATCCAACAATGCCTTAGAAGGAAAGGAGTTGTTTGGTGGTGGGGATTGGGGTCTGGGAGATTAACTAAACACGGTCTGCAGGAAGGGCACATGTATGTTGATGGAGGATTATACTGAGATAGGTAACGCTAGGGGAAGAAATTTGTGCGTTGGAGGGGTATACTTGGTACCCCTTTGAGTAGAGATGTTGAAGAAGCAGGATAGTGTCCTACTGGGAAGATTGGTAAGAGGGGCTGCAAAAAAGATCATCAAAATATTG
The DNA here is from genome assembly GCF_000001405.40 of Homo sapiens. Taxonomy (NCBI): domain Eukaryota; kingdom Metazoa; phylum Chordata; class Mammalia; order Primates; family Hominidae; genus Homo; species Homo sapiens. The sequence goes on along the minus strand of NC_000007.14, from coordinate 106,833,084 downwards.
AATAAGGTGGGAGGCAGGTGGGCGAAAACAAAGCAGATCATGAGAAAGGCCCTGGCCAAAGTAGTGTGGGCTGTCCCTGAAGCCTTGGGGCAGAACAGTCCAGTTGAGTTGTTGGGATTGGTGGGTGTCAGGGTCAGTCCAAGTAAAGGCGAAAAAGAGGCTGAGAGGAGGGATGCAAGGGGAGAGTAAAGAAGCCATCTTTGAGGTTGATAACAGAATAGTGAGTTGTGGAAGGGGATATTGAAGATAGGAGGGTGTACGGGTTTGGCACTATAGGATGGATAGGAAGGATGATTTGATTAATAAGGTGAAGATCCTGAACCAACCTATAAGACTTGTCCAGTTTCTGGATGGGTAGGATAGGGGAGTTGTAAGGAGAATTTGTAGGCTTTAAGAGGCCATGTTGTAACAGGTGGGTGATAACAGGCTTTAACCCTTTTAAAGCCTATTGTGGAATGAGATATTGGCGTTGAGTGGGGTAATGTTGATTAGGTTTTAATGAGATGATAAGGGGTGCATGATTGGTCACCAAGGTAGGAGTAGAGGTATCCCATACTTGTGGATTAAGTTGGGGAGATACCAGGGGAGGATGTGAAAGAGTTGGGTAAAAGTGCAGCAATGAGATGTGGCTGTAGCCCAGGAATAGTCAGGGAAGCAGATAATTTGGTGAAAATGTCTCTGCCTAATAAGGGAATTGGGCAGGTGGGGATAACTAAAAAAGAGTGCATAAAAGAATGTCGTCCAAGTTGGCACCAGAGTGGGGGAGTTTTAAGGGGTTTTGAAGCTTGGCCGTCAATACCCACAACAGTTATGAGGGCAAGAGAAACGGGCCCTTGAAAAGAAGGTAATGTGGAGTGGGTAGACCCCGTATCTATTAAACAGGGGATGGACTTACCCTCCACTGTAGGAGTTATCCGAAGCTCGGCATCCGTGATGGTCCAGGGGGCTTCCGAGATGATTTGGCAGCGTCAGTCTTTAGCCACTAAGCCGAGGAGATCTGGGAAGGAATCAGCCAGGAGCCTTAGCTTTTTGCTCCAGTAGGTCTAGGAGCAGCTGTAATCCAAGTTGGATGGTCCGACTTCCAGTGGGGTCCTGCACAGACAGGACAAGGCTTAGGAGGAATCCCGGGCTGTGGGCATTCCGAGGCCCAGTGGCCAGGCTTCTGGCATTTGAAGCAAGGTCCACAAGGAGGTTTTGAAGGAGTGCCTGGAGGTTGCGGTTTTGTTGTTCTGAGGTTTTTGTGTACCATGGGTGTGGCTGGGATTTTTCTTATGGTGGAGGCAAGCAGTTGCAGCTTTGAAATATGTTGTCGCTTGGCTGCCTCTTCTCTGTTGTTAATCACCTTGAAGGTGAGGTTAATTAAATGTTGTTCTGGGGTTTGAGGGCCGGAATCTAGTTTTTGGAGTTTTTTCCTAATGTCTGGGTCCAGGACTGTAAAGTGTCTAAGGGTAGCCCCCAAGCGGGCCATGAACTGAGCTGGGTTCTTGTCCTTACCTTGGGTGGTTTCTTTAAGTTTTTCATAATTAACAGCTTTGTATGCTGCCTTTTTGAGCCCCTCAACTAGGCAAGAGACCATGTAATCTCGCCTAGCTATATCTTGGGAGCCTGTTTGGTATCCCCACTGGGGACCCTCCTGGGGAACTGCCCTGGTGCCTTCTTGGAGGCCTGGCTCATGATGCCGGCAGTCGTCAGCGTGAGATTGGCCTAGGTTATAAACTCTCTCTCACTCATCTGGGGAGAGGGTAGAAGTCAGGATGACATTTAAGTCACTCTAGATTAAATTGTAGGACTGAGTTAAATATTGGAATTCCTGTATATATTTAGTGGGGTCTGATGAGAAAGAGCCTAAATGCTGACTGATCTGGAAGAGGTCCGAAAAAGGCACATGTACCCTGACTATGCCTTCAGCTCCAGCCACCTCTCTAAGAGGAAATTGTTGGTCAGGTGGAAGAGAGCTAGTCACGGAACGAAACTGTAAGCCAGACCAGGTGTGAGGAGAGGAGGTAATAGAAGGGTTATAGTGTGGGGGAGTGGAGGCTGTGGAAGAATTGGGACATGATTCAGCCCGGCGAGGAGCGGCCGGGGGAGGAGGAGAGAGGTCAGAGGGGTCAGTGGAAAAGGAGGATTCAGAGGACTCTGAGCTTGGGGTGGAGACCGAAGGAGTGGACGGGAGAGAAAGAAGGAAAATCTGGGATAAGTCACATTGGGAGCAGAGACTAGGGAGAGAGCAAAGTGTAAAAAAGGCCTGGACGTAAGGCACCTCAGACCATTTGCCTAATTTTTGACAAAAATTATCTAGGTCTTGTAGGATAGACAAATAAAAATTACCATCCTCTGACCACTTGGAACTATTGTCAAGTTTGTATTGGGGCCCAGCGGTATTACAGAAGAATATAAGATGTTTAGGTTTTAGGTCAGGTGTTAGTTGAAGGGGTTTTAGGTTTTTAAGAACACAGGCTAAGGGGGAAGAGGGAGGAATGGATGGCAGAAGCTTGCCCATAGTGGGGAAGGTAAGTTTAAAGAGGAAGGTAGAGACACGGAGAAATGGAGGTAGGCAGCTGCCAGGCTTCTAGTAGGCATCCCTGACTGAGTCCTCGGCTGTAATGTGGGTGAGCAGCCAAAGCAGGTGTCCCTGCAATTGACCTGCCACCAATGGAGTGTGGGTGAATGATCAAGGCAGGCGTCCCCGCTATGATCAGACACCAAGGGAAGACTGTCTTCCCAAATCCATGACCGACATCGGAATTTTTGAGTTCGTGGATAAAATGTGTCTCCTTTGCCTCTACTAGAGAGGAAAGAGAACTGGAGTTGGAAGGATAGGGAGATTGAAGGGTAGCAAGAGAGGCTGGAGAAGAGAGTGAAGAGGTCACTTACCCAATTTGAAATTGGTGAGATGTTCCTTGGGCTGGTCTGAGGACCCGAGGTCGTAGGTGGATCTCCTCCCGGACTGAGGGTGAGGACAGGGGGCTGGTCTTCTGAAGGAGTCCCCTGTCTTGGGTTTCAGCACCAAATGTTACATGCGTCTGTGTGAGGAGACCACCAAACAGGCTTTGTGTGAGCAACGAGGCTCTTTATTCACTTGGGTGCAGGTGGGCTGAGTCCGAAAAAGGAGTCAGCAAAGGGAGATAGGGGTGGGGCAGTTCTATAGGATTTGGGTAGGTAGTGGAAAATTACAGTTAAAGGTGGTTATCTCTTATGGGCAGGGGCGGGGGTCTCAAGGGGCAGGGTGGGGAGATCATGAGACACATTGTCCAGGGGAGGAATGTCACGAGGTCGATTGATTAGTTAGGGTGGGGCAGGAACAAATCACAATGGTGGAATGTCATCAGTTAAGGCAGGAACTGACTGTTTCACTTCTTTTGTGGTTCTCCAGTTGCTCCAGACCATCTGGATGTATACATGCAAGTCACAGGGGTTGTGATGGCTTAGCTTGGGCTCAGAGGCCTGACAGTTTTAGAGCAGGAGAAAAAGTTTAGTAAAAAGTTTTAGAGCAGGAACGAAAGTAAAGTACAATTGGAAGAGGGCCATGCGGGCGACTTGAGAGATTCAAGTGCGCAGTTTGACCTTTGACTTGGGGTTTTATACCTTGGCATGCTTTGGTTGGGGGTGAGTGGGTGTTGCATCCCTTCTTTCCCTGATTCTTCCCTTGGGGTGGGCTGTCCGCATGTGCAGTGTTCTGCTAGCACTTGGGAGGGGCTGCAGGCCCAGTGTGTTTACTGAAATTGTGCACATGCTCACTTGTGGCGTTTTTCCCTTACCATTCAAATGCTTTTAGAGGGAGGTTATATACCAGTTGAACTCTGTCCTTTTGCCCATTAATGTGCATGCTTGAGCCCATATACCCGACTCCTGAGATCTTATTGGGAAGCTGCGGATCACCAGTTTCAGGTGTTTTTATCTATTGGGGGATTATCTTTCCTTGGTGCTGCTTATGTCTGACTACCTACTGTAACAATATCAAATCTGAAACTACATCAATGAACTTTCATAATCTGTTATATTAAAATTGATTGGTCTGTCTTGCACTTTGAATGGATTTTTTTATTCATGCATGATTTTGTAACATCATGCAATGGTCATTTAGAAAATATGGGTCCACTGAGTTATGCCAATTTTCCAAATGTTGACACATTTTATTATACAATATCCCAAAAAAATCACATTTCTTACTATCACCATCGATCTCATCAGAAGAATCTTGAAGTATTGGGAAGGTATCAAGTTCACAGTGACACAAGGTTTTTTAAGATTCGATTTTTGCTTGGAAGTATAATATTAATTACAAAAATGCTTCTTTTCAAGATAACGATAATACTTTGTTATGCAGCAGAAGTACTTTTTGCTTCATTAAGAATATTCTTATGAGAATTCAGCTTTTAAAAAATTGTGGTATGCAGTAGTAAGAATACAGTGATTACTAGTAAATTTGGTGCCACTGGCTTGATGTGTGCTAAGGCACCATCAATTATATCCATCAGTACTTTTTACCATCTATACAAATGTTAACACAGTGAAAAATACAAATAATACCTTGGTATTATTATGAAAACAGAATTTGTTGTTGTGGGCCCCCTGAAAGGGTTTTGGCACTCCCAGGAACTTTTAGACCACACGTTGAGAGCTGCTGTTCTATTACTCATGTAGAATAAAAACAAAAGTGAAATAAATTATTTAACATATTATTAAAATTTCTTTGCAGTCAGTGACTCCTTTGAAACATTTTTGGATTTAGGGTCAAAAATCCACACACTATTATATACCAATATTATACAAACTACTATTGCATATGTTGTGATTCTTCCATCTCTTAAAGCAATATCCAGTATCAAGTAGCAATGTGAAAATTGGTATCAGTTTCATGAATGTTATATCCAAACCTACAAATATATAATTTTGTAGTAATATGAATTGGTTAATATTGCTAAATATATATTCCTAAGGGGTCATATGGAACTATTGTGAATATCATATTAATTTGTGAGTACCCTAGAACCAAACTAATCCCTCTGGAATTGGAGTGCTAAGAGAAGCTTTGACATTATTGGGAAATGCTACTTAGTTAGCGTAAGAATCTGGGTGCATTCAAGCTGAGAAGAAAGATTTGAAAAATTAATTCATTTGTATTTTACTTAGATGTTTCCATCTGTCACATCTCCCCAGTCTCAAAGCAACAGCTCAGAAGTCAGCAGATACATCCCAGAAACCTTCAAGTCCTTCAGCTGGAATCAACTTTCATTTTGAGATCATAGGGCATACATAGTGCAAGACATGCAAAGAAGTGTTTTGCTGGGTCCTGAATGGTGTTAGTCATGAGAACAGATGTTTAGGATCACGGGTTATATTGTGATATTGTGTCAGTTCTGAACACCTGGTTCCCAGGAACAAAGGTGACCATGTGTTCTCTGATACATTTCTTTTCTAGTTTTGGTAACATTAGGGGCCTTTAAAGCATGGGGCCCAGCTTTTTGAAAGGAGAACAATAAAAAGTTAATTGATGTACAATGTTCTTTTATATAAGGATGAGGAAGCATTGGTATGTGTAGCATGGGGGATAATTAACCCAGAAGATAGAGGCACACTGAAGAAAACACACAATCTGATTCCAGTGCCAGCAGGTGAATACTACTGCCCAGGGGGTCCCAGAAATTGGTGGATCAGTCTTTGGACTGGTGCCTTTGTTTGGATTTATATGATGTTAGGGGACTCTGTTGACATCGACATTATTTACAGACATTATTAAATCTCCCCCGGCCACACACACTAAAAACACTATAAAACTTGGCATGGTAAAAGTAATCACCACAACTTATGAAAACTGCTTCCCATTTATGCATAATTACTATGCAGCAGAATGTTAAATAGACACGTCGCTGAAGGTGCCGAATTAGCTTTTCAGCAGTTTTGATAACACTAAACTCTGTTCACATACACACAACTAACATCATTTATTGCACATGTCCATGGTTGTCTGCATAAAATAGAGTATGTACTCTCTGTGACTATATTAAGTTCCCAATGTTTGTTTATCACCATAGATATTTTGCCACAAAATTTAGGACTAAGTGGTTGAGGATATATGTTTAGCTGTGGACCAAATCCATGATACCCTGGAAGTCCAATTGAGGCCCCTCAAGTGTAAAGGAACAGCCAGGGTGGAGTTACAGATGAGCTGAGGGATTTAGTAGAATAGTAAGATTTTATTATCTTGGGCGTTGCCAGCAAAAGTGACTATGGTGGCCATGGGTGTCCACCTAAGTCCACATAAGCAAAACCTGCTCTGTGAACAAAGTCTCTTGAGACTTAGACTCTAAAACCAGTTCATCAGAACTAATACCAGAGACAGCCATCCTGTGATGATGAAATTTTATTGTTATAGATAAGACCGTACAGGGCTTAACGAGAAATGCATGCAGATAAAAAGACACGACAGATTTTTAATGAGAATGCTTTTAATTAATATATTTTTTGGTGTTGAGGGTGACACAGGGAAGGATTTTACTAAAATAATAAGAGAGGGATGAAGTTGTGGAAACAAGACACTTGAGACTAGAAAGTGTAAAAATGGAGGACTTCACTTTTTCTCACTACAGCTAATTCCAGCTACTGCTTATAAAAGCTGTCATTCTTCATTTCTTTAAATGTTAATTATAATCATAAAGGCATTACTGGAAAATACCTTCTCCCTATATAGGTCCATATGGCAGGAAATGTTTCATAAGTGGTTGTCCTTTTTATTAGAGTTGATTTCAGAAAATTATTTTAACCTGTATTCAAAAATGCTGTCATTATCTGTTTCTATATCTGCCAGTGTATTTATTAGTCAGGGTTGTCCAGAGCAACAGAACCAATATGGTATAGCTATAGCTATAGATATAAGACAGGGAGTTACTGGGGGAATTGGCTCATGCTATTATAGAGGCTGAGAAGTCCCACTGCAGGCCACCTGCAAGCTGGTGGAGACCATGGAATGGTGATAGCATGGTTCAGTCCAAGTCCAAAAGTCCAGAAACCAGTGGTGTAATTTCCAGTCCAAGCCCAAAGTCCTAAGAACCCAGGAGGCCACTGGTGTAAGTCCTGGAATCCACAGGCTGAAGAACATGGAGTTCTAAAGTCTATGGGCAGAAGGAGAATATCCTAGCTCCAGGAGAGAAAGAGATTGAAAATCATCTTTCCTTTGCCGTTTTTTTTGTTGTTGTTCTATCCAGGTCCCCAGCTGATTGGATGGTGCCTGGCCACATCAAAGGTGGATCTTTCCCACTCACTCCACTGACTTACACACCAATCTCCTCTGGAAACACCTCATAGACACACCCAGAAATAAAGCTTTACCAGTTCGCCAGGTATTCCTGAATCCAGTCAAGTTGACACCTAAAATTAACTATCACAAGTCCACTGCTTGTCAACTTGGCACCCACACACGTCTCTGTAAACTGTACTTAGTCTCCAAATAAAGACAATAACAAGGTAATAGTCCTACCTAACCTGATACAATTATCCTGTGGCTCATGTTTGTAATCCCAGCACCTTGGGAAGGTGAGGCAGGCGGATCACCTGAGGTGGGGAGTTGGAGACCAGCCTGACCAACATGGAGAAACCCTGTTTCTACCAAAAATACAAAATTAGCCGGATGTGGTGGCGCATGCCTGTAATCCCAGCTACTCAGGAGGCTGAGACAGTAGAATCGCTTGAACCCAGGAGGCGGAGGTTGCAGTGAGCAGAGATCATGCCATTGCACGCCAGCCTGGGCAGCAAGAGTGAAACTCCGTCTCAAAAAACAAAACAAAACAAAACAAAACAAAACACCACTAAACCCTTACCCAGAAGAGGAGGTAAAGTCCTTGAATGATGTTTACTTGTCTCCTGATATCCCATCACTTAAATATTATGATGTATTATTAACAATACTTAAATACTGATATAAAGTCAATATATCTTAAGTTAAATGATTCAGAGGAATGAAAACAAAGATACTTGTTTAATATATGTATATATAAATACAAATGCATTCTTAACAAAATAGGGAGAAATATGACAATTACAGTCCTCATTTCTGTAACTGGTCACATGATCATAACTGGTATTTATAACTACTTTCTTCCAATATCCATTCTGTATTCCCTTTGCCTTCAACATGCACCTCATCTGGTCATGGTTCTTTACCTGGTGGGGTGAACCTTCATTCCTGAAGGGTCTGGGTCAATTGTAGTCCTGCTTGGATTGGGTTGTTGTAATTTCTCATTGACTTTAATCACAGGGTTTGGTAGTACTAAGAGATGCCCTAAGGGATCTTCCGTATTCCAGACATACTCTCCCTAAACCCCAATGTGGAGTACTCATCCAGTTTCCCCTTAGTAGTCTGGATCAATTTCCCCAGCCACCACAGTAACTCCCTTGTTTGCCCGTTGACTCATAGGCATGAGAAGCCCAAAGTGGGTGGCAGTCTTAACTTCCAGTTGAATGGAGTCATCGTTATGTCTCCTATGGCAGCGCTCTTCTCTGATGCTAAGACTTGTAGGCCAGCAGAGCATAAAGTCACAGAAACAGGAAACAACATTTTGCTACTGGGTCACTAAGGATAAGGGTGAGTGGTGCCACTCCCATTTATACCCCTTGATTCCTGGAACTGTGAATCTTGGCTATAAGAGAAACAGTACCATATATTGGACACTGGTTCAAAGGATATATAGCTTTCTGGAGAACCTCATCCCAGCCCTGTAAAGTATTATCACCTAGTTGATGCTGTAACTGTGACTCAAAATGCCATTCATCAAGCCAGTTGCTTCAGGACAATGGGGACCTTGGTAAGGTCAGTGAACTCCGTGAGCATGAGCCCATTGCTGCACATTTTTGGTTGGGAAGTGAGTTCCTTGGTCAGAAGCAATGCTGTGTGGAATGCCAAGATAATGGATAAACATTCTGTAAGTCCACAGATGGTCGTTTTGGCAGAAGCATTGCATACAAGGAAGGCAAATCTATATCCAGAGTAAGTGCCGGTAAGAACGAAATGTTGCCCATCCTATGATGGAAGTGGGAGTGGCACCATTTGCCATTATCCCTATTGACCCACTAGAAAAATGTTGTTTCCTGTTTCTGTGACTTTATGCTCTGCTGGCCTACAAGTCTTAGCATCAGAGAAGAGTGCTGCCACCAGGAGACACAACAATGATTCCATTCAACTGGAAGTTAAGACTGCCACCCAGTCACTTTGGGCTCCTCATGCCTGTGAGTCAACAGGCAAACAAAGGAGTTACTGTGTTGGCTGGGGAAATTGATCCAGACTACCAAGGGGAAACTGGATGAGTACTCCACATTGGGGTTAAGGGAGAGTATGTCTGGAATACAGAAGATCCCTTAGGGCATCTCTTAGTATCACCAAACTCTGTGATTAAAGTCAATGGAAAATTACAACAACCTAATCCAAGCAGGACTACAATTGACCCAGACCCTTCAGAAATGAAGGTTCACCCCACCAGGTAAAGAACCGTGACTAGCTGAGGTGCTTGCTGAGGGCAAAGAGAATACAGAATGGATATTGGAAGAAAGTAGTTATAAATACCAGTTATGACTGTGTGACCAGTTACAGAAATGAGGACTGTAATTGTCATCAGTATTTTCTCCGTATTTTGTTCAGAATACATTTGTGTGTGTGTGTGTGTGTGTGCGTGTGTGTGTATACACACATATATTAAACAAATATCTTTGTTTTCATTCCTCTCTTAATCATTTAACATAAGATATATTGACTTTAGGGACCTGGCACAGTGGCTCACGCCTGTTATTCCAGCACTTCGGGAGGCTGAGGTGGGCAGATCACTTGAGGCCAGGAGTTGGAGACCAGCCTGGCCAAAGTGATGGAACCCCATCTCTACTAAAAATACAAAAAATTAGCGTGGTAGCACGTACCTGTAATCTCAGCTTCTCAGGAGGCTGAGGCACGAGAATCACTTGAACTCAGGAAGTGGAGGTTGCAGTTAGCTGAGATCATGCCATTGCACTCTGGCCTGGGCAACACAGCAAGACTCTGTCTCAAAAAAAAAAAAGATATATTCACTTTATATCAGTATTTAAGTATTGTTAATTTTACATCATAGTATTTAAGTTATGAAATATCAGGAGACAAGTAAATATCATTCAAGGACTTTACCCCATCTTCTGGGTAAGGGATTAGTTTTTTATTGTATGCAGGATAATTGTATCAGGTTAGGTGGGTCTATTACCTTGTTATTGTCTTTACTTGGAGATTAAGTTCAGTTTACAGAGAGGTGTGTAGGTGTGTAGATTAAGTACAGACAAGAGGTGGACTTGTCATCATTAATTTTAGGTGTCATGTTGACTGGATTGAGGAATACCTGGAGAAGTGGTAAAGCATTATTTCTGGGTATGTCAGGGTGTTTCCAGAGATTGGAGTAATCAACCTGCCACAAGGTAGCTGGCTGATCCACCGAAGCCAATGATACTGTATCAAGGGCTCAGTGTGGGTCTTGGCTGCTGGCAGATTGAGCCCTCAGAGGTGACTGTAGCCAGGTCAGCTTTGCTAAGTGGAGGTCTATGTTGCTGAACTCATACATGACTTCCATCTCTGCCACGCTGGGCAATTTATTCTTGAGTCCATTGGATGATGGTAGGGGTAGCTGGGGAAAGAGGGTGACTAGTATCCACAGAATGGGTCATCCCATCTCCTTGATTATTAGTCCTCCTCTGCTGAGATCACACTTTGGTGAGCATTGGCAAAGGACATAATCATCTTCACATCTTTTTCCCACTCAGGTCCATCCACATATCTCTTCCCCAAATTTCTTTGTCACCAATTTTCCAATTATGTTTCTTTCAATTCTCTGACCATCTGGCCAAACCATTGGTTACAGTTCATGAATTGGTATATAATTCCACATCTGGCCATTTCTCCATCCAAGCAAAGTGTACAACGTGGTGCACTGTCCAAAGTTCTACACACTGAGATTTCTCTTCACCGCTATCCTCTAAAGATGTCCCACAAAGGGATGGTATTGCTGAAACTGTCCACTTTTGGATGGTGCCTGCATATTATGCAGAACCACCTGTAAACTGGGACCTCTATCAATTGATCATAGGATACTCCCCATGGGGCCATTGGTGCAGGCTGAGGCAGTGTAGTTGGAACCAGGGGCATTTGGGTCACTTTGTGTAACTTACTTGTGCTTCAGAACCTGCTTGGGCCCAGTTATGTGTATATCACTTCCATTTGATGATAGAGGGCTGCTGTGTATGCCCAACGTTATGGCTTGGTGGGTCAGTTAACACCTAGTTAATGATGGTCAGCTCAGGTTGCATAGTTACTTGGTGGCCCATGGTCAAATGTTCAGTTTCTACTAAGGCCTAGTAGCAGGCCAAGACTGCCTCTCAAAAGAAGGGTCATTATTTGTGGATGATGGCAAGGCCTTGCTCCCAAAATCCTAAGGGCCTTTGCTGCAATTTATCTATGGGGACCAATGAAAGGCTTCAAACAGCATCCTTATCTGCCACTGACCCCTCCAGCACCATTGGATCTGCTGGGTCATATGGCCCAAATGGCAGAGTAGCTTGCACAGCAGCCTGGACCTGTTGCCTCTGCCTTATCCTGTTCTGGGCCCCATTCAAAACTAGCAGCTTTCCAGGTCACTTGGTAGATGGGCTAGAGTAACACACCAAAAGGAGGAACACGTTGCCTTCAAAATCCAAAGAGGCCTACTAGGTATGGTGCCTCTTTCTTGGTTGTAGGAGGGGCCAGATGGAACACCTTATTCATCACCTTGGAAGGGATATCTCAACATGCCGCACACTGCTGGACCCATAGAAATTTCATGGAGCTAGAAGGCCCTGAAGTTTGGTTGGATTTATTTTCCACCCTCTGACACACAAAATGCCTCACCAGTAAGTCCAGAGTGCTTGCTACTTCATGCTCACTAGGTCCAATCAGCATAATATAATGGGCCAGAATGATATCTTGTGGATGGGAAAGGTGATCAAGATCCCAGTGAACTAAATTGTGACATAGAGATGGATAGTTGATATAATTCTGAGGTAGGACAGTAAAGGTGTATTGCTGACCTTGCCAGATGAAAGCAAACTGCTTCTGGTGGGCCTTATGGACAGGGTTGGAGAAAAAGCCATTCTCCACATCAACAGCTATATACCAGGTACCAGGAGTTGTGTTAATTTGCTTAAACAATGAAACCACATCTCGTATAGCAGCTGCAATTGGAGTCATCACTGGGTTAAAACTACAATAATTCACTGTCATTCTCCAGAGTCCATTTGTCTTCTGTCTTCTGCACAGACCAGATAGAAAAGTTGAATGGGGATGTGGTAGGAATCTCCACCCCTGCATCTTTCATGTCCTTGATGGTGGCACTAATCTCTGCAATCCCTTCAGGGACGCAATCAATGGATTTTGATTTACTATTTTCCTAGGTAGGGGCAGCTCTAATGGCTTTGATTTGGCCTTTCTCACCATAATAGCCCTCATTCCACAGGTTAAGGAATATGGGGATTCTGCCAGCTGGCAAGAACGTCTGTTCCAATCATACATTCTGGAACTGAGGAAATAACCACATGATGGGTTCACAGACCCACCAGACCTATTGTGAGTCAGACCTGAGCCAAAGCTCCATTGCTAACCTAACCTCTATAAGCCCTTGCTGTGACTTGTGGGCCGCAGTGACTTTTTGGGTCTCCTGGAATCAATGTCAATTCAGAGGCAGTGTTCAGTAGTCCTGAAAGATCTGTACTTCCTTTTCCCCAGTGCACAGTTATGCTGGTAAAAGGCCGTAGGTCCCTTTGGGGAAGGATGGGAGAAAGTTTAATAGTGTAAATTTTCAGTAGTGTACCAGGGTACTTCCTGGACAGAACCTGGCCTCCCCTTCATTCAAGTATTTCTGGGTCTGTGAACTGGCTCAAGTCTAGGAATTGATTGAGAGGGAATGATTCTCTGTTTTTATGTTTCAAATTAAACCTTTGTTCACTTGACCTGATAGTTTTCTGTTTATACAGATCAAGTAAGAACTTAGTAGGCTTCCTATCTATTTTACTTTTAGGAACACCATGGTTAGCTAGCCAACACCCTGGATTTACACAAGTCACACTATTCTGATTGTTGCTGTGCCTCAGCTGTCTAAGATGGTAACTATACACACCTTGCCTTTGATAGATGAGTGCCACCACTTAGCCCCTGCCACACCAGGTTTCAATGATACCCATTGCATTTAAGTTTTCCAATTGAGTGACTGCAATTCTGTCATGATTGGTGCAAGGTTAGAAATAACCAGGTCCATGTGTGGTTGTGTCTTTCCACACTGTCAGGCTTTTGTTGATACTGTTCCAATCACAAAAGCCAGAAGCTGCATGGAGTTCCCAAGGAAACAATCCCCTTTAGTACTTCCTGCTTACTCAGTGGTCAGAGCTTCAGGCACACAGGCTCAAGACATTCCACAAGTCAATCAATATTGCAAACCATACATAATAGTATACTTAATCAATATATAAATGTTACAGGTTAAACATTCCATAACAAAGTCACATTTAAAATCAAGAGGAAAAAGTACAGGAGAAAGTGTTAATAAGCCAGTCCAGGGAGGGCTAAGAAGACAAAAGGAATCCTGGTTTGAGCCAGATGGTCTGTCAGCCTTGCAAGTCCTTGAGGTGGCAGAGCTTTTGGCTGCAGACACCAAGTTCTTATTGTAAGTGACTGCAAGACAGTGTCATTAAGGCAGCCATTTGGAGCTGCTGAAGGCCTGATCTTTTACAGTCATAGAGTCTTCTGATGATGAGAACTGACGGTGGAAGGGTGTGCTTTTTTGTGTCTTTATCTCACTGGATGTGGTCTTTATTTTTTATTTGTTTATTAAACAAAACATCTTATCCTTGTATGCAAAGTGCCCTGTGAAATATAAAATGAAGCCTTTTTCTAAGATAGAATTAGCTATGTCAAGGGTGCTCTATCCAGGTCTCCACTCTAAGGTCCAACCTACAGAAAAGCACAATCATAGCACTGTTCAGGGATGCTGGGGCTCCCCCACACATCTATTTCTCAAAGTATTTGGTGAAAGTTATGACTTCTGGACCCTCCCAGTGTGGGTTAGTAGGTTTTAAGTGACAAATCCATTCTAGCATTCCAATCTCCTTTTAATCCTTTCCTCTACATTAACCCAAGGGAGATGGGGGATCTCCAGCTTGGCCTCATGAGTCATCTTTTGATCCAAGTTTCAGGTGAAGAGGAGAAAATATAATTTCTTTTCTCAACCCTCATAAGTTCGTAGATGGGATACTTTTGTCACAAAAGATGGATAAGAGAAAAACAAGCATTTTTATTTATTTATTTATTTTTTGAGATGGAGTCTCACTCTGTTTCCCAGGCTGGAGTGCAGTGGTGCAATTTCGGCTCACTGCAACCTCCATCTCCCGGGTTCAAGCAGTTCTCCTGCCTCAGCCTCCCAAGTAGCTGGGACTACAGGCGCCCTCCCACCACACCTGGCTAATTTTTGTATTTTTAGTAGAGACGGGGTTTAACCATATTGGTCAGGCTGGTCTTGAACTCCTGAGCTCAGGTGATCCACCTGCCTCGGCCTTCCAAAGTGCTGGGATTACAGGCGTGAGTCACCACGCTCAGGCTTCGTTTTTTTTTTTTTGAGATGGAGTCTTCCTCTGTCACCCAGGCTGGACTGCAGTGGTGATATCTCAGTTCACTGCAGCGTCCGTCTCCTGGGTTCAAGTGATTCTATTGCCTCAGCCTCTCAAGTAGCTGGGATTACAGGTATGTGCCACTACGCCTGGCTAATTTTTATATATATATATATGTATATTTATTTATTGTTTGTTTGTTTGTTTTTGGTAGAGACGGGGGTCTTACCATGTTGGCTAGGCTGGTCTTGAATTCCTGACCTCAAATGATGCACCCGCCTCGGCCTCCCAAGGTGGTGGGATTACAGGTGTGAGCCACCGCGCCTGGCGAAACCAAGCATTTTAATTTAAGCATGCAGTGTGCATTATGCAGGGGAAATATCAGTTCAAAAGTGTCTCTCAGATGGTGGCTTAGGGTCCCAGCTTAGATAGCATATCTAATAAAGAACAATAAATTTAGAAACAACAAGACAAAGGAATAAGCAACTTTTCCCAAAAGATGAGAAAACTATGAGACAATAGTCAAGTTTGTTCCCAGAATCCTCTGGCCCTGCCGGTACCAGTGAGCTGATAAGCAAGAGAGAATTAATATCTCTGTCTTTAGGTAGAAAGGGGAGGCAGAAGACCCCCTGTATCCTTTTCCCTGGAATTTTATGGCCTGCCAAAGGTAAGAAAGAGCAGCTCAGATGGCTCTTTCTGCAACTGTTGCTTTCCAGTTGCCTCTGGCTTAAAGATATTTTTGTCAAGAAGGTATATTTTGGGGTGAAATATTCTGGTTTCCTTCACAGCCAACCAATCAACCAAACTGCTAGCACCTTTCCTAACTCCTCTAACTGTAGCATGCAATGCACAATCTCTGCTTAGTGGGCCTATATTAATAACTTTGGCCTGATCCAACTTTATGTTCCTTCCACCATTACCGCACATCCTTAATATCCATTTCTATACATATTCCCTGGATATCTGCTCTCATAAATGAGAAAACTCAAGTAGTTCTTTTGGAGTGTGGTGCACCTCCTCATGGGTCACACTTTGTCCCTCTTAGGGCCTGCTGGGACTTGAGTCCAGATATAGTCTAGAAGCAAAGAGGGGTGGGGAAGGGGGGTGAATCAACATTGTCTTGCTTAGCAATTGCCTCAGCAGAGGCCATTACCGTTTTCTCAGGCTATGCAGAGTCAAACCTTGAAGACACAGGTGGAAAGGCCATGTCACTGTGAACTGGCACCAGATGCTGGTGCCACTGGGGGTGGGGGTAGGGAGGCCACTTTTGCTGGCAAACAAGACTCATCAGAATTTAGGAGCTCAATGTCCCAGCTTTATCAGGGTCTTCCCACAAATTTCTACTTACAGGATCCCATTCTTGTGCAAGCAATGCCCTCACTATGAGACTGAGAGTTCAACTTTTGTTGTAATTCAGCCAGTCACCTGACAATGGCTTGTGTTTGATTTTCAGCAATTTCAGGCCTGTGGCTACAGGAGAGAAGATGTTACCTTAGGGCACACTTAGAAGCTCTTAGGCTATTTATGTGGAGCTGGAGCTAGAAATTTGAATCCCTGAGCTCATGTTTTTCTTACATTACTGTGTCCAGTGACATTAGAAGCAGCCAACCATCCTCATTATATTCCTTGGTTTTTCACAAATGTTTGAAAGTATGATATAGAGAGTTACCAAGTTCCATGTGTCTTATAAGTGGTTGATTAAAAGTATCAAATGTAGATATTTTGTGTATCTCTATAAACAGTTCGTGCCATGGACTATCCAATGCTCTCTGTACTACTAGAAGTGGAGTTTGTAGGATTTTTAGGTTGAATCAAATCAGAAAGCCAATTCCAGAAAACCCCAAACCAATAAAGGAAACTCACCCTTAAAATTCTCTTCCTCCAGAACCTCCCATGGTACCAATATCTGTATTAGTCAGGATTGTCCAGAGAGAGAGAACAAGTAGGATGTATGTACATAGATAGGTAGGTAGATAGATAGATAGAGGTAAATATAGAGATAGAGATATATAAGAAGGGACTTATTTGGGGAATTAACTCATGCTATTATGGAGGCTAAGAAGTCCTACCAAGGGCTACCCACAAGCTAGAGACCCTGGGATAACCAAATCATTGCTCAGTCCAAGTCCAAAAGCCTCAGAACCAAGGAAGCTGATGATGTAATTCTCAGCCTGAGGCAGAAGGCTCTGGTGTAAGTCCCAGAGTTCAAATGCCGGAGAACATAGAGCAGTCCAAGGGCAGCAGAACAAGAGCCAGAGAACATAGAGCAGTCCAAGGGCAGGAGAACAAGAATGTCCCATTTGCAGGGAGTGAGAATGAGAGAAAGAGAGAGAGAGAGAGAGAGAGAGAGAGAGAGAGAATTTTTTCTGCCTTTGTGTTCTATCCAGGCACCCAGCTGATTGGATGGTGCCCAGCCACATTAAGGGTAGATCTTTCCCACTCACTCTACCAACTCACATGCCAATCTCCTTTGGAAACACCCTCACAGACACACTCAGAGATAATGCTTTACCAGTTCTCTAGGTATTCTTCAATTCAGTCAAGTTTACACCTAAAATTAGCCATCACAGTTATGATTGGGATTTGACCTTTGACCTTGTGTCCTATCTTGCCACTTGAGTAGAGGAAAATGGACTGTGGGAGACAGTGCAAGCTAAATAAAGGGCATTTGAAGAAGTAGACCTGGCAGTTAGATGAAGCACAATTTAATCAAAATTAGATGTGCAAGTATGCATGCATTTTTGCTAATGATATTCTGAGGAATGCAAAGTAAATTTATTTTACCTGCATTTTGACTGAGAAATGAAGATATTAGCAGAGAGTTATGAGGAGCAGGTGGCATTAAAAGCAAATGCATTTTTAATTTTTCTTTGTTATAGTTCCATGGTTGTTAAAAGAGCAAGGCTTTTCAAATCATAGCCTTAATTCAAAGAAGTTTAATTCTGGATGGCTAATGGGAACTGACTCAGTTATTTCTTTTTTCCAATGGTTTATAATTATTGTTTTTGAAATTACTTTTGAAGCTAAGCTCTTCCCACAGTGCTCTCTGGGTGATTAGTTTTACCATAGATTCAGGTGGCAAATCTCTATCCATTACTGTTTTGAATATAATCAAGAGAAATGTAGTTAAAATTTTTTGTTATTGTGACATTTTCAAGGAATAATTTGAGTTTGTATGAAATTGTATAGTGCACTCATTCAAACACTCAATGTCTTGTTTGGGTCAGGCTCCTCAGAGCAGAACCTGGGCTGAGGACTCATAGGAAACTGAGCAGGAAATTGTACTCCCACGATGCAGTCATTGGCTGCAGGCTGCCCAAGGGAGATATAAACGCTGTCACTTCCATCTCCTGCACGAGGTGGCAAAACAGCTCCAGGAGCCCCAGAGCAGTGCTCCAAAGATGAATTGGATGTGTGGGGCCATTGGAACCAAAAGCACAGAAAGGGATACGCAGAAACAATACAAGGGTAACAGAGGTGATGGGATCGGGAAGAAGCATTGATGGTGTCCGCTGTATTCAAACAATATATTGAGCACCCACCGTATGTTGAACAGTGTTCAAAGCCCTGGGGATTCGGTGGAGTATAAACCAGTAGGGCTTTCATGCTAGTGGGAGAGATGGTTAATATAATAAGTAAGCTAATATATGAATAACATAATAATAGCATGATGATCCATGCTATGAAGAATAGGAAGCAGTACAGGGGAACAGAGAATGAAGGGGTGCTATATTAGATAGGGTAGTCAGGATAAGTTAAATAAACAAATTCTATGAAAAATATATTTGGGTTTCCATGGGGCTCTTATCCTTTGGGAAGTACTGGCATTGTGTATTGTTTCTTCCTAACCCTGGGAACTTCTTTCACATGGAACTCATAGAAGGGAAGTGTGCCTCCTATTTGAATAAAACTATCACAATAGGTATTCTTGACATAGGAATAACAAACATGAAGTAAAAGGCATTTTTCTACCCTCTGCATTTATTTCTAAATGCTCTGAAGTCAAATATTTGGGGAAGCAAAGAAAGAAGAAAATTGGCTTTGTATGTTAAGAATTCTGGTAATGTGTATTGGTAAGCATCTCAACTCTGATTAAGAATATTGAGAAAATCTAAGTTGTTTAGGGGAAAATGGATAGAAAAGAAGGAGGAAAACACAGTCATCTGGCTTATTACATAAAACTATCTTTGATGTTTTTAACTGAAAATCCAAGAGAATCTAAAAAGAGACAGTAAACTTTCTAAAGAAAGGTATGTAATGAGGTCATAGTGTTGCCGAGATGACAGTCAATGTCAGTTACTGGATGTTCTGTTGCAGAGGTGACTAGATTCTTGTCACTGTTTCATGCTGAAACTCACAAATGACTGCCAATCACAATTGTGCCAAATGATTGGCACAATTTGAATATGCCAATCAAAGTCACAAATGACCCAAATGACTGGGTTTACGTTTGTGGGGAATCTTACTGGGAAGTGTCGTTTTACAAATTCTTTCTCCCGATTATTTCATCTGATGCAACTTCTGGTAACCTCCTTCAACTATCTTGTTACTGTCCCCCAATTTCTCTGGTCTTTTGCACCAGAAGGATGGACAGGAGGTGGTGGTGGAAGAAGCCAAATAGAATTTGCTAGCAGGAATAGAAGGTGACTCATTTTCTCCCTTCCTTTCTTACTTATTCCCCGTGATAAATGTTCCAGGACTTTTCCAGTTGAAAGGAGAGAAGATGAGACATAAGTTATAACGGTCCCACTGTGTAATTTTTAGTAGGTAATGAATGCTTCACAGCTTTGTTTTATTAGGAAATATGCATGCTATGTTAATAAAATGGGTTGTGGAGTTTGAAATTTCATTAATGAACATTAAATATTATCAAAAGGCTAATAATTCATTATAATTTTAAAATTAAACATGAGCTCATCAAATAATTTAAATCATTTAATCTAGTAATGTTGAGATGAATTGTGGGGCAATGCTCTTCAGTGCATACTATTTTATTTTATTTATTTTAATTTTTTTTTTAGACAATCCCACTCTGTCACTCAGGCTGGAGTGCAGTGGCGTGATCTTGGTTCACTGCAAACTCTGCCTCCTGAGTTCAAGCGATTCTCATGCCTCTGCTTCCTGAATAGCTGGAATTACAGGTATGCACCACCACGCCTGGCTAATTTTTGTATTTTTAGTAGAGACAGGGTTACAGCATGTTGGCCAGGCCGGTCTCAAACTCCTGGCCTCAAGTGATCCACCTGCCTCGGCCTCCCAAAGTGCTGGGACTATAGGCATGAGCCACGGCACCAGGCCCATACTATGAAAACACCCACACACACACATACACACACACACACACATGCACACACACAAAAAAACCCCACAACTGTTAATGGACAATGAAATATGTAACAGTGTCTTACTTTATTTTGTGCTGCTGAAACAGAATACTTGAGACTGGGTGATTTGTAAAAACTAGAAATGTATTTTCTTACAGTTCTAGAGGCTGGAAAGTCCATGACCAAGGAATCTGCAGGTTCAGTTGTCTGGTGAGGGCTGCACACCAGAGAGGCACTTGGAGTGGGGGATGATGAATTTAGATTGGGGTGGTTAAAGAAGACTCCTCTAAGGAGGCAACATTTGAGATAAAAGGAGAATGATGGGAACCCAGCCTTGTGAAGCTTGAGGGAAGAGCTTTCCAAGCAGGAGAAATAGCTTGATCAAAGGTCCCTATAGCAGGAACAGGCTTGATGTGTTCAGTATTCCATGATGGGAAGAATGTACATTTATATCACTATTAGCTTTTAAAATCATCTTTAAATTATTATATCATGTCTGTAGTTAGTATGTAGACAGCACAGTGAGGTGCCACCCAGTGAGAGCCATATTAAGGGGACAGACCAACCAGACATAGAAAGATGGGCACCATTTTTTAAGAGGTGTTAAAGCATCACTGGAAAACATTTGGAATGTGGCACCCCTAAACTCAGGTCTCCATGTACAAGTCCTTCTTTAAGTAGTGAAGCTTAGGGACCAATGTGATGGTGAGGTATCTGAGGGCATTGAAGTCTCTGAAGTCTTTTTGGTGCTCCTTGTCAACTGCTTTCTCAACGGCCTCTGCCGGTAGGATCCAAGGATGCAAGGATCCAACCCCAGTTGGAGCTGTCATACCCTGGGAAGGAAGGAATGAGTTACAGAGCATGGAGGCTGAGCTTGTGTGTGATTTTCACTCTGTTGCTCAGCCTTTCTTCCCTCCCTGCTGGGTGTGGCAGCCAGAATGTAGTCAGAAGTGCAACCCATGTGAGGAGCTCGTGGCAAACCCTCAACTGCTTTATTTAGCAGTAGACCTCACTGAGGCCGGGGAGGAGGAAGGATGGGGCTGGCTGCTCTGCTTAACTGTACATCATCCTTTTTTTTTTTTCTTTTTTTCATTGGTATTTACCTCATGGCCCACCTTGTTTCCAGATCTTGCAGCTTTTGAGCAAGAGGTTTTTCTGGAGCTCTGTTGGGGAAGGCAACTTACTTAATAGAATGAAGGCTCTGCTTGGCTTTCCTTTAATCTGATCCTAGATTTTTCATATTTTCCAAAAAGCCTCAAAGTTTCTGGAGTAAAATGGTGTCTGTGGCAGAGACTGCTGGTTGTCTACTCCCAAATATCTCTCCTTTAATAAGAGAACCCCAAATTCCAGCTGGGCACATGACTGCCAAGCTAAACAAACAAACAAACAAACAAACAAACAAACAACCCACAAAAGAACAACAACCCTACATTCCCCAAATTATTTGCAGTCAGATATGACCCTGTAACTAAGTTCTGACCGATGAAACATAAACAGAAATCGTGTGGGAGTACACACTAATATCTTTAAAGAGAGAGAACATGGCCTCCTTTCTTTTTTCTTCATCTTTCTGCCTGAGACACGAATGCAATAGCTGGAGCTCTAGCAATCACATTGAACCACAAAGAAGAATGGTGGAGGTAAAAACTGGAAGAAGCCAGGGTCTGTGATAATCACCATAACAGCTCTGAAATGCTTATTTCTAGATTTCTTTTATGTGAGAGAAAAAGAAACTGTTTTGTTTAAGCTACTGTCATTTTGTGCTGGTTCTATAGCCAAATCTAATTCTAACTGATATAGTTCCCTTTTTGTTTTTTAAGAACCTATTCAGAATTACACACATACACACACGCACACATACAATGTGTATATATATATATATATGCATATATACATATATATGTGTATGTATATATAGAGTATATCTATATATACGTAATGTCATTTCACTGGGAAGTGAGGAAAACTTCTTGAAATGGAAACTTGCATGCAAAGATTGTCTCAAAAAGAATGAAAAAATTACTTGAATCATGATTTTGTATTTTTTTCTTCATAATTTTTTCATCCTCCTATATCCTTACAGAGTAAGTGCTTAATAAATCTTTTGACTTTGAAAACATTGCAGGCTCATCATTATTATAAAATGTAATTTTTAAAATATTAAAAGTTACATAATGAAAACAATTGTAGACTTGGATTCAGAAGATGTGGTAGATAGTGGTGGTGCTTGGCCCAGAAGTCCATTACCTGGCCATGGTACCCATCTTCCAGGTGCTGTAGACTCCATGAGTGTAAGCTCCTTGCCCAGAGATGCAGCTTCCATCCACCAGGGGTGGGGTGGGGTTGGAGGGCAAGAGGCAATGAATGATTGATAAAGGGATATAAAAGCCTCGCTCTCTTGTCTCAAGGCAGGAAAAATTTGTGGAGCACTCATGCTCCAGAGCTCCCCACGGCATCAGGCTAGTGATAAACTCTAGCTGACCCATATCTTAGCCCAGCCCCTTCCCCTGTCCTATTCTACTTCCCTTATGCACATACAGGTGTTCGCTCCCTCAATAAATTACTAGCATGAGAATCCTCATGTCAGGCTCTGCTTCTAGGAAACTTGACCTAAGAGGGAAGATGTAGGTGGCTGTCTCAGTTTTTCTGTATAGCCTTAGGAAAGCCACTGGATTTTTTGAGCCCTTTTCTCATAAATCAAAATGAAGAGAATAACACTCTGCCTATGGGCTTTTTGTGAAGCTTAAATGAAGTAATTATATGTAAAAGCATTTTTTTGTGGGCAAATATATTATTAATAACTAGTATTTAGAAAAATAGAATGTAGTTGTGAACAAACTTTCATAGAAATAGATTTTAGGCATCAAGTACTTGCGCTTTATGGTAACTATATTTTTACTACTGGGTATGCTATTTCATCTATAACTTACTATACTGTATATAATACTAATACTTAGTCACCAATTTGTTCCTTGCTGATTGCTTCTCAATTGTATTCATCAGTCTTATCAATATTTATGGAAATTTGTTACTTTTTTCTACATATGTTTGACAAATAGTTATTAAATTTTTATTTTTTTGAGATGGAGTTTCACTCTTGTTGTCCAGGCTGGAGTGCAATGGCACGATCTTAGCTCACTGCAACCTCCACCTCCCGGGTTCAAGTGATTCTCCTGCTTCAGCCTCCCGAGTAGCTGGGATTATAGGCACCCACCACCATGCCTGGCTAATTTTTGTATTTTTGGTAGAGATGGGGTTTTGCCATGTTGGCCAGGCTCGTCTTGAACTCCTGACCTCAGGTGATCCACCTGCCTTGGCCTCCCAAAGTGCTGGGATTATAGGCATGAGCCACCGCGCCTGGCCCTAAATTTTTTATGTTACTCAGAAGCAGAACATTATTGCAAGACTCAGATTTCAATGTTTTATTTCTGTGAAAGCCTTCTGGCAGCTCATGGCCAGGAATCTGACAAAGCTGGTACCATGGTCAGAATGTGTCCCCCTGCTCCCCTGGAATTCATGTGTTGAAATCCTAAGCCCCAAGGTGATGGCATCAGGAGATGGGGCCTTTGGGAAGCATAAGTGCCCTCATCAAAGAAATCTCAGAGAGCTGAGACTTCTACCACATGAGGACATAGGGAGAAGTTGCCATCTGTGAACCAGGAAGCAGGCCCTAACCAGACACTGAATCTGCTGGTGCCCTGATCTTGGACTTCCAGACTCCGGAACTGTGAGAAGTAAATTTCTGTTGTTTGTAAGCCACCTAGTACATGATATTTTATTGTAGTGGCCCAAGTGGAATAAGACAGCTAGGCCTCAGAACAATGAAGGCAATTATATTGCCAAAGGCCTAGGAGTAGCACGGTTGTTGGTTCATTCATGACTCGGCTCTATTTGCCACTGGTTTCCTCATCTACCTGCGCCCCTACCGCGTGCTTCGTGCCATCACAGTTATCAGCCTGAGTTCATGCCTCCTCCATGTTGCTAGGCCATGAACCCTCCCCTGGCCACTTGTCTCTCTCCTTATCCTTTAAGTGTGAGGGGCGATTCACATAAGGAGGGAAGGAAAGAATACCTGGGATATAACATCACCCTGCACTTAAACATCATCAGTGTGGAAAATACCCAGCTAGACCACTGCCTTGCTTTACCCGAGATGAGAGCTGAGCAGACTGTAAACCAAAAATACAATTCCAAGGCCTCCTGCAACCATCTGAATGGACTGCCTTCCAGCCAGGGCACTCTAACATTTAACCTGAAAGACTGGTTCAGGCCATGACAGGAAGTGGGGGTCGAACATGCTTCATTATACCCCTCCAGCATTATCATCAACACAGACCTTGAGTCTGATAAGACACACGTGCAGTCTATTCTCTCTAAAGCCTGCTACTTGGCTTTAGGAGGCTTCATTTGCATGATAAAACCTAGGTCTCCACAATCCCTTATTATAACCCAGACCTTCCTTTCTACTAATGATAACTCCTTCAACCAACTGTCACTCAGAATACCTGTGACCTGGAAGGCCCCCACCCTTTCCAGCTGGAACCAATGTAAACCTTACATGTATTGACTAATGTATTATTATGTCTCCCTAAAATGTATAGAAGCAAGCTATATCCCAACTACCTTGGGCATATGTTGTCAGGACCTCCTGAGGCTGTGTCATACGCATGTCCTTAACCTTAGCAAAATAAACTTTCTAAATTGATTGAGACTTGTCTAAGATGCTCTTGGGTTTACAAGACTAACAACAAACCCTCAACACTCACTTGTCTCAAAGCTTTTCTTTTTCACAAAGGAGATACCATCAAGAATGTGAAAGAAAAGGCTGGGCATGGTGGCTTGTGCCTGTCATCCCAGCACCTTGGGAGGCCAAGGCGAGTAGATCACTTGAGGTCAGGAGTTCAAGACCAGCTGGCCAACATGGTGAAACCCCATCTCTACTAAAAAAAAAAAAAATACAAAAACTAGCCGGGTGTGATGGCATGTGCCTGTAATCCCAGATACTTGAGGGGCTGAGGCAGGAGAATGGCTTGAACCTAGGGGATGGAGGTTGTGGTGAGCCAAGATCGACCCACTGCACTCGAGCCTGAGTGATAGAGCAAGACTCAGTCTCAAAAAAAAAGAAAAAAGAGAAAAAAAAGAATGTGAAAGAAAGGACAAGAAAGAAACAGCATCTGTGCATGAATGTGACTTCCTGACTCTATGGAAGGAAAAATTTCAACAACTTGAGTAAATATTTTCTTCCTCATTATGGGTTTCAACTGTCTGTGAAAATTAACGTTAGCCCCTGAAGAACGTGTGGAAGGACTTGGTGTAATGGGTCCCTCTTTAGATCAACAGGTGTTAACTAAATTGGAGAGTGCTCTCAGCTTTCAGGTGAGTTCTCAGCAGGAGGTTGGCTGGAGGGCTAGATGCTTGCCCTGGACAGCCCCTCCTCTCCCAATCTCTGATTGTTCAGAAGTGCACGGCGGCATCAACAGATGTGGTTGATGGTCTTACTGAAGCCCCTGATGAAAGGCCCAGGTAAGGGGACATGATCTAATGGGGGAGGGTAGATGCATTCTAGGTAGAGGATGGATCCTCCTGGGTGAGAGGCACAAATTTCCAGAAGGTGGTGGAGGTTTTCCTCCTGAAAACTAGAAGCAAGGGTCTCTTTGAGGGTGAGCTGTGGGTGTGAGGAGATTGGAGTCAGGTTACAACAGGTTGCTTCTGAGTCCAAGCAGGAACCCTGTTGTGAAGAGTTAACATCTCCAGTGCTTGTTGTCTTAGGATTCTGAAGAAAGCCAAATCTAGCACTTAGCTTAACTTTTCCTTGTTTTCTTTTAAAATTACCTTGACCCTTCGGTAAGGAAGTTGTCCCAAACAGGCTGGTGTAGGTGGATTGCGGAAGCTGGATTGTAGAGTCAAGGTAGCAAAAGGGAAGGTCAGTGATTGTGTCTGCAGAGAAGCATCAGTAACTTGTGGGCGTCTCACTTCCTGGGATTTGAGTTGAGGAGCAGTGGGGCTGTGAGTGGGACTCTTGGAAGACAGAAGAGCACCATGAGGTCCTGAGACAGAGCTCTTTGTCTGGGGAACTTCTCAAATCCTCACACTTCTGTCAAAACATTGTGTGGGGAGAGGGTGGGAGTGCAGAAAGTAGGATGGGATAAATTCAAGGAGAAAGTATAATTGATTGATAACAAGATCACTTGAACTTTAATTTATGATTAAAACCTTAAGCCTTAAGACTGTCATTCTGGTGTCATTCGGACATTAGCCAAGACTTTAGGTAAGAAAGGATGTATTCAGGAGGGAGGAACTTGATTGTGCTTCAGGAATCGTATCTCCTGGGACATTAATCACTTCACCCATGAGGCAGTCCTTTGATGGCAATAGCAGGTTTTACTACCTGAAACCAAGGAAGGCTAAGTGGGTAATTGGCCTCCATGGTTAGTAGCAGAAAAACGTGGCTGTATTTCATGTATAAATCATGTATTTCTGCCTGTCCTCCCAAAGGAGTTCCTTTTCCTTAGAGTAAGAATGCTCCAAAGAGCACGTGAATACATTTAACAGAATGAGATGCAATCAGAGGTGATTAAAAGCATCAGTGATGCTGATTACAAGTCAGGTCAACAAGGAAGTATATTTCCTTTAAATACATAAGTGTTGCTACTGTGATAGCCTTGACATCTATTTCTACCTGTTAGTGGATTTGACCCACAGTCACGCACAATAAAGCCCTATTTTTAAAACTACAGTCGCTGTAGTCAGTCATTACAAACACTCCTTTACCTACTGCTTTTGATTCACAGTAACTGTCTAGCAAAACCCTGGATAAATTCAACTCTGCCTGACACCTGTGCAGTTGATTGTGGCAGGTGAGTTAACACACCACCACCCTGATGTCAATTGAATTAATGGCCATAAACCTCAAGTGGGCCTTTAATGCCACACTTCTCTATTCACTCTTCCACTTTCCTGGGTGACTTTACTCCTCCTCCTCCTTTACCCTTCCCTCCTCTTTCTCCTTCCATTTGAATTGAGGTGTAATTTATTCTCAGTGAAATGCACAGATTGTAAGTGTGTAGTTTGGTGACTTGACAAATGCATTCATCATGTAACCCATACCCCAGCAAGATATAGGACACGACCATCACCCCGGAAAGTTCCTTTAAATCACTTCCCAGCCAATTCCTGCACCACCACCCCCAGAGGCCATCACTGATTTTTATCCTTGGTGACCATTTCACTCACACCTTTTCCTTGCCTCAAATCTCCAACTCCTCTTCCCCATCCTCACTGTCAGCTGATGATCTTGTTTCCCACTTTACTAAACAAAGGAAAGCAATAAGAAGAGAGCCTCCACATGGTCCCCACCTGCTCCCAACTTCTACAAATGACTTGGCATTTGCATCCTTCCTGTCTGTACCTGGGTGGTCTATCTAACTGTGCTCCTGTCTAAAACTACATCCTCCCATCAACTTCTGTTCGTTAAGGGTAGCACACCAGCAAGTCTTTCCTCTTTTTCTTGTATAAATTTTCACACATTCCTGGGCCTATTCTAATTAACATTTATTTCTATGCTATTTGCATCCAATCTTAAAAAAGAATAAAACATTCTTTGACCCCACTTCCTCTGCTAGCCCCATTTCTATGCCTCTTTTTGTAGCAAAACTCAAAATGTGGCTTATACTTTCTGACTTTAATTCTTCCCTATTCTCTGTTAAACTCGTATTATCTAGGCTTTCACTCCTGCCACCCCATGGAAACTACTCTTCTCGAGGTCACCAAATGACTTCTAAATTGCTAAATCCAATGGTAAAGTTCTCAGTCTCCAGCAGATATGACATAATTGGTTCCCTTGCTGCTCCTTTGATGAGACTTCTTCACTTGGTCTTCGTAACACTGTCTTGGGTTTCTTCACTGCTGAATCCTTCTCAGTCTCAGTTTCCCCCGGTGAATTCCTTGTCTTTTTCCTTAACTCCTCCTGTTGGCTTGGCTCAGCTCAGCCTTTGGTCTTCTACTTTCTCTGTCTACACTTACTCTCAGTGATCGCACCTGGCTTAGGGCTTTAAATGCCAACCATGTGATGATGTTTTCCAAATTTATGCCTCCAGTCTAGGTATCTGACCTGAAATCCACACTATATTATCCAGCTTCCCACTTGACGTCTCCACTTGAATGTCTGATAGGCAGTTTGACCTGAACATGTCGAAAAGTGAGCTCCTGATCTACCACTATAAACTTTTTCACTGACAGCTTTACCATTTGGGTTGATGGTTGCTCCATTTTTGTGGTTGCTCAGGCCAAGATTTTCAAGTCTTTCTTGATGCTTTTTTTCACTTATACCTCACATTCAATCTATCAGGAAATTCTGTTGGCTCTGAATGGCTGATAATAGATAGTATTACTTTTCCCCAAATAATCTAATTTTTCCTCCTGCTGTGCCTCTCCCTGCAGGAGTATTAAATATCCCCACTCTGTTGAAAATAGGAGTGGCCATACAACTTGCTGTAGCTGAAGAAATGTGAGCAGAATTGATAGACATCATTTCTGGTGGGTGCTTTAAGAGCTAGCATGTAGTTTCCATGTCTCCTTTCTCCCTCTGTCACAATAGCTTAAGATGTTCCAGATGGAGGCTGCTCTACCAGCCTGGACCCAGAGCCATATCAACAAGGAGCAGAGTCATAGTCAGCCCTCCCTGGACATGAAGTGTTGTAAGCTGTTGAGATTTGGGAGCCTCTTGCTACTGCAGCTTAACTACCTGTGGTGACTGAAACACACTCTTTTCAAAATGTAGCCATAATCTGATCACTTCTACTACTGCCCTGGTTGAAGACATCATCATCTTACTGGGCTCCTTGGTTCTTTCTTCATCCCCTGCTATCCATTCTCAATGCAGCAGCCTGAGTGATCCTGTTAACATTGGGTCTCATTTCTCTGTCCAAAAGTCTGTAATGGTTCCCATTTCATTTAGAGCCAGAGCCAGTCCTTACAAGATCGAGGAGTCCCACCATGATCTCATTATGTCTCTCCCCTTATGTCTCACCACTCTCCTTCTTGCAATCCCACTGGCCTCGGCCTCCTTCCTTCACTCAGCAGGTGTGTTCTCACCTTTGGGCTTTCCTCTGAGCTTTTCTCTTTGCCTAGAATGCTCTGCTCCAGATACCTCACATGTAAGTTCCTTGCCTCCTTCAAGTTTTTGCTCAAATACCACCCTTTCAGTGAGCCCTACCCTGACACTCTATTTATAATTGCACGCTTCCCCTTCTCCACCTTAGCACTCTTAATCTCCATTACCTGCTCTACCTTTATTCTCAATAGCCCTTAATCACCTTTCAGCATACTGTATCGTTTACTTTTTACATCATGTTTAGTGTTATTTATTGCCTACCTCCCCCATTTGAACGTAAGTCCCACAAGAGCGGAGATCTTTGCCGTTTTGTTCACTGATTGTACTATTTAGCTATTTCAGTGACAGGATTTAATACCCAGGTGAATTTCAGAACATATTTATTGTAGGAGTATTGAAGCTAGAAAGTGGTGGTGCTAGAAGGAAGAGATGGTTAAGCAAATCAGCAGATGGGATCAGGGCCCAACCTCACACAACTCAGGGTGCCAGGAGACAGAGGCTCTGGATGGATGATGAGCTGTAGCAGTGGTAATATCTGTGGCTCCTCTCATTGGCAGTAAGACAAAAAAGGCTTGCTCCACCCTCATAGCCTTTGGGTTTCTTGTTCTTTAGATATCCCATAGTTAGTTATATAGGGTGCTAGTTTTAGAGCCATGCTCATATGTCACATAGCATTTTTCTTGACTATCAATATGCAACTCATCACTACCTTTCTTGTCCATTCATAACCATGGATCCAGTAGAAGCTGGGTTCTCCCATGGTGGGTAAACAACACAGTTCACTGATCTTTTGGACCAAGAACCCAGAATAGTACCTGGCACATAGTAGTTGCTCAACAAATTTGTTGCCTAAATGAATTTGAGAGAACAACCAACTCCAGGAGTAAAAGAAGTATTTTCTCAAAGTAAATCCTCACTTTTCAGTCTGGCTGCATATACACTTTGACAGATAAAGCTCTGGACCGTGGTAATTATGAGTGAAACAAATGTCTGATTGAGGCTTAGCTGTGGGTTTATTTTCCAAGAAAACACTCCAGAATATTTGAGACCTTGATCAAAGGCGTAAGTGCAGTGATACTTAAGGTCTTTACATGACTAAAATGTTATAATTGTTCACACAACGCTAGTTAATTTGCAGTTAGTGGTTGAGAAGATGGGCTCTGGAGCCTGATTAGGTTCAAATCCCAACTCCACCACTTATTATAATAGCTGTGTGACCTGGGGCCAGTTACTTAACCTCTCTGTGATTCATTTTCCTCATTTGTAAAATGGCAGCAATAGCAATACCTACCTCATAGGGCTGTTGTGAGGCTAAAAAAGTCAATGAATGTAACTGTTTATAACAGTGCCCAGCATAGAGGAAGTAATATATGTCTGCTTTATTATCATTATTATGTTTATTATCCCTACATTTTCTTAATTATCTACTTGTTGTACTAAGTGGATTCTGAAAGCCAGGAAAAAGACATTGAGTTCCTTAGAATGCTGTTGCCCAAATGTCTGTTCCCTATGACTGTGCTTGGTCAAAGTTATACTATTAGTTTCATATTTGTTTAATTTTTGATAGGTTGGGGTAAGTAGCAGAACAAGTTTTGTTCTTAAAAAACAGCCTTTGGATTTTCTGTTTCCCTCAAATCCCCTTCTCAATCTGTAGTAATAGCCCAGGCTTTTCAGAAAAGAGAGATCCACTGGAAAGAAAAAGTCGTTGACACAGCCCACAGAAAGAGGGACACCTTCAGGATATGTGAAAATGTGCTTTAAAGAGGAAATGAAGACTACAGGTAAGTTTTCTTTTTAATGTTTTTTCCCCTAAAATATGCCTAATAAACATGTATATTTTAAAAATTAGAATAAAATACAATATAAGATAGAGAATTAAAAATCATGCAAAAATTCCTAGTTAAACAGCTGTGCTACAGAGGGTCATAGACAGCAGATAGAATGGGGTGGGGAGGACGACAGCAGCAAGTATAGATTTTGGAACATGATGGTGCATAGCCAGAAGATGTGTGCAGTAGGAGTGAGAGGTGGGCTTTCCTACATACTTCAAATCATCTAGAAGAGGGAAAGAAAAATCAGAAGGTCAGAAAGTCTCTCAGCTGACCAATAAACAACACTTGAACACCTACTGTATGCAAATTACTGTGCTAGATACAGTGAGGAGTATAGCCATGAGTAGCACAGGGTCCCTATCCTATTGTCAGAGACGTGTGAACCAGAGCAACTCCGTCTTGAATAGGAGCTGGGTAAAATGAGGCTGAAGCCTTCTGGGCTGTGTTCCCAGACTCTTAAGGCATTCTAAGTCACAGAATGAGATAAAAGGTCGGCACAAGATACAGGTCATAAAGACCTTGCTGATAAAACAGATTGCAGTCAAGAAGCCGGCCAAAACCCACCAAAACCAAGATGACGACAAGAGTGACCTCGGTTGTCTTCACTGCTACACGTCTACCAGCACCATGACAGTTTACAAATGCGATGGCAATGTCAGGAAGTTACCCTATATGGTCTAAAAAGAGAAGGCATGAATAATCCACCCCTTGTTTAGCATATCATCAAGAAATAACCATAAAAATGGGCAACCAGCAGCCTTCGGGGGTGCTCTGTCTATGGAGTAGCCATTCTTTTATTCCTAATAAACTTGCTTTCCCTTTACTCGATGGACTTGCCCTGAATTCTTTCTTGAGTGAGATCCAAGAGACCTCACGTGGGGTCTGGATCAGGACCCCTTTCCGGTAACATCTTTCTGGCGACCACAGAGGGACTGTAGTGAGGAAACCCCTGGTAAGTGTTGGGGTCCTGTAACATCTTTCTGGTGACCACAGAAGGGACTATAGTGCAGAAACCCTAACCCAACGGCTACCTCTGGGTAAGTGGTGTGGTCTTGTAATATCTTTCTGACAAACCCTGAAGGGATAACACCTAGGAGACCCCCACCCCAACCCAAAGGAAACAGACTGCAGCACTGATTGGATGACTTTGGGTAAGTTGCGGGGTACCCAGGTAAAGAATGGGATTGGGTTAGAGGCCCAACTTAGGGGAGTTAGAGTCTCTTCTAAGAGAGGGTTAAAGGCTCCTCTCAATAAAAGGCAAGGACACTTGACCAACCTTGGTTTAAAGGTCGGACTTAGGAGAATTAGAGTCCCTTCTAAGATTTAGGGAGTTAGAGACCCCTTTCAGTAAAGTCCCTCTTGGTAAAGTCCCTCTCGGCTAAGAATGGGTTTGGCACTATGGGATGTTAACTGCTATTCTTTGGATTAATCTGCTTTGTACTCTTTGCTGATGGCTGTGGGTGACAAGGTTAAGCATGTACAGGATCGTGAAACATGGGGAGATTTTTCCTCCCTAAAAGGGGAAACTTGAGAGCTGATGGCACTGCTGGAACAGATTCCTTTGCGACCAACAAGTGGCCACTTGAACTTTTGATTCAGTGTTGCTGCAATGGGCACGTCTTTCTCTGGCCTCCCTGAGCAGCTTGCCTTCCCCACCCTGCCACAGGCAATCCTTTTCTCTCTCTCCTTTCCATTTCTTATCTTTTCTATTACTCAGGGTGACCATCTTGCCCAGAGACCACATGTTGAAACTCCTGGTTGGAAGTTGGATTAACGATGATGGGGGCAAGTTTGAGGCTTGCCAGTTTGATATTGGGTGCCTAGCAGAGTGGCTAATGTCTACATTTTGTCACATATATTTTACTCTGGCCAGAATGGAAGGAGATAATTTGTCCTTTGTGTTGCATCTTGGCCCCCAGGGCTGTGGTGCAGCCAGCTGGATCACTAGGGCCACTCAGGGAAAGGGAACCCAGAAGACTGGCATGCTGGCAAGAGGGTAAGAATTTCTTACCAGTCAGACTTCTGGCCTCTGTGTGTGTGTGTGTGTGTGTGTGTGTTTGTGTGTAAAGTGGATGAGGTTTCCCTGTGGTCAGTCATGTCCTTGGAAGCTTGACCTTGTAAGCATGTGGCAGTACTTTCTCTTGGTCTCTGCCATCACAACGGTGGCCCGGGTTCAGGATTCAATTCCTGTCTTAGAAGATGAGTTCTTTGTCTTCTTCTGTCTATTTATATGTGTCGTGTGATGTCTGTATATGAAAGAGCTTTAACTGATTGGCTTAAAAATAAGAGCTTCAGTTAAATATTTGGTCAGAAAAGTAAAAAAGTGTAATGCATTTTAGTTCGTGTGACTTTAGTAATGTTTGGGAAATAAAGATAGTTTTAAAGATTATTGGTAAAAAAGACATTTGGTCTAAATTATGCAGGTCAGATGTTAAGTTTGTTAAATACTTAATGGTCATAATCTGCTTCTTTGACTTTGAAAAATTGTTCAGTTTATTTTGGAGCATTAGATTCTAAGTAAGTCCTAGGACACGTGAAGTTAAATGCTGGAAAGAGTCAGACCTTATCTACATTTCTGTCTGGGTCCTAGCCTTCACATCCAGTAGATAATCAAAATCACTTACTAACCAGGGTTTTCACCAAAAGTAAAAGTCACTAAGAGTTAACAGAGTAACATGTGTCTTAGACTACTAAAAAAAAGTTCTACATGCAAGGCATGTAAGGAAAGTAGAATGTGTTTTTGGTAAAAGATTATAAGAACACATGGGAATGTGTATTTTTCTTGCCCAGATTAAAGGATTAAAGGATTGTTTTAAGTTAGATAAAGCTGAAGGTTTAAGCAAGTTGTGAAATGTTTATGAAAAATTAATTATAAAAGAAATTCTGTGTGTAAACTTACTGGCTAAAGTAAAAGGGGTATTATACAGTTTTTCTGTAAATCAAGCATTGGAATTAAAGCACAACAGGTTTTTCTTAAGAGCAAAAAACCTGCCTATAATCTGCTCTTTAACAAAAATTTGTAAAGGGTTATAAAAGGTTTATGAAAATCTTACCTTATAGTGAAACATTAAAATTGGGTAGATACGGCTATAAGGTTTTATTAAGAATTGAGTTTAACGTTAATAGTATACTAATGTAAAGGTGAAATTGGGCTTCTTGGTATATTAAAATCATACAGAAAGCATTATCAAATGTAAAATAGCATTTGGCTTTCTTTGGGCTGTATTTGTATAAATATGCTATTGGTATGTGTTCCAAAATTATT
Organism: Homo sapiens; assembly: GCF_000001405.40. Classification (NCBI taxonomy): domain Eukaryota; kingdom Metazoa; phylum Chordata; class Mammalia; order Primates; family Hominidae; genus Homo; species Homo sapiens. The sequence continues at coordinate 106,798,917 of NC_000007.14, read as the reverse complement.
TTAAAAACTCCCGGCTGGGTGTGGTGGCTCATGCCTGTAATCCCAGCATTTTGGGAGGCTGAGGCAGGAGGATCACGAGGTCAGGAGATTGAGACCATGGTGAAACCCCATCTCTACTAAAAATACAAAAATAAGCCGGGCGTGGTGGCGGGTGCCTGTAGTCCCAGCTACTCGGGAGGCTGAGGCAGGAGAGTGGCGTGAACCCAGGAGACGGAGCTTGCAGTGAGCTGAGATTGCACCACTGCACTCCAGCCTGGGCGACAGAGTGAGACTCCATCTCAAAAAAAAAAAACCCTCCTGTAATTGTAATATGGCTTAGTGTAGGTTATTAATAATTACAATTGCTAAATAAAATCATTGTGTGACACAAAGGTAACCAACATTTCCTAGTCAATTGTGGCTTAAATAGTGGCTGTCCTAGGACTTTTTGTCATCCGCAGACAATTGTCTTGTTTTAATCTTCTTTAGAAGGTGGTTTATAATCAACCATAGAACTCTGACAGGTGCTCTTGAATGCACGTTTCTAATAACTTTGGTGATTGTGACATTAGAATAGAGGAAAAAAACTTTCAGGATTTTCATGGAGAGCTGAAATGTTTATGAATATCAAGCAAAACAGGAGTTAACTAAATTAACTGAACCAATAAAAACTGAAGTAATCTTTTTAACTTTTTTCTTAAAATGTTGCCGATCCTTCATTTTGTTTTTCAGAGTCAAGAAATACTTTTCTTTTAAGCTATTTACAGTGTTTAACAATTGAGTAAAGTATATTCCTATGAACAAAATTTGGAGCATATTTGTTTCTGGTTACCTGATTTCTCCAGAATTTGGAAACTATTTCTGAGTATTCTTAATTTATGACAATAAGTTATTTACATAAATGCAATAAGAATCTGTTTTCTTTTGCAACAGAACACAACTGGAGAAATTGGTTATTTTACCAAGGCTTTGACTGGAATGGTGTGCTTTCCTTTAAGGAATCAAACTTGACTTGTAAAGTCAATAAAAGCCCCTTAGGGAAAAGCCTCACACCTTGCCTGCAACAGTCCCTGTATAAGGTTTCAGACCTGTGGTAAGTAAAGAATGTCACTTTCTAACAGGCCTAGAAGCACCAAGTTATCTTGGGACCCCAAGAGGAAGGGAATTTACTCAACTCATAGGTATTTGAGGGTGCAAAGCCATGGCAGGGCTCAGCTTTAAAACAAGTCTTATCTAAGATTCCTTCTATGGAACACAGTCCCATCAAAGCCAATTTAAAAAGAGCTTATGTGAAAAATAGTTACTCTTGCTGTACTTTATACAAATAATCAGGCCAACTATAATAAAGCAAATCAGTCTTACCATGATATGTCTTTTATAAAAATGGGAAACTAGAGACAGAAATATTATGTTTCAAGAAATATGGTACACTTATTAGATTCTAGTCTTATCAGTTGTTTTTAAGTTTGTTTCTATAATTTAGGCTAACCCTGTGAACCACCAGTGATCTCTGACTGCTGCTCAGAAGAAACAAGAGGAATGGGTATCGTAAAAATCTGAATCAATATTCTAATTCTGGGTGTGTACTGAAATCATCTAGCAACTCCATATCAGCTTGGTTCCAACAGCTGCCCAGTTCATGGAAAACCCTCTAATTTAGTTTACTCGGAATAATTTTACTTATTTTGCTTTACTGTTGTGAAATATATTGCTGTTGCATGTAAAAATGCAGAACAAGCTTACTAAATGTTTTCTTAAACTGAACACTTATTAATCTTCCAGATATCACCTTTTGTCAGAACTTGGAGTTATGAATGGCCCATATACCAATGCTTTCTGACTGAGCTCCTCTCTACCCAGAATACAAGAGACCCTAATAGTTAGGCAGGAATATTGTCACCCCTGTTCAGCCTGAAGAACTTACAGAAGGTGGATCTTCATTCCTCAGCAACCCTTAGGACTAAGGGTGCTCTTATAAAAGGGAGGGGGGAAATGTCAGGCATGTGAACTGGAGCAACTCCATCTTGAATAGAAGCTGGGTAAAATGAGGCTGAAACCTATGGGACTGCATTCCCAGACTGTTAAAGCATTCTAAGTCACAGAATGAGATAAAAGGTCAGCACAAGATACCGGTCATAAAGACTTTGCTGATAAAACAGGTTGCAGTAAAGAAGCTGGCCAAAACCCACGAAAACCAAGATGGCGACAAGAGTGACCTCTGGTCGTCCTCACTGCTACACTCCCTCCAGTGCCGTGACAGTTTACAAATGCCATGGCAATATCAGGAAGTTACTTTATATGGCTTAAAAAGGGGAGGTATGAGTAATCCATTCTTTGTTTAGCATATCAAGAAATAACCATAAAAATGGGCAACCAGCAGCTCTCGGGGCTGCTTTGTCTATGGAGTAGCCATTCTTTTATTTCTTTACTTTCTTTTTTTTTGAGACAAAGTCTTGCTCTGTTGCCCAGGCTGGAGTGCAGTGGCACAATCTCGGCTCACTGCAACCTCTGCCTCCTGGGTTCAAGTGATTCTCCTGCCTCAGCCTCTGGAGTAGCTGGAACTACAGGCACATGCCACCACACCCGGCTAATTTTTTGTATTTTTAGCAGAGATGGGGTTTCACTGTGTTAGCCAAGATGGTCTCAGTCTCCTGACCTTGTGATCTGCCCGCCTCAGCCTCCCAAGGTGCTGGGATTACAGACGTGAGCCACCATTCCTGGCTTCTCTACTTTCTTAATATACTTGCTTTCACTTTACTCTACAAGCTCATCCTGAATTCTTTCTTGCCTGAGATCCAAGAACCCTCACTTGGGGTCTGGATGGGGATGCCTTTCCTGTAACATCTTTTTGGTGACCACAGAAGGGACTATAGTGAGGAAACCCCCAGTAGGTGTTGGAGTCCTGTAACATCTTTCTGTTCACCGCAGAAGGGACTATAGTGTGGAAACCCCCTTCCCAAAGGCTACCTTTGGGTAAGTGTTGGGGTCCTGTAACACTATTGCATGCACTTCAGAGGAGGAAACAGACTCTACAGCAAGTGTATCATCCCTTCTTTTGGAGAGAAGAAATGTTTTACAGTCATAATGCCAGTACTTCTCTAAGTATCCTTTTTCAAACCAAGTTCACCAGGAGGGCCAAGACTGATAATGAAAATCCAGACTCCCAGCCCTCTCCATTCCTGCTGACTCAGAATGGCTAGAGCCCACAGCCATAAGATCTGCCTTTAATCAAACACTTCAGGAGATTCTTACGCACAATTTAAAATGCTGGAACCCCTGTTGCTAAGTGATAGGTATCAAATGAAGAAAAACTGCAGTACTTTTGACCGGAGTGGTGATGCGGATGGAGAGTTTCATGGAAGAGAGTTTGAACGGAGGCTTCAGCTGGTTTTATTAACTGTGGCAAAGAGGAGGTGGCATTCCAGGAGCAAGGAATGATGGTCAAAGGCAATGAAGTGCACAGGGCATCAATGGCTCTAGCATAGAGAAGAGAGAACTGCCCCAAAGTCTCTCACAGACGTGCACTCCAGGCCAACCAGATGATGTCTCTTGCCTTCTCCAGGGCCATTCTGCAGCCTCTCAGGCCTCCCTTCCATGTGCAAGCAGGGTGACACTGGAGAGGAATTGAACCATGGAAAGTTAGTTTTGCTCTGTGCTCACTTGTCACTGAGTGAGCTAAGCTGGCCGGCTTTTTGCCTTCTGTCAAGTCAGCTGCTCTCTGAATTCAAGCAGAAGTATGAGAAACTGGTTACCACTCAGGCTTGAATTTTGCTGTTCTCACTTCTTGAGAGAGCCACAAGCTGACTCTATTTCCAAATGGCAAACAGCCCTCTCAAGGCTACCCTCACCTTAGAGCAGGACCGCACAGCACAGAAAGGCCAGCGCTTAGCACACCAGGCATATGGAGCAGCTCAGGTGCCTCCGGGTGAGAAAGCGGCACACAGCAGGAGGAGATCAGATGTTACTAAGCAGCACGAGGTCTGGGCCAACTGTTGCATCCTTCCTTACTTGGCCACCTGGAAGCTGTCAATCAACTGAACAACAAGCATCTAATGGCTGACAGTACTTGGAGCCAGTGCAATCAGCCTCAACCCCTTTGTTTATTTCCACTTGATGTTATTTGATGAAATGTCTCTTTGGATGAGAGCCTGGTATTCATTTCCCCAGGAAGTCTGGGGTCTGGGCTCACCACTCCACAACCCCCAGCCCTGCCCCACCCTCCAACTCTATCAAAGACTACCACTGCCTCCCTTCTGGCCTTCTCCCAGCATGGTGTAGCAGAGATCATGATTAACTGGAACAAAGTAAGACACAGGCATGGCATAATGAACGTGGTGATGCCAGATGCCCCTCCTAGGAAGGACTTGTTCTAGCTCTGGGAGTGCTGTCAGCAGACAGTTGTCAGGTACCAACCCTTCAGGTCCACCTCAGTTGCAGAGAGCTGCCTTCCCCAAGGCCATTCCCTCCTGTGAGGCCCATATCCAGTGACTGATGGAGACAGGTGTAGAAAAGCCTGGCTCTTTGGCCCAGTGCTGGCCAATCCTTCCACCCTCCCCTTCTCTCCATAGGTACTAATCCTAAGGGCACTTCCTAGCAAACACCTACAACCTGAGTTCCCAGAGAACCCACCTTGCTAAACATGAGTTTGAATTTCATCTTAATGGCTCCTGAGGCCTGTGGCTTTGGGGAGACAATCACTTATTTTTTGTAAGGCTTAATGTCTTCATCCAATAAATGGGAATAATAGTAACTTCATAGGATTATTGTGTATGCGGAGTAATCCCTCATAAATATTAGATATCATAATCTTGGGCAAGTTTATGGCTTCTGGGAGCCTTGGATCCTTTATGCAAAAATGAGAACAATACTACTTACATCTCAGGATTTTGGTTAGACTTGTATGACATAATGTATGTCTTGTTACATGCGCAATAGATAAGAGCCCCCGCCCCCCACCATTTTCCCTTTAAAATACCCACGGAACCTTTATATAGTGAATTAAAAAAATAAGTTGTGTTTATTTTCTTTTTCTGTATTGCTTGCCCTTCATCAGTGTATAGGACATTTGTATTTGGAGGAGAAAAACTGAATGCAGAACAGAAAGGCAGGAGCTAGGGTGGAACCCTGGATTTGTGGCTCTGTTCTCTTTCGTCACAGCTCAATGGCCAGCTCCTCCGGGAAGCTCACCCTGACTAACTCAGTGCATTCTGCAAATTATTCATGCAACCATTGATGACCATCTCTTTTTCCTTGATTCACTTTTTTAGTTCTTATAATAATATATTTTCATGAATTACAGGATTTCTATGTTCTTATTGTAAGCCTCTGAGAAGCAGAGACGGTGTCTGTTTTTTAAGAGAGTATGCCTGGTGGAATACTACCATTTTCCCTGGGAGTGTTCATTTGTTACTGTGCTAGTTACCAGCAACGAACTCTTCCAACAGTGCTGAGTCCTCCTGCAGCCCCGAGATGCTCCAGGAATTCCCGCTGAATTGACAAGAAATCTGAGAGCCAGATGGGGCCTTCTGAGGCCCCCCAGTCCAACTCTGATCATCTTACCTTTCTGGAAACTTATTTTTGGTCATCTCCTTCCCTCATTTAAAGGCTCATGTGAAAATTTTTGCAAACCCATCTTTATTGTATCTTCTGTATTTTATAATTTGATAACTCTCAATTTTTAAAAAAGCTTGGTCAGTTCTAGGAACATTGTCTTACACTGACACCTGCTGGGCAGGTGGAAAAATAACAGGTACCTGTAACACTAGTGTCTTTTAGGACTAGAAGCAGAGAAACTCCATTCATCTTTCTTTAATAAGCATCTTTCTTACAACTATCCTAATTTTAAGCTTTCCTTTCCCTCTTCTCCCACTAAACCTAAAGTCTGGATTTTATATTTCTTGATGACTCTATTGCTAAAAGCCTATAGCACCATTAAACAACATCATTTCATAGATAACACTTAATGCTTAATGATGAACAATAATCCCGCTCATTACCTGTGACCTTGGTTCTGCAAGCACTATACCTCCAAACAACTGAGCTGTCGAGTGGGCCCCATGAAAAGTAGGTGGCCATTTTTAACCCTGGATTCACCCAGTTGGCCGGAACTGTGAGGCCATCTGATCTGGATCAGAGTGTCTCGGTGATGGAAGGAAGAGTCATTCAGTGTGAATGTCAGAGTTCTTATTTTGAAAGTTTTTCCAGGGATCACGACCCCAGTAAAAATTTATTTAAGTGTTTCATCATCCTAATGAGACTTTGTTATAAACCATGTCTCTCTCTCTCTGCTTTTATTTAAACACTTTTTTTTTCTGTCCAAACAAATTCCAGCTCTAATAGTCCTTTTATTCCAGGAAAGGATGGACAAACAAGTAAATAAAGTATATGATTTGTCAAATGATCATAAATGCTAAGTTTTACAAAAGGGCAGGAAGGAAGATAAGGATTGCGTGTGTGTGTTTGGGGAGGTGGTTGCTTACTGCTTATAGAGCCGTGTGGGGGATAAGGGCTGACCCAGGAGCCTTGGGTTTCTTGTGGTGACATAAACAAGGTTAGAAAGTATGCCGAGGCTGAGGCAGGAGGATCACTTGAGCCCAGGAGGTGGAGGTTGCAGTGAGCCAAGATCGTGCTATTACATTCCAGCCTGGGTGACAGAGACTCTGTTTCAAAACCAAAAAAAAAGTATGCTGAGGTTTAGAAAAGACTAATCAATATCCTATTTATTATAAAAACTTTATGATATTTTAATTTATTATCATAAAAACTTTACCAGATATACCAGTAGGCTATATTCTAATTATCCCCCTTACCAATCCCTTTCACTGTACTTTTTTGGGGTTTATTTAATAACTTAATCATTAAAAGTACTTTCTAGTTGGGTCCATACTTTTTTCCTGCAAGTGTTGATTTAGAGAGGAAGACAGGACCCAGGGTCTGAGCCTGTGGCATTTGTTAGCACTGCATGGGAACTAATTGATCCTCGGGGTCATCTGGAACTTGGAGAAGGAGGCACTGAAGAATTCAGTCGGGGTCACAGAGGAAGGGGCCTGATGCCTGGGATGGATGGGCCAGGCAGACTCAGTGAGAGGAAGGGAGGTGGATTTTGGATCTGGGTAAACTTCAGGTTTGAAAAGTGGCTCTCCTCCTTACTAACTGTGGATCTTGGGCAGTTACTTATCTCCTCTTTGCCTCAGTTTCTTCATCTGTATATGGGGATAACAATTCCATCTTGAATAGTGCTTGTTGACACGGTGCTTGGCACATAGTAGGTGTGAAGTTATTTCTATTCCCTGTTTCAGAAGGAACGCTATTTTGCTTATGTCTGGCCCTGTGTCTGCTCTGAACACCCCACTGCTAATTGTTCTTTCACTTGATCCATGCCGGTTCTGAAAATCTTTAGAATTCAAGCCTTCCCTTTTTCAAGTGTTCTGGCTGCCACAAATGATGGCTCTTCTCTTAAACTTCTCCGACATCCTTTCATCCTGGCATTTTCAGACTTCAAAAAACGGTCTTAGAGATTTATTGATTTAACAAATGTTTATTAAGCTCTTACAAAGTGCTAACACTGAAGATAGAAGAGTGAACAAAACAAACTAAAATTCCTGCTCTCAAAGACCTTTTATTCTGGGAGAGGATGGAAAAACAAGTAAATAGAGCTTATGAATTATCAAATAATCATAAATGCTAAGTAAAAAAAAAAAAAAAACAAAATGCAGTGCAGGAGGGGTAATTAGGATCGTGTGTGTGTGTTTGAGGAGGTGGTTGTTTGCTCTCATAGAGCCGTGTGGGGTCTGAGGGCTGACCTGGGAGTCCTGGGCTTCTTGTGTTGACATAAACAAGGTTAGGGAGCATGCTGAGGTTGATCTTGGTGGTCTCAAGGAGGATAGTGGTGTGGAGTGTGAAGGCTGGGGATTGGTAGGTTGGGCTCCAGTCAGGAGCATACAGAGTCCCCTCTTCATTCCTGCCAAAGGTGTCCTGGAGGAGAACATGGGGAGGGGCCTCCTGATTACACCTGGACCACAGAGAGTTGGTGGGCTCCCCTCTCATTTGCTTCCTTCAGTTCCTGATGACAAGACAGGCTGTGGGGACTTGGTAAATGTTGACTTCTTAAGACTCAGGCCCTGACAAGTGCATTGTCCTGCCCGGCTCTTGGCACATTGCATACCCTTCTGAGTCTCTATTTCTCCCTCATCTCTAGGAGGAGGAGGAGGCTGGCCTCTTATATCGATTTCTGCTAAAAACAAATTCTGTGATGTTAAGAAGTTTCAATTGTATCTCCATTGTTGGAGTTTTGAACAGAAAATAGAGAATTTTAGGGTCTAGATAGAATTTTTGGTTTATTTTTTCTTTCCAGTTGGCTTTGGAAGAAAAGGATGCAGGAAAGGAAGACTTGGCTTCTGTTGCTGGTTTAGAGGAGTGAGATTAGGTTTCCTGGATAATAGCCAAACCTACCAGAATAGGGGGATTGGATCTTTCAAAGACTGGGAAGAATTTGTTTGGCAGGAGATTTGCTGACTTGATCAAGAGGGATTTTCCACTCAAATTTTCTGGGAAAGGGAGAAGAAAATCCTGGTAAAATCAACTTAAATGCTCCCTTTGTGGATATTCATGACCCTCAGGGCTGAATTAGTTGCTCCTGTCAGTTTCCACAGAAAGGTGGGAAGAAAGATGGAGCCAAGGGATAGGATAAAGGCCAGTGATCTCCTGCAGGAGCAGCAGTGCGTGTATGATGAACATTTAATAAGTGTGCAATGAATTAACAAATAAAGAATGAAAGACAATAAGACAAACTGTATTAGGTCTCGCTATAAGGGAATACACGACACTGGGTAATTTATAAAGAAAAGCGATTTAACTGGCTCCGAGTTCTGCAGGCTGTACAGGAAGCATGACGCCAGTATCTGCTTGGCTTCTGTGGAAGCCTCAGGGAGCTTTTACTCATGGCCAAAGGCAAAGTGGGAGGAGGCATGTCACATGGCAAAGCAGGAAGAAGAGAGGTGCTACATACTTAACAACATTTTCAGTTATTTATTTATTATTTTTGAGATGGGGTCTCACTGTTGCCCAGACTGCAGTGCAGTGGCTTGATCATGGCTCACTGCAGCCTTGACAACCCCCTCCTCCTCCCCGCCCTGGGCTCAGGTGATCCCCCAACCTTAGCTTGCCAGGTAGCTGGGACTACAGGCATGCACCACCATGGCAGGCTAATTTTTTATATAGCTGGGGTTTGCCGTGTTGCCCAGGCTGGTCTCAAACTCCTGGGCTCAAATGATCCAACTGCCTCAGCCTCCCAAAGTGCTGGGATTGCTTGTGCGAGCCACTGTGCCCGACCTGGGTGCTACGCACTTTTAAACTACTACTCACTATTGCAGGGGCAGCACTAAGCCATGAGGGATCCACCCTGATGATCCAGTCTCCTGCCACCAGGTCCCACCTCCAACATGGGCAATTACAATGCAACATCAGATTTGGTGGGGATACAGATCCAAATTGTATCACAAACCAACAGGTAAGAAGAAATGGGGAGGTACAGGAAAACTGGCCTTAGCTTTGTGTTAATCCCAGACAAATTTCAAGAATGGACTATTAAATGTGGTTTATGATTACTTAGAAAATGGTTTTTTCATGATTTATTTTGAAAAAAATTATAGACCCATAGGAAGTTATAAAAAATGTATAGGTCACGAGGTCAGGAGTTCTAGAACAGCCTGGCTAACATGGTGAAACCCTGCCTCTACTAAAAATACAAAAATTAGCTGGGTGCCTGTAATCCCAGCTACTTGGGAGGCTGAGGCAGGAGAATTGCTTGAACCTGGGAGACAGAGTTCGCGGTGAACCGAGATCGTGCCACTGCACTACAGCCTGGGCAAAAGAGCAAGACTCTGTCTCAAAAAAAAAATGTATATCTATATATACACACATATATATATGTGTATATATATATGTATATATGTGTGTGTGTGTGTGTGTGTGTGTATATATATATATATTTATATATATATATATGTTCACTCTGTTTCCCCCAGTGATAACATCCTGCCTAACTATAGCACAACACCAAAACCAGGAAATTGGCATTAGGCCAATCCACAGAGCTTATTCACATTTCACCTGTTTGATGTGTTCTTGCATGTGTGTGTATGTATAGTTCTGTGCAGCTTTTGTAATGTATAGGTTCATGTAACCACCACTATAATCAAAATATAGAACTGTTCCATCACTAAGGCTGTGTCGCTATCCTACATCCACTCCTACCCTGATGAACAATCAGTAATCTGTTCTCCATCTTTAGAATTTTTCATTTCAAGAATGTTATATAAATGAAATCATATAGTATATAACTTTTTAATATTGGCTCTTTTAGGCTAGGTGTGGTGGCTTATTCCTATAATCCTAGCACTTTGGGAGGCTGAGGTGGGAGGATCACCTGAGCCCAGGAGTTTGAGGCTGATCACGTCACTGCACTCCAGCCTGGGCACCAGAGCAAGACCCTTTCTCCAGAAAAAAAAAATAAAATAAAAACAGTTTGGCTCTTTTCACTCAGCATAATTCCCTTAAGAGCTATCTAAGTTGCTGCATTTATCAATAGTTTGTTCCTTTTTACTGCTGAAAAGTATTCCAGTGTATGGTGTATGGATAGACTACAGCGTGTTTAACCATTCACCTGCCGAAGAATATTTCGGTTGCTTTTGTTTATTACGAATAAAGACATCATGAACATTCATATACAGGTCTTTGGTGAACGTAAGTTTTCAAAGCTTTGAGATAAGTACTCGAGAGTGCAATTATTGGATTATATGGTACTTGTATATTTAGTTTTAGAACAATTTGGCAAATTAAAAAAGAGTGCCTCTGACTGCTAGCAAGAGGTGGGACTCCCTTGGATTGGGGTCTGTCTGATCATTACTCTGCCAAGGAACCAGCTATGGGACAATGGACAATTCGCCCAGCCTCTCTGTGCCTGCATTTTCTTTTCTGCCACTTAACAAAAATAGTGCCTTCCCCACAAACCCCACAGGCCGTTATGAATAATACATTTATGTAAAAGTTCTTTAAGCAAAACATAAACATATGACATTAGTATTTCATTGAGGACCAAATATACCCTTAAAAACTAGCATAATTAATTTCTCTGTCCGACTCCCTCACCTTACAAAATTCCTTAGATTTTCCCGTTCCCCTCTCCACCTTTTTGAGCTGCGTCTCAAAATGCAGTGTGGCTGGCTCCAACAGAGGTGCTCTTTTGTCTTGGGAGCTGCTTTTCTAGTCTAGATCATTAAGCTTTCTCTCCTCTCCTAAATCTGCACTCTAGGAAACTGATGTTGTTTATTCACCCTGTGCTCTTGTAACTTCTTAGGTGTCTTTACGTCTGAAAAATACATGAGCCCCAGACCAAGGACTACTGTCCAAACTACTATTTAGCTGAACCCACCCAAAAATACAAGCTTTAATTTGTCTTAAAGAATAGATAAATATTAGTTTAAGCTCCATAATGAAATATAAGTGTAGATTCACTTTACTCACAGTTCCACTGAAAATTGTGTGTGTACATATGTGTGAAATAGGTTGAAAGGGGGCTATTTTTTAATTACCATAATTTGTCTATATTTTTGCAGAGAATAGTAGGATATTCTTTATGGTTTGCTATTATGGTCATCATTCCCTTTAATTTTTAACTATGTGGTTATTCACTAAAGGGATTGGGTTCATGGACTTAGGTCAAAAATTGAGAATTAAAGAATTAATGGTCATTTATGATCATCATTACCTTTAATTTTTAACTGTGTGGTTAATCACTAAAGGGATTGGGTTCATGGGCTTAGGTCAAAAATTGAGAATTAAAGAATCCTTTGGGGGATATTTTAAGGAAAAAAAAGAACTAGTGACCACAACGTCTTTAAATTAAGTATGAAAACACAGTTAGGATTTCTAACAGTGAACTAAATAGAGACCCTGGAATAATTTCAAGTTTTCTTAATTTGAATGCTTATTTGCTATTCATACTTGATTCTCCCCACCTCTGTAACCTCATTAAGAAACAGAGTGATGTGTGTATCAGAAAAAGAGAGAAAAAATGTATTTTCATGATTTCAGGAGGCACTAGGAAGAGTGTCTTGATGAAAATACCTTTCAAAAGTCTGCCACATAATCCTGAAATCCACCATTAGAGACTTATTACTTTTTAAGCACTGGTTCTCTAGAAGGCAGAGATATTCAGCTGCTGCCAGTTGAGAACACAGAAACAAGGCCACGTAGGGTGAACTGCAGAGCACAGGCTCTCCAATCAAATGGAGCTAGGGTTGAATTTGGCTGTGGCATTTACTAGCCGTGGGATCCTGGGCAAATTACTTTTCTCTGAGTCCCAATTTATTCACCTTTAAAATGGGGTTAATAATGACTATCATATGAGAAGTACAATTTAAATGAGCACATGTTGTCTCTCCATATATATATATGTATATATACATGTGTATATATATATGTGTGTATATATATATATATATATATATATATATATATATATATGAGAAACTTAATATACTACCTGGTTTAAAATAGGTTCCCAGTACATTGCAATGATAATTATTAGCAATGGTAGAAATATTTAATTCAAATTGAGATTTGCATAGCTTTAGGGGTACATGAGGACATCCCAAGAGCTATGCAGACTCAGAATCAATTTCCAAATTCTTTCTCTCTCCCTCTCTCTCTCTCTCTCTCTCTATATATATATATTTCTATATTTGCTCAAAAGTGCCCCTGAATCAAGCTGCTTCTCCTTATCCACCTTTTCTTTTATAGCTCCTTTTCTTCTGCCCTACAAAAAAGTGACATATTTTTCATCCACCTCAAATTATGCTGTGGTACCTTAATTGCCCTGGGTATACAAACCTCTGGGACACCAAGCTGAGGAAAGTCAAACTATGGGTATTTGAGAGAGAGAGAGACTCTCAAAGGAAATACTCTGTTGAAGGAAATACTATGGGTATTTTCCTTTAATCAAACCAGCATAAACCAAAGGTGCAGGGCATATTATCTTTCTCTGTCTTATGCTTATCTCTTTTAGGGGCAAAGCATACCTTAAGCAGGTATGCTCACCCATGTCGGGGTGTTTGGACTTCAGGAGTATCATGGAATTAGGCAGGAGAAGTGATGGCATTTTCCTCCTGTCTTCACTACTGGCAAAGAAGGCATTGTTCCTGAGGAAAGAGACTTGAGAATAAAGCAGGCTGGGCACAGTGGCTCACGCCTGTAATCCCAGCACTTTGGCAGGCCAAGGCGGGCAGATCACTTGAGGTCAGGAGCTCGAGATCAGCCTGGCCAACATGGCGAAACCCAGTCTCTACTAAAAATACAAAAATTAGCCGGGCATAGTGGTGGGACCCCATAATCCCAGCTACTCAGGAGGCTGAAGCAGGAGAATCGCTTGAACCCAGGAGGTGGAGGTTGCAGTGAGCCGAGATCACACCACTGTACTTCAACCTCGGTGACAGAGTAAGACTCCATCTCAAAAAAAAAAAAAAAAAAAAAAACAAAGAAAAAAACAAAGAGAACATCTCTTAGAAATATTGGCCGGGCGCGGTGGCTCACGCCTGTAATCCCAGCACTTTGGGAGGCCGAGACGGGCGGATCACGAGGTCAGGAGATCGAGACCATCCTGGCTAACACGGTGAAACCCCATCTCTACTAAAAATACAAAAAATTAGCTGGGTGTGGTGGCGAGTGCCTGTAGTCCCAGCTGCTCAGGAGGCTGAGGCAGGAGAATGGCGTGAACCTGGGAGACGGAGGTTGCAGTGAGTTGAGACCGCGCCACTGCACTCCAGCCTGGGTGACAGAGCGAGACTCCATCTCAAAAAAAAAAAAAAAAGAAAAAGAAAAAAGAAATATTGAAGATGGCAGTAAGTTATTCATCCAGGTGGCAAACTCATGGGAGGTCTCTGTCTATCTTGAAATATTCAAGATTTGTAAGAAGTGTACTGGGAAATGCCAGTGAGCTATGAACCACATTTTCTCTGCAATTTCACCATCTCAGTAATGAGAGCAAGCTCTGTGAATACTCTCATTTAGCTGCATTTTACTCTATGTCTCAGGAGTGTAATTTGCATAACTTCAAGGTGAAAAGACTACAGTTTCTTCCAACATATCAAGGCTACATTTTCTAACAAAAGAAACACATATTAGAGGTAAGTTAGTATTTTGTATTTTCTTAAATATTTACTCAGATTTATAGGAGAAACACTTTCATTAATTTTTGCTAAAAGTTAGCAAAATATGAAATCTATATTCATTTCTGATGAAGGTACAGGTCTCCTGCTCACTGTCACTCATGAACAACTTTCCCGTTCATGTATTAATTCCTGCCATGTAGTTATTAGGTATATAAGTCAGCTTGTGTTGCCATAACAAAATACCATGCACCAGGTGGTTTAAATAACAGAAATTTATTTTCTCATAACTCTGGAGGCTAGAAATCCAAGATTAGGGTGTCAGCATGGTCAAGTTCTGGTGTGGGCTCTCTTCCTGGCTGGCAGATGGCTGCCTTCTCCTTATATCCTCACATGGGGGGCAGGAGGAGAGAGAGAGAGAGTGAACCAGCGAGAGAGAGAGAGAGAGAAAGGGGGCACATGAACGAGAGCATCTGGCATCTTGTCCTCTTCTTTAAAGGACACCAGTCCTAGTGAAGTAGGACCCCAGCCTGTGACCTCATTTAACCTTTATCACCTCTTCACAGGCACTATTTCCAAATATAGTCACATTAAGGGTTAAGCCTTCAAAATATAAATTTTGGGGGAATGAAATTCAGTCCACAGAATTAGCATTAAGTAATTTAACAGGAATATATTGCAGATTATACTCTAACTAATGTGCTTAGAGGTCCTTAATGTGCTTTCCATAATCTTGTACTATACTTATTGGTGACTAAGTTCTTTCTCTTGCTGTCAACTTACATAAAGTATTTAAACTATACTGTCAAAAGCAGAAATCTATTGGTTCAAAAGCAAAAAAAATTTTTCCAAAATGTAAATCTAATATGCAATGACCTGAACTTTAGAAAACTGGCTTGATTGAATTAGGATTAATTTCTCCCTTTCAGATGTTAATATATTGATTTCAGTTCTGCTAAGTGTATTGTCTTCAGTCATATTTGGGAAGAAGTTATTAGTATATACATGAATATCCCCAAGTGTCTGTCCTTCTGTCATTTCTTTACTCTGCATTTTGAGACATTCTTAAAAAATGAAATTTGGCATTGTATATAGGTCTCTGTTCACAGTCAAGGAGAAAAGTCCCCAAATGCACAATTTACAATTTTCTGTTTTTGTTTCTAACTCCAGTTTCATCTTTTTTAGGTCCATAAGCAAGACGCCTGTAAGTAAAAGGGTGATGGTATAATCAACAGCCATGTGATAAGTCTTGGCCAAGCTTTTTTGGGTCATACTTCCTAGAAACTTAGAAAGTGAGCTCTAATAATTAGGTAACACATTTCTTCTTCTTCTTCTTCTTCTTCTTTTTTTTGTAAATTAGGTAGTTTCCAATTCTTTGCTTTCAATAAAATTAAAGGAGGACCTACCCAAGTTGTCAACAGATAGGCCAATAGTTTTTGATAATAGATCACTATGTACTTTTTGACTTATAATCAAGAAGGCATTCAAATAACAGAGTGACATTTTTATCAGAAAATGCCTAACATTCTCATTACTTATTTAATTGAACAAGTTTTCTCAGGGCTTACGTCTAAAAAAATAAAAAATAAGAGTAGAATTGACGCTGACTCTGTCTCATTTTAACAGTTAGGAACAGCCACAGATACCCGAACTAATTTAAAAAGATCCATTCATTTAGTTTAATTTTCCAATAACACATAACTTGCTATGTTTTATAATTATTTATCAAAATATGCTATATATTTATGTTGCTTTGGTCAGTTGTATACTAAAAATCATTATAAAAATAATTCAATCCAGAAAACTTCAAAATTTTAAAAAGGAATAATACAAATTTTTCGGTTGTTAAAAAAGAGGTTGTTGGTGAATTTTTAAGACTGAGGGTGGGAGAGTAAGTGTCAAATTGCTATGGTGTTTAGAGTTCATTGGATACAAAGTGTGATATATTTTATTTAAAAATCAATATTTACAATATGCTAATAAGTACATATTTTGAAGTTATTCAAATTTATGATGAAAAATCTTAGGTGTCTGCTTGAAAATGTGCAAGGGGATACATAGTTTTTCAAAGTTCCTTTAGGAAGTACGAGAGGAATTAGTTCAAAGACCACTTATTTAGCTGATCAAATCTTTACAGTTTTAACAGTTGATGGTGACAAACTTCATGGAGAAAAGTAGATAAAAAGAAGGACATACATGGGTGTGTTGTTGATATGGGCTCTTGTGACAGAAAAGTAGGCTTGGTGAAAAAAACAAACAAAATAACACATAATTCCCAAGTTCTTAAATTTTTTTGGCCAGCACCTTTGAGACATAGCATATCCATTGTTTATGAACTTTGCAAAGCAGATTTATGAGGTTGGTTTTTCTTTTGGATGGGCTTAATTATGTTGGAGACCAATAATCCACTGTTTTAGCCATATTACCATGTGCCTGGCACTGTGCTAATTACTAGAGATGCAGAGATGAACAAGGAGAGAGGATCCCTCAAGGAACTGACAGGATAGAAGAAAAAGGGAAGTTAAACTAGTCTAAGTTGGAAATCAATGATGATGTGCTTTAAGTATTTTTCATTTGTATTCCATATTTGCACAAAAAACTTGAGATGGATAAAGATCTCCCTCATCATCCAACCTGTTGAGGAATGGAACAGGACGGAATAAAATGGTGGAAGGAAGGTGAATTTGCTCTCTCTTTTTGAGCTGGGACATCTGTCTTTTCCTGCTCTCTGACAATGGTGCTCTTAGTTCTTGGGCCTTTGCACTTGGGCTGGTTTGTACCACCAGCTAAGCTTTCCTAGGTCTCCAGCTCACAGACAGCAGATTGAGGGACTTCTCAGCCTCCATAATCATGGGAGCCAATTCCATATTTCTCTATCTCTATACCTCCTATGGGTTCTGTTTCTCTGGAGAACCCTGACTAATACAAATGGTTTATAGTACAAGATTCTCTGAATCCTTGGGGTTTGGATCTTGATGTTTAAAGTTAATGCTCTAAAATTTAAAAGAAAAAAAAAAGAAAATCCCTTTTTTCTTCTCTCAAACTCTTGCTACTTACAATAGAGAGCCATACCCCCAACCCTAAATGTGCCCAATTTCATCTGATCTAGGAAGCTAAGCCCAACTAGCGTTGGGCCTAGTTAGTATTTAGATGGGAGAAAACCAGGCCCCTGTAGGCCATGGTTTCTGGTGTCCATTTACCAAACTCTCCTCTGTAGTTCATGATCAATGGCTTTTGTTCTGCCTGGATGGTCCTACCCTGTTGTACCCAGAAAGTGTCTGCTGACTGCTGAATGGTGGGTGAAAAGAAAGGGCAATAGGAATTAGAAAGCATGTGGTTTAATAATTTTTAAAAATTCCCTACTTTAATTAGGAAGTGATGCATATTTCTGGAATTTTCACCAAGAGATCATGGTGTTTCTAGGAAGCTGGCTAACTACGCCTGATATATTTAAAAAACAAAAAAACCCCAAACCCAAAAAACTACAACCTACTCAATTACATTGCAACTTGCCGGGAATTAAGTAATGGTGTTCTCAGAACTGTAGAGTACAATGTAATCAGTGTTTATCTGATTCTGTGCTGAAGAGTCTGGGCTTAACTTCCTGAGGACCAGCAGGCTACCTAGCTGGTAATGTCTCTAGAATGGAGAGCAGCTCATCCAAGAGCCCAGCTTTTGAGGGCATAGAGTTGATGAATTTCATGGGAAAGGCAGGACCCTTCACTCCAACTTCTAGCTGTTTGATAGCAATTCTCAAGCTTTAGTATGAATACAAGTCATTTAGGAAGATTGTTTAATAATATAGATTCCTTGAACCCCCATACAGATCATCTGATTCATAGGTCTGGGTTGGGGCCTAGGAATTTACATTTTTGCATACTTCTTCTGGACCATGTTTTGAGACCTTTAGACTCCCATTTGGAGAGCCTAGGATAAAAATTTAGGAATTGTTGAAAATACCATCCTTAGATCCAGACCGGAGGGGCTCCTGCCCTGGGGTCTGTGATTTAGAAGGCCCTGCTCTGGCCCTCCCCTGGCCATGTTGGTCTCCATGGGATGAGGAGTCTGGGGGCTCTAGGGGATATGCCAACCTTGAGACTGTGAGCAGACTTCCAGACTGTGATCTAGGGAGAGAGAGAGAGACAGAGAGAGAGAGGTTGATTTTGAAGAACTGGCGCCTGTAATAATAGAGGCTGAGAAATCCCACAATCTGCTATGTGCAAGCTGGAGCCCAGGAAAGCCAATGGTGTAGTTCAGTCCAAGTCAAAATGCCTGAGAACCAGGGAAGCCAATGGTGTGAATCTCAGTCGAGGGCCAGAGAAGATGTGATGAAATGTCTCTGCTCAAGCAGGCAGGCGGCAAGCAAGTTAAGGGCGAATTCCTCCTTCCTTTGCCTTTTGTTCTCTTCAGGCCCTCAGGAGAGTAGATGGTGACCACCCACACTGGGGCAGACACCAACTTTGCCAATCCACGGATTCAAATTCTAATCTCCTCTGGAAATACCCTCACAGACATACCCAGAAATCAGGTTTAATCCGAGCACCTGCGTCCAGTCAAGTTGCCACATAGAATTCAGCATCACAGGTGCTGAGCTGGCTCCTGACTGTGCAAGGGCTTCTTCCCTGGTCTGACCTCCAGAGGGCATACCCTGCTGGGTGTGTCCTTACGCCTGAGTAGTGGCCAAAGGGCAGCTGTTTGTGGAGGTGTGGATGGAGTTGACTGTGTGAGCTGCAGCATGCACTAGTGGCCCCAGGAAGTTCCTCATTCATGGAGGGCTGGCTGTGGGAAAAGAGGGAGCATGGGCTGTGAGCCAGGAGTTAGCACTCCCTGTGCCACCGCATTCCTACCTTGGGTTTCTGGGTTGTTTGGAGGGTATATTTATCAGATAGGAGAATAGGATCTTTTATTCAGCAGTTTGTTAGCTTTGATTTATAACTTCTAAATAACTAGACACATGGTTTGGGGACCTTAGTCTGTACTCTTGCTTTGGGCCCCACAAATGTTAGAGGCAGACCAGATCAACATTTCCAGATTAGTAACATCTTAGACTTGATTTCTTCTAAACAAGAATTGTCCTTCAAGCCAGGCCCCAGGGAGGGAAAAATGGACAAAAGGTAAAGGAAATATGACCTCCAGGCTGGCAGGGCCCAGGGAGGGAAAACCCAGCTTGTGTGGCAAGGCAGCAAATCTTGGCGTGTCCTTTCTAAGCCCTGTCTGCATCTCAGGTAAGGAGTGAGAGAATGGGAATGGGGCATAATTCTGTTTTGCAGAACTGACAGACTTGAGCTATCTTGGGGGACCCAAAATCTAGGTTTTTCTAATTTCATTCTCTCCAGGATTCTAGCCTCCCCAGCATGAGTCAAGTTGTCCTAATTTTTCCTAGAATGAGATAATAGTCTGAAAATGTGAACACTTTTCTGGGTAACTTTAACATATTTTCAGAAACAATTGCACATAAAAAAGACTTCTTCAATTATTTTATAAGGGGATTAACACGGAAACTTTTTTTTTGTATTTCACACACATTGGAATGTGTAAAAGGCATTGTTACATGACAGTCACTACTTGATACCATATTCCACATACTTTAATGAAAATATTCCTTAAAACACCCAATTACTTTTCTCCCATTAGATCTGCTATGTACAGTTGTCCAGGTTGTTGACTGTGTAAGAATACTTAGCCCAAGAAATGAATAGGATCTAAAATCCAGCCTACTGTCTCCTTGTCAAGCTGAGCGCCCTGACATGGCCTGCATTCACCAGGAGGAAGGATGCTTTTTTCTAATCACAAAAGTCACAGTCTGCTTGTCAAACCACATACCTTGCTCATGAGAGGGGCATGTTTGCTGAGGTTACCCTCAAACTAACAGAGCTGAGGATGCTAAAATGATGCCATATGTTGAGGAATAGTGAAAGCCTTCTGGGGAGATGGTCATCTTGGAATCTGATTACTTGCCCTCTCCCTCTCTGCACCCTCTCTCCCTCTCTCACTTCCACTGCAGTGAAGAGAAAGAATGCCTTTCTGGGAAAAAAATTACTGGCAAAAAAAACAAACCAAACCAAAACAAACGCCAAGAAACCCCACAACAACACAGCTGCTGTGATTTCTGTGGGTCCCAAAGAAAAGAGGAGCTAACTGCTGCTTCAGCCTGTGTAATAGCCAGGTCCTGGGACAGAATTAGCTACAGTTAGAAAATAAAGTCAACAAGGTGAGTACAGCTGGAGATGGAACATTTACTGCTACCCATCTACTAGCTTGGAATCAGGGAAGTAATTAGTCCAGTGTGGATCAGCATTGGTCATGGACTAGAGGAGGACATCTACCCTTGCCCAATCCTGAAGCCCCTTTTGGGCCCTGCTGGAACTCACAGTCCATTATTAGCAAAACCCAATAGTGTCAACCTTGGCTCTGACTCTTCCAGCACCATCTCACTCTGATGAAAACATGGCTGTCCTCTGGGAACACTGCCTTCTGATTCTGTCGTTATTCTCCTTGTCCCGTGGTGGCTGTGGTTTGCTCCCTCCAGTTGTGCCATGGGGCCTGGAGGTGGGGTGCGTTTCTTTTACACTCCTCATTGCCACTTCTGCATCATTACCTCTTTCTCTTTCCTAAAAGTGTCCTGCATTGAATCTCAGGTCATCAGGTTATGTCACCTGACTTCTCATTTTGTGACATCTGTCATCCTGAAGTCATTCCCCCTGGTTCCTCAGTGTTCCTGCCTCACCATTGCATTCCTCTTCCTGTCTTAACTCTGGGCAAGTTCAACTTACACATGGATTGTCCCTCCATTATCCTGGTCTCTCAGTTCCCTACTGACCTTTCCTCTCACAATCTGGTCCTTCCCCTTTCATCACCGTGATTGCAGACCCTGTCATTTCCCACAGCTGTGTGGCCTCCACGGCTGCAAGGCATGCCGCCCACTCTAGGACCCCTGCTTCCTCTCTTCCTAGCACGCTTCCTCAATCACCCTGTGTGCTAGAACTGTCAAAGCAAAGTGCCACAAATTAGGTGGCTTAAAGAATAGAAATGAATTCTCACACAGTTCTGGAGGTTGGAAGTCTGAGATCAAGGTGTTGATGGAGTTGGTACCATGTAGGGGGCTGCCCCAGGCTGCTGTCCTGGCCTCTGATGAATTGCTGGCAATCCTTGGCTTGTAGACTCATCACTCCAACTTCTGCCTTCGTGTTGACATGGTGTTCTCCCTGTGTGCCTGTCTGCACCCAAATTTCCTATTTTTATAAGGACACCAGTCACACTGGATTAGGACACCCCCTCATCTTAACTAGTCAGGATAAGTAAGGTAACATTCTGAGGTACCAGAGGTTAGGACTTCAACACTTAAATTTTTTTTTGAGGGGGGCATACAATTTAACCCCTAACATGCTCCATCTCCAGCAGTCCTTCCACTCCCATCTTAAATTCATGAACATAAACCCTTAATGCTGCTTGGCAAAGGCAAACATACTCCCTGATATGGTTTGGCCCTGTCCCCACCCAAATCTCATCTTGAATTGTAGCTACCATAATCCCCATGTGTTGTGGGACGGATCTGGTGGGAGGTAATTGCATCTTGAAGACAGGTTTTTCCTGTGCTGTTCTTGTGATAGTGAACAAGTCTCACAAGATCTGACGGTTTTATATAGGGCACTTCCCCTGCACACGCTCTCTTGCCTGCCGCCATGTAAGATGTGCATTTGTTCCTCCTTTGTCTTCTGCCATAATTGTGAGGCCTCCCCAGCCATGTGGAACTGTGAGTCCATTAAGCCTCTTTTTCTTTATAAATTACCCAGTCTCAGGTATTTCTTCATAGCAGTATGAGAATGGACTAATACACTCCCTCCCCTATGTCATCAGTTTTTCCCCTCTTGGCCTCATCATTACTATCACCATATAAAGATGCTCTTATTTCTCTCACATTAATTATATTAAAAACTTTCTTGACCCCACATCCACCTGTAACTCTCCCTCCAGCTCTACTATCTCTGCTGCTCTTCACTGAATGATTCTTCTGGGGTTGTCTATACTTACTGCCTTCAATTCTTCTCCTCCCATTCCCTTCAGTCCCTTCCAATCAAGCTTTTGCCTCCACTACTCCTCTGAAAGTTCTCATGTCAAGGTTAACACAGTTTGTAGTATTAGTGAATTTCTTCTTTCTTTTTTTTATCATGGTTATCCTCGATGAAAAATTGAACTTACTCCCATTTATTGCATGCATTAAGTGATGAGGTTTGCCCAAAGCTCAGGAAAACAACAAGGAGAAGGTGAAATAATGAACAATATATAGATTGGCAGGAAAAATACAGAATGAAAAAATTGTTTAGAATAAGGTAATCCTTTTATAGCATTGGCCACTCTATAGAGATTCGATTTTTAGCATTTACATTTACACATTTTAACCAATTACTTTGCCCACTTGGAGCACGTGGATGCATTTACACTGACCACTCTGTGTCCTTCCAGGTTTTCCCTGGATGGCCTTCTTGATCTCTGGCAATTTGGAATCCCAAGCCCTTTCTGGGATTATTACCTAGCCCCCAGGTCAACCCTCTCTAGGGATCCAGGGTGGAGGAGGGAGGAAGAGGAGGGGGTGGTGGTAAAAGGGGGTAGGAGCAGGAGGATTTAGTGGAACAAAGGGATGAGAGAAAATAGGAAAGAAGAAAAAGCAGCAGACCCAGGCAACATGTGCTGTGGCCATAATAACTGTTTTCTGTACTGTCTGCTGCAACTAAATTTTAAAAACATGCTTACCCTTTTTTTTTTTTTAAATGAACAAACTCCTTCAGAGGGGGTGGATTGTATAGTTTCTGGCATGCTGCAGGGGAGAAAAAGTCCATCTCGATAACTTATAAGCACGCTTTGAATTCAGAACTTTACAATTCTTCAGAAACAACTAATGAAAAAAAGAGTGCTGTTGGGCTGACTGTGAGTCACTTCCCCACCCTATGATTCACTAAGTCACAAATGCTGGACATGCGGACAGGGGAGAAGGACTTTTGATTTTGAGGATTCATGAGCTGATTCAGTACTGTCTTTATGTTTTGATGCTATCCAAGTTCAAGCTTTGAGGTGTTTTGGCATCATAAAGCAGCATCAAGGTAAGGGATCAAAGGATGGGAAAAGCCAGCATGAGTGAAGGTTTGTTAGCTAGAAGCGTCCAATTCTTGCATAATATCAGAAGGCAAGGTTAGGCAGCTACTGATAGCATGGATGCTGAAGAAAGCTGAAGTACTTTCAAATCCAGATAGCTCCAATTGCTTGCTCTCCTATGACTACTCTTAACTGAAATATTTATAGTGACTCAAGAACGACAGCAAAATAAATATCCTTGGGCTCCCCACTGGTCTAAATCCCTTCACAAAAAACCTTGTCACTGGAAACACTGACAAATACTATATGTTTAGAAAACATCATATAAAATATCCAAATAAATAAGCTATACAGTAATTGGTCCTTTAAATTATTTTAAGGAGGTAAAATATTCTAACATCTGAATTTCTACCTGTCAGAGGCTTTTGAACCAGAGCAATTCCATCTTGAATAGGGGGTGGGTAAAATAAGGCTGAGACTTACTGAGCTGCATTCCAGGAGGTTAAGGCATTCCTAGTCACAGGATGAGATAGGAGGTCGGCACAAGATACAGGTCACAAAGACCTTGCTGATAAAACAGCATGCGTAAAGAAGCTGTCCAAAACCCACCAAAACCAAGATGGCGATGAAAGTGACCTCCAGTCGTCTCACTGCTCATTATACACTAATTATATAATGCGCTAACATGCTAAAGACACTCCCGCCAGTGCCATACAGTTTACAAATGCCATGGCAACATCAGGAAGTTACCCTATATGGTCTAAGAAGTCGGCAGGGGCAGAGGCGGGAACCCTCAGTTCCGAGAATTGCCCACCCCTTTCCTGGAGACTCATGAATCATCAACCCCTTGTTTAGCATATAATCAGGAAGTAACAAAAAGTATCATCAGTCGAGCAGCCCATGCCGCTATTCTGCCTATGGAGTAGCCATTCTTTATTCCTTTACTTTCCTGATAAACTTGCTTTCACTTTACTGTATGGACTTGCCTTGAATTCTTTCTTGCGTGAGGTCCAAGAACCCTCTCTTGGGTTCTGAACTGAGACCCCTTTCTGTAACAAAAACATTTAATTACGACGTCATGACATTCTGGAAGGTTTCTTTGGAATGATGTCCTAGTTTGAGCTCCCAGTTTGATAGTACAAGTTGAGTATCCTTAATCAAAAAATCTGAAACCTGAAATGCTCCAAAATTTGAAATTTTTGAGTGCCAACATGGTACTCAAAGGAAATGCTCATTGGAGCATTTCAGATTTTGGATTTTTGAATTAGGGATGCTCAACCAGTAAGTATAATGCAAATATTCCAAAACTGGGAAAAAATCAAAATTGGAAACACTTCTCATCCCAAGCATTTCAGATAAGGGATACTCGCCCTGTAAAACTTGAACATTCTTGTTAGTAGAAAATTAAATGTAATGAATGAGATGAATGTACCTGTATTTGGTTTTTCTGTTTTAAGAAACTAAATGTTCAAAGATTATTAGCATACACTCAATTACAGAGATATTAAATACTAATTGGATTGTGACTCTGATTTTATTTTCATCTAGATTATTTTGATTTACCTATGACATTATTTCATATCATTGCTCATAGGAAGCCTACCTTTTTGCTTGGTAGTGAGTGTGAAGCAGCTGAAAGAAATGGAGATATTTGAGAAACTACCAGCTGGTAACCAATATATACACTTGAGATACATCTATGTATTTTTCAGATTGGAACAGTGAGTGACTATAGGTTCCAAAACAAAATTTGGTGTTAAATCCCCCATGAGTATCTTGTGCGATAGCATATTTTAAGATTGCTGAATTCATGGGGGAAAAAAGCATACTGCTAAACCAAAATGCATGAGTACAGTTGAAAAGTTAAAAAGTTATATTCCTGTTTTTGAAATTTTACCCCAAATTTTGACGACAACAACAACAACAAGACTGCTTGGTTAAGTTTATTAGATTAAAAATATTGCTAAAATCAGGCTAAATATGCATGCAAAGTTCCTTCTGATATGACCTGGCTGAAAAACATTAAAAATCAATAGAATTATAAACTAAATCATGCCTTGAGCTGTGAAAGACGAAATGACCATCACAAGTAAACTGATAGGCATGAGTTCTCAATAGGCAATGACTTACTTATGTTAAAAGATGGAAGAAACATAGATCAGTGTAGTTCAAGCCCTTCACAAATGTTAGAAACCAAGAAATTGAGGTGCACAGTGGTTGCTTGACTTGCCCAAGGTCCCATGACTTGTCAGTGGCAGAGCCAGGCTGGAATTTGACCCTGCATTCCAGGAATGAGCACCTTTATTATACCATGCCAGGCCAGCACCAAAATTCCAGGACTGCTTTTACAAGTGTTACATTTAACCAGGGTTCTTAATTACTAGCTGGTAAGGAATTTGCATAGAACCATATGGATGTAGATCAAAATCATGTGATTAAGTGTTTCACAAGTGGTAAATTACATATATGTGTATATATATATGAATGAGAGAATTAAAATTACTTTAAAAATATATTTAATTTTAAAAAAAGCCTTGGGATCATCTATTGAGATGAAAACAGTAATGTCATGGAAAGATTACCAGATGTCTACAGGAACTGACCTCCCATCTTGCCCTGCCATTCATTGGCTGTGGAATTGCTTCATTTTCCAGTCAACAAAACGGGGATGTTGATGACTGCTGTACCTTCAATAAACACTCTGAGGATAAATAAAATAGAATAAGTGGAGTGTTCCGAGGGTTTCTTACCTTCCTAAAAGAATTAAAATAGGAGACTTAGGCTTTAGACCACAACTTGTTTAACTTATGTTGCTGATGACTACAAGTTTCCTTGCAGTTATGAGTCAGTGATTCTCAGGAATTCCTTTTTGCACCACTTAACCTTTAAACTGTTTTCTTTATTGAACCTTAGATTTAGAAGACTGAGAAATCACCTAGAGATTTCTCCTCTCAGTTCAACTACCCACTCATAGAAATGCTGATACAGAACTTATTCCTGTGCAAGGTAGTTTATTCCGTGGTTGGAAAGCCACAATATAGAAAAATGTTCATGTTATTGAACAAAAATTTATCTCAGTGTAATTTTTTTGTCATTCATTTTTATTTTATTTTTCTATAGGTTATTGGGGTACAGGTGGTATTTGGTTACATGAGTTAAGTTCTTCAGTGGTGATTTGTGAGATTTTGGTGTGCCCATCACCTGAGCACTATATACTGCACCCTATTTGTAGTCTTTTATCCCTCACCAGGCTCCCACCCTTCCCTCCAAGTCCCAAAAGTCCATTGTATCATTCTTATGTCTTTGTGTCCTCATAGCTTAGCTCCCGCATATAAGTGAGAACATACCATGTTTGGTTTTCCATTCGTGAGTTAATTCACTTAGAATAATAGTTTCCAATCTCATCCAGGTCGCTGTGAATGTCATTAATTCATTCCTTTTTATGGCTGAGTAGTGTTCCATCATATATATATAATATATATATTATATATATTATATGATATATATATAATATATGTATTATATATATTATATGATATATATAATATATGTATTATATATATTATATGATATATATATAATATATGTATTATATATATTATATGATATATATATAATATATGTATTATATATATCATATGATATATATATAATATATGTATTATATATATCATATGATATATATAATATATGTATATATATATCATATGATATATATATTATATATATTATATGATATATATATTCCGTCATGTATATATGATATATGTATCATGGAACCAACCCAAATGCCAATCAATCAATTAGTGGATAAAGAAACTGCGAGATATATATATATATATATATATATATATATATATATATATATATATATATTCCATCATATATATGTGATATATATCATGTATATAATTCCATTATGTATATATGATATATATATATATATATTCCATCATATATATATCATATATATATGGTTGAACTACACTGGGCTTTAACTACACTGATCTATGTTTCTTCCATCTTTTAACATAAATAAGTCATTGCCTATATTCCATCATATATATATGATATATATATATCACAGTGTAATTTTTAACTGTAATCTTAGTTTTTTTTGTTTTGAGTTACATAGATTTTATCAATTCTTAAATTATTTGAATTCAACTATCAAGTTTCTCCTAAATTTTCAATGTTGTAGTAAGAAAGAAGATAGCATTATTAAGTGGCTACTGTGCAATATTAACACTTTTATCTGGGTGTTTTCAATTAAAACTCAAAATAAGTTAATGCCAAGTAACCTCCATTCCTGCATTGATGAGACTAGTAAAGTTGCTAAAACCATAAGCCCTGAATTTAGGCACACCTGGATTTAAGTCTTGGCCACTTACTAACTATAAATTGCAGAAATTACTTAGCCCCTCAGGCTTAGCTTCCTCGCTGATAAATTTTAAAAGCAATAATTCTAATGATAATGTGGTGGTTATGAGGTTAAAAAATATAATGCCTGGGCAACATGATGAAGCCCCATCTTTATGAAATATATATAAATTAGCCAAACATGGTGACGTGCCTGTAGTCTTAGCTATCGGGAGGCTGAGGTGGGAGGACTGCTTGAGCCTGGGACGGGGAGGTTGCAGTGAGCTAAGATTGTGCCATTGCACTCCAGCCTGGGCAACAGAGCAAGATCCAGTCTCAAAACATATGTATATATGGCATGTGACTATATAATGCATAGTAACTGTTCAATAAATGTAAGCTATTGGTATTATTAGTCTCTCTGTCTCTCTCTTTTTTTTTGGCCTTATGTTTATCCCAAATAATTTGTATTTTCTTTGTTTTGGGCCTGATTTCTATATGAAGAAATAGTTTTGAATTGTCTCCTCGTGTATTAGCTCTGTCTCCCTAATTTTTAAATTGAAATATTCATAAACATGCATTCTGTGGTTTTCATGTTTTTGACAAAAATATTGAACAGAAATGAGCAAATCATAAATTCTTGGAGTTTGCCTTTTAAGGTGGAAGTCAAGTCTTTGGCCAATATTCTTTGGGTGACATTGAATGCCTAACTATGCAGCAAACCACCAGTCATCTTGCTGTTACCTGGGCCCTCATTCCTCCATCTTAACAACAAAAGGTGTGCATCACGATATTTGGCAAATGCTATGCTAAAACCAAGGCATACCATGTGCATGCCTTCCTCCTGACACACAGGCAACCAAATCTAAGAAAAGAAGTGAGACTGGTTGGCATGACTTGTTCTTAGTGAATTCACACTGGTTAGTATTTGTTTACTGTATCTTGCCTACAAATCATCCATTTTAGAATTTTGTTTGGCGTCTGCATGAGGCTCATCAGTTTACATACAGATCTCATTCTTTCACTATTTTTAGAAGTAGAAACATTTTCCAGCCATTAGTCACCTTTTCCATTCTCCTTGATTCTCAGGAGCAGTTCTCTGATCTCATCTGCAAACTCTTTTGATACTTTGGGATAGAATTTGTATTAACAGAAGTTTTGAAGTCATTCAGAGTAAGTGAAGATTTCTCTTACTATCTCTTTTTCTATTGTAGGTTTTAATTCTCTCTTCATAATGTTTGCTTCAAAATTGATGTTCATCTCTCTTAGAATATGGAAGGAAGCAGAAAATTGAATGGTTCTTTGATTATGTTATCATTTGTTAAGGTTATATTGTAATTTTTTTTTTTTTTTTTGAGACAAGGTCTTGCTCTGTGGCCCAGGCTGGAGTGCAGTGGAGTGAACATGGCTAGTGAGGGTTTACTTTCTGGGCTCAAGTGATCCTCCCACCTCAGCCCCGAGTAGCTGGGAACACAGGCGTGTGCTACCACACCTGGCTAATTTTTTACAAAGTTTTGTAGAGATGGAGTCTCACTTTGTTGCCCAGGCTGGTGGGCAAGAGGTCCTCCTGGGCTCAAGTGATCCTCCTGCCTTGGCCTCCCAAAGCATTAGGATTACAGGTGTCAGCCACCATGCTTGGCCTAAGGTGATATTGTCTGAGATACAGCATAGGTTTTTCTTCCCAGATCTTTTCTTGGCTACGGAGATTAAAAAGAAAAACAGCTTTCTTGCTGTCTTTAGTATTTATCTCCGCCCCTACTTTATTTTAAGACTTTATTCTCATAATACTCTAAACAAATTTTCCCTTTCTTTTATCGCATGCTTGGGTCTGTCCACCCCATCCGTCCTCTGAGCCATAGGAACCTCGAGTCTTACTACTCCAGATCTAACCCTCCTTTTACCTCCTCTCTGAGAACTGTGTGCTCCTAGACTATTATTCTATTCTTGCTGTTTATGTTTTCAGCACAAGCTTGTTTATGGTCAATTATCTGAGATTATTTCTATTATATTTTCTTTCCAGACAGCATATCTTTCCTCCTAAACAGGATCATTTTTGTAATGCTCAAGTAATCCTGTTTTCAGAGTCTACATTCCTCTTCTAAACATATTCCCTTGGGCACTATTATTTTCCTTACTTTTTATGAAGCCCCCTTTCTGAAGGTCTGACCATTACCTTTTTCACTATTATAAACATCAAGGCCATTTTATTCCAAGGTTTGCTTGTTTCTGCATTTGACACCTCCTTCTTTCTTGTTGGAATCCAGGACAAAAATTTCCTAAATGTATTCCTTTACCTGCTGAGGGAAAATTGTCAGTAACCCAAACCAAGAACAAACTCTCCGTCTGCTGTGCGCTGGGTTGAATGTGTGCCTTTCCCCAGCTTATGTTCACCTGGAGCCTGTGAATATGACCTTATTTGAAAATACAGTCTTTGCAGATGTAATCAAGTTAAGACGAGGTCATACTGGATTAGAATGGGCCCTAAATTCAATATAACTGGATCCTTATAAAAAGAGGAGCATTGGGACACAGGGACACAGACAGGGAGAAGATCGTAGGTGGAGACTGCAGTGATGCATCTAGAAGCCAGGGAGCACCAAGGGTGGCAAGCAACTGCTAGAGGCTAGGAAGAGGCAAGGAAGGTTCCCTAGAGGCGTCAGAGGAAAACATCAACCTGCCAGCACCTTAGTTGCAGACTACTAGCTGCCAACACTGAGATAATAATTTTTTGTTGTTTTAAGCCACCTAGTTTGTGGTGATTTGTTATGGCAGCATCAGGTAACCAATACATGTGGTTAATAGCAGGATACCACTAACTGGTTCCAGGTGGCCAATTCTGTAGCAGTTTTGCTACATGTATCAGAAGATAGCATGGCTATGTGGCAAGAATATAGACTTTAGGCTTAAAGACCCATGCTCGAGTCTTAGACCTACCACCGATGAGTTGGGCGATCTGCAGCTGCTAAAAGAAAAATTTTGGACAAACTAAATTTAACAGAGTTTAATTGAGCAAAGAATGTTTCATGAACTGGGCAATCCCCAAACCAGAATAGATTCAGACAGACTCACGTGAAAAGGATTTATGAACAGAAAAATGAAAGTGAAACAGAAGTGAGGAATAGGAACAGCTGGATTGTTACAGCTTGATGTTTGTCTTATTTGAACGTGGTTTAAACAGTTGGCCATCTGCAATTGGCTGAAGCTCAGTGATGGGTACAAGAGCAAGTTACAGTCTGTTGATACATCCAGTTAGGTTACAGTTCACTATGTGCAGAGAAACCTTTAGCCTCAACTTAAAAATATGTAAGGAGGCAGCTTTAGGCTAAACTTAATTTAACAGGGCATGGTCAATTAATCACTTATAACTTCCATAAAATAATGATAATGTATTATTCATCTGATAAGTCTTCTCTGAGATTGAAGAAAATGTGAGAAAGCACATTTTAAGTTATAAAGCCCCAACAAAGGCTATTGTATTGAGCACCCTTGACATAAGTAACTCCATCTTAAAAAAAAGACTCCATCTTACATTTCACGGGACATTTTGCCAACAGGGATACGATGTTTGCTTAATAAATTTGTAATAAATAAAGACTGCATCCAACCAGATAAGGGCATAAACAAGCACACACTTCCACTATCAGTCCTCTGGTGGTCGTAAAAAGAGCAGGGCTTCAGCAGCTCAAAGCGGCCATCTTAACTGACATGCTCTTACTGTCACTAGTGATCAACACCTGGCATCTGCTGCTGAAGGCTCTGCCCACATCAAAGACTTTTCCTTTCAAGACCTTTCCTGGACCGCCGAGCACAGACCAGGAGATTCTTTCTGTCTTCATCGTCACTTTCCTCGGACTACTTCATTAATCCTTTTTCCTATTCCCTTTCTCTTGATGTTAAATATTACTTTGGTGTGGAATGTTTAATCTTAACATTTATATGTTGATGAAATATACTACTATATATGGTTTGCAATGTTGACTGACTTGTGGAGTGGCTTGAGCTGTGTGCTCTGACTACGGAGTGAACGAGAAGTACTAAGGAGAGAGTTGCCTTCTTGAGAACTCCATGTAGCTTGTGGCTTTTGTGGTTAAAATAGCATCAGTAAAAATCTGACATTGTGGAGACACAAACATGCATGGACCTGGTTATCTCTGACTTTGCCCTGCTCATGAGAGCTATCTAGGATTGTTTTACCCAATTTCCTTCATGTGCTGGGTATCTGTATTACAGTCCTTCAAAGATACTACTTCCATCTCTTTCCGGGTTTATCCCCTTTTAAATACTTCTACTCTCAGATTTTAAATTTCCATTGGAATATATATATTCTTGACATACAATTTTCCTATCCTATCCTTTCGAGGAAACGTTTTCCTTTTGAACAAGGTATGCATGCTCTTTTAATGTTGTATTCCAGGTATGCATCTCATCAGTAAGTCTCAATGATCCTGAGACAGTGTTTACCAATCCTTATCTAAAAATCTTCAAAGTATGGATACGGTGTGCATGTGACATATACACATTTGAGTCCTAGAGTTTTTTTAGGTCTACTTCTATGACATCATCTCTGGAGAATTATAAGGTTTCTCTTCTGTGGGATCCTTGCAGTCTTTCATTGTGTCTGGTTTTGAGTAGTTTATGTCTGATTTATCTTTTCCTGAGATTTGATCTCTTCTTCACTCTTGTGCTGGGTACGTCTTTTTGCCCCACCCCCTCTCTCTGCCCCTGGCACCCAGTGGATTTGAAATAAGCTTCTTCAGATTTTCTTCTGGCTGACTTTTCATTATTTGCTTCATGCAATTTTGTTGTCAGGCAGACATTACTCTGAGTTAGAATATTATTGTATAGTTTTTAAAAAACTTTTTAAAAAAGCTCCCCCTTTTTTCTCATAGCCTAAAAATAAAGTAGATTTAAGAAGGAATCCCCCCTGCCCCAATATCTGAGAGGCCGTCATGTGGAAAAGGGATTAGACTTACTCTACATAGACTCATGTGTGGAGATTACAGAGGCAGTGTGATCCTAATAAAATAATAAAACTTTTCTAATGATCAGAGCTGTCCAAAAACAGAATGGCATGCCTTGTGAGGCAGACAGCTCTATTTCTGGAAATGTTCAAGGCAAGTGCCTTAGGTCAGGTTCTCTAGTAGGAGAGCCTGAAATGGAGTGACTCATTAAGGGAGTGGGTTCAGGAGAAGCCAGTAGAGGAGTAAGCTGAGCAGGGGACGGGAGGGGAGGAAGCTGGGCAAAGATGCGTGTACGCTAAAGTCTGACCCCAACCTGATCCTGCGGGAGTTCTGGGGCATGAATGGTATCACAGAATTGTCCTTCCTTGGGTCTTTTGTGCTTCTTCATCAGTCAGTCATTGCCTGTGTGCTGCCTATGGAGGGTGTGTGTGTTGGGTAGGGAGGCATACGCCTTACAGGCATTTCTAGGCAAGACAGCTCTGCTGAAGGCTATTCTTAGGTTAGGGGTACAGCTGTGAGTTGCCAACAGCCAACATTCACACAGCTGGGGAATGCAGGCATTTACCAGATAAACAGGACCTGAGTAGGACCCCAATAACACCTACTGCAAAGAGGAACAATTATGCAGAAGCTTTACTTTTTTTTTTTTTTTTTTTAAAGATAGGGTCTTCCTCTGTCACCCAGACTGGAGTGCAGTGGTGCAATCATAGCTCAGTGCAGACTTGATCTCTCAGGCTCAAGTGATCCTCCCACCTCAGCCTCCTGAGTAACTAGGACCATAGGCACACTACCATGACCAGCAATTTTTTTTTTTCATTTTTTTTGGTAGGGATAAGGTCTCCCTATGTTACTCAAGCTGATCTTGAACTCCGGTGCTCAAGTAATCCTCCCACCTCAGCCTCCCAAAATGCTGGGATTAAAGGTGTGAGCTACCACACCCGGCCCACATTGCCTTTCTTTATACCATTCAATGTGAGATAGTGATACCAATGGTGAGAATATAGATTTTGGTCTTGCTGAGGGCTTGTGTCTTAGTCTGTTTTCTGCTGGGTAATTTATAAAGAAAATAAATTTATTTGGCTCATAGTTCTGGAGATTGAGAAGTCAAGAGCATGGCACTGGCATCTAGTGAGGGTCTTCATGCTGCATCATCCCCTGGTGGAAGGCGGAAGAGCAAGTGAGTGTGCAAAGGGGGCTGAACTCTTGCAATAACTGTAACCTACTCTTGTGATAATGGTGTTAATCTATTCATGAGGATGGAACCCTCATGGCCTAATCACTTCTTAAAGGCCTCACATCTTAATAGTGTTGCAATGGCAATGAATTTTCAATATGAGTTTTGAAGGGGACAACATACAAACCATAGCAGCTTGATGGAGTTGTGTTGGGAGACAATTCTTCAAGGGTCCCTTACATTTCTGCACATTTTGTGAACAGAGGCACAAACTGCTTTTGTATTGATTATCTTTTTAAGAACCTTTGCATTACGAACTGCCTTGGAAGATGGCATCTTCCTATGGAGCAGAGGACAGATTATTTACTGTCCAATATGATAAAGATAATGTCTGTTTGGGAGCAAAGTTTGGGAAGGTTTTCTTGCAGCCCATTATAAATGATTGAGGTTCCTTAAACTTGGGTTTTCTTTAGCTGTGATGTAAGTCCATGTGTGTGGAGCATCCATGCAGTTGCTTTGTGGAATTTGGTGGGTGTGTCGGGGGAAGGGGAACTAATATGAACGTGTAGCTCCTGCTCCTTTCTGTGCTCTGGGTGATAAAGTCCTTTGTCTCTGAGCCAGAAGTCTGGTGCCTTCTGTCAGCATTCATGCAACAGTAATAGGCTAATATGTTAATTTGCCAAGTAGAATATAATCTCAGACTCTTTATAGTTCTTGACAAGTTGACCATTTACTATTGAGGAATCATACTTCCCACGATGATTGGTTTATGATCACAGAAGAAAATATGTTCTTGTTTTCCAGAAAAATAAAGTAAGGAACTTTGATCCCTTTGACCATAGGCCAGCATTTATTATTAAAGTGTTTTTAAACCCCTGCTATTTGGGGATGTCATGACTAATGACTGGAAGCAGATTAACATGGAGAGTGGCCAGTCTTGGCATTTATAGGGGCTTTTCTTTTGTCTCTAACATCATGACTGTAGGTAGCCATCTTCTCTATCTTCTTAGGAGATAATACCTGGCCCTAAATCCTGTTTGCTATTTTGTGCCTTGGCAGGGCTGAGGGCAACCAAAGACTGTGTGTCCATCAGAGCTTCAGTGAGATGATGAGGCCTGTGGTGCGGTGGTCCATTGGGATCAATCACAAACCTTCCCCTGCCTGGGCAGAGGACTGCCAACTCCAGCTGACACAGAACATTGCCCTCCAATCTAGCTCTCAACCCCACCTCCTACATCAGGAGCTGTTTGCCTTCCTGTGACAAATCAGCTGGCATCTGGGAGCAAAGATCACAAAAAGGAGAGAGAGGATAGGGGAGCAAAGACGACAAGGAGGAGAGGGGAGGGATATGGGGTTGGGTTGAGAAGGTTACATGGGCCTCTGATTGCTTCAGGCAGAGAGCAGTGAGTTAAATTAAAGCCACCTTTATTAGAATCAGATTGTTGCTCCACTCCCATACTTACCTGACAGTGACTTTAGCAGTAAAGAATAAAAATACATAGAGTTTAAAATACTTGTCAGTGTATCACCTACTTGTTTGTTCTCTTTAATCAATTGTCTATAAGCTCAGTAAAGATGAGTATTCATTTTATAGCAGCTATGTGGGAGATCACATGACAAATTTAAAAAATGAGAACTCCAGTTCTAAATAATTAATGGTACATAGTCATGAAACTTTCATGCTTTTCGTAACTTGAGTTGTGGTCAGTAGATTCTCCTTTTAGTAATAATTCAAATAGTGGGCCCACCATGTTGTATGGCAACTGAAAAATGTTTGTTTGATTTTTGCATTTATAAGTTATTTCCTGATAATCTATAGTAATTCAGTTGTTATTATTATTATTATACTTTAAGTTCTGGGATACATGTGCAGTGCATGCAGGTTTGTTACATAGGTATACACGTGCCATGGTGGTTTGCTGCACCCATCAACCCGTCATCTACATTAGTTATTTCTCCTAATGCTATCCCACCCCTAGCCCCCACCCCCTGACAGGCCCCGGTGTGTGATGTTCCCAACCCTGTGTCCATGTGTTCTCATTGTTCAGCTCCCTCTTATGAGTGAGAACATGTGGTGTCTGGTTTTCTGTCCTTGTGATAGTTTGCTGAGAATAATGGTTTCCAGCTTCATCCATGTCTCTGCAAAGGACATGAACTCATCCTTTTTTATGGCTGCATAGTATTCCATGGTGTATATGTGCCACATTTTCTTTATCCAGTCTATCACTGATAGGCATTTGGGTTGGTTCCAAGTCTTTGCTATTGTGAAGAGTGCCGCAATAAACATATGTGTGTATGTGTCTTAATAGTAGAATGAATTATAATCCTTTGAGTATGTACCCAGTAATGGGATTGCTGGGTCAAATGGTATTTCTAGTTCTATATCCTTGAGGAATCACCACACTGACTTCCACAATGGTTGAACTAATTTACACTCCCACCAACAGTGTAAAAGCATTCCTATTTCTCCACATCCTCTCCAGCGTCTGTTGTTGCCTGACTTTTTAATGATCATCATTCTAACTGGCATGAGATAGTATCTAGTTTTATTCTAAAATATATTTCTAAATTATTAAAATACTTTCTGGGAGTTTGGGCATAAAGAATCACCCTTACAAAATAAAAAATCAGGAAATACCAAATGTCTTTTACTTTGTATTATCTTGACTAAGCAATTCACAGCAACTGCTTCTAATGGCTATTTGAAAAACTCTCTTCTGTATTTATATTTAAAATATGCAATAGTCATTATAGGTATTGGGAAATTTTCTTTGCTATTATTGTATTTGGTCTTCGTGGTCTGAAATGTCTGTGGCTCTCCTGCTTTTAGAATCCACCTTCTTGGCCCCTAGTTCACTGTATTCTAACATCAATACACCCAATATGGCATCATGAGATTCAACATTTTATAAAAGGCTTTTACTATCTAAAGCTAACTTTGTATATGTATTCCTTACCTTTTGCTGGAATATGTTCTTAGAGACCAAAATAAAATGAATGGTCAAAATGCAGATTGTACTGTTCCATAGAAACATTATGTTTGAGAACTATGCCCATGAGCTACCATTTGGTACTGAGTACATTTAGGTTCAATTACTAAATTCTCATGAAAGCAATGATATAACTGTTATAAATTTTATCATTATTTTGAATATTAAATGTATATTAGAAGTCTTCTGGGCAAAAATGACCATACCTAATGGGGACATAGGAGTGTAATGTTTAATATATAATATTCTGCATGTAATATATTTCATACATAATATAAACAGCATATTCATATATTATTCATATATTGACCTCTTGGGCTCAATCTGTCCTCCTACCTCAGCCTCCTGAGTAGCTGGGACTATAGGCGAGTGCAACCACGCCTGGCCAATTTTTGCATTTTTTATAGAGGCGGGGTTTCGCCATATCACCCAGGCTGGCCTTGAACTCCTGGGCTCAAGTGATCCGCCCACCTCCACCTCCCAAATTGCTGGGATTACAAGCATGAGCCACCACATCCAGCCTAGTATTACTTTTGTTTCAAAGTTAAACCATAAGCTAAATTCCTCCTGAAGTTAGGAAGAATGGCCTATGCCCAGGAATGACCAGGGACAGCTTGGGGCTCAGAAGCAAGACAGAGTCAACTATGTCAGATTTCTCTTGCTGACATAATTTTGCAAAGGCAGTTTCATTCTCGTCTAAAGAAAATGACGGGTTTGCCTGGAGAGGAGAGCGCTTCTCAGATGGATGTTGGGGCCTGATGAATATATGGAACTGAGTTAATACTGGTGTTCACAACAGAGATCAAGGAAAGAACAATTAGAATAAAAGTGTGTTTTGCCCAAAGCTCCCAGCTTTGGCTATTTTCTGACCATGAAGCTGCAGGGGAGTCAGCCTAATGAAGTACGGGAACATGGAGCTTGCAATCATCCTTCTGTGGGAAAGCAGTTGTGGGGCAGTATGCATATATAATGCTAGTTTTAGTTAAAAAAAAAAAAAAGGAGTCTAGCTATCTGAAGATCTAGAAGAATATGCCACAAACTATGGACAGAAGCTACTCCCAGGAAGTAGGAGTTTAGAGGGAGGGTGAGAGGGAATGAGGGTTGGGTTTTTCACTTTTTACTTCAGACATATATTGTTTGAAAATTGTGTCCATGAACAAATCTGTTATTTGTTTTATAAATAAAAACATTAAAATAATAATTGCACTAGGAAGATGTGGTTAGAAACACACACATATTTATGTCTGGAAAGATATACATCACAAATATCAGCAGTGTTTCTCTCTAAGCAGTACACTTATAGTAGAGATTTACATCCTTTATGCTTTTCTGCATTATCTAATATTTGGGATCCTGCTGTCAGAAATAGCCATTAGAGCAGCTAGACATTTGAAGGCATCAGTTAAATATTAGAGTTGAAAGCAATGACGTGCTGGTGTTTAACAAGGGGCTACCTGAGAAGAATGAGCATGCTGATTTGTGAGATTTGCTGACTTCTAAATACTCCCACCACAACAGATGCCACATGACCAACGTGGGGTCACCAATTGGAACAGGGAAGAGATGTGCACAATGGCCCTCTCTCCAGCTTGTGTGAGCCGGCTCCAACACACATCCTGTGGAGCGAGAGTTTGGTGAGTTGGGATTTACTGACTCAGATCCCCTGGCTTGATTTTCTTCTCTAGCCCACTCTCCTTGGTCACATGGAGAGCAGGCCCGAAAAGGCGAATTTGGGAGAGGTAGCTGCTTGCTGAGAGTGGACTTGAAGAGGCAGCTGCACTCTCTGGCGTCCTGGTTAGTCATGGGTCTATTGCAGAGAGGGGCCTTCATTTTGTTTTTATTAACAGAACAATTAGAACGGCTGACACCTCTTCCCACCACTGTTGCAAACACAGGCGGGGTAAAGGCACTTAGGAAGTAGAGGTATGGAGGCAAGCAGCAGACAGATGAAGCAAATTAAAGTCAACAGGTGCATCGAATGCAGGAGGCCCACCTGTATTCAATTCCAGTGAAGTTTGTCTGCTCAGTGTAAACAACTCAGTCACCCCCTCTTTTATTATCACTATAAGCATCCCATGCTCTCTGGCTATGCTCTGGTCATGCTTATCCCGCAGTGCTGCCTTTTATTTAGAAGGAAAATGGACTAAGCTGGAAAATCTGGCTGGCTGTACCCTTCAAAACTATAAAAGCAGGAAAAAGAAATTAGCCACATTCCTCTCCCTGCCCTCTTGTCTATTTATTGCCAGCATCTCCCCTTCTCCCGCCCCTGTGGAAACCTCTTGATTTCCATTGACTTTACATCTCACATGATGTCCCTTCCATGTAAGACCATAAGCATCATCTCTTTTTTTCTGAATAGAGAAAGCCTGTTCTTCCACTGGGCCATGTACCACTATTCCCTCCCCACCATGGAACATAGTGCCTTTGTCCTACATAGTCAGTATCCTCATTGCTCCTGAGTTTTCTTCAGTGGGGCCTAATAGCGGGAGATAAAATGATCTAGTTGAAAAGCAGAGGTAGGAGATGGGTAGCTAGGACTCTCATTATTTCTACATAAAGAAACCACAGGGGAAAAAGAGTGTCTTTGGTTGACTTCCGGGGAGTTGTTGCACTAGCCTAGGATGAGAACCACCCTTAAAAGAAAGCTTTGCATTTTTCAACACCTCGATTACATTAAAAAGTATTTGGGTCAACAACCGTTAGTATTCATTTGTATAGCTTTATTGTTTTTTAAAGGGAAGCATATATGTAAGGTTGATAGGTCGATAAACATTTGTATGCACTTACATAAATAGAAACACTTTATCTGCACACACATCATATACCAAATATTAATATGTTTACCTAAAACTAAAATTTTCCCATTAATGTTTAATTTAGATTTGAATATATTGGTCATCAGTGAGGGGGGAGTTGAGATGTTTTTGCTGTTTAAAAATAGGTTCTAGAGAACATCTGTATTTTCTTGATAGAGGCAGTAAGCCATTTCTGAGATGTGATGGTGAAAATAACAGAGTTATGTCATGAACCCACAGTTCTCATCTTATTTTACTTCTGCACATGCAGGAAAATTGTGCTATGGGCTCTTCATGGGCCACTGTGACAAAGGGGGTGGTGTAAGGGGTGGTTACAGGGCTTAAGAAAGCTGAACAGAATAAGGTGGTGGTGGGGGGGTGAGGAGAAAAGGGAATGTTAAAACTCAGTTTTATCCAAAAATAAAGAAATAAGATTTATTAATATTGTATATATGAATTGATAGGCATGCGTGAAAATAATTTGCATTTAATTTAAAACACTTATTGGGCAGGTAGGACCAGGTGCAGTAGACTACTGTGTAGCAGGTGGGATGGATACATTAGTGGACCATGGGCAGAAAGAGACAGAGAATAAAGTTTATCTGGTGGTGATAACATCAGGGAGAAGAATAGGTCAGGATGAGGGGGACTGTTCTTTTATGAGGAAGGGTCAGGGAGTGCCTCTCTGACAACAGACTGAATTTGAGCAGAGATGTAAAGAAAGGGACCAAACCACACAGATATCTGGAGGAAGAGCATTTTAGGTGGAGGAAGCAGCAAATGCAAAGGTCTTGCTGTGGGTGTACTTAATACATTCTAGGAAGAGCGAAGTGGCCAGTGTCACTGTGGGGGTTGGTCTGAGAAGTAGCTGGCCTACAGATCTGTCGGGCCCTGAGGCCATTGCCAGGACTTTGGCTTTTGCTTTGAATGGTGGGGAAGTCATGGGAGAATTTGGAGCAAAGAGCTGTTCTCATCTGACTTATATTGAAACGGACTAACTCTACTGTGTTAAGACTCAACAGTGAGGGCAGTGATGTGCAAGACCAGCTGGTAGTTCACTGGCCCCAGGAGCAGTTGTCCTGGCTTAAACCAGGTCAGCAGCAGTAGAGATGGTGAGAAGTGGTCAGATGCGGCTTCTATTTTTAAGGTGGTTCCAATACTGCAGGGCTGGGATCCTGGGAGGCAAGTGAGACACCTTGGGTGGAAAATTTAAGAAGAAACTCACCTGGCAACATGTCATTGAGTAGGTAAGAGGGGACAAGACTTAGTGCAGCAGTTGGCTTATTAGAACACAGACAATTACTTCATCTGTAGTAACTGGAGGGAGGGCAGAATATTTGGGCATGGAGCCAGTGGCTTGGCAGATGTGTGCATGGGAGGAAGTGGAGCTTCTTTTGATTACTCTAGTTTTTCAGTGAATTAGAAAGCAGGGTCATCAGCTGGGTGAGCTTTGAGAGAGATGGAGTTTTGCAACGAATGAAGAAGGGTGAAATAATCATGTAGGAGGGTGAAAATGAATGAACCAAGTATACGTAGCAGGGTTTTTCAGGTGTTACTAGGGGCTCCTTGAAGTAGCAGTTGCAGCACTGGCACTGGAGCTGTATGCTCAGAATTATTTACACATTTCTTTATTTTACCCATGGGGAGGCATGGAAACCATAGCTCTAGATCATATAGGATCTGCCAAATTGGCTTTACAATCCATGCTTGAAAATCTGCTTAAAAAAATTTCAACAATAGCTGCTACTCTATGTCTAAATAAATCATGTCTGAAAATAACCATTTGAAAATGATTAGTTTAAAAAAGAAATCAAGAACACAATCCTATTTACAATAGCATAAAAAATTATAAAATACTTAGGAATAAATTTAGCCAAGGAAGTAAAAGTTCAGTACATTGAAAACTGTAACACAGATGAAAGAGGTTAAACCCAGTATACTGTGTTTGTGGCCTGGAAGAATTGATATTGTTACAATGGGCCTACTACCCAAAGCAATATACAGCTTCAACATGATTCAACAAAGTCTTATGGACATTTTTCACAGAAATAGAAAAACCAACTCCAAAATATATAGATGAAAGACTTTCCCCGGGACCTAGAAGCTTGAGGGGGTGGGTGGCGAATAACTCCTACCTTCTCAAGCCCAGTCCCAAAGCGCAAGGTCACTTGTGCCAGCAGCGTCCATCAGCAAGATAGCAGAAGCAGGAAGAGAGCTGGCTGGAAGACATGTACTCCCTGAAGACTGAGAGAGAGGCCATCGGGGTACCGCGTAGCAGTTACATCAGACTGAGACGCTTCCTGTTTACAGGAGACTATAAAACCCCTGCTCTGTCCTCATTTGGTGCTGACGCCATTTTAGGCCTCAGCCCGTCTGCACCCAGGAGCTCATTAAAACAGTGTGTTGCTCCACACCGCCTTGTGTTGTTCATTGTCATGCTCTCAGGGTTCAAACCAATACAAGAGCCTTACGATATAAAAACAGAGAAGACCCCAAATAGCCAGAAAAAGCTGGAGAGAGAAAAACAAAATTGGAGGTATCACACTTCCTGATTTCAAATTATATTACAGAATTGTCATCAAAACAACATGGTACTGGCTTAAAAACAGACACAAAGACCAGTGGAACAGAATACAGAGCAGACATAAACAAAAGCATATATGGTCAGTGAATTTTCAACAAGGCCATGAAGAAGACACATGGAAAAAACATAGTTTCATTAATAAATGGGGTTGAGAAAACTGGATATCCACATGCAAAAGAATGAAACTGGACATTTATCTTATACCATGCACAAAAATCAACTCAAAATGAATCGAAAACTTAAATGTAAGACCCGAAATCATAAAAATTCTATAAAGAAATTGGAGAAAAGCTCCTTGATATTGTCCTTGGCAAAGATACTTTAGATATTACACCAAAAGCATGGGCAACAAAAGCAAAAATAAACAAGAAGAACTACATCAAATTAAAAAGCTTCTGCACAGCAAAGGAACTAATCAACAAGATGAAAATGCAACCTATGGAATGGGAGAAAATATTGCAAATAATAAGGGATTAATATCCAAAAATATCAAGAGCTCACACAACTCAAAAGTAAAAAAACAAATAACCTGATTAAAAAATGGGCAAAGAAGCTGAATAGACATTTTCCTAGAGAAGACACAAAAATGGACAACAGGTATATGAAAAATGCTCAACATCCCAAATTATCAAAGAAATGCAATTCAAAGCCACAATGAGATATCACCTCACACATATTAGGACAAGTGAACTGTTGGTTGGAATTTAAAATGATGCAGCCACTGTGGAAAACAATATGGTGGTTCTTCAAAAAATTAAAAATAGAATTACCATGTAAATCAAAAATAAAATTCTAAGCCCCCCCAACCAACTGTATGGACCCCTCCTCTCAGCCAGGGGCATTCCAAAGTTAACCTGAAAAACTAGCTCAGGCTGTAATGGGAAGAGGGGGTTAGATATGCCTCATTATGCTCTCCTCCCTTTGGAATTCAGGCACAACTGACCAACATTAACATTAAAACAGAGAGCTTAAGGCTGACAAAACAGACTCTGTAGCAACAAGACACCAAATTCCAACCTTACTCTGGTATAGCATCACATGACGGATAGCAGGACCTGAAAGAAATGGAAGTATTTTACTCCCAGATATGTTTCTTTGACATGTTTTGAAATGGCCCTGTAAAGCTGTCTCTTATGGGGAAAATCTACATTCTCTAGAGAATCCCCTTCTCCTCTTCCCTTCCAGGTCTTTTCCCTGATCCAGCAGAGAATTAACTAAGAGTCTGGCACCTTTTAAAGTCTTGTTTGTTTGTTTGCTTGTTTCTTATTTTTAACTTTTATATTAGGTCTGGGGGCACATGTGAAGGTTTGTTGCATAGGTAAACACGTGTCACAGGGGTTTCTTTTACATATTATTTCATCACGCAGGTGTTAAGCCCCATATCCAATAGTTATCATTTCTGCTCCTCTCCCTCCTCCCACCCTCCCCTATCAAGTAGACCCCAGTGTCTGTTGTTTCCTTCTTTGTCTTTGTAAGTTCTCATCATTTAGCTCCAAGTTATAAGTGAGAACTTGTGGTATTTGGTTTTCCCTTCCTGCATTAGTTTGCTATGGGTAATAGCCTTCAGCTCCATCCATGTTCCCGCAAAATACATGACTGTGTTCTTTTTTATGGCTGCGTAGTATTCCATGGTGTGTATGTACCACATTTTCTTTATCCAGTCTATCATTGATGGGCATTTGGGTTGATTTCATGTCTTTGGTATTGTGAATAGTGCTGCAATGAACATTCGTGTGCATATGCTTTTATGGTAGAGTTATTTATTTATTTATTTATTTATTTATTTATTTT
The DNA here is from genome assembly GCF_000001405.40 of Homo sapiens. NCBI lineage: Eukaryota > Metazoa > Chordata > Mammalia > Primates > Hominidae > Homo > Homo sapiens. The sequence goes on along the minus strand of NC_000007.14, from coordinate 106,755,029 downwards.
GAGATGGAGTCTCACTCTGTTGCCTAGGCTGGAGTGCAGTGGTGCAATCTCGGCTCACTGCCACCTCTGCCTCCTGGGTTCAAGTGAGTCTCCTGCCTCAGCCTCCCAAGTAGCTAGAACTACAGGTGCATGCCACCATGCCCCGGCTAATTTTTGTAATTTTAGTAGAGATGGGGTTTTACTATGTCGGCCAGGCTGGTCTTGAACTCCTGACCTCATGATCTGCCCACTGCAGCCTCCCAAAGTGCTAGGATTACAGGCATGAGCCACCGCACCTGGCCTACAATGATTTATATTCCTGTGGTTATATACCTAGTAATGGGATTGCTGGGTCCACAAAGTGGTAATTCTGCTCTTAGCTCTTTGAGGAATTGCCATGCTGGTTTCCACAATGGCTGAACTATTTTACACTCCCACCAACAGTGTATAAGTGTTCCCTTTTCTCTGAAACCTTGCCTTTTTAAGTCTTATAAGAAACATTTTAAATCTATTCTCTCTGAAGCCTGCTACGTGGAGGATTCATCTGCATAATAAGAACCTTGCTCTCCACAATCTCTTATAATAACCCAGACACTTCCTTCTATTGATTCCAGGTCTTTAGGTAATAACTAAAATCTTTCAACCAATTGCCAGTCAGAAAATCTTTGAATCCACGTATGACCTGGAAGCCCCCTCACCTGCTTAGAGTTGTCCTGCTTTTCCAGACAAGACCAATGTACATCTTACATGTATTGCTTGGTGTCTTATGTCTCCTTAAAATGTGTAAAACCAAGCTGTAGCCCAATCACCTCGGATACACATGCTCAGATCTCCTGGAGCTGCGTCATAGGCCAGGGTCACTCATGTTTGGCTCAGAATAAATCTCTTCAAATATTTTACAGAATCTGACTCTTTTCATCAATAACCATCTGGTCTAGCAATACCTCTTCTGGATATTTATCCAAAAAAATTGAAGGTACAAGATATTTGTACACCCATGTTCGTAGCAGCACTATTCAAAGTAGCCAAAAGGCAGAAGCAACCCAAATGTCCATCCACAGATGAATGGATAAAAAAAACACAATGGATTATATACTATTCAGCCTTAAAAGGGCAGAAAATTCTGACATATGCTGCACTACAGATAAACCTTGAGGACATGACGCTAAGTGCAATAAACCAGTCCCAAAATACTGTATGATTTCATTTATATGAGGTATCTAAAGTAGTCAAATTCATTTTATTTGTTTATTTATTATTATTATTTTTTTTGACTCAGAGTCTCACTGTGTCACCCAGGCTGTAGTGCAGTGGCATGATCTTGGCTCACTGCAACCTCCACCTCCCAGGTTCAAGAAATTTTCTTGCCTCAGCCTCCCAAGTAGCTGGGAATATAGGCATGTGCCACCACACCCAGCTAATTTTTTTTTTTTTTTTAGTAGAGACATGGTTTCGCCATGTTGGCCAGGCTGGTCTCGAACTCCTGACCTCAAGTGATCCTCCTGCCTTGGCTTCCCAAAGTGTTGGGATTACAGGCATGAGCCACGGCGCCTAGCCTCAAGTAGTCAAATTCATAGAGACAGAAAGTAGGTAATTGCTGAGGGCTGGGGGAGGAAGGATTAGAGAGTTGTCAAATGGGTATAGAATTTTAGTTTTGCATGATGAAAACGTTCTAGAGATTGGTTGCGTAACAATGTGTACACTTAACACTACTGAACTGTACAGTTAAAGAAATTAAGATGGTAAATTTTGTTATGTTTATTTCATTTTATAAAATAAAAGATAAATCGATACGTGTTGGCCAGAGTTGGGGTGAGAGATCCCTCACTCAGTGGCCTGTTACTTAAAAAAAGAAGGAAGTTAGTTGCCTTACATAGAGCAGGCCCTTCTAACAGTTCAAGGTAGCTTTGTGGTTTGTTTATTTTTAAAAAATCAGAACGGTGTGTAGCATGTACTATCTGCTAACCTTAATGTTTTTGTAGGAGGGCTTCTTTTTAAATTAAAAATATTTGCAATACCACTCATATCCAGGAGACATCAAGACATGTACCCAGAATGAGTGTTTTGACTCTGGTGGACAGCTAAACGGTGGGAAGTGCAGTTCTTGGTTCTGTCAGCAAGGCATCGTTTTTTGCTTTGTTTTTTTGACTCCAGAATTCCTGTAGTCTGAAATGGCTCCTTCCACCAGTCAATCTACTCAAATCTAGCTTAGCTGCACATCTCCCCATTTCCTTGTCCTAACTCTATTCCCCTTTTATTTCCAGCTGCACACCAGGTATGCACACCAGCAGCCTATGCCAACGTCTGTCAGAGGTGGCAAATTGTTGACTAAAATCTCCTGGAACTGCTTCCTGATTTAGCAGGAAAAAAAATTAGAATTTTCTTCACTGGGGGACAGAAGGTCAACATAGAATCATCAGCTCCTTTATCTGGATTCCTTATCTCTGCTCTTTTTGTTCTTTTACCTGCCAAGTTCTCTACACCCTCTCAGGTCTTGTGACTTTGCTGGCACCTGTTCCCTTGCTCTGACAGTTCCTGCTAAGTGTCCCCTTGGCCTGCTGATCCTCTGCTTGGGGTTAGCTCTGCATTCTGCTACAAGCAGTGGAGATAGGTGAATCCCAACTTCAGATTACATACCTGATTCTAGACACTTCTAGATCCTCCCCTAGACAACCTCTTTATGAAGGGTCTTCAGGCCACAGCTGTTTTCAACTCATAGCTTCTAATAGCAGGTATACATCAAAATCATCACTGTGAATTTTGAAAATTTTTAAAAAATTAGATGCCTTCTCTGAACAGGTCCAGAGTGGGGCTTGGGAGTGTGTCTTTCTAAAAAGCAACAACAACAAAACAAAAACCAAAAACCTACAGGGAAAACAGTTTGGAGATTTCTCAACGAATTAAAAATTGAATTACCATTTGACCCAGTGATCTCATTACTGAGTATGCACCCAAAGGAAAATAAATTGTTTTTCCAAAAAGACACATGCACTCATATGTTCATTGCAGCACTATTCACAGTAGCAAAGTCACAGAATCAACCTATGAGTCCATCAGCAGTGGATTGGATAAAGAAAATATGGTATGTATATACCATGGAATACAACACAGCCAAAAGAAAGAACAAAATCATGTCCTTTGCAGCAACATGGATGCAGCCAGAGGCCATTATCCTAAGTAAATGAACACATAAACAGAAAACCAAATATCACATATTCTCACTTATAAGTTGGAGCTAAAGATTGGGTACACATGGCCATAAAGATGGGCACAATAAACTCTGAGGTCTCCAAAAGCAGGAAGGGAGGGAGGGGGTCAGGGTTGAAAAATTACATTCTGGGTACTGTGTTCTCTCTTTGGGTGACAGGGTCAGTAGAAGCCCAAGCCTTAGCATCATGCAATATACCCATGTAACAAACCTGTGCATGCGCCCCTGAGTCTAAATAAGAAATTAATGAAAAAACCTCAGGGGATTCTGATGACATGTTTAGAGTTGGGAATAACTTCTTTGAAAGGAATCAGTTGTTGAAAGGACAATCCAACATTTGCCCTTCCCTGACTTGCCATCAGAGCTACTCTGCTCCATTGACTCTCACCCTCTTAGAGCCCCTGTGATTACAGACTTCCCTTATACAGGGGCAGGTAGAAGAAGACAATATTTAGTTTAAATTAGGGATAATATATTTTCATCACATGATCCTTCCACCATTATAACTAGTCTCTGGAGCTGAGCATTAGTGACTCTTGGACAGGTGAGTCACAGAGAACAAAAGTTAGATTTGTGGCTCTTGATTTCTAAAATAGATGCTTGAAATTTATGCCAGTGACAGTAGACTGGAAAGTCAAAGAATTCAATAGCAAGGGTCTGCCCTTTTGGGAGTCTATTCAGATCCAAAAACGTAAGGACTCAGTTCATGAAGTTTATGCCATAAACAAAAAAGCTGGGAAAATTCCTTGATGAAGGAAGAACCAGTGTTTCCACCTAAAAGGAGCTAACATTAGTCCAGCAATAAGGGAAGGAGAAGAAGTAGTCACTGCATCTTCAAGAAGGGATCTTGTGCTGCATCCCTGACTCAGCATAGCCACGGGAGGGGACCAAAGAGAAACTTGAGATAGGTTTAAGTCAATATCCCAATGGGGCCAGGCTTCCCAGAGAAGCCCTCTGCTTCAACAACGTGCAGCAGCCTGTGAGTGACGTGTGTCAACGAAGAGGACACTCGCCAGTCTGAGTCTCCCTTAGACCCAAAGGGCGGAAGACTTCCTACATTTCCCCCATTCCTCCAGGAGGGTTGCAGAAGCAGCAGAAGGAGGGATGATGGAGAAGGGACTCTGAGGCCACAAGGAGAGGATGCCATCACAGGGAGTGGCCTGAATGATACAGACTGGAGTTCATAGTTGGACACCTGGCCTCTGCAGCACAACAGATGCTACTGACTAAAGACCAGGCAAGGCCAGGCACTGTGGCTCATGCCTGTAATCCCAGCACTTTGGGAGGCTGAGGTGGGCAGATCACTTGATGTCAAGAGTTCAAGACCAGCCTGGCCAACATGGAGAATCCCTGTCTCTACTAAAAATACAAAAATTAGCTGGGCACGGTGGCACATGCCTGTAATCCCAGCTACTTGGGAGGCCGTTGCTGGAGAATTGCTTGAACCTGGGAGGTAGAGGTTGCAGTGAGTTGAGATCACACCACTGTACTCCAGCCTGGGCACCAGAGTGAGACTCTGCCTCAAAAAAAAAAAATAAATAAATAAAAGTTGAAGACCAGGAGGACAAGTCACATCTCAGCAGAGACTGGAGTGGACAGAGAACCATAGGATGTGATGGCCCCCTTCCCACAGGTGCTTACGCTTCTCTCTTCACTCACCTCCTTATATGGGCAGAACTCCAGGGGGAAGACGAAACACGGTTCCCTGGACTAACTGAGAAATGTCTAAAGTAATTGAATCTGTTTGGAAATGATGAGATCGCATTTTTGCCATCAGCAGAAATGGGGGCTTGAGATAAGATTAAGTTTATTAATTGGGGGGTCGGTGGGAGTTATGGGCCTGAGATTGCCAAACTGCAATCATTAGTTGATACACCAGAATCTAAAAGTAACGGTGAATTTCGTACACGCATTAATGATGAGATGATTCTTAATTGTATACACCACACTATGATGGACCCTTTGGAGATGCCGTGGTAAATGTGCTGACAGAGGTCCTCTGGGCAAGTCTAAGTCCCAAAGGAAGGTAAGAGCTGCTGCAAGTTTACGTAAGTTTTCAGAAGGCTGTCTTTTAGTGACAGAGAGAGCAACTTACTCAGGGATCCCAAGGTTTATTTCTATCTGAAGCCCAGACATGTATAGAGATGTCATTAGTGCTGATAGATGACTTTTTTCACTTTTTTATTGTATATATTTAAGGTGTACAACACGATGTTTTGATATACATATACATGGTGAAATGATTACTGCAGCCAAGCAAACTAACCTATCCGTCACCTTCCATAGTTACTTTGTGTGCAAATTTGTGTGTGTGTGTATGTGTAAGACCACCTAAACTCTACTGACTAAGCACATTTTCATTTCAAATACAATATTATTAACTGTAGTCCTCATGCTGTCCATTAGATCTCTAGACTTATTCATTCTACATAACTGCAAGTTTGTGCCCTTTGACCCACTTCTCCCTTTCACCATCCCTGGTAACCACCCGTGTAACTCTCTGTTTCTACATATTCAACTTTTTTTTTAAGATTCCACATATGAGATCATGCAGTATTTTTCTTTTTATGTCTGCCTTATTTCATTTAGCATAATGTCCTCTAGGTTCATCTATGTTGTTGCAAATGACATTATTGCCTTCTTTTTAAAGACTGAGCATATTTCTTTGTAAATAGATTTTAAAAATTGTGGTATAAATAGAGCTATGCCACAGTTCTTTTTATCCATTCATCTGTCAATGGGCATTTAGGTTTTTCCCATCTCTTGGCTATCATGAATAGTACTGCAATGAACATGGCAGCACAGTTACATCTACAGGGTGCTGATTTCATTTTTCTTGGGTATACACACAACAGAGGGGTTGCTGAGTCTTATGGTAGTTCTATTTGTAAGTTTTTGAGAAACTTTTGTACTGTTTTCCATAATGACTATACTAATTCACATTTCCACCAACAATTCACAGGGTTGCAATTTCCCCACATTCTCACCAACACTTGTTATTTTCCGTTTTTTAAAACCAGCCATCCTAATGGGTGAGAGATGATATCACATTGTAGCTTTAATTTGCATTTCCCTAATGATTAGTGATATTGAGTACATTTTCATATGTTTGGCCATTTGCATATCTTCTTTGGAGAAATATCTATTAGAGACCTTTGCCCATTTTAAAATCAAGGTTTTGTTGTTGTTGTTGAGTTATAAGAGTTTTAAAAATATATTCTGGATATTAATCCCTTATCAGACATATGATTTGTAAATATTTTCTCCTATTCTGTAGATTGCTTTTTCACTCCGTTGATTGTGTCCTTTGATGCACAGAAGTTGTACATTTTAATATAGTCCAATTCATCTATTTCCACTTATATTGCCTATGCTTTTGGTGTCATATCTAGGAAATCATTGCCAAATCCAATGACAGAGAGCTTTTCTCCTATGTTTTCTTCTAAGAATTTTAGAGTTTAAGGTATTATGTTTAGGTCTTTGATCCATTTTTGAGTTAATTTTTTGTATATGATATAAGGTAAGGGTCCAATTTCTTTCTTTTGGATATGAATATCCAATTTTCCCCGCACCATTTGTTGAAAAGACTGTCCTTTCCCCATTGAATCATCTTGACATCTTTGTCAAATATCAGTTAACTATATATATGAGGGTTCATATATGGATCTTAAAAACAGCTTTATTGAGATGTAATTCATGTGCCATATGTCGAAAGACAAAATCACAACAAAGTTAGTTTAAAGATCTTCATTGGCTTTTATTTGTGACTCTAGAATTGGGCAAGAGCTTATTCCATGAAATAGATTAAGTGTTCCAGTGAGCTGAGTACAGGAGTTTGGCTTTATAGACAGAAAAGGGTGGAGGAAAGCAAAAGCAGGAACAAAAAGTGTGTTGGTCGTTTCAAAGCTACTTTCCTTGTAAATGTTAAAGCAGAGGGGACTTCCTTCTCATGCCAGCTAAAAATAGTCTGTTTGGGGATTTGGCTATTATTTCTCTCCCTCTCTTGATTTCTTGAAAGGTCAGATAAACAACTTAGTTTTGGCTCAGTTCAAACTAATGGCCTCCTATAATTATTTTTTCTTTTGAGAGGAGATCCTGCTCTATCACCCAGGATGGATTGCAGTAGTGCAGTGGTGCTGTCGTAGCTCACTGTAACAATTGTTAAATCAAGGTTAGCCTAAAGCTGCCTCCTTACATATTTTAAGTTCACTCTAAAGGTTTCTCTGTCATTGTGAACTATAACCTAAATGGAACTGTAAACAGACTGTAGCCTACTCTTGTGCCAATCACTGAGTTTTGGCCAAAGGTGGCCAACTGTTCAAACTGTGTTCAAATAAGGCAGATGCCAACCTGTAGCCAATCAAGCTGTTTCTGTTCCTCACTTTCATTTTCTGTAAGTCATTTTCCTTTTTCTGTCCATAAATCTTCTTCCACCATGTGGCTGCACTGGAGTCTCTGAGCCTACTCTCACTCAGGAGGCTGCCTGATTCACAAATTGAATTGTTCTTTGTTCAGTTAACGCTTTTAAATTGAATTCGGCTAAAGTTTTATATTTAACATCTTGAACTCCTAGGCTCAAGTGATCCTCCTGCCTCATGTTCCTGAGTTGCTGGGGTTACAGGCCTGAGACACTGCATCCAGCCAAATTTTATTTAACACATATAATTTACCCATTTGAAGTGTACAATTCAATGAGTTTTTAGCGTATTCAGAGACTTATGCATTCATTGCCACAATCAGTTTTAAAATATTTTTGTCACCCCAAAAAGAAACCCCATATCCTTTAACTGTAAACTTTCCACTGCCTACAACACCCTCTACCAGCCTTAGGCAAGCATAAATAAACTTTCTGTTTCTATAGATTTATCTATCCTGGACATTTCGTAGAAATGGAATCATACAATATGTGGCCCTTTGTGACTGGCTTCTTTCATTTACCATAATGTTTTCAAGATTCACCCACACTGGAGCATGTATTATTACTTCATTCCCTTTTGTGGCTGAATAATATTCTATAATATGGATATATCACATTTTGTTTATCCATTCATCTGCTGATGGACATTTGGTTTGCTTTCACCTTTTGGCTATTGTGAATAACATTGCTATAAATATCTGTATAGTGTGTAAGTTTTTGTGTGGACAAATATTCTCATGATTCTTGGGGTATACAGTGAAATTGCTGGGTCATATAGGAACTATGCTTCTTATGTGGATTTTGAATATGAGAGGAGAACTGGTTTCCAGGAGAAGGAATAATAATCTGGTGAAGAAGAAAGAAAAATTTGGGTTTCAGAAGGTCAAAAATGACTGAAATTAAGTAGAGCCAGAAATTATTAGTTCATAAACTATTTTAAAATTCACATCCAGAAGTATTAGTTTATCAGGTTCACATTCCTTGGACATAGTATCAACAAAGAGGCTAAGCTAGAGTTGATAAAATAGGAGAAGTTCAGTAAGAAAGGAAATAACTGATGTGGTATATCCCATGATAAAAATAAGGGAAATAAGTGAAAAGGAATTGGTCAGTGGCAGTCCTTTGATTTCCTTTAAAGTCAAGGATTGTAAACTCTCCAATCCTGAAGGTTTTACGTAGTCAGAAGAAACAATAATTTAGAGGGGCCAGGTGTGGTGGTTCATGCCTATAATCCTAGCACTTTGGGAGGCTGAGGTGGGTGGATCGATTGAGCTCAGGAGTTCGAGACCAGCCTGTGCAATATGGAGAAACCCCATCTCTACAAAAAAAATACAAAAAATTAACCTGTAGCCCCAGCTGCTTGAGGGGCTGAGGTGGGAGGATCACTTGAGCCCAGGAAGTTGAGGCTGCAGTGAGCTGAGATCGCACCACTGCACTCTAGCCTGGACAAAGTGAGATCCTGTCTCTTAAAAAAAAAAAAAAAAAAAAAAAAAAAAGAAAGAAAGAAAAAGAAAAAAGAATTTAGGTTGATTCACAAACTCAAATGCCCATGGGGTCAGGAAAGTAATGTAAATTAATGGATCAGTCTTGACCACAAGACAATAGGGAGTGGTGTGCAATGTGGTGGTCTGGGGACGCATGCTTATCTAAAGCCATTGAAATTTAAACTTTTTAAAAATACTCCGACAGCCAATCAAAACATGTCTGCAGGTGAACCCAGCCTTCAGTAACTAGTTGTAATTTCTAAAACAAAATAATGGGGAGGGGAGGGATATGGCACAATTAGGGATGTTTTCCCTTTCTAGGCCAGGCCATTCTTTGAGTTTTACAAATATAATAAAATATTTCAAGATATCAAGAGGGAGGAACCAAAAGGGTCACTGTTCCCAGCAGCCAAGTGTGGCCAGTAGGATGCGATCCTTAGTAACATGCAACTTTCGAGTTATGCCTTTCAAAGGAAGAACGTTCTCTCTCTTTCTTTCCCTTCTCTTTGGCTCACCAGACACAGTGGTGGGATATTTTGGACAATGCAGACAAGAGTAACAGCCTAGGGATGTCAGGGCAAAAAAATAGAAATGGCCTCAACTTTGTAGTGCGGACTAGCCATACCCGCGCAGGCATTTATTTTAGAGAGAAATAAAGTTCTAACTTTTTTAAGCTACTGCTATTTTGGGTCTAGCAAATGCAACCAATTCTATACCATAAGTAGAATATAACCACACGGCTAATTTCATTTATTATATTAGTTAAGGTTCAGTTACAGAGAACAGATTTAGGAAGATTATGACAAGGAATTAAATGGTTTGTAGGAATGTTGTGAAGAGCAGATGCTAGAGTGAGCTTTTGGAAATGACTCTGAAAACCACACAGCAAAATGGTGTCACCATGGCAGCTGCTATGTCTTCCACGTCAGAAAGCCACTGCTACAGAAAAATGCAGGACTGGCAAGGATGCCACAACAAACAGGAAACTGTCATTACTGCTGAGGGCTCTGGAACCTCAGCCTATGCTATGATCTGCTCCAGTAACCTGGTACCTTGTGCCTGTGCGTGACATCCACAAAACTAAAGAGTGCACTAGGACCTCTGCTAATTTAGCTGGAGAGAAATTAGTTACTTCCAACTGTGCCTGCTAGCAGAAGCCACAGAAGCTCTGCCTCTGCCTTCTTTTTGCCTTCCAAAAACTTGCATGAATGCATCTGATTGGCTAAATCTAAATCTCCTTTAAAATCCTGTCTGCTAGGGAATCTGGGAAATGTAGTTTTCAGCTTTCTAGGCTCTGCAGTTCAATAAGGCACACTAGAAACACAGTACAATGAATGTTCAGTACCAATCTACCATATATACACAGTATCCCCTCATAAGAATGGTGCCTGCCAGAACTGAGATACACCAAGACTGAACTCAAAGGAAAACTCATACCCTTATATGCTCTAATTAGTAACCAGAAAGAGAAAATAAATGAACTAAACATTTAACTCAAGGAGCAGGAAACAGAACAACAAGCTTAACCTAAAAAATACAGATAAATTATTTTTAGATAAAATCTTAAACTACTTTTAAAGCAGAATGACTAGTAAATTAAAAGCTTGTTACAAACACAATAAAATATAAAAGTCTCTAGAAGAAAACACACATAACATTCAGAATGGTAAAAGGGACAACCCATATATACAGAGGGAAAAGTTTTAGACATTTCAGTATTTAAAATAGGACAATGAACTCCTATGTACCCAAGAGTCAACTTCAACAATCATCAACACATTGCCATTCTTGTTATTTATCTTGTCTCCTTTCTCCCTCCCTCTTTTCCTGACTCTCCCCAACTTATTTTTCCCTTGGAGTATTTTAAGGAAATTCATACAATATAGTATTTTACTTATAAATACTTCAGTATATATCACAAACAAATTAGGACTTTAAAAATTTGAACCTTAACCATAATAAATACCATTACACTGAACAAAAGTAATAGTAATTTCTTTGTATCATCTAATACTCAGTCTGTGTTCAACTTTACCTTAAGTTCTCAAACTCTTTTAACAACTGTTTTGTTCAAATCCATGTGCAAACAAGGTCTACACACTGCAGTTAGTTAATTTGTTGTTCAGTCTTCAAGTCTAGAATAACTATCCTGCTCATTTTTCCCATAGGTCATTTTTTGTTAAAGACACATAGTCATATGTACACTGAATTTTCTAATTCTCAATTTGACAGATTGCATCCTCATAAAAAAGATAATTTTTAAAAGGAGAGCTGGGCGTGGGGACTCATGCCTGTAATCCCAGCACTTTGGGAAGCTGAGATGGGAGGATTGCTTGAGCCTAGGAGTTTGAGACCAGCCTGTGTGACACAGTGAGACCTCGTCTCTATTAAAGAAAAAAAAAAAGGAGAGAGAGAGAGAGAAAAAAGATTAGATATAATTCTATGATGATAAATTTAAGTACTTTAGGAAAATGAGGGATTTTCTAAGAAAATAAAAAGTTCCAAAATTTACTTACAAACAGGTGGAAATAATAAATAGATCCCAAAAAGGCATTGGAAAAAAATTTAAAGAATTATCAAAAAAAAAGTCCCCATACCTAGAGGTTTTATGGGTAAGTTCTTTCAAATATTCAAGGAGCAAATAATTTGTTTTTATTTTTAAGATCTTTAAGAGCATGTAGAGAATATAGAAATCTTCCCAATTCATTTTACAAGATTACCCAGAAAATGATTCAAAAGTTTGAGAAGAACAGCATAAAGATGAAAACTACAAACCATCATCTTACAAATATATATATATATTTGGAATATATATATTTACATATATTTATATATATATTTGGAATATATATATTTACATATATTTGTATATATATTTGGAATATATATGTTTATATATATTTATATATATATTTGGAATATATATATTTATATATATTTATATATATTTATATGTATTTATATATATATTTATATATTTATATATATTTATATATTTATATATATTTATATATGTATTTATATATTTATATATTTATATTTATTTATATATTTATATATATTTATATATATATTTATATATTTGGAAAAGAGAATAATAGCAAAATGTTAAAAGAACCATGCACTATAAGCAAATAAGTTTTATCCTAATGATTTAGAGATGATTCAGTATTAGGAAAATTTATTAAGTAATTTAACACGTCAATAGATTAAAGGAGAAAAACCACAAGAACATCAAAATAGATGCTAAAATGGCATTTAATAGAATTTAATAGAATTGAACATTCATTTCTCATTAAAAACAAATTTGGCAGACTAGGCATGAAAACATAATAACAAATTTCAATCTTAAAAGTCGATACCATACTACTCTGAGCCTATGATCACCACTATTATTTAACATTTTCCTTGGAGGGCTAGCAATTATAAAGCAAGAAAAAGAAATAAACTGTGTAACCTTGAGAAAAATATAAAATTATTATGTTTATCTCCTTGAAAATATACAAGAGAATCAACCAAGAACCATCTAGAACTAAGAAAAAAGGTTCAGTTGTTTTCCTCTATATCATTTATCTCAGAAAATGTAATAGAAAAAAATGTCATCCCCAATAGCAAAAAATAATACAATACATGGGAACAAATGTAGCAAGAAATATATATGTCCCCAAATGAAGAACACTGCAAAACATTATGAAGGTTTTAAAAAGACAGTCATCAGGCACAATTAAAAAATTAGCCGGGCATGATTGTGCATGCCTGCAGTCCCAGCTACATGGGAGGCTGAGGCAGGAGGATCACTTGAGCCCAGCAGGTCGAGACTGCAGTGAGCTGTATTTGTGCCACTGCCCTCTAGCCTGGGTTACAGAGAGAGACCCTGTCTTAATAAATAAATAAATAAATAAATAAATAAAATTAATACATGGAGACATATTCATGTTCCTGAATCAGAAAATGATGTGGTAAAGATGCAACTTCTCCCTCAAAGTAGTCTATCAGTTTTAGCAGAAGGATAAAGGACACGGACATTACCAGAGGACGTGATATCCAAGCAAACTGAGCTGCAATTCATTTTTTTGTCTGTTTGCTTTTACCATCACTGCTTAAAACTTTTACATTAAATATTTTTAGATGGAGCATGCACTATATTATTCTGGCATTCCCTTTTGTTTTAAACCCCGTGGCTCCACACATTTAGGATACCTATGTGACTGCTGATTTAATGCCATCCCTACTCAAATCCAGGCATGGTATTTTCTAGATAATAACAATATGATGCTTCACTTTTTCTGAAAGGATAAACAATACAGACTGGTCAGGGCTGGCTACACAATTTTCAGGACCCAGTGCAAAATGAAATTGTGGAGCCCCTGGTACAAAAAGAAGAGAAAAAGTGCTGTTACAGTTATTAAAACACAAAACCCATTCCTTTCTTTTCTTCAATGTTCTCTTTCTCAACCAGTCATGATGTTTTACATTTGCTATTTAATGTTGTTCTAGGTAAAGAAAATTGGAATTTTCAATTACTAGTATGAAATTTTCTGTTCATCTATTTTATTTTATTTTATTTTATTTTATTTTATTTTATTTTATTTTATTTTATTTTATTTTATTTTATTTTATTTTATTTTATTTTATTTGAGACAGAGTCTGACTCTGTAGCCCAGGCTGGAGTGCAGTGGCACGATCTCGGCTCACTGCAACCTCTGCCTCCTGGGTTCAAGTGATTCTAGTGCCTCAGCCTCCCGAGTAACTGGAATTACAGGTGCCCGCCACCTTGCCTGGCTTTTTTTTTTTCTTTTGTATTTTTAGTAGAGACAGGGTGTTGCCATGTTGGCCAGGCTGGTCTCAAACTCCTGACCTCAAGTGATCCACCCACCTCGGCTTCCCACAGTGTTGCAATTACAGGCGTGAGACACTGTGCCCAGCCTTTTGTTCATCTTTCTATTATGCAATGCCAATTTTAAATGCAAATATAGTAGCCCTTTACTCATATGTGTCATCACTGAAAATACACAATTTATATTTTGTAGCTTGCACATGCATGTTTTTTACTGTTACACAGCAGTGGAAATGCTGTATAAAACATATTTAACTCTTTTTATTTCACCTCTCTATATCGCTTCATGCACATTCTACCAACACACTCTACCCTCAGCTTATTGATGAGTAAAGAAGGACTGAAAGGACATAGAACATGGGTTGCCCTATCTTTCTGTTTCCTTCGATGTCATCATTTTTAGCATAAGTGATTAGCTAATGCAGGGAAATAACATAAGTAAGAAAGGATACGATAGACTTACTTGGTTATTTGTATTATTAGAATGCCTTCTTTCTGCATTTGAAGAATGAAAAGGGTTACCTCTTGTAACACACCTACTTTGTACTTGCTTTGAGTCTCACTGAACTCCTATGCATCATCGTCCCACCAGAATTCTATGCTTATAGGGAATTGTGAATGTTACATACAAATGGGACAGCAAGGAATGATAGGCACACGCGTATGAATATCTTTTCAGCTCACATGCATGCGCCTTTGTCCCATTGGACTTCACTTATAAAACAAAGTTGAAAAAATAAATGTATTAAGAATTTCAAGGCTGTGTGCAGCGGCTCATATGTATAACCTCAGCATTTTAGGGTGCCAAGGCTAGAGGATCACTTGAAGCCATGAGTTTGAGACTGCAGTGAGCTATGATTGTGCCATTGCACTATAGCGTAGGTGGCAGAGAGAGACCCTATCTCTAAAAATTAAAGAAAAAAATTTAATAAAAATAAATAGATAAAAGAATTTTAAGACAGTGACAGCAGAGCATTAAAAACCACATATGGGGCCCTTTTGAGCCCTGGGCCCTGTTAGACTGCATAGGTCACATGCCCATGAAGCAGGGTCTGAAACTAGCTCACCATTTTTAGGAAGGAAGAGTAATGATAGAAGGGACTTGCTTTACATAATTTTACATAATACTATGTAGTAAAGGATTTGGTTCTACCTAAGTGAGGTCTGGCCTTTGCCCTTGGCTTCTAGGAGGTAGTCAATGACAAAAGTGTCTTTGTTTTTAGGGTGCGAACTGACCACTCTTAATTTTAGAGTGGGGCTGGCCGTGCCGGAAAGATCAACCATGTGATTTACGGTGGAGGCCTTGGTCATCTGGTATCAGTCCACCTTGAGACTGAGTTCAGCCACATGGGGAATCAATCAATCATGCCTACATAACAAAGACCCAGTAAAAACTCTAGACACTGAGTTTGGATATCTTTCCCAGTTGGCAATACTCCATGCATATTGTCACACATTGATGCCAGGAGGGTAATGTGTCCTGACTCCATGGTGAGGACAATGGAAATTTTGCATTTGGAACACTCACAGACTCTACCCTGTGTCTGTCTTCCATTGTCTAATTTTAATCTGTATTCTTTCTGTGTAATAAACTATAACTGTGAATATAATAGCTTCCAGTGAGTTCTGTAAATCACTCTACAGAATTATTAAATCTGAGGGTCATTTTGCAAACCCCTCAAACTTGCAGTCAGTGTCAGAGGTGAGGGTAGTCTTGGAGACTGTGCCATTAAACTTTACAGTTTGGTTGACTCCAGGTAAATACTATAGAGCAAAAATAATGAAAATGGTACACTGTTGGTGCAAGAGTAAATAAATTAATAGCGTAATGGAGAAAATGTAGAAACACTGAACTCTACATAAAAAATTAGTATATGATGAAATAGCAGTTATTTTATTTTAAATTTTTTTTACACAAATAAGTTCTTTAGCAGTGATTTCTGAGATTTTGGAACAACCGTCACCCAAGCAGTGTACACTGCACCCAGTGTGTAGTCTTTTATCCCTCACCCTCTTTCCCCGCTTTGCCCCAAGTCCCGAAAGTCCACTGTGTCATTCTTATGCCTTTGCATCCTCACAGCTTAGCTCCCACTTATGAGTGAGAACGTATGATGTTTGGTTTTCCATTCCTGAGTTACTTCACTTAGAATAATGGTCTCCAGTTCCATCCAGGTTGCTGCAAATGCCATTATTTTGTTCCTTTTTATGGCTGAGTATATAATATTTTCAGTATTCCATGTATTATACACCATATTTTCTTTATCTGCTCATTAATTGATGGGCATTTGGGCTGGTTCCATATTTTTGCAATTGTGACAAAGTAGCATTTTAAATCAATGAGGACAGGAAGGGACTTTCAATAAATGATGCTGTAACAATTGGCTTATCATTTAGAAAAGTTTTCTGCTTTAGAACACACAACTCCACATGTATTAAGAATATAAATGTGAACAATAAAAATATAGAAAAGATATCTGTGTAAAGAAGTTATTTCTATGCTTAATGGCAAAATTTTAAAAAAATTGAGAGATTTGATTATTTAAAATGAAAACAGTTCTGATCAGCAGATAATCTGCACAAACAAAATCAAGTCAAATGAAAAACTGGAATCATACATTTGGAATACATAATACAGAAGAAGGATTAATATGTTCTACACACACACACATTTTATACATATATATATATATTTTTTTTTTTTTTTTTTTTGAGACAGGGTCTCACTCTGTCACCCAGACTGAAGTGCAGTGGCACAATCTTGGCTCCCTGCAGCCTTGACCTCTTGGGCTCAAGTGATCCACCTTGGTCTCCCAAAGTGTTGGACGTGAGCCACCACACCTAGTATATTCAATATGTTTTTTAAAGCCCTTACAAATCAACAATGTAAAAAAACTTGTGGGGAGCCTGAGGGAATTCGCCCATACAAATAAACACAAATATCCAGTAAACACTCACAAATTGAATTCAACCTTAAATGACAGAAAAATACAAATTAAAACAATTAGAAGGTATGAATTTTTACTTATAGCAAGTATCGTTTAAATGATAATACCCAGTTTTTTTTAATTATACTTTAAGTTTTAGGGTACATGTGCACAATGTGCAGGTTTGTTACATATGTATACATGTGCCATGTTGGTGTGCTGCACCCATTAACTCGTCACTTAGCATTAGGTATATCTCCTAATGCTATCCCTCCCCCTTCCCCCCACCCCACAACAGGCCCTGGTGTGTGATCTTCCCCTTCCTGTGTCCATATGTTCTCATTGTTCAATTCCCACCTATGAGTGAGAAAATGTGGTGTTTGGTTTTTCGTCCTTGCGATAGTTTGCTGAGAATGATGGTTTCCAGCGTCATCCAGATAATAGCCAGTTTTGATAAATATTCAGAGAAATAAAACTTTCTCACTGGACCAACAGGGGTGGATATTAGTACAGTTTTTTTGGAGGACAATGTGATAATGTGTATCAAATGTCTTTAAAACATTCATGTCCTTTGAACACATAGAAATGTACTCCTAATAAACAATTATGAATTATTTGTCTATGAGAATATTCATAATAACACACTAGGAAACAACCAAATGTCGAATAATATGGGAACAGTTAAATACAGCTACCATGTAGCCATGAAAAATGATGTTGGAGAATAACAGCATAGAAGAATGATGTCCACAAGATGGCAGAATAGGAAGTCCCAGCCCTCATTCTTCTACAGAAACACAGATTTAATAATGATGTAAGTAACAAAATACCTTTATGAGAAGACTAATTCTAATTAACAGCTTGCAGTACCCTTGGATAGGCACAAAACCAAGAGCAGCTGTGCTGAAACAGATAACAAAATGAATTTCACTTTATCTACATCAGCCCCTTGCCCAAATCAGCACAGTTCAGTGACTCCTCCTTTGTGGGGAGTGGGGGAGAGTGGGGAAAATGTCCAATGGTTCCCAGCCTTTCAAGATGCTCCCCAAGGGGCTAGTTTAGCACACACAGAGTGTTGAAAAGATTGGTATTGTTACAGTAACTAGACAGGCATGAGCAGGGCAGGAGAAGGCTCTCCCCCAACCCACCAGGAATGTCAGGTGTCCCTCAGGTGATGGTTCGGCAGTTACCACACTGCTTCCCTAAAAATGATAATTTGGCAGCTGTTGCCAAAGGGCTGGTTTATGCTCTGCGTCACAAGGAGTGAAGAAAATGAAATAGTCCAGATTCCTGGGGCAGGTGTTGCTGGCATGGCTCTGAGAGATTGGGATAATGCGCATAACTGAGGCTTCTCCCTTAGGAAAGAAGGGAAAGAAAGGAAACTGTGAAAGAAGCCTTTCACAGTGCTGATTGAGAGGCCAGTTTCGATCTTGCCTCACACAGATCACTGATGGAACAGACACAGTCAAACACCAGAGGGAGCAAGAGATATGGGCTCCTGAAAGAAAAACGCTGAATACCTAGAGCAGCTAGGAATGAGGGCCCTGAATCTCTAGCTGAGTTGATTGATGAAGGCCTTTCCTAATCAAAGCCAGTCTGTAAAGACTGTGAAAAGGGACTGTTTTTTCAGGTGTACAAACACCAATGCAAAGCTACAAGGACATGAAGAATCAGGAAAATGTAACACAATTAATAGAACGAAAGAAATCTCCAGTAACTGATCATAAAGAAATGTAAATTTATGAACTGCCGGACAAAGGATTCAAATAATCGTCTTAAAGAAGCACAGCAAATTGCAAGAGAACACAGATAGACAACTACAAGAAATCAGGAAAATGATACATGAACAAACTAAGAATATCAACAGAAACAGAAATTATGAAGAACCAAACAGAAATTCTGAAGCTGAATATAATAACTGATCTTAAAAATTCACTAAGGGGCTTCAATAGTGGACTTGATCAAGCAGAAAAAAATAATCAGGAAACTAGAAGACAGGTCATTTAAAATTATCCAGCCAGGAGAGCAAAATGAAAAAGAATGGAAACAGTGAATAAAGCCTAAGGGAATTATGGGACACTATAAAGTGAAACAGTTTATGCATTACGGGAATCCCAGAAGGAGAAGAGTGAAAAAAAAAAGAAAGCCTATTTAAAGAAATAATGGCTGAAAACTTCCAAGATCTGGGGAGATAAATAGCCAGATTCATGAAGCTTAAAAAAATCCCAAATTGGATGAACCCTATATACAGAGACATATTATAATCCAATTATCAAAAGCTGAGACAAAGAAAAATTAAAAAACAAGAGAAAAGTGACTCATCATTTACGAGAAGCCCCCATAAGACTGTCAGTGGATTTCTCAGCAGAAACCTTGTGGGTCAGAAGGGAGTGAGGTAATCTATTCAAAGGGCTGAGTGGGGGTAGTGGGGGAAAAACACCCTGCTAGCCAAAAATACATTACCTGTCAAAACTGTCCTTCAGAAATGAGGGAGAAATAAAAAATGTTCCAGACAAACAAAAAATGGAGAAATTCCATTACCACTAGACCTGTCTTACAAGAAATACTAAGTGGAGTTCTTCAAGTTGAAATGAAAGGACACTAAACAGCAATATGAAAGCACACGAAAGTATAAAACTTAGTAGTAAAAGTAAATACATTGACCAACACAGAAAACTGTGGTAATGTAATGTTGGTGGATACATTTAGCTCTAGTATAAAAGTTAAATGAAAAAAGTTTAAAAAATAACTATAAATATGAAAATTTATGGATAGATATACAATATTAAAAGAAGATAGAAGCTGGGTATAGTGGCTCACACCTATAATTCTAACACTTTGGGAGGCTGAAGATTGCTTGAGCCCAGGAGCTGGAGACCAGCCTGGGAAACATGGCAAGACTTTGTCTCTACAAAAGAAACAAAAAAATTAGCTGGGTGTGGTGGCACAGGCCTGTAGTCCCAGCTACTTGGGAGGCTGAAGCAAGATGATCACTTAAGCCCAGGAGGTTGAGGCTGCAGTGAGCCATGTTCAACCTAGGTGACAGAGCAAGATCATGTATCAAAAAAAAAAAAAAAAAAAGATTTAAAGTGTGACATCAATAATATAAAGTGTGTGTGTGAGAGATATAGAGTTTCTGTATACAGTGGAAGACAAGTTATCAGTTTAAAATAGACTACTGTGTTTCATGCAATCAAGGTAACCACAAGGAAAATTCCCATAGTAGACATACACACACAAAAAAGAGAAAGGAATCAATGCAAATCACTATAAAAAGTCAATAAATCACAAAGGTAAACAGAAAAAAGGGAAAGAGAAACAAAAGAAATACAAAACAGAAAGCAATGACAGTAGTAAATCCTTACTTATAAATAACTACTTTAAATATAAATGAATTAAACTCCTAATCAAAAGACATAGAGTGGCTGAGTAGATGAAACAACAAGATCTAACAATGTGCTGTCTACAAGGGACTCACTTTAGAATCAAAGGCACACATAAGCTGAAGGTGAAGAGATGGAAAAAGACATTCCATGCAAACGTAACCAAAAGATAGCAGGCTGGCTATACTTATATCACACAAAATAGACCTTAAGAACTATCACAAGTGACAAAAAAGGTCACTATATAATGATAAAAGGGACAATTCATCAGGAAGATATAACAATTATAAATGTATATGCACTTAACATAAGTGCACCTAAATATATAAAGCATACATTGACAGGTTTGAAAGGAGACATAGCAATACAATAGTAGTGGAGGACTTCAATACCTCACTTTCAACAATAGAACATTCAGACAGAAAATAAATAAGAAAACAGTGCTGCACTGAAACAATACCATGGACCAGATGGATCTTACAGACATACATAGAACATTCTATCCAATAGCAGCAGAACACATTCTTCTCAAGTGTACATAGAACATTCTGCAGGACAGATCACATGTTTGGTTACAAAACAAGTTTCAACAAACTTAAGAAGACTAAAGTCATACCAGGTATCTTTTCTAACCACAATGCAATGAAACTAGAAATCAACAACGTAAGAAGAAATGGAAAATTCTCAAATATGTGATTGTCCCTGGATAACTCCTATTCATCCTACAATGCTCAGTTTAGGAGATGCCCCTTTTGGTTATCTTTCTTCATCCTCCCATGCCCATCTTACCAGTTCTCATAGCTCTTCCTTTCTGTGGAGGGAGCACTTGATAACCTGCACAGCCCTTGATCACAATGCTTATTAAACTATACTGTAATTCAGTTTGCTTAGAATATAAAATCTTTGAGGGCAGGAACTGAGATGATCACTTTTGTATTTGGAGTACCTAGCAAGTGCCAGGTGCTAGAGTTCAATGAATGTTTGCCAAACAAAGGAATCATTCTCAATGTTAAATCCCACATTCCTATTTAATAAGAACTCCAGGTTCATCTTATTTCATTTTTAAATTCTCTCATTATTCCAAACTCAAAATTAATGTTTATGGGGGCCTGAAAGTTCATTTAAACTCGTAAATCAGGCTAGTGTTGGGCCTCAGGTGAAGTAGAGTGTCCCTCTAAAAGCATTCAAATTTTAGAAGTTTTGTTTTTTTATTTTTACTTATGATAAAAATATATAAAATTTATCATCTTAAGTGTACAGTTCAGTAGTATAAAGTATATTCCCATTCTTGTGCAATAGATCTCTAGAACTTTTTCATTTCACAAAACTGAAACTTTATACATGTTAAACAACAATTCCCTATGTTCCCCCTCTTACCAGCCCCTGCCAACCAACATTCTACTTTCTGTATCCATGCATTTGGCTACTTTAGATAACTCATATGTGTGGAATCATACAGTATTTGTCTTTTTATGACTGTCTTAATTCGCTTAGTATAATGTCTTCCAAGTGCATCCATGGTGTAGCACGTGACAGGATTTCCTTCTTTTAAAAGGTGAAATACTATTTCATTTTCTGTATATAACACATTTTGTTAGTCCATTTATCTGTGGATGGACATTCAAGTTGCCTCCACCTCTAGGCTATTGTGAATAATACTGCAAGGAACATGGCCATCCAAGTATCTTTTTGAGATCCTGCTTTGAATTCTTTCGGAAAAATGTGTTTTTTCAAAAACCCATTGCTGGCCAAATAAAATATAGCTTCTAGCCAGAGGCAGACTGTAAGATGCCAATTTACAATTCCTGTTATTTTTAATGTATTTTGTATAATGGGGACAATAGAAAGGCAGTGATAGCCCTGACAAAGAACAGAAAGCTCTGAGTCCAGTAGGATGAGAAGGAGTTATCCAAATGAAGATGTCTAAGGGCAGTTGATACCAGACAAAGTGAGCAGTATTAAGAAGAAAGTATGGGAGCAGACAAATGACTGGAGATGTCTGAATCTCGGCTGAAAGTGATGACAGTGATGAGAGGCAGGATGGTGGTGTTAGTAGTTTGCAAGGTGAATATCATTGAAATTAAATGTCTTTGAGAGTATCATCACTCATATTCCAGGGTCAAAGGAGTCTTTAGGTGGGCAAAGGTGCTAAGCCAGGCATCAAAGCTCCAAAAGAGCAGAGCAGAGCAGAGAGAACAGACACCAACGACAGCAGCAAGCAATTGTGGATGAAATTATCAACTAAGGGAGTTTCACATGGGCATGAGGCGATAATCAAGATTTGACAATAGGGAGAAAGGTTAACACGGTCTTTGGGAGGAAGTGCTCTGAAAGAAACTTCGCTGGGCAAAGCAGAGCTCTGGCAAATTGAGCTTCACCCAATCTTGTCCTGCAGAGAAGCCAAGTCTCCACTGAATACAAAGAGACACACCCTTCTGCCTGGACGGTATCAGTAGGTAGGAGAAAGGATCATGAGGGAGAAAGGATGGGGTCAGAAATGTATGATATGGGAGTGTTTTGGTGGCGAGTTGTGGGGTGGAACCTCTTGTGGTATCCCTCGGTGGTGAGATGGACCTCCCACACAAAATTTGGTTTAGATGTCAAGACTCATGATGCCACACATACACAAAGAGGGGATGGAAGGTTTATTGCACATGTAATGAGGTTTTCTAGAGGGAACAGGGCAGGCTCCCAAGCAGATCTGAAAATGCCTTGAAAGAGCAGGGAGGGGAAACCTCCCTGCTTGGGGTTTTATAATAGTTAGGGAGTGAGGCTGGGTTGCTGGTTTCCTCATGCTGGCCAACGTTTGTATGGTTTGAATTTCCCATCGGTGCCAAAGGAGCACCAAGGCTTTTTTTCTTTTTTCTTTTTTTAAATTTTTTTTTTTATCAGCTTGCTTGGATGTGGGGCACAAAAGGAAGGAGGCGTGGCAGGGCTTGACAGCTGTCAGCTGTTAAACATCAACAATGGAGTCAGACTCCTTATTATTGAGTACTAGAGAGCACTGGTGAGCCTGAACCTCAAGATAATTAAAACCACAGGGCTGCCCATAGGACATGCACTTAATTCCTTAGAGGAAGTCGGTAACCAGTGACTGTAGAGGCCAAGACTCTATAGCCTATGTGAAATTTTGGGACTTTTGTAATTTTCCATGTTTCTCATTTGTATTATTTTCTATTTTCTGTTGGGGTTATTACAAAAATTCACATAACAAAAAGGGCCAATAATCTTGTCATCTGGGATCGTGTGTGTACACATATGCACATGTATGCATTTATAGTGTGTTTGTATGCTGGATATAGCTGATTGGCACTCAGCCATTTCCAGCTCTTTTTTTGAATGCTGGAAACCACGTTTCCCTGACTCCTTTGGATGAATTTATTAAATACGCTTTGTTTTACATGTAGAAAGCAGAAGTGAAACAGAAGCCACCTTCCTTCTATTGTCTGTTTTTCTGTGTGTGAACAAGATCTTGGACCATCTCCAAGATCTCACGTTTTTCTGAAGTGGTGTTCTAGTGTTCAGACATTAGCTTCATAGATGGTTATAGGCAGTTGTGGTGTGGCAGCAGTAGCTTCTCGATCCTGACTTTCTGATCCTGGGACACAGCTATCCTTGTGGGTTCATGAACTCAAAAGTTCCAGTGTCAGCCTGCTGGCTACTCACCATCCTGATTGCTGCAGAGCAAGTAGCTTGCCTGGATAGTCAGTTCTGCATTGTTCTAGGAGTTATTCCTGGGGGCCCAACCTTGAGCCTGCTCCTCCAGCCATTCTAGTTCATATGTAAACACCCAATTTCCTTTATTAAATTCCTTTGTGCTTAATACAAATAGATAGGTTTCTATATTTTGCCCTGAACCTTTATTATCATTGTATGTTTGTGTTAGTAGAGGGGACTGGTATGGGGGCAATGAAAATGGGGGGATGATGCTCAGCTCTAAACCTTTCTATGACATAGGGGGGTATAGGGACCCTACAGGTGAGAGAATGGTGGCCTCAATGGAAAGATTAGCTGGGACCTGAGAAGATCTTCTGGATCAGAGGGGGAATGCAAGGAAAAGGCGTTTGGGGTTCCCAGAAATCCTCCCTCTGACTCTACTGAACTTGGGGCTACAAAGAAAGTAGGTCTTAGGTGAATTTCTTGAATCAGTAGTTAATTGTGTTTAGTATCTTATTTATTGTTTTGCGTATGCATTGTTTTCATTCTAAATTTCTAGAAGCTTATTCTCCTAAGTAGTTTTTATACTCTCAGTGTAATCATAGTACACTTAGAAAACCCCAATTTCTTTTTCTTTCCTTTTTTCATCCATAGGTGAGAGGTAACTTGAGTATGGTCTCCATTGAAACTCATACGCCTATCCCTAAATTTAGTAGAAAAAGAAAGAAACTTACTTAGGGCAAACATGGTGACAATTTCCAAGATGATTAAAGTAACACTGAGGCCTTAATGTATCATACAGTGCTGGCAGGGGAAGTAATTCTTTCATTCAATTCAACAAGTACTTGTGAGGTGTATTAAGCTTTGTCACTTCCTGGGCCTCCACCCCCTCTCCCTCTTCTCCAGCTTAGCCACTCACTTTCATGACACACCTTGGAACCTGTCATCACCTGGAACTGTACCACCTCTGCAGTCTTTACCTCTGATGTACCATTATCTGATTATAAACTCCTACTTGGCAGATGGATTTGCCTTCTATTTCAGTGAGGAAGTTGAGGTTTCTAGTTGGGAATTTCCTCAACTTTTTGACTTCAGCCAATGACCTTATTTAAACCCATAACCTGATATCCATAACCACTTCTTTTACTCAGTCTTAAATCAATAATTTAAAAAAGTTTTTATTAACACATAATTCAGATAACATACAATTTCCCCATTTAATGCGTACAATTCACTGGTTTTTAGTATTTTCACAGAGTTGTGCAACCATCACCACAATAAATTTTAAATCATTTTCATCACCACAAAGAGAAATCCCTTGGCCATCCGTCCTCATTCCCCCATTGCTCCTAGCTCTAGGAAACCACAAACCTACTTTCTTTCTCTGTGAATTTCCATATTCTGGACATTAAATATAATGGAATAATACAATATATAATCCTTTGTGACTGTCTTTTTTCACTTAACATAACGTTTTCAAGGTTCATCCACACTGTGTCATGTATCAGTTCTTCATTCCTTTTTGTGGTTGAATAATATTCAAGTGTATGCTTATGCCACATTTTATTTATACATTCATTAGTTGATGGACATTTGGGTTATATCTAACTTTTGCCTATTATTAAGAATGCTACTATGAATATTCACACACAAGGTTTTATGTGGACATATGTTTTTATTTCTCTTGGGTATATACCTAGGAGGGGAATTGCTGAGCTGTATGGTAGCACTATATTTAATTATTTGAAAAATTGCCAGACTGTTTTCCAAAAGATGTACTATGTTACATTTCCATTAGGAGTGCATGAGAGTTCCAATTTCTTTGCATTTTTGCTAACTTGTTATTATCTAACTTTTTGATTAGAACCATCATAATCTGCATGAAATAGCAGCCCATTGTAGGTTTGATTTGCATTTCCCTGAGGCTAATGAAGTTGATCATTTTTTTCATGTGCATATTGGCCATTTATATATCTTTTTTGGAAAAATGTCTATTCAGGTTCTTTGCTTTTTTGAAAATTATTTGTCTTTTTATTGTTAAGTTGTAAGGGTTCTTTATATATTCCACACACAAGTCCTTCATCAGATATATGATTTGCAGAAATTTTCTCCCATCCTATGGGTTGCCTTTTTAATTTCTTAATTGTGTGTTTTGAAGCAGGAAAGTTTTTTTTTTAAATGCTATGATATCCAATTTACCTATTCTTTTTTGTTGTTGTTGCTTATATGTTGGGTGTCGTAGCTAAGAAATCATTGCCTACTACAAGGTCATGAAGATTTACCTCTGTTTTTCTAAGAAGTTTATAGTTTTAGCTTTTACACTTAGTTATTGGATCCTATTTGAGTTGATTTTTATACAGATGTGAGGTAGGATCTAACTTCTTTTTTTTCAGATTGTGTCAGCACCATTTATGGAAAGACTTTTATTTTCCCATTGAATTGATTTCCCTTGTTGGAAATCAATTCAATGGGAAAAAATTTCCCTTGTTGGAAATCAATTGACAGTAAGTGTGAGTTTACTTATAGATTTTTAATTTCATTCTATTAATCTGTATGTCTTATCTTATGCCAATACCACACTGTCTTGATTACTGTAGATTTTGTAGTAAGTTTTGAAATGGGGAAGCGTGAATCCTCCAACTTTGTTGTTTGTTTTCAAGGTTGTTTTAGCTCTTCTGTTTCTTGCGCTCTCATATAAATTTTAGGATCAGATTATTGGTCCAGAATTTTGATGGGAATTGTGTTGAATTTGTAGATCAGTTTGGGGAGTATTGCCATCTTAACAATATTAAATTTTCCAATCCATGAACATGAGGTGACTTTCCATTTATTTAGGTGTTCTTTAATTTCTTTCAGCAATGTTTTGTATTTTTCAGAGTATAAGTTTAGTACTTCTTTTGTTAAATTCATTCCTAAGTATTTTATTCTTTTTCATGCTATTGTAAACAGATTTTGTTTTCTTAATTTCATTTTTAGTGTATTCATTGCAAATGTATAGAAACACAATTGATTTTTTAAATATATTTTTATTATACTTTAAGTTCTAGGGTACACATGCACAATGTGCAGGTTTGTTACATATGTATACATGTGCCATGTTGGTGTGCTGCACCCATTAACTCATCATTTACATTAGGTATATCTCCTAATGCTATCCCTCCCCCCTCCCCCCACCCAACAACAGGCCTGGTGTGTGGTGTTCCCCTTGCTGTGTCCAGGTGTTCTCATTGTTCAATTCCCACCTGTGAGTGAGAACATGCGGTGTTTGGTTTTCTGTCTTTGCAATAGTTTGCTGAGAATGATGGTTTCCAGCTTCATCCATGTCCCTATAAAGGACATGAACT
The DNA here is from genome assembly GCF_000001405.40 of Homo sapiens. Lineage (NCBI taxonomy): Eukaryota > Metazoa > Chordata > Mammalia > Primates > Hominidae > Homo > Homo sapiens. The sequence continues at coordinate 106,727,796 of NC_000007.14, read as the reverse complement.
CATCATGTTTTATGGCTGCATAGTATTCCATGGTATATACATGCCACATTTTCTTAATCCAGTCTATCATGGATGGACATTTGGGTTGGTTCCAAGTCTTTGCCATTGTGAATACTGCTGCAATAAACATACGTGTGCATGTGCCTTTATAGCAGCATGATTTATAATCGTTTGGGTATCTACCCAGTAATGGGATGGCTGAGTCAAACAGTATTTCTAGTTCTAGATCCTTGAGGAATTCCCACAGTGTCTTCCACAATGGTTGAACTAGTTTACAGTCCCACCAACAGTGTAAAAGTGTTCCTATTTCTCCACATCCTCTCCAGCACCTGTTGTTTCCTGACTTTTTAAAGATCACCATTCTAACTGGTGTGAGATGGTATCTCATTGTGGTTTTGATTTGCATTTCTCTGACGGCCAGTGATGATGAGCATTTTTTTTTATTATACTCTAAGTTTTAGGGTACATGTGCACAACATGCAGGTTTGTTCATATGTCTGTTGGCTGCATCAGTGTCTTTCTTTTTTTTTTTTTTTTTTTTGTGGCGGATTCTCGCTGTCTCCCAGGCTAGAGTGCAGTGGCGCAATCTTGGCTCACTGCAGGCTCCGCCCCTCCGGGGTTCACGCCATTCTCCCACCTCAGCCTTCCGAATAGCTGGGACTACAGGCGCCTGCCACCTTGCCTGGCTAATTTTTTGTATTTTTAGTAGAGACGGCGTTTCACTGTATTAGCCAGGATGGTCTCAATCTCCTGACCTTGTGATCTGCCCGCCTCGGCCTCCCAAAGTGCTGGGATTACAGGCGTGTTCAATGTCTTCTTTTGATAAGTGTCTGTTCATATCCTTTGCCCACTTTTTGATGGGGTTGTTTGTTTTTTTCTTGTAAATTTGTTTGAGTTCTTTGTAGATTCTGGATATTAGCCCTTTGTCAGATGGAAAGATTGCAAAAATTTTCTCCCATTCTGTAGGTTGCTTGTTCACGCTGATGGTATTTTCTTTTGCTGTGCAGAAGCTCTTTAGTTTAATTAGATCCCATTTGTCAATTTTGGCTTTTGTTGCCATTGCTTTTGGTGTTTTAGACATGAAGTCCTTGCCCATGCCTATGTCCTGAATGGTATTGCCTAGGTTTTCTTCTAGGGTTTTTATGGTTTTAGGTCTAACATTTAAGCCTTTAATCCATCTTGAATTACTTTTTGTATAAGGTGTCAGGAATGGATCCAGTATCAGCCTTCTACGTATGGCTAGCCAGTTTTCCCAGCACCATTTATTAAATAGGGAATCGTTTCCCCATTTCTTGTTTTTCTCAGGTTTGTCAAAGATCAGATGGTTGTAGATGTGTGGTATTATTTCTGAGGGCTCTGTTCTGTTCCATTGGTCTATATCTCTGTTTTGGTACCAGTACCATGCTGTTTTGATTACTGTAGCCTTGTAGTATAGTTTGAAGTCAGGTAGCGTGATGCCTCCAGCTTTGTTCTTTTGGTTTAGGATTGACTTGGCAATGCGGGCTCTTTTTTGGTTCCATATGAACTTTAAAGTAGTTTTTTCCAATTCTGTGAAGAAAGTCATTGGTAGCTTGATGGGGATGGCATTGAATCTGTAAATTACCTTGGGCAGTATGGCCATTTTCATGATATTGATTCTTCCTGTCCATGAGTGTGGAATGTTCTTCCATTTGTTTCTATCCTCTTTTATTTTGTTGAGTAGTGGTTTGTAGTTCTCCTTGAAGAGGTCCTTCACATCCCTTATAAATTGGATTCCTAGGTATTTTATTCTCTTTGAAGCAATTGTGAATGGGAGTTCACTCATGATTTGGCTCTCTGTTTGTCTGTTATTGGTGTATAGGAATGCTTGTGACTTTTGCACATTGATTTTGTATCCTGAGACTTTGCTGAAGTTGCTTATCAGCCTAAGGAGATTTTGGGCTGAGATGATGGAGTTTTCTAGATATACAATCATGTCATCTGCAAACAGGGACAATTTGACTTCCTATTTTCCTAATTGAATACCCTTTATTTCTTTCTCCTGCCTGATTGCCCTGGCCAGAACTTCTAACACTATGTTGAATAGGAGTGGTGAGAGAAGGCATCCCTGTCTTGTGCCAGTTTTCAAAGGGAATGCTTCTAGTTTTTGCCCATTCAGTATGATATTGGCTGTGGGTTTGTCATAAATAGCTCTTATTATTTTGAGATACGTCTCACCAATACCTAATTTATTGAGAGTTTTTAGCATGAAGGGCTGTTGAATTTTGTCAAAGGCCTTTTCTGCATCTATTGAGATAATCATGTGGTTTTTGTCTTTGGTTCTGTTTATATGCTGGATTATGTTTATTGATTTGCGTATGTTGAACTAGCCTTGCATCCCAGGGATGAAGCCCACTTGATCATGGTGGATAAGCTTTTTGATGTGCTGCTGGATTCGGTTTGCCAGTATTTTATTGAGGATTTTTGCATCGATGTTCATCAGGGATATTGTTCTAAAATTCTTTTTTTTTGTTGTGTCTCTGCCAGGCTTTGGTACCAGGATGATGCTGGCCTCATAAAATGAGTTAGGGAGGATTCCCTCTTTTTCTATTGATTGGAATAGTTTCAAAAGGAATGGTACCAGCTCCTCCTCTTACCTCTGGTAGAATTTGGCCATGAATCCGTCTGGTCCTGGACTTTTTTTCGATGGTAGGCTATTAATTATTGCCTCAATTTCAGAGCCTGTTATTGGTCTATTCAGAGATTCAACTTCTTCCTGGTTTAGTCTTGGGAGGGTGTATGTTTGGAGGAATATATCCATTTCTTCTAGATTTTCTAGTTTATTTGTGTAGAGGTGTTTATAGTATTCTCTGATGGTAGTTTGTCTTTCTGTGGGATCGGTTATGATATCCCCTTTATCATTTTTTTATTGTGTCTATTGAATTCTTCTCTCTTTTCTTCTGTGTTAGTCTTGCTAGCAGTCTATCAATTTTGTTGATCTTTTCAAAAAACCAGCTCCTGGATTCATTGATTTTTTGAAGGGTTTTTTGTGTCTCTATCTCCTTCAGTTCTGCTCTGATCTTAGTTATTTCTTGCCTTCTGCTAGCTCTTGAATGTGTTTGCTCTTGTTTCTCTAGTTCTTTTAATTGTGATGTTAGGGTGTTAATTTTAGATCTTTCCTGCTTTCTCTTGTGGGCATTTAGTGCTATAAATTTCCCTCTACACACTGCTTTAAATTTGTCCCAGAGATTCTGGTGTGTTGTGTCTTTGTTCTCGCTGGTTTCAAAGAACATCTTTATTTCTGCCTTCATTTCGTTATGTACCTAGTAGTCATTCAGGAGCAGGTTGTTCAGTTTCCATGTAGTTGAGCAGTTTTGAGTGAGTTTCTTAATCCTGAGTTCTAGTTTGACTTCACCGTGGTCTGAGAGACAGTTTGTTATAATTTCTGTTCTTTTACGTTTGCTGAGGAGTGCTTTACTTCCAACTATGTGGTCAATTTTGGAATAAGTGTGACGTGGTGTTGAGCAGAATGTATATTCTGTTGATTTGGGGTGGAGAGTTCTGTAGATGTCTATTAAGTCCAGTTGGTGCAGAGCTGAGTTCAATTCCTGGATATCCTTTTTAACTTTCTGTCTCTTTGATCTGTCTAATGTTGACAGTGGGGTGTTAAACTCTCCCATTATTATTGAAACACAGTTGATTTTTGTAAATTGATCTTTTTGTCCCTTTTCACCCTCACCTTTGATGTAAATTGATCTTTTATTCTGCAACTTTGCTGAACTCGTTTATTAGTTCTAATTGTGTTTTTAGTGTATTTCTTAACATTTTCTATGTATTAGATTATGTCATTTGTAAATAGAGGTAGTTTAACTTATTCACCTTTCAAAGCAAAAAATAATTAAAGTGCACTTATTATGTCTCAGGCAATGTGCTAAGTTCTTTGTTTACATTAACTCTGATCTTAGAGTAGCAGGGAAATTCAGAAGCTCTCCTGGCCCCCAACAGTTTCCCCCACATAGAGTTTAATTGGAACATGCATAGAGCTGACTCCATTTCATCTGAATGATAAAGAGATCAATCAATGAAGACTGACACAATTTTTTTCTGTGGTATAGTTTTGCTCAAACAAGACAGAAAATGTGTCCATTGTTCCAGAAAGGAGAAGGGCAACACCATGCTGATAGGAGAATGATTGTTTTCTCAGCACAAGATTAGACCTTGTCTGGCTCATCTTGATAGGGAGTATTTCTGTCATAGGCACTAGATATGTCACAGTTCTCTCTAGTGGAAACTCCAAACGGGGCTTAGAGCTCTTGTGTTCACTCTTGCTCACAGTTTGAACCCAACCTCTTCTGTTCTGCACCTTCAGAGGCCAGTGTTAATTGACAGAGGAGAGCCTTGACAAGCATCTGACTACTTAGTTGTGAGGCTTTGTGTGTAATAGCAAACATGGGATGCCTCTAGGGGTGGCACAGCCTCCTACAGGAGAACATGGATTTTTCGGAAGGAGGTGAGTTGAGTCATCAAACAGAGAATCTTAAAGGGGAGACTGGGTACTGGGATATCTGAAATCAAACTGGGGCTGAGAGGTTGGAGTACAGGTTAGCAGGCAGAGAGGAGGCAGCCTCTTTATAAAAGTTAGTCCCGGCTGGGCACAGTGGCTCACGCCTCTAATCCCAGCACTTTGGGAGGCCAAGGCCGGCAGATCACGAGGTCAGGAAATTGAGACCATCCTGGCTAACACGGTGAAACCCCGTCTCTACTAAAAATACAAAAAATTAGCCAGGCGTGGTGGCACACACCTATAGTCCCAGCTCCTTGGGAGGCTGAGGCAGGAAAATCGCTTGAACCCAGGAGGCAGAGGTTGCAGTGAGCTGAGATCGTGCTACTGTACCACAGCCTGGGTGACAGAGCGAGACACCATCTCAAAAAAAAAAAAAAAAAAAAAAAGCTACTCTAGAAGGCTTCTCTGGGGAGGTAAAAGGAAACAGCTATGTTCACCATGAATTTATTCTTTATTTGCACTACAATATTGTTGTAGATGGGATTGTCTGGAAGTTGATACAGAGATAGAGTTTAGGATGTCAAATATTTTTTGGAGATTAGCATCTGTAAAAGGAAGGGAAAAGAAGCAGGATGAGGGTAAAGGTGAATTCAGGTCCAAAAAAGCCTCAGCAAACCTGAATGGAAGCTCCAGAACAAATATTTCACAACAGAGTTGTCTCACATCTGACCAAAATGGACAGAATTGTATACCCCTGTGTCGATTAGTCACTAGATGCAGGCTGCTTGGGAATATGTGAGGTCGGATCTCAAAGCTCTCTGAAGTTTAGGCAAATGCTGAAAAATAAGTCAGCTGGAGACTGTTGTTTGCACTCATGGCTGCTTGGCAGCAAGTCCTTCCTTGGAGGAGAATCTGGGTACCTCCATATCTCTATATCTACTATAACTGTATCCTATTTGAAGAACTGAATCTACTTATTAGTCTGAAGTGTTTGGTATGGTGAAGGCTGTTGGGTCGGCTACTTCCCCATTCTTCCTCCTGTGAACTTTTGTGGCAAATGAAGACCTAGTCATGTTCCCCTTCCACCATGCATGGATTTTGATGTAAAAGACATCTTGTTTGTGGGCCATGAGAGACATGATCATCCCTTAGGTTGGGAGTACCTCTCTCTTCCTCTCTATGGTTTCTGGAAATGCTTTAACAGTCTTGAGGAATTATCATAAAGGACGTATCCATTTTTCTCTTCATTCCTTTCTTGGTGCCTCCTCTTGTTTTCCTGCCAGATGGGGTCACTGTATATGTATGGCCTTAACTCTTGGTTCTTGCTCTCCTGCTACTTGCCTCAAAAATGGATAACGACTGGGACCTTTCTCATATCTTATCTCCAGTGTGGTAAATAGACTGGGCAGAGTGTCCCCTCTAGCTCCTCTGCCTGGCTGGGAATGCACATTCAATACAAGGGAAAGGCATTTTGACCTCAAGCCCAAACTATTTTCTTCATTCCAGCTTTACCATGAATAAAACTGATACTTTGATATCCATTGGTCACATGAGTCTGTTCTCAATTTGGAAGAAGCTGGAAGAAATGAGGTAGTGAATGACTAGGTTCTCCCAAATTCCAACAACCAGGAGGTGTTTGGGGAGATCCTAGGTACAAAAGTGAGGTTAATTCTTTTGATTTCCGTCATAGTGGTGAATGCCTGGCCATATCAGGTTGCACATAAAACAAACATACAAGGTGCGCATAAATCCATTTTAACAGACGAGGAAAACTCAGGCCCTAACAGATTACTTCACACTTAAGAGGAAGATAAACTTGAAATCAGTTTATCCTTCCCAGTCACTTTTTAACCCATTTCAAGCAAGCATCCTTCATAACCACTTCACTGAAATTGCTCTTGCCAAGGCCACCAAAGGACCTTGTTTTTGCTAACTCTATCAGATACTCTTTAGTCTCCAACATTTTTGACATCAGGGACTGGTTTCCCAGAAGACAATTCTTCCATGGGAAGGGGTGGGAGGTTGGGGGGGAATAGTTTTAGGACGAAACTGTTCCACCTCAGATCATCAGGCATTTGTTAGAGTCTCATAAGGTGAACACAACCCAGATCCCTCAAATGCACAGTTCACACTAGGGCCCTTGCTCCTATGAGCATCTAATGCCCCCTAAAATCTGAAGGAAGTGAGCTTAGGCAGTAATACAAGCAATGGGGAGCTGCTGTAAATACAGATCAAACTTTGCTCGATCGCCAGCCACTCACCTCCTGCTATGCGGCTCATTTCCTAACAGGCCATGGATGGGCCCCTGCTTTAGAAATTATCCAGCTGTTTAAACGCTCACTTCTTAGCAGCTTCTGACATTGACCTTTCTTCACTCCTTGCTTCTTCTGGTGCTGCTTTGTTCTTCTGCTTCCTTTCCACTGGCTTCCATGCTGTACACTCACTGTGGTGCTCACCTCTCTGGCCATACCTTCTTTGGTATGGCCAAACTTCTCACACTTTCAGTGTTCATGTTCCCCATTGTTCTGCTTTTGGTCTTCATGGTAGGTGATAGGGTCTGGCTCACTCACCACACGTTTCAGTTCAGCTTCCTTATAATATGTGGAAGGCAGAAAGCTCAACACACAAAGCCAAAGCAAAACAAAGCAAGCCATTCTTCAAATGTCCTAGAGTTCTGGGTATAATTTACCTTCTGACAATCAGACAGATACATTGTATGAGACTTAGATTTGCAGTTAATCTAGGAGGAGAGAGTCAAGGCACAGGGTCATATTTTTGCTGGTGGAGATTTTAGTGAACGTGATGTGGTTTGGAAGCAAGTAGTGTTAGTAATTTCTCACATGGCAGTTTGCTAATTTTACAGATCCCTGATCATTTTTAAGGCAGCAGCTCCTTCAGCTACCCAGTTCTGTAGTGTGGCTTTGGGAATTGTTTCTAGAACCTTAGAATGGAGTCTTTTTTTATTAGCTTTTTAAAGTAAGCCATTTAATATTCTGTAACAAACCCCTTTCCTCTTAAACCAGCTACAGTGGATTCTGTTCCTTGTAACTGAATACTGACAATACAGTACTGGTTAGTTTGGAGGTTTTTATGTTTTTCTTAAAAAAAATTCAATAGGCCATTGATGGGCAATATTACCCAGTACCACATATAAATGTCTTCTAATTGTATATCTGCAGACTAGGCAACTCTACTAAGCTCCAGATTTATATATCCAACTGCCTACTGGACATCTGTATCTGGTTGTCAAATAGTGTATCCAAAACTAAACTAGTATTTTCCCTTAATCTTTTATTTGCTTCCCATCCAGATATATGACCTAGAAATTGTATAGCTTTCCTATACTTTGTTGCCATCTTTCTCAACTTCCCGTCAGTTCCAAGACCTGGTGATTCTAGTTACTAAATATGCCTTGTGTCCAAACCCTTCTCTCTCTCTCTCTCTGCTACTAGTACCTTAGTTCTTATCTAGATTATTTGAACAGTTTTCTCTTGTTCTTCTCCTTTTCCTCATCCTTTTCCTTCTCTTCTTCTAGGTTTAAAAATATGTCTTGAAGATAAGCCTGTTTTTTGTTTTCACATGTTAACATGTCTAAAATTGGGATGCGTCTTATAATCAATGGTGTCTTGTACTTGCTTTCAGCCAAGAAGTTGTTCTAACATAGTGATTGTTATCTACTTGTACAAACTTGGTTTTTAGGACGATATGAGTAGACCACAGCAACTCCTTGATATTTTATTCAACAATCATTAAAGGGCCATTTGAGGAAGGAATATGGTCCTGATTCTTGTATAATAAACTTTTATTGACAATTTCTGGTAAACTCAAGATTTGAGAGCAGCAAAAGCTACAGAATGGGTGCCGGTAGCCTGGGAGGAAACCTCAAAGACAGTATTGGAGCACTTTTTGAATAGATACTACACATCACTAATACTCTGGATAGAACAGGGATCAATATCAGGTGATTTTAGGCTGTGGAGTGGTGAGATGCGGTGGAGGAACAATTTTTAAAGTGAGCAAAAAAGATCTTTTCTCTCAGAAATATTACATCTATCCACACCCAAAGTATATCTTTTTTCTTTTTTGAGATGCAGTCTCACTCTGTCACCCAGGCTGTAGTGCAGAGGTGCAATCTCGGCTCGCTGCAACCGCAGCCTCCCAGATTCAAGTGATTCTCCTGCCTCAGCCTCCTGAGTAGCTGGGATTACAGGCACTCGCCACCATGCCTGGCTAATATTTATATTTGTTGTAGAGACAGGATTTTGCCATGCTGCTCAGGCTGGTCTTGAACTCCTGAGCTCAAGTAATATGCCCATCTTGGCCTCCCAAAGTGCTGGGATTACAGGCATGAAAGATCCTTAAGACCTAAATTTTTATCTTGAGTTAGCCTTGGCTTCTGTTTATATGTGGTAAAAATTGTTTTTAAAGAATAATCTCAAGTATTCTGGAAGACAGGTATCTCCAAATTGATGAACATTTTTTTCTTCAAGAATTTTTCAGTAATGATGATTTTGTTTCCTTCATCTCCAGTAGGCAGTCATGGCAACTTGGTAACTTGAGTCACGTATCTGAAAAATGATAATGAAATGGTAGTATACCTTGCACAATAAAGACAGTGGCCATTAAATATTTTTAAATAATGCGAAAGTATTTATCACCAGTTGCCAGTAGTCATGCTCAGTAATTTCCTCCCTGGCTTTGCTCTGCCCAGATATCTTTAAAAGAATGCTGTAAATGTCACAACTCATTATGAAGCTGAACATATTACAGCATGAAAAAAACAAATGCTACTTTTCTAACCATAGTAAAAAGTTGTTTAATGCAATTCTTTTAAACATGTGCTTATCTTCTTTCATCTTCTACCCAGTTCTGCACCCTTCCCCCACACATGACTATTAACTAAGTCACAATGAATGCTCCCATTGCCTCCTACTCAGCTGAATCAACATTTCCGGAGGCTGTGACTAATAAAAGCCACAGCCCATGGTATGCTTGACTTTTGAAAATCCTGATTAGCTTTAAGGGCATAATTATGTGTACCTCTACTTATAGAATGAGGAAGTTGATTTGAGCTATGTCTCTAAATTACACTAAAAACTACAAAAATGAACTACAAAAATGACTTAATGAAGTCAGACTTCATTAAGATTATTAACTTATTTGGCTTTTAAAAAAATGTATTGACTGATTACTTAGGTATTCTGAGATCATCATGGTGTAAACTAAAGCATTTGGCTAATAGGATACTTAATGGTCCTTTGCTTTGCTATTCATGGCTCAAAATAAAGGGAAGTGTAGAAAAGGAAAGATCTAATCTCTGAAAGGCAATCTAACAGAAACTATATCTCTGAACATAATTTTGTTGGTTAATTACCATGGAGATAAATTAATCCAAGAAAAAGGAGAGTGCTTCATAACTCCAAAAACAAATGAGTCTCTTCCAGTAGTGTCACTGTGTATTTGTCGTTGAACTGTGAGTACACTTTTAATTTCTCCCAGAAAGAGGATCCACTAAGAAAAAGCAAATTGTGCATTACTTTGGGTGCTCCCCTTTGATTGACAGCTATGCCCATAAGGTAAACTTCCCTTGGCTTAGTGTCCACTCCTGTCCAATAAGCAGGGCAAGATCACTGGATACTGGCCACTCAGAGGAGACCATGGGCCTAGCAGAAATGATAGGTAGGATTAAATAATTTACTTTTCTTCTTCCAATCACAGCCAAGTGCTTTGAAAATGTAGTGTTCAATTTTCTGTCTTCAGTTTCCCATATCCCCTTAGATTCTCAGCTCCTTGTACTCTGCTTCTGTCCCCAACACTCAAGTGAACTTCTCAAAACAACTCTTACTGATGCCCTAATTGCCAAATACAGTAGACTGTTCTCTGTCCTTATGTTTCTTGAAGTTGTTTAAACAGTTGGCATAGTTGACAATCCTTAGATTTCTCTGGAGATTTCCCTTCTAATGCTTCAGTTACTTCTTAGCTTCTTTTCTCTTCCATTTTTTTCAACCTATTATCATTGGCTTCTTCTCCATAGCCTTTTACCATGCTACAGGTTCTACCACATTAAAGGAAAGTTCTTTCCCCTAAATTTGTAATTCTTCTTAGAGATCACCCTATATTTTTCCAACTTCATTATTAACCCCCCAAAATAATATAAACCATTCTCTGCACTTTATCATTGCTCATTTACTCTAAAGCTCTCCATAATGAGGCTTACATCCCATTAACCTAGTGAAGTGGCTTCTGCAAAGTCATTAAAGATTTTCTAACTATTTAAAATCCTCATGTTATTTAACTTCTCTTTCCAGCACTTGACTATATTGATCACTTCCTTCATAAAATTCTCCTCCTTGGTTTCCATTACATTGCTCTTTGCTGGCTCTCTTCTTGCCTTTCTGGACATTCTTTTTCAGGCTTTCCACCTGTTAAACACTGATGCTTCCCATCATCTTGGCCCTTTTCTCCTCACAGTCTAAGCAATCCTAGCATAAGCTCACTCGTTTTCATGGCTTTACCCACCCCACACATGCTGACGACCTGTATGTAGTCTACAGAAGTTGGTATCTTGTACTTTTGCTTCTGCTGTACAGTGTTGCCTTTGACTGAGGGTCTTCTGCCAGCTTTGGAGCACTTCTCTGGGAGAGATAGTGAAGGCAGCCCTCTTCATCAGTGCAGAATTTGCCCCAGGAACCCTTTTTTCTGCTCTCAAAGACCAAGACACTATGTTTATCTCCTCTCTCAACTCCCAGGGCCCCTTTGGAAATATAATTCTGGTGGTCCTATGAATTAAGCTTTGAAAACAAAATCCTTTTAACTGTTTTGTAAGGTAAACAAATACCAGACCTCCAGGACACACTGCTTGGTTTCTAGATATTCTACCCCTATTTCAAGTATAGCATGTCTGCCAGGCCCGAATGCTGGGTGCCATCTTGTGCTCCTCATCCTCCTCATTTCCTGTGTTGAGCCAAACCTGTAGATTTTATTGTCTAAATGTCCTTAAAAACCACTCTCTTGGCATGTCCTTGGTGGCATTGCCTCTATTCAAGCCCTACTTACCTCCTTCCCTTGCCGTTTCCTCCAGTATTCCTTCCTCCAATTTGTCTTCCACACTGTTGTTAGAGGGATCATTTAACTATAGATCTGGTTACATTTATGTCTTACTTATAAAATATTTTTATGGCTAGCTTTCCAGTGATTTTATGAGATGCTCAACCTTCTCAGTGTGTTGGGCAAGGCTTTTGATACTCCTCCTTGTGTTCTCTCTTGCCTTGTCTCTTGCTATCCTGTGCACCTACGATACATATTTTCTCTAGTTTCTGTGTCTACTTGTACATGTTGGTCTCTCTGTCTATAATGCCTCTTCCTCCATCTACCCTTTCCCACCTATTGCCTTCACCAACATCTACTCATCAGGGAAATGCAAATTAAAACCACAATGAGATACCATGACATATCTATCAGAACGGCTAAAATTACAAAGACATACAATAGCAAGTGTTGGCCAGGATGTGGAATAGTTAGAACTCTCATACATTGCAGGTAAGAAAATATATTGGCTCAAATACTTTGGAAAGCTGTTACCTATGAAAGCTAAACACATTTAAAATCATTTCAGAATCATCAGATCCTGTTAGAAGCAGTGGGCTCCAAATCCATGTTCTCCTAGCATTTTACTATGGCATTATCACACTTGCTTATTTTCTTATTTGTTTTTCTCAATAGACTGTGGCATCTTTCAGAAGCAAGAGCTGGTTTTTTTGTTTTTTTAATTATACATTAAGTTCTAGAGTACATGTACACAACGTGCAGGAGGTTTGTTACATATGTATACATGTGCCATATTGGTTTGCTGTACCCATTAACTCATCATTTACATTAAGTCTTTCTTCTAATGCTATCCCTCCCCTATACCCCCACCCTATGACAAGCCCCGGTGTGTGATGTTCCCCATGCTGTGTCCAAGTGTTCGCATTGTTCAATTCCCACCGATGAGTGAGAACATGTGGTGTTTGGTTTTCTGTCCTTGTGATAATTTCCTCAGAATGATGGTTTCCAGCTTCGTCCATGTCCCTACAAAGGACATGAACTCATCCTTTTTTATGGTTGCATAGTATTCCATGGTGTATACATGCCACATTTTCTTAATCCAGTGTGTCATTGATGGACATTTGGGTTGGTTCCAAGTCTTTGCTATTGTGAGTAGTGCCTCAATAAACATACATGTTCATGTGTCTTTATAGTAGCATGATTTATAATCCTTTGGACATATACCAAGTAATGGGATCACTGGGTCAAATGGTACTTCTAGTTCTAGATCCTTGAGGAATCGCCACACTGTCTTCCACAATGATTGAACTAGTTTACACTCCCACTGACAGTGTAAAAGCATTCCTATTTCTCCACATCCTCTCCAGCACCAGTTGTTTACTGATTTTTTATGACCGCCATTCTAACTAGTGTGAGATGGAATCTCATTGTGGTTTTGATTTGCATTTCTCTGATGACTAGTGATGATGAGCATTTTTTCATATGTCTGTTGGCTGCATAAATGTCTTCTTTTGAAAAGTGTCTGTTCATATCCTTTGCCCACTTTTTGATGGGGTTGTTTGCTTTTTTCTTGTAAATTTGTTTAAGTTCTTTGTAGATTCTGGATATTAGCCCTTTGTCAGATGGGTAGATTGTAAAAATTTTCTCCCATTCTGCAGGTTGCCTGTTCACTCTTATGGTAGTTTCTTTTGCTGTGCAGGAGCTCTTTAGTTTAATTAGATCCAATTTGTGTATTTTGGCTTTTGTTGCCATTGCTTTATGTGTTTTAGTCATGAAGTATTTGCCCATGCCTGAGTCCTGAATGGTATGGCCTAGGTTTTCTTCTAGGGTTTTTATGGTTTTAGGTCTAATATTTAAGTCTTTAATCCATCTTGAATTAATTTTTGTATGAGGTGTAAGGAAGGGATCCATTTTCAGCTTTCTACATACGGCTAGCCAGTTTTCCCAGCACCATTTATTAAATAGGGAACCTTTTCCCCATTTCTCGTTTTGTTCAGGTTTGTCAAAGATCAGATGGTTGTAGATGTATGGTGTTATTTCTGAGGCTTCTGTTCTGTTCCATTGGTCTGTATCTCTGTTTTGGTACCAGTACCATGCTGTTTTGGTTACTGTAGCCTTGTAGTATAGTTTGAAGCCAGGTAGTGTGATGCGTCCAGCTTTGTTCTTTTTGCTTAGGATTGACTTGGCAATGCGGGCTCTTTTTTGGTTCCATATGAACTTTAAAGTAGTTTTTTCCAATTCTGTGAAGAAAGTCATTGGTAGCTTGATGGGGATGGCATTGAATCTATAAATTACCTTGGGCAGTATGTCCATTCTCACGATATTGATTCTTCCTGTCCATGAGCATGGAATGTTCTTCCATTTGTTTCTGTCCTCTTTTATTTCATTGAGCAGTGGTTTGTATTTCTCCTTGAAGAGGTCCTTCACGTCCCTTATAAGTTGGATTCCCAGGTATTTTATTCTCTTTGTAGCAATTGTGAATGGGAGTTCACTCATGATTTGGCTTTCTGTTTGTCTGTTATTGGTGTATAGGAATGCTTGTGATTTTTGCACATTGATTTTGTATCCTGAGACTTTGCTGAAGTTGCTTATCAGTTTAAGGAGTTTTGGGGCTGAGACAATGGGGTTTTCTAAATATACAGTTATGTCATCTGCAAACAGGGACAATTTGACTTCCTCTTTTCCTAATCGCATACCCTTTATTTCTTTCTCCTGCCTGATTGCCCTGGCCAGAACCTCCAACACTATGTTGAATAGGAGTGGTGAGAGAAGGCATCCCTGTCTTGTGCCAGTTTTCAAAGGGAATGCTTCTAGTTTTTGCCCATTCAGTATGATATTGGCTGTGGGTTTGTCATAAATAGCTCTTATTATTTTGAGATACGTCCCATCAATACCTAATTTATTGAGAGTTTTTAGCATGAAGGGCTGTTGAATTTTGTTGAAGGCCTTTTCTGCATCTATTGAGATAATCATGTGGTTTTTGTCTTTGGTTCTGTTTATATGCTGGATTATGTTTATTGATTTGCATATGTTGAACTAGCCTTGCATCCCAGGGATGAAGCCCACTTGATCATGGTGGATAAGCTTTTTGATGTGCTGCTGGATTCTGTTTGCCAGTGTTTTATTGAGGATTTTTGCATCAATGTTCATCAGGGATGTTGGTCTAAAATTCTCTTTTTTTGTTGTGTCTCTGCCAGGCTTTGGTATCAGGATGATACTGGCCTCATAAAATGAGTTAGGGAGGATTCCGTCTTTTTCTGTTGATTGGCATAGTTTCAGAAGGAGTGGTACCAGCTCCTGTTTGTACCTCTGGTAGAATTTGGCTGTGAATCCATCTGGTCTTGGACTTTTTTTGGTCGGTAGGCTATTAATTATTGCCTCAATTTCAGATCCTGTTATTGGTCTATTCAGGGATTCAACTTCTTCCTGGTTTAGTCTTGGGAGGGTGTATGTTTGGAGGAATATATCCATTTCTTCTAGATTTTCTAGTTTATTTGCATAGAGGTGTTTATAGTATTCTCTGATGGTAGTTTGTATTTCTGTGCGATCAGTGGTGATATCTCCTTTATCATTTTTTATTGCGTCTATTTGATTTTTCTCTCTTTTCGTCTTTATTAGTCTTGCTAGCGGTCTATCAATTTTGTTGATCTTTTCAAAAAACCAGCTCCTGGATTCATTGATTTTTTGAAGGGTTTTTTGTGTCTCTATCTCCTTCAGTTCTGCTCTGATCTTAGTTATTTCTTGCCTTCTGCTAGCTTTTGAATTTGTCGCCTTCTGCTTCTCTCGTTCTTTTAATTGCGATGTTACGGTGTCGATTTTAGATCTTTCCTGCTTTCCCTTGTGGGCATTTGGTGCTATAAATTTCTCTCTACACACTGCTTTAAATGTGTCCCAGAGATGCTGGTACGTTGTGTCTTTGTTCTCATTGGTTTCAAAGAACATCTTTATTTCTGCCTTCATTTCATTATTTACCCAGTAGTCATTCAGGAGCAGGTTGTTCAGTTTCCATGCAGTTGAGCGGTTTTGAGTGAGTTTCTTAATCCTGAGTTCTAATTTGATTGCACTGTGGTCTGAGAGACAGTTTGTTGTGATTTCTGTTCTTTTACGTTTGCTGAGGAGTGCTTTACTTCCAACTATGTGGTCACCTTTGGAATAAGTGCAATGTGGTGTTGAGCAGAATGTGTATTCTGTTGATTTGGGGTGGAGAGTTCTGTAGATGTCTATTAGGTCTGCTTGGTGCAGAGCTGAGTTCAAGTCCTGGCTATCCTTGTTAACCTTCTGTATTGTTGATCTATCTAACATTGACAGTGGGGTGTTAAATTCTCCCATTATTATTGTGTGGGAGTCTAAGTCTCTTTGTAGGTCTCTAATGACTTGCTTTATGAATCTGGGTTCTCCTGTACTGGGTGCATATATATTTAGGATAGTTAGCTCTTCTTGTTGAATTGATCCGTTTCCCATTATATAATGGCCTTCTTTGTCTCTTTGATCTTTGTTGGTTTAAAATCTGTTTTATCAGAGACTAGGATTGCAAATCCTGCTTTTTTTTTTTTTGCTTTCCATTTGCATGGTAGATCTTCCTTCATCCCTTTATTTTGAGCCTATGTGTGTCTCTGCACGTGAGATGGGTTTCCTGAATACAGCACACTGATGGGTCTTGACTCTATCCAATTTGCCAGTCTGTGTCTTTCAACTGGGGCATTTAGCCCATTTACATTTAAGGTTGATATTGTTACGTGTGAAATTGATCCTGTCATTATGATGTTAGCTGGTTATTTTGCCTGTTATTTGATGCAGTTTCTTCCTAGCATCAATGGCCTTTACAATTTGGCATGTTTTTGCAGTGGCTGGTGCTGGTTATTCCTTTCCATGTTTAGTGCTTCCTTCAGGAGCTCTTGTAAGGCAGGCCTGGTGGTGACAAAATCTCTCAGCATTTGCTTGTCTGTAAAGGATTTTATTTCTTCTTCACTTATGAGCTTAGTTTGGCTAGATGTGAAATTCTGTGTTGAAAATTCTTTTCTTTAAAATTGTAGAATATTGGCCCCCACTCTCTTCTGGCTTGTAGAATTTCTGCTGAGAGATCAGCTGTTAGTCTGATGGGCTTCCCTTTGTGGGTAACCCAACCTTTCTCTCTGGCTGCCCTTAATATTTTTTCCTTCATTTCAACCTTGGTGAATCTGACAATTATATGCCTTGGGGTTGTGCTTTTCAAGGAGTATCTTTGTGGTGTTCTCTGTATTTCCTGAATTTGAATGTTGGCCTGCCTTGTTAGGTTGGGGAAGTTCTCTTGGATAATATCCTGAAGAGTGTTTTTCAGCTTGGTTCCATTCTCCCCGTCACTTTCCGGCACACCAATCAGACGTAGATTTGGTCTTTTCACATAGTCCCATATTTCTTGGAGGCTTGTTCATTTCTTTTTACACTTGTTTCTCTAAACTTCTCTTTTCACTTCATTTCATTCGTTTGATCTTCAATCACTGATACCCTTTCTTCCACTTGATTGAATTGGCTACTGAAGCTTGTGCATGGGTCACGTAGTTCTCGTGCCATGGTTTCCAGCTCCATCAGGTCATTTAAGGTCTTCTCTACACTGTTTAGTCTAGTTAGCCATTCATTGAATCTTTTTTTCAAGGTTTTTAGCTTCCTTGTGATGGGTTCAAACATCCTGTTTTAGCTTGGAGAAGTTTGTTATTACCAACCTTCTGAAGTCTACTTCTGTCAACTTGTCAAAGTCCTTCTCCATCCAGCTTTGTTTCATTGCTGGCAAGGAGCTGCGATCCTTTGGAGGAGAAGAGGTGCTCTGGTTTTTAGAATTTTCAGCTTTTCTGCTCTGGTTTCTCCCCATCTTTGTGGTTTTATCCACCTTTAGTCTTTGATGATGGTGACCTACAGATGGGGTTGTGGTGTGAATGTCCTTTTTGTTGATGTTGATGCTATTCCTTTCTGTTTGTTAGTTTTCCTTCTAACAGTCAGGTCCCTCAGCTGCAGGTCTGTTGGAGTTTGCTGGAGGTCCACTCCAGACCCTGTTTGCCTGGGTATCACCAGCAGATGCCTGCAGAACAGCAAATATTGCAGAACAGTAAATATTGCTGCCTGATTCTTCCTCTGAAGCTTTGTCTCAGAGGGGCACCCAGCTGTATGAGGTGTCAGTTGGCCCCTACTGGGAGGTGTCTCCTAGTTAGGCTACACAGGGGTCAGGGACCTACTTGAGGAGGCAGTCTGTCCATTCTCAGAGCTCAAACACTATGGTGGGAGAACCACTACTCTCTTCAGAGCTGTCAGACAGGGACGTTTAAGTCTGCAGAAGTTGTCTGCTGCCTTTTTTTCGGCTATGCCCTGCCCCTAGAGGTGGAGTCTACAGAGGCAGGCAGGCCTTGTTGAGCTGCGGTGGGCTCCACCCAGTTTGATCTTCCAGGCTGCTTTGTTTACCTACTCAAGCCTCAGCAATGGCAGATGCCCCTCCCCCAGCCAGACTGCCACCTTGCAGTTTGATCTGGGACTGCTGCGCTAGCAGTGAGCAAGGCTCCGTGGGCGTGGGATCTGCTAAGCCAGGTGTGGGATATAATCTCCTGGTGTGCCATTTGCTAAGACCATTGGAAAAGCACAGTATTTGGGTGGCAGTGTCCCGATTTTCCAGGTACAGTCTGTCACAGCTTCCCTTGGCTAGGAAAGGGAAATCCCCTGACCCCTTGTGCTTCCTGGGTGAGGTGACGCCCCCACCCTGCTTTGGCTCACCCTCCATGGGCTGCACCCACTGTCCAACCAGTCCCAATGAGATGAACCAGGTACCTCAGTTGGAAATGCAGAAATCACCCGTCTTCTGTGTCAATTACGCTGGGAGCTGCAGACCGGAGCTGTTCCTATTCAGCCATCTTGGAACCGTCCAAGAGCTGTTTTTATGTCCGTATTCTGAAAGACTAGTACAGGTCCGGTACATAATGGGTATTCAATAAATGTTTTTTGAGTGAATTACACATGTACTTTGAAGGAATAGAAATAGATACTTGATGGCACTTCTAAGTCAAATTTATTAATTTATGAATGTGTAGGATTTCTTCTGATAGAGAATGAAAGCCATATAGCTTGATGTACTTCCCCTTTGGCATTTTCAGAAAACCCTGCAACTTTAAAACCCAGACTTGAAAATATCAACACCAAATCATCTTTATATAAAATAAAAAATGAAATTAAATGAAATTAGCACATCATACCACTCACCTAGCACAAATCATCAGAGATAGTAAAGTGGCATCAAGAGCCACTTGGAGACAGGTCAGCCTGGATTAGTGAAAGTTTATAGGAACATCAAGGGAGTTGACATTTAGATTCATAACTGATGACTTCTTGCTTAAAATATAATTGAAGTACAAATTGATACATTGGCAACCAAACATAGTAAAGATCATCTAAGGAAACAAATGGAAGAGATACTATGAGCTACTTCAAATGAGTCATCTGATACAACAGAGTGCTGGACTTAGTTCCAAAATTT
The DNA here is from genome assembly GCF_000001405.40 of Homo sapiens. Taxonomy (NCBI): domain Eukaryota; kingdom Metazoa; phylum Chordata; class Mammalia; order Primates; family Hominidae; genus Homo; species Homo sapiens. The sequence goes on along the minus strand of NC_000007.14, from coordinate 106,708,795 downwards.
CTAGAAGCAAAGGCAAAAGAAAATAAGTGATTAAATCACATAGCTTTCTGTTTCTGTTGAAAGGACATGTAAATTCATGCATGCAAACAAAATCAACTGGTTCGTAAGTGACAGAGCCAGAATGTGCACTTACTTGTCCCCAGAGCTGGTGTTCCCTCACACTCCAGGCTTTCCCCTCCTCGCAGGTGGACATTCTCTGTGCATCCATCCACACTGGTCAGGGTGTATCTAACCTAGACAGCAAGGTTGCTTCCCAGAATAGCTAGACTGGTTACATAAACTTCAGACTTTATCTGTGAAAAGGGGTTTATTTTGAAAAACAAGAATCTCGTAGACGGGTAGTAAAGGATATCAAGTTTACCTAAACTCCTTCCATAATGTTTGATGAAAGAGTGGAGTCATAAAATTCGTGGTTGTTTGGCGCTCTCTAACTTTTCTAAGGGCAAATGAAGGACAGGGTAAGAGACCTTATATCATGAGTGCATTGAGAAGAACATTTCTCTCTCTAGTCAGTGCATCTAAAAAGAGGAAAGGAAAGAAAGAATGATTTGTCGAGAGATGTGCTTATTATCCCATTTTTCCTTATGACAATTATTTTCCACTTAGGTTACTGGTGTTTTGCCCAAATCATTCCTTTGCTTCTGGAAGGTTTTTGTTAATAAGGTGGTTCAGACACTGAGACAGGTATTTTTCTTTCTATCCTATATCCACATTCTTCTTTCATAGCACCCTGTACCTGATGGCAGCTGGAGCACTTCCTGATGTCACCTTAATATAAATGCAGTGAGAAAAGGATGCCAGTAAAGCAACCCCAAGTTCTCCCCAATACAAAAGTTCATACAGACTGACTGCAAAGCAGGCTCTACCAAATAAATGCATTAGACAACTTGTTTTCTACTTTGCTGTCATCTGTCTTCTCTTTCAGAAGAATATTCCGTTATGCTTGAAGCCCAAGTTATGCTTGAGAACAAAGTGTCTGTGTAATCTATGTGTGGCTGAATGCCATAGGGATAGGGTAGGAAGGAAAGAAAGAATATATTCTTCTATATAATCCTACTTTTCCATTGTTGAGAATAAAACAGGATTGTCTAGTTTAATGAAATTAAACTAATTCTCTAATAAATTAGGTAAAAGTGCTATATTAATCATCTAATACCAAATTGGATTTTAAAATATCACCAGTACAAAACATCAACCTTATTTAAGCTTCTAATCTTATTCACCCTAAGTGTATTGCATACTGTTGTAATTTACGATTGGTAATTCATTTTTTGAAAATCATATATAAAACATGGAATTACATTTAATCTTTTAAAAAGCCAAGAAAACATGGCATCTATTAATCTCTGCTAATTCCACTGAAGTATCAGTAAAGGGAATTTTTAAAGGCATTAACTTAAAAGACAAGGAGAATGGAAGAGAAGACAATTGCACCAAAATTTGGGGAATATGAAAGCAAATGGTGAGACCAGAGAAAGCCTAAGACTAAATGAAGTGAGGACTGCCTAGGGGAAGATAAAGTTTTTCTGCAGAACCTCAGAAAAATCCAGAAATTATACCTGGGAGTGATTTGGGTTGCAACTCCAAAGAAGAATCAGCTGGGCTCCTAGATTCCCTTCCCATGTTCTTTACAAGACAACTGTCCTCTCCCAGCTGGGCAGAAGATGGGAGGTGATACTCTGAATCAGGAAGGCTCTGGCCTTAGAGACACAGACACAGCTGTGGGCAGAGCACCACCTGGAAACAAGGTAACGCTATGTGTTAAACAGAGAGAATCCTTCCTCCCTGTAGCCTGCCTTTTCCTACTAAGCTCCAGGAAAATGTTGACAGACAGGCTTATATATCCCAAGCAGGAATTTGAAGGATTTCTCTTCTGGAGACTGACCAATCCAAGAGAAAAATGAACAGATACTGATTATTGAGGATTCCCAGCAAACGGCTGGGTCTGTATCTATCAGTGAAGTTCAAAAGCCCCAACCACTCACCCTCTATTTTGCAGTTCTTCATCCTTACATATGAACAAAGATCCAAGTATCACTGAATACCTGAGCAAACTCTTTAACATAAAATAGAGTGTATAGAACAGAAGAAAAAAGACTTGCAGGGTACACAGTTTAAGGCAAGGAACAGAAAATACTAGAAAATTATAAGTAAAATTTGAGAAGTAAGAAAAGATAATGCATATGAAAAGAAACATTCAGAGAACAGCAACAAAAACTCTTAAAAATTAAGTACATGATAGCAAAAGTGAAAAATTTAATAGAAGATTTAGAAGATAAAGATGAAATCTTTCAGAAGGCAGAAAAATAATAGAGATGAGAAAAAGGAGAAAATAGACAAGAAAATTAGACAAGGGAAAGGAGTTCCAGAAATAAAGAGGTAGGAAAACAGAGAAAATTAACTAAGAAGTAGAACCAAAAAAAAAAAAAAAAAAAAAAAAAACCCAGAACAGAAAGACTTGAGTTCTCTAATTAAGTATTTGGTACAGTGATGGGAGGACAATGCAGTATGAGAAATAGTTATGAATTTTCAGACTTCTGAGAACAAAGTGAAGAAGTTAAACCTTCCAGAAAGAAAGAAAAATAAAACAAGTCACATGCAAAGTTTCAGGAATCAGAACAGCATTGGGTTTCTCAACAGCAATGTTGGAAGCTAAAAAAAAAAAAAAAAAGGCGGGGTGCGGTGGCTCATGCCTGTAATCCCAGCACTTTGGGAGGCCAGGGAGGGTGGATCACTTGAGGTCAGGAGTTTCAGAGCAGCCTGGCCAACATGGTGAAACCTTGTCTCTATCAAAAATACAAAGTAGCTGGGCGTGGTGGCAAGTGCCTGTGATCCCAGCTACTTGGGAAGCTGAGGCAGGAGAATTGCCTGAACCTGGGAGGCGGAGGTTGCAGTGAGCTGACATTGTGCCACTGCACTCCAGCCTGGGCGACAGCCTGGGCGACAGAGCGAGACTCTGTAAAAACAACAACAACGGAACAATCTCCTTATAATGCTGAGGGAGAATGATTACCAACTCAGCATTCTATACCTATTTACACTTTTAATCAGTTGTTAAAGTCAGGTATAAAAACTCAAAAAATTTAACTAACGTGCACCTTTTTGCAAGAAACTACTGGAGGAAATATGCCACTCAATGAAGAAGTAAACTGGGAAAGTTGGTGCCATAGGTCCTAGATACTGAAAGGCACCCAACACAGGAGCAAAACTCAGGCAGTTCCCAGACTGGTGTTAAAGGGACAAAACAGGATGATGGAAGAGAAGCAGGTCAAGAGAAACACTAATTCAGAGATTGGCACGAGAGGGTTAAGGAGGCCAAGCAGGATGTCTCTAAGAAGTAATAAAACTGACATTTTAACAGATGCATTTGACAGTTTTGAGAGAGTACTTATAGTTCTGTTTGAAAGTCAAGATATAAATAAGAGATGGACATAAAAAACTAAACAAATAAAAAAGAAGCTGCTAATAACTCCAGGGACAGAAAAAAAAAGCAAGCAAAGAAATATATTATGCCTACATGTTCAGCTGGAAATGATAGTCATATAATCATATAATATAAACAGTGAATATTGATGTAACTATAATTATGACATTAATGGAATTAGATATTCGATTGGGGAAGTGTGTGTGTGTGTGTGTGTGTGTGTGTGTGTTTTGTGAGAGAGTTAAATACTCATTTTTCATTGGGAAAAAATAATATTTAAGATTAAAAAATTGAGACAGTATAAGCGTGGTATTTAGAAATTATGAAGCTCACTATCAGAAAAACAACTATAAAGTGGAAAACTAGTCTGTCTTATCTCAAAATTAATGTAAACATTTCCTACTTTCCCCAGGGAGTGGAAATTTGGAAGGGAAGAAGTAACATTTCTAATTTTGATTTTTTACAAAAAATTATTGAATTGAGTTTTAAAACTATGTATGGTTTACAGTTTCTAGTTTAGCATGTAAGAAACTTGGAAGTTGCTGCCTTGTCTAATAAGTAAAAAGCTGAACACACTGAAAAACAATCAGCCTGTTTTAGATTCATAGGAGAAGTGATGTCACAGGGCAAACCTCTGCTCCCCAGACTGGAGAGACCATCAGGTGAATACAGGAAGTCACAACTTACTGGAGCAGACACCTCTGCAGTAACCAGTGCTGGGGAAGGGAAACCTGAACTGTGATTGAAGAATTGCTGGAGGCTTAGTGTGGACAAGTCTAAGAAATAAAAACCCCAAGGGACCCCAGGCATCAAGGGCCCCCACAGTTTTGTGAGTTTTACCTACTGGTGTTTTACCAGTTTCTCACAGTGAATGTCAGAGAAATATCTTCCTGTGCTTCCAGCAGGGGTGGGGAGTCAGGGGAAGGGACCATTTTGAAAACGCCAGAACATCCTGTTCTTAGCAAGATCTTCTCTCAGAAGAAACTAATCAGAGAGCCTAACCTGTTGCGGTTTTATCAGAGCCTAACTGAGCTGAAGTCAAACTCCAGCTAACTTTAGCCCTCCCGTCCTACCTTTGGGTGAAAAAAAAAACTGAGAAGAACTTGTGAAGTTCATAATCTGGAGGCACAGGCTCACTAACAGACTGAGACCTAATTAATCATAGGACTATAGAATGCTTCCCCTCCCCACACAGCTTACCACCCATTACTGAAGTCCAATTTACAGCAGTTCCTTTTACCCAGTCCATCATGCCTGGCTGTCAACAAAAACAACAAGGCATACTAAGAGGCAAAAAAACAGTTTGAAGAGACAGACCAAGCACCAGAACCAGACTGAGATATGGCAGTGTTAATGGAATTATCAGACAAGGAATTTAAAACAACTATAATTAAAATACTAAGGGATAAATGAATAAAGTAGACAGCATGCAGGAACAGATGGGCAATATAAGCAAAGAGATGGAAATTCAAAGAAAGTACCAAAAAGAAATGCTAGGGGTCAAAAACACTGTAATAGAAAAGAAGAATGCCTTTGAAGGAGTTATTAGTAAACTGGACACAGCTCAGGGGGAGTAAAAAAAAAAAAAAAAACAGCTTGAGGATATTTCAATACAAGCTTCCGAAACCAAAAAGAAAAGAGAAAAAAAATACTGAAAAATACCAGAACAGAATATCCAAGAACTATGGGACAACTACAGAAGGTATAACATGTGCATAACAGGAATACCAGAAGGAGAAGAAAGAGAGAAGGGAAGAGAAGAAATACTTGTTACATTAATGACTTAGAATTTTCCCCCAATTAATGTCAGACACCAAACCACGGATCCAGGAAAGTCAGAGAACACCAAGCAGAATAAATGCCAGAAAAATTGAACCTCAGCATATCATTTTCAAACAACATAAAATCAGAGATAAAAAAAAATCCCCAAAGAAGCCAGAGGAAAAAATACCTTACCTATACATGAGCAAAGATAAGAACTATATCTGACTGTTCCTCAGAAACCATGTAAACAGAAAGAGTGGAGTAAAATATTTAAAGTTTGAGAGAAAAAAAGTCTACCTATTTGGAATTCTGTACACTGTGAAATTATCCTTCAAAAGTGAAGGAGAAATAAAGACTTAATCAGACAAACAAAAATTGAGGGATTTTATTGCCAGTAAGCCTACCTTACAAGAAATGTTGAAAGAAGTCCTTTAGAGAGAAGGAAAATGATATCAGTCTGTAACTCATATCTACATGAGGAAAGAGAAAGCATGGGAGAATAAATAAGTGAAGGAAAAATAAACACCATTATTTTTCTTAATCTTAAGTGATCTAACGTATAACAATTTGTTCAAAGTAATACAAGCAACAATGTATTTGATTATGTATATTTTTATTTATATATAAGTAAAATGCATGACAGCAATAATACAAAGGATGGGAGGGAGGAATTTGGATTATCTGGTTATTATAAGGTACTGGCACTACCCTCGAAGTAGTATATTGTTATATTGTTATTTGAAAGTGAACTTGGACTTGTCATAAATGTATATTGCACACTCTAGGGCAACCTCTAAACTAAAAAAATGCATAACTGATATGCTAAAAAAGGAGAGAAAATAGATTATATAATATGCTCAATTAAAACCACAAAGGCAAAAAAAAAGAGTGAAGGAGAAAAATAGAAACGAAGAACAAGGGCAATAAAAACAAAACTATCAAATTTGGTAGATAGTAATCCAACTATATCAATGATCACTTTGAATGCCAATGGTCTAAATGTACCAATTAAAAGAGTATCAAAGTATATCAAAATACAAGATCTAAGTATGTGTTGTCTATAAGAAATGCACTTTAAATATAAAGACACATGTGAATTAAAAGAAAATGGATGGAGAAAGATATATCATGCTCACATTAATCAAAAGAAAGCAGTAACAACTATATTAATTTCAGACATAGCCTACTTCAGAGCAAAGAAGGTTATCAGAAACAAAGAGGGCCATTATATAATGATAAAAGGGTCACTTCTACAAGAAGACGTAACAGTTTTTAATGTGTATGCACCTAACAACAGAGATTCAAAGTATGTGAGGCAAAAACTGATAGAATGGCAAAAAAATAGATGAACACATTATTGTTAGAGACTTTAATACCCCTCCTTTAGAAATGAACACATATAGCAGGCAGAACATTAGTAAGAGTGTAATTGAACTAAATAGCACCACCAGTCAACTGGATATAATGGACATGGACTACTTCATCTAACAACAGAAGAATATATAATCATCCCTCAGTATCCACGGGAGATTGGTTCCAGGATCCCCCTCAAATACCAAAATCCATGAATGTGCAAGTCCCTGATATAAAGTGGTATAGCATTTGCATATAACATTGGTGCATCCCTCTGTATACTTTAAATCATCTCTAGATTACTCATACCTAGTACAAGGTAAATGCTATGTAAATAGTTGTTGTTAGTATTATTGTTGTTAATAGTATTATTAGTATAATTAGTATTAATAATTGTTAATAGTATTGAGGGAAACATGAAAGAAAAAAGTCTGTACTTGTTCAGTACAAACATAATTTTTTTCAAATATTTTCTATCTGTGGTTGATTGAATCCATGAATACAAAATCCACAGATATGAAGGGCTGACTATATATATTCTTTCTGAGCTACCATGGAACACTCACCAAGACAGAACCACATTCTGGGCCATAAAACATATTTCAACAAATTTTTTAAAACAGATATCATACAATGTCTGCTGTTAGGCTACAACAGAATTAAACTAGAACACAGTAACAGAAAGATAGCTGGAAAATCCTCAAATATGAGGTTAAACAATAGATTTCTAAATAAGACATGGGCGAAATAAGAAATCTCAAGATAAATTTAAAAATATTTTAAACCAAATGGAAATGAAAATACAACTTACCCAAATTTGGGGGATGCAGTTAAAATGTACATGGAGGGAAATTTATAGTATTGAATGCATGCATATATTGGAAAAACAGATCTAAACTCTACCGTCTAAGCTTCCACCTTAGGAAGTTATAAACAGAAATTAAATTACCCAAATTAAATCCAAAGTAAGCAGAAAGAAAGAAATAAAAATTAGAACAGAAATCAAAGAAATTGAAAACCTGAAATAGAGAAAATCAATGAAACCAAAAGCTGGTTCTTTGAAAAGATCAATAAAATTGGTAATCCTCTAGCCAGTCTAAGAAAAATGAGAGAAGATATGAATTGCTAATATCAAGAATGAAAGAGGTGACATCATTGCAGATCCGGTGGACATTAAAAGAATAATAAAGGAATACAATGAATAACTCTCTGCCCACATTTGATAACCTAGATAAATTTACCAATTCCTTGAAAGATACAATCTTCTAAAACTCACACAAGAAGAAATAAACAATGTGAATAGGCCTGGATTTATTAAATACATTAAATAAATAATTAATAAACCTTCCATGGCAGAAAGCACCAGGCCTAGATGGGTTTACTGGTAAATTCCACCAAATGTTTTATTTTATTTTAGAATTTCTTTTGCTATTATTATTATTATTATTTTTGAGACATGTCTCACTCTGTTGCCCAGGCTGGAGTGCAGTGGCAAGATCACTGCAGCCTTATCCTCCCAAGCTCAAGAGATCCTCTCACCTCAGCCTCCCAAGTAGCTGGGACTATAGGCATGTGCCACCATGCCCAACTAATTTTTGTATTTTTTTGTAGAGACAGCATTTTGTCTTGTTGCCCAGGCTGGTCTCAAACTCCTGAACTCAAGCAATCTGTCCACCTCAGCCTCCCAAAGTGCTGAGATTACAGGCGTGAGCCACCATGCCTAGCCAATTCCACCAAACGTTTAAGGAAGACATTATACCAATACTCTACAATCTCTTTCAGAAAATGGGAGCAGAGAGAGTATTCTGACTCTAACTAATTCAATGAGGCTGGGTATTAGTCTAATTCCAAAACTAGGCAAAGGTATTACAAAAAAAGAAAACTACAGCCCAACAACTCTCAGGAACATAGATGCAAAAATCCTCAACAAAATATTAGCCAACTGCATTAATAATGTATAAAAAGAATTATATACCAAAACCCAATTAGGATTAATCCCAGGTGTGCAAGCCTGTTTCAACATTTAAAATGAATTAATGAAATCCATCACATCGAAAGGTTAAATAAGAAAAATCATATGATCATATCAATTGTTGTAGAAAAGGTATTTGACAAAATTAAAGCCTCATTCCTGATAAAAACTCTCAGTAAACTAGGAATAATGAGAATTTCCTCAACTTTATAAATAATTTCTACAAAAAACCTACAGCTAACATTATACTTAATGGCAAGAAACATAAAGCCTTCCTTCTAAGACCAGGAACAAAGGGAAGATATCCCCTCTCACCACTGCTTTTCAACACTGTATTGGAAGTCCTAGCTAATACAATAAGAAAAGGAAATAAAAGGTATACAGATTGGAAGAGAAGAAATAAAACTATCTTTATTTGCAGATGACACGATCATCTATATAGACAATCTGAGAGAATCCACAAAAAAGATTTCTGGCATTAATAAGCAATTATAGGCCAGGTATCACGGCTCATGCCTGTAATCCCAGCACTTTGGGAGGCCAAGGTGGGCAGATCGCTTGTGGTCAGGAGTTTGAGACCAGCCTGGCCAACATGGCGAAACCCTATCTCTACCAAAAATAAGAAAAAATTAGCTGGGCACGGTGGTGCATGCCTGTAATCCCAGCTACTCAGGAGGCTGAGACACGAGAATCACTTGAACCTGGGAGGGGAGGTTGCAGTGAGCTGAGATCATGCCACTGCACTCCAGCATGAGTGACAGAGCAAGACTCTGTGTCAAAAGAAGAAGAAAAAAAGCAAAGCAATTATAGCAAAGTTTCAGGATGCAAAGTTAACAAAGTAAACATACAAAAATCGTTCACTTTCCTATATATCAGCAATGAACAAGTGGGATTTGAAATTTAAAACACAATACCATTTATGTTAGCATCCAAAAAGATGAAATAAAGTTGGCTCTCTGTATCTACGAGTCCTGCATCTGTGAATCCAATCACCTGCAGATTAAATATACTCATTAAAAAAATAAAAAGTAACGATAAAATACAAGACAAATAGAAATATAGTATAATACAGTATTTACCTAGCATTTGCATTGTATTAAGTATTATATGTAATCTAGAGATGATTCAAAACCTACAGGAGGATGTGCATGGTTATATGCAAATGCTACACCATTTTATATTAGAAACGAGCATTTTTGGAGTTTAGTATCTGTGGGGGGTCCTGAAATCAACATCCATGGATGCCAAGGGACGACTGTGCTGAGAAATAAATATAACAAAACCTGTACACAAACTTTATGAGGAAAACCAGAAAACTGAAACTAAAAAGGAACTAAATAAATGGAGAGATATTCCATATTCATGGATAGGAAGACTCAATATTGTCAAGATATTAGTTCTTCCTACCTTGATCTATAGATTCAATATAATCCCAGTCAAAATCTCAGCAAGTTATTGTGTGGATATTGACACACTGATTCTAAAGTTTACATGCAGAAGCAAAAAAAAACAAACAAACAAACAAAAAAAACACCAGGATAGCCAATACAATATTGAAGGTGAACAAAATTGGAGGACTGACACTATCTGAATTTAAGACTTACCATAAAGCTACCATAATCAAGATAATGTGGTATTGGTGAAAAATAGACAAGGGGTGGGAATAGAGGGCCCAGAAATGAACCAACATAAATATAGTAAGCTGATCTTTAACACATGATCAAAAGCAATATAATGGAACTAGAAATCTTTTGAACAAATAGTGCTGAGACAACTGGACACCCACATGCAAAAGTAAGAATTTTTATAGGCCTTACATCCTTCACAGAAATTTAACTCAAAAATGGATCACTGACCTAAATGAAAAACTGTAAAACTCTTGAAAGAAAACATAGGAGAAAATCTAGATGATCTTCAGTTTGATGATGACTTTTTAGATATAAAACTGAAGGCACGACTCATTAATGGAAGAACTGATAAGTTGAACTTGATGAAAATTTAAAATTCCTGTACTACGAAAGACACCGTCAAGAGAATGAAAAGACAAGCCACAGACTGAAAGAAAATATTTGACAAGGGACTGTTATCTGAAATATATAAAGAATTCTTAAAACTCAACAATAAGAAAACAATCAGATTAAAAAATGGACCAAAGACCTTAACAGACATCTTACCAAAGAAGATATAAAAATGGCAAATAAGCATATGAAAAGATGTTTCATTTCATATGTCATCAAGGAAATGCAAATGGAAAAAATGAGATCCCATTACACACCTATTACTATGGCCAAAACCCAGAATACTTACACCACCAAATGCTGGCAAGGATGTGGAGCAACAGGAACTGTCATTCATTGCTTGGTAGCAACGCAAAATTTAACAGCCACTTTGGAAGACAGTTTTGTGGTATCTTACAAAATGAAACATATGATCCAGTAGTTGTACTTCTTGATATTTACCCAAAGCAATTAAAATTTGATGTCCACACAAAAACTTGCACACATATGTTTATAGCAGCTTTGTTCATAATTTCCCAAACTTGAAGAAACCAAGGTGCTTGTATACATTCAATAGGCGAAAGTATACATAAACTGTGGTATATTTAGACAGTGGAATATTATTCAGCCCTAAAAAGAAACGAGCTGTCAAACTATGAAAAGGCATGGATGAAACTTAGGTGCATACTACCAAGTGAAAGAAGCCAATCTGAAAAGTCTACATGTTGTATGATTCCAACTATATAACATTCTGGAAAAGGTACAACTAGGGAGACAGCAAAAAGCTCAGTGGTTGCCAGGGTTTAAGGAGAAGAGAGGGATGAGTAGGCAGAGACAGAGAATTTTTAGGGCAGTGACATTACTCTGTAGGATACCATAATGGTGGATACATGTCATTATACATTTATCTAAACCCATAGAATGTAGAACACCAAGAGTGAACCCTAATGTAAACTATGGACACTGGGTCATAAGGATGGATCAAAATAGGTCATTAGTGGTAATAAATGTACAACCATGGTGGGGGATATTGATAGTGGGGGAGGCTATTCATATGCAGAGGCAGAGAGTATATGGGAAATCTCTGTACCTGAACCTAAAATCACTCTTTAAAAAATTTATATACAAGCATAATTGGCACATATTAACTTAAAATCACACAGAAATTAGAAAATTTGACAACTGTATGACCTTTGTATTGGAAAAGATGTTACTAGATCATTCAGTGGCTTTCAAACTTTTTGGACTACTGCTCACCATTAGAATATATGTCACATAACAACCTAGGACACACACACACACACACACACACACACACACACTTTGCACCTACAAAACCATAATATATATTTCATGAAACAATGCTTAGGCATACTATTTGTAATCTGCTGATAATTTTAATAGAATTTTTCTCTATTTTTTTAAGAAAATGTGTTGGATTGTGACTCACTAATTAATTTCGTGAACTGTGATTTGAAAAACGCTAATCTAATCCAACATTTGTTGTTTTGGACCCAACCCCTCATAGAAAACTTCCTGATTCCCACTCAGCACTGATCTTTGGCCAAGTGCATCAACAGGACTCCTGAGGTGGTTTAGGGATAGACAGGGTTCAGTGAGACCATCTCACATTGGAGCTGACAATCTCCTTCAAGTCCTCTGGAGCCAAGCTTGGAGGCAGGAATACATCTCGGTGAATGCAATAGCTTTCTGGGTCCTACAGTGATATAAACATTTCAATCAACACTTTTGCACATGGGGGTACTTAATAAATACTTGCTTTGCTGATTTGGCTTCACTTGTTAATAAAAGCCCACTAAAACCTTATCATAAGCATGCACTTATTCTCTTTGTTTTTTTGCTATTTAAATAGAGCTGTTGGCATGTTAAATGGTTTGCATTTGTGTTCCCATTTGACTTGGTAGATATTGATCCATTGCATCTTGAAGGGTTCAGTGTTCAGAGTGATGCTGAAGCTCCATCACTGGTGTCATTCTTTTGAAAGGTGCTCATACATCATTTGTCACTCAAGTACATTCAACTTCATTCACAAGGGATGGACTGGAGTGGTCCAGCCATGCAGGGCTTTTTTGTTAAGCACACCAAAAGGATGCACATTTCAGACATCTCAATGGACCAGATCCTCACAAAAGGATGAAAAGTGTTTGAAAACAGGAAACACAGAATAGTGGAAGAGTTTGGTTTAGTGAAAATATAGGCCTCTGGAAACTACTGTGCTCCATTTCCCTTAATTCTTGAACTTCAGATATAACAAATGAACTGCTAATGTTATAAAGATTAGACCCTGTCTCTGGGGAATAGGTAAAGCTACAAAGACATTGAAGATTAGTGGAAGCTTGTCTGGTGTGTGGTGAACTTAGGATATAATCTTAGCTGACTTAATATTTTGTCATCTGTGAATTTTCTTGAAAGTTTTCTAGAGGGAAACACTGATCGACAAGTTTTTAAGTTTTTTTTTTGGCTTGTTTGTTTTGTTTTTAAACTAAGCAGAAATTCATAAACATGTATTATAAAGTTGTCACTCATTCTAGTGGCTCTCTGTTTTTTCTTTTCAAGCTTGTGGAAATTGTACATATTTTTAATGCTTTCAAATAAAACATACATCAAAGGAAAAAATTCTTTTCCTCTGAACAATTTAAAATCCCATTAAAACGCTTTATACAGGCCGGGTGCAGTGGCTCACGCCTGTAATCCCAGCACTTTGAGAGGCCGAGGTGGGTGGATCACGAGGTCAGGAGATCGAGACCATCCTGGCTAACACGGTGAAACCCCGTCTCTACTAAAAATACAAAAAATTAGCCAGGCATGGTGGCGGGTGCCTGTAGTCCCAGCTACTCAGGAGGCTGAGGCAGGAGAATGGTGTGAACCTGGGAGGCGGAGCTTGCAGTGAGCCGAGATAGCGCCGCTGCACTCCAGCCTGGGCAACAGTGTGAGACTCCATCTCAAAAAAAAAAAAAAAAAAAAAAAAAAAGCTTTATACAATCTTAAATTCCCATCAGAACATATCACAAACTGCTGGTCAAGAGGAAAGCACATGAGAGACTTGTTTTAAAACAGAAGAGTAATAGTTATATTTCTGTGTCTATTTTTGTAACTCAGTTGAAAACCGAGTTATAACCAAAGAAAGATACTTAAAGAATATATGGAGACCTGGAATGTGGGAGTGAAAGATCACCGGTAGATTGCTGCTATTGATAAGGTGCATAACAAAGTATAATTTAACCTCTGATGAAGTGTTTCTCAAAGTTTTATCTGTGGGCCAGTTTCATCAGAATCACTTCAGGTGCTTGTTAACATCTGAGGTTAGCTGGCTCCTCATATCTGTGAGTAGGGTCCAGGAAGATATGTCTGACAAGTTCCTCAAGTGATTTTGATGAACACTCAAAGAAAGAACCACTGCTCTATTGATGGGGGATTGTGCATGGAAGTTGGAGAGAGTAGGAAGTTCAGAAAGAAAGACGGAGTTGGGGAGAGAGAAAGGGCAGAGAGAAGTGGGTAGAGGGAGAGAGAGAAAGAGAACCTGGCCACTATTTATAAGTGTAGCAGAAATAAATATTCTCGTGCTACTCCAGAAACCTTAAAAAACAAACAAACAAACAAAAAAAAACAGTGATTGTTGCTCTAGGTTTTCTAGAAAGAGGCGTGTCTGGGAGATTTACACAGTGTATCTGAAACCCTTCTTGGAATCATGGAATTCTCTAAAAGCTGCTGAAATTCTCTCCTCCTTTTTCTTATTGTCAGACTGCATGTGTGTGCCATTTTCTTTGTTTCCTTCTTTGTCCTATGTATCATGGTAATCAAATGACCATTCTCAATCTATGTTCTGAAACGTTGACCCTTTTGTTCTATGAACAAAGCTTTCAGAAGTGCAATTCTTTTTAAAAACTATTTTAATCTGTTATATACAAATCATGTAGTTTATATAACGTTAAACAATGACATTATATATCAGAAAGGGGAGCAGATCAAATACTTTGCAGATTGTAAATTATCCAAATCTACTGATACTGCACAGATGCTTTTTTACCCTAAAAGTGAGGAACTAGTGGTTTTTGAGTAAAATCTTACACTAAGCACTCCACTTTGTGACTCACAGTGTGGTTTGCAGACCAGCAGAATTGCCATCACCTGGGACATCCTTAGGAATGCAGAATCTTGAGTTCTCCCCAGACATACTTAATCCAATTCTACAGTCTAAAAATATCCTCAGGTGATCTGTATGCACTCTCAAATTCCAGAAACACTGTTTACCACTCAGTTCATTTTAAAACGATGAGAAGTTCCGTTAACTGCACAACAGTACACATTTCTGCTAAGTAATGGTAGTTTTTAAACACGTGGAGTTTTACTCTAGCCATCTGAAATGTTAGAGCTGGAAAAGATGATATAATCTCAAATTTGCAAATTCATGGTCCTGGGCCTTTTGCAAGCCCAACTAAAAACTTTTCAGAAACCTTCAAAAGCTCTTAAAACCACAGGAAGTGTAATTCTTCCTCCACTTTGACTGCCTTTCTCCAGAGCAGCAGTCTTCTGGAATTCCAGTGCATACATTTATCCACATTGCTATAGAAGTAGGCTTTGGACATGTGACCCATGTGTAGACCCTTCCCAGTCTTGCAGGAAACTGATTGTGTATGTCTACACACACTGGTCATTGTTATAATATAAATTCAGCTGGCATATTTCATGTCTAATCACTATAATATAATAGGTGAACAAAGTAGGAGGAAGGCCCTGGTGGCATTAGTAAGAAATAGCGTCAGCCATTTAAATGGGAAATCTGGGTGACTTGACCTGTGAAAAACAGTTTTTTGTTTTCCCAAAGCCATTTAAGGTAATTATGTTGGAGTTTCAGAGTGACATGGTTGGAGGGTGTAAGAGACTTGTTTGGGTCCCACTTGCTGTTTCTTGCACCTGGTAGGACCTCATCTGGAACAGGTGGATTATCTTGTTATGAGCTGAAGTCTCTCACTCTAAGACACAAGAAATCACATAGCAACTGTGGTGTTCTTGTCTAAGAATCTACCTTTCATGCTTATTGAAGTACATTGTAACTTCTGTCAACTGCATGGGCCAGAATGGGCATTTTTGCCAAGCCTGAGACCTAGACTGCCCTGTGATGACTTTGGTCCTCTTTAGAGGATGCCAAGGAAAAAAAGAAAAAAACCTTTATTTATTCTCTCAAGATGGTAGAGAAAACACACACACATTCTCTCTCACACACGGACTTGAAACTAAGGGAGAGATCAATCACTTAGATTGTTTTAGAACCCAAATTTTAAAAGTTTGAACATTTAGTGATGAGTAGTAATGAGTAATTTAATAATTTAGTAATGGGTAGTAGTACTAGAACATGAATGGTAATATGATTACCCCAAAAGTTGCCTGCTGTATAATTAGTGAATTGATATATTCATTCAACAAATATTTACTGAACACTTAAATGCCAAGTACTCTGTTAAGAGCTGGGGGTTTGAAGGAAATTGGAGTTGATTCATGACTTCAAGACTTTTAGAAAAAAGAAATATAGAAGCAAAAACAAAATAATGTGGTAAGTGCTAAAATGCAGGTATGGGTTTAAAGTTACATAACTGCCAGGTGCTGTGGTTCATGCCTGTATTCCCAGTATGTTGGGAGGCTGACATGGAAGAAGCCCAGGAGTTCGAGGCTGGCCTGGGCAACATAGTAAGACTTCATCTTTACAAATCCTTTCTTTAATTACATAAGAAGTAGTGCCAGTAGTCTTAACTGAACAAGATGAGAGAGTTCCTTTTTTTACTGTAAATCTACCTACTTCAGATAGGTAGTGATGCTTAATTTCTCTATAATATTTAAAATTTATTAAAGAATGATATCAACTCATTAGTATTCAAATTGTTCATTGTGGACATTTTGATTTAAAGTTTGGACAAGAGGCATTGACCCGCTATTATTACTATGAGTCTATGTTGGGTCAGTGGTTTTCAAAGTGAGGCCTGAGTGTCTTTGGTAATTTACAAAGGTCCTCAGGGAATTCAGGAAAATGATGTCCTGTGGTTTTAATCCTGTAATGTAGTTATACTTTTTCTAGCATCAATTCTTCATTTACTTAATATATTCCTCATTTGTATCCTATCAAAAAAGTGTTTTCTGCATTGAGTTTATTTTACCTTTTTAAGGGAATAGATGGCCTGTAGGGACTTTTGCCTCATAAATATTGTCCAAATTTTTTTGCAAACAATCAAAAGCAGAAGACCAGTTTCAAGATGATAGAGTTAAAAAATACGAATGTGCATGATGTCATTATGAAAAAGGTTTGTCCACTAGAGAGTGTAAAAGTATTCTGTGTTTATTATGATTTCTGAATATATAACTTGTTCCTCAAAGTACCAAAATGTATCTTCAATCCCCTGAAGCTTCTCACAGCCAGATAAATAGTGAAGGGGGTGGGTGTCAAACAGTACCACTAGTATTAAGGCCATGAGCTTTGATTTGATAGCCTTGAAATTTCATGGAGTCCGAGGATTGCACATTGAAATATATTACAGAGCACACAGTTTACAAAAAACCTTGTGATCATGTTTGATTGAGGACCCAGTAAGAACAGATGTAAGAACTTTTCAAAAACAGCCAGAAATTTATTGTAACCTTTCAGGATTATTAAAATTCTGTGGAGTTCAAACAAAGCATTTCTATGGCTTTGCAAGTCCTCGTCAAGGCTACGATTCTACATCAAAGCAGAAATTCCTCTAAGAGAAAATCTGAGAAAGTTCATGTTTTTTCACTGAAGGCCAGCCCTACAGCTCAAACTCAGGAAAGTTTTTGGATTGTTTTTTCCTTGGTTTTCATGGTATATTACTTAATGTAGTAGAACATCGTACTCAGAGGCTGGCACTCTGCTGAACAAAAGATAACACCCTTTACTCCTCCTCCATGTTATACTATGAGAGAAATTGATAGACTAAATTAAGGTACTTTCAAGTGAAAGAAGGACTCATCAAAGTAAAGTGAAATAATAATTATAATATAAAATCCCAGAATAATAGTTATCACAAAGGTGATACTAATGCTGCAGATCAAAATATTTTTAAAAGTTTAAATAAAGGCCCTGGTTGATGCTGGTTTATATCTTAGTTACATACATTTTACCTGGTGTTCTACATAGAAACCCGCTTCCTGCTCTGCTCCAAGTTCTGTCTGAACATTATGTAGCCTCTGATGCAACAAAAATTCATGCATTTGTCTGGATATATATGGCATCTCAGTAGATAGAATAAAAATGTCTTGAATCTAGATTAAACCTTATCTCAATCTTTGTCACCTTGGAAAAGGCCAAACCATCATATACTTCATAGTGTGAAATGTGTGTGTGAAATCCACACATTGAGGATGACAGAATGCCTTTGGAAGCCTAAAGCATTGGAAAGGATTTGGTGGTCCTCCCCTTCTTTGCTAATGTCTATAACCTAAATTGCTAAATAAGAGGAAGGAAGTCTAATAAAGTTCTGTTTCTTTTCCCCATAGTGACTACTTTGATGCTCCTTTGGGAAATATTAGATGCCACATTCCTTCACAATACACTTTCCCATTATTATGTACCTTGCTTTGCATTGCTATAAGCAGGTGCCCAGTCCATCTGTTATTCTGGTTGTGCCTCACTTTATATTACATGTCCCTAAAAATTGTGACTGAAATGAAATGTAAATTATGTGGAATAATATATCATCATGGTGAATTACTTTATCAAAAAATGATTTTATGGCTCTGGGGGGCAGTTCCAAGATGGCCAAATAGGAACAGCTCCATTCTACAGCTCCCAGCATGAGTGGCGCAGAAGACGGGTGATTTCTCCATTTCCAACTGAGGTACCAGGTTCATCTCACTGGGGCTTGTCAGACAGTGGGTGTAGGACAGTGGGTGCAGCCCACCGAGTGTGAGCCGAAGCAGGGCGAGGCATCATCTCACCCGGGAAGTGCAAGGGGTCAGGGAATTCCCTTTCCTAGCCAAGGGAAGCTGTGACAGACGGCACCTGGAAAATCAGGTCACTCCCACCCTAATACTGCGCTTTTCCAATGGTCTTAGCAAACGGCACACCAGGAGATTATACCCCGTGCCTGGCTTGGAGGGTGCCACGACCACGGAGCCTCGCTCACTGCTAGCACAGCAGTCTGAGATTGAACTGCAAGGTGACAGCAAGGCTGGGGGAGGGGTGCCCGCCATTGCTGAGGCTTGAGTAGGTAAACAAAGCAGCCTGGAAGCTCGAACTGGGTGGAGCCCACCACAGCTCAAGGATGCCTGCCTGCCTCTGTAGACTCCACCTCTGGGGGCAGGGCATAGCCGAACAAAAGGCAGCAGAAACCTCTGCAGACTTAAATGTCCCTGTCTGACAGCTTTGAAGAGAGTAGTGGTTCTCCCAGCAGAGAGTTTGAGATCTGAGAACTGACAGACTGACTCCTCAAGTGGGTCCCTGACCCCCAAGTAGCCTAACTGGGAGGCACCTCCCAGTAGGGGCAGACTGACACCTCACACGGCCAGGTACTCCTCTGAGATGAAGCTTCCAGAGGAACGATCAGGCAGCAACATCTGCTGTTCAGCAATATTCGCTGTTCTGCAGCCTCTACTGCTGATACCCAGACAAACAGGGTCTGGAGTGGATCTCCAGAAACTCCAACAGACCTGCAGCTGAGGGTCCTGACTGTTAGAAGGAAAACTAACAAACAGAAAGGACATCCACACCAAAACCCCATCTGTATGTCACCATCATCAAAGACCAAAGGTTGACAAAACCACAAAGATGAGGAAAAAACAGAGCAGAAAAGCTGAAAACTCTAAAAATGAGAGTGCCTCTTCTCCTCCAAAGGAACGCAGCTCCTTGCCAGCAATGGAACAAAGCTGGATTGAGAATGACTTTGACGAGTTGAGAAAAGAAGTCTTCAGACGATCAAACTTCTCCGAGCTAAAGAAGGAAGTTCAAACCCAATGCAAAGAAGCTAAAAACCTTGAAAAAAGATTAGACGAATGGCTAACTAGAATAACCAGTGTAGAGAAGTCCTTAAATGACCTGATGGAGCTGAAAACCATGGCACGAGAACTACGTAATGCATGCACAAGCTTCAGTAGCCAATTCGATCAACTGGAAGAAAGGGTATCAGTGATTGAAGATCAAATGAATGAAATTAAGTGAGAAGAGAAGTTTAGAGAAAAAGAGTAAAAAGAACAAAGCCTCCAAGAAATATGGGACTATGTGAATAGACCAAATCTACGTCTGATTGGTGTACCTGAAAGTGACGGGGAGAATGTAACCAAGTTGGAAAACACTCTTCAGGATATTATCCAGGAGAACTTCCCCAACCTAGCAAGGCAGACCAACATTCAAATTCAGGAAATACAGAGAACACCACAAAGATACTCCTCAAGAAGAGCAACCACAAGACACATAATTGTCAGACTCACCAAGGTTGATATGAAGGAAATAATGTTAAGGGCAGCCAGAGAGAAAGGTCGGTTTACCCACAAAGGGAAGCCCATCAGACTAACAGCAGATCTCTCAGCAGAAACTCTACAAGCCAGAAGAGAGTGGGGGCCAATATTCAACATTCTTAAAGAAAAGAATTTTCAACCCAGAATTTCATATCCAGGCAAACTAAGCTTCATAAGTGAAGGAGAAATAAAATCCTTTACAGACAAACAAATGCTGAGAGATTTTGTCTCCACCAGGCCTGCCCTAAAAGAGCTCCTGAAGGAAGCACTAAACATGGAAAGGAATAACCAGCACCAGCCACTGCAAAAACATGCCAAATTATAAAGACCATCAATGCTAGGAAAAAACTGCATCAACTAAAGAGCAAAATAACCGGCTAACATCATAATGACAGAATCAAATTCACACATAACAATATTAACCTTAAATGTAAATGGGCTAAATACTCCAACTAAAAGACACAGACTGGCAAATTGGATAAAGAATCAAGACCTATCAGTATGCTGTATTCAGGAGACCCATCTCACGTGCAGAGACACACATAGGCTCAAAATAAAGGGATGGAGGAAGATCTACCAAGCAAATGGAAAACAAAAAAAGGCAGGTGTTGCAATCCTAGAGTCTGATAAAACAGACTTAAAACCAACAAAGATCAAGTGAGACAAAGAAGGCCATTACATAATGGTAAAGGGATCAATTCAACAAGAAGAGCTAACTATCCTAAATATACATGCAACCAATACAGGAGCACCCAGGTTCATAAAGCAAGTCCTTAGAGACTTACAAAGAGACTTAGACTCCCACACGATAATAATGGGAGACTTTAACACCCCACTGTCAACATTAGACAGATCAACGAGACAGAAAGTTAAAAAGGATATCCAGGAATTGAACTCAGCTCTGCACCAACTGTACCTAATAGACATCTACAGAACTCTCCACCCCAAATCAACAGAATATACATTCTACTCAACACCACATCACACTTATTCCAAAATTGACCACATAGTTGGAAGTAAAGCACTCCTCAGCAAATGTAAAAGAACAGAAATCACAACAAACTGTCTCTCAGACCATGGTGCAATCAAACTAGAACTCAGGATTAAGAAACTCACTCAAAACCGCTCAACTGCATGGAAATGGAACAACCTGCTCCTGAATGACTACTAGGTACACAATGAAATGAAGGCAGAAATAAAGATGTTCTTTGAAACCAATGAGAACAAAGACACAACATACCAGAATCTCTGGGACACATTTAAAGCAGTGTGTAGAGGGAAATTTATAGCACTAAATGCCCACAAGAGAAAGCAGGAAAGATCTAAAATTAACACCCTAACATCACAATTAAAAGAACTAGAGAAGCAAGAGCAAACACATTCAAGAGGTAGCAGAAGGTGAGAAATAACTAATATCAGAGCAGAACTGAAGGAGATAGAGACACAAAAAACCCTTCAAAAAATCAATGAATCCAGGAGCTGGTTTTTTGAAAAGATCAACAAAATTGATAGACCGCTAGCGAGACTAATACAGAATAAAAGAGAGAAGAATCCAATAGACACAATAAAAAATGATAAAGGGGATCTCACCACCGATCCCACAGAAATACAAACTACCATCAGAGAATACTATAAACACCTCTATGCAAATAAACTAGAAAATCTAGAAGAAATGGATAAATTCCTGGACACATAAACCCTCCCAAGACTAAACCAGGAAGAAGTTGAATCTCTGAATAGACCAATAACAGGATCTGAAATTGAGGCAATAATTAATAGCCTACCAACCAGAAAAAGTCCAGGACAAGACAAATTCACAGCCAAATTCTACCAGAGGTACAAGGAGGAGCTGGTACCATTCCTTCTGAAACTATTTCAATCAATAGAAAAAGAGGGAATCCTCCGTAGCTCATTTTATGAGGCCAGCACCCTGAAAAGCCTGGCAGAGACACAACAAAAAAAGAGAATTTTAGACTAATATCACTGATGAACATCGATGCAGAAATCCTCAATAAAATACTGGCAAACCAAATCTAGGAGTACATCAAAAAGCTTTTCCACCATGATCAAGTGGGCTTCATGCCTGGGATGCAAGGCTTGTTCAGAATATGCAAATCAATAAACATAATCCAGCATATAAACAGAACCAAAGACAAAAACCACATGGTTATCTCAATAGATGCAGAAAAGGCCTTTGACAAAATTCAACAGCCTTTGATGCTAAAAACTCTCAATAAATTTAGTATTGATGGGACATGTCTCAAAATAATAAGAGCTATTTATGACAAAGACACAGCAAATATCATACTGCGTGGGCAAAAACTACAAGCATTCCCTTTGAAAACTGGCACAAGACAGGGATGCCCTCTCTCACCACTCCTACTCAACACAGTGTTGGAAGTTCTGGCCAGGGCAATCAGGCAGGAGAAAGAAATAAAGAGTATTTAGTTAGGAAAAGAGGAAGTCAAATTGTCCCTGTTTGCAGATGACATGATTGCATATTTAGAAAACCCCATCATCTCAGCCCAAAATCTCCTTAAGCTGATAAGCAACTTCAGCAAAGTCTCAGGATACAAAATCAATGTGCAAAAATCACAAGCATTCTTATACACCAATAACAGACAAACAGAGAGCCAAATCATGAGTGAAATCCCATTCACAACTGCTTCAAAGAGAATAAAATACCTAGGAATCCAACTTACAAGGGATGTGAAGGACCTCTTCAAGGAGAACTACAAACCACTACTCAACAAAATAAAAGAGGACAAAAACAAATGGAAGAACATTCCATGCTCATGGATAGGAAGAATCAATATCGTGAAAATGGGTATACTGCCCAAGGTAATTTATAGATTCAAAGTCATCCCCATCAAGCTACCAATGACTTTCTTCACAGAATTGGAAAAAACTACTTTAAAGTTCATATGGAACTAAAAAAGAGCCCACATTGCAAAGTCAATCCTAAGCCAAAAGACAAAGCTGGAGGCATCATGCTACCTGACTTCAAACTATACTACAAGGCTACAGTAATCAAAACAGCATGGTAGTGCTACCAAAACAGAGATATAAACCAATGGAACAGAACAGAGCCCTCAGAAATAATACTACACATCTACAATCATCTGATCTTTGATAAACCTGACAAAAACAAGAAAAGGGGAAAGGATTCCCTATTTAATAAATGGTGCTGGGAAAACTGGCTAGCCATATGTAGAAAGCTGAAACTGGATCCCTTCTTTACACCTTATACAAAAATTAATTGAAGATGGATTAAAGACTTAAATGTTAGACCTAAAACCATAAAAACCCTAGAAGAAAACCTAGACATACCCTTCAGGATATAGGCATGGGCAAGGACTTCATGTCTAAAACACCAAAAGTAATGGCAACAAAAGCCAAAATTGACAAATGGGATCTAATTAAACTAAAGAGCTTCTGCACAGCAAAAGAAACTACCATCAGAGTGAACAGGCAACCTACAGAATGGGAGAAAATTTTTGCAATCTTCTCATCTGACAAAGGGCTAATATCCAGAATCTACAAAGAACTACAACAAATTTACAAGAAAAAAACAAACAACCCCATCAAAAAGTGGGCAAAGGATATGAACAGACACTTCTCAAAAGAACATATTGATGCAGCCAACAGACACATGAAAAAATGCTCATCATCACTGGCTATCAGAGAAATGCAAATCAAAACCAGGATGAGATACCATCTCACACCAGTTAGAATGGCGATCATTAAAAAGTCAGGAAACAACAGGTACTGGAGAGGATGTGGAGAAACAGGAACACTTTTACACTGTTGGTGGGACTGTAAACTAGTTCAACCATTGTGGAAGACAGTGTGGTGATTCCTCAAGGATCTAGAATTAAAAATACTATTTGACCCAGCAATCCCATTACTGGGTATATACCCAAAGGATTATAAATCATGCTGCTATAAAGACACATGCACATGTATGTTTTTGTGGCACTATTCACAGTAGCAAAGACTTGGAACCAACCCAAATGTTCATCAGTGATAGACTGGATTAAGAAAATGTGGCACATATACACCATTGAATACAATGGAGTCATAAAAAAGGGTGAGTTCATGTCCTTTGTAGGGACATGGATGAAGCTGGAAACCATCATTCTCAGCAAACTATTGCAAGGACAAAATCCAAACACCGCATGTTCTCACTCATGGATGGGAATTGAACAATGAGAACACTGGGACACAGGAAGGGGAACATCACACACTGGGGCCTGTTGTGGGTTGTGGGGAGGGGGAGGGATTTCATTAGGAGATATACCTAATGTAAATGACGAGTTAATGGGTGTAGCACGCCAACATGGCACATGTATACATATGTAACAAACCTGCACATTGTGCACATGTACCCTAGAACTTAAAGTATAATAATAAAAGATTTTATAATATTTCTCAATTTTCCATTTTTAAAGTTTGAATTTTAATATACCAAATATTCTCAATGTGGATCTCACGTACATTTTATTTTGAGGTTGACAGAATCAACCAATCAGTGGATACATACAGTCATGGGTTGGCACTGTGATGAAAACCAGGGATTCAAAGTAGAAGATGCAGCCTTTCCCAGTGAAATGATGAGACAGGTGTGTGTTCATACACACCCCTAACAAAACAAAGTCACACACAGTAAATGCCAAATGATTAATGCAGTTACTAAATAACTTGGTGTAGTAGAAAGTGATCACTTGATGGAGAGGATTTAGACAGATAGAAAGGAAGTGTAAGAACAATGTAGGGCCCGGCACAGTGGGTCCAACCTGTAATCCCAGCACTTTGGGGGGCCGAGGCAGGTCAGGAGTTCAAGACTAGCCTGGCCAACATGCTGAAACCCTGTTTCTACTAAAAATACAAAAAATTAGCTGGGTGTGGTGGCAAGTGCCTTTAATCCCAGCTACTCAGGAGGCTGAGGCAGAAGAATCACTTGAACCCAGGAACTGGAGGTTGCAATGGGCCGAGATTGTGCCACTGCACTCCAACCCCGGGTGACAGTGTGAGACTACGTCTCAAAAAAAAAAAAAAAAAAAAAGAACAATGTAAACATAGATTGAGAAGGCAACTGACACCAAGATGTCTATAGGGAATTGACTAGGAATCTAGAAGAGTGATTCATTCATTAATCCATTGTTCACTGAGTTGTTGGATGTCTAGTCTTTACCAGGCACTGTCTTTGATTTTAGGGACACGAGGTTAAATATGATATAGTCCTTCCAAGGACATGTCAGAATATAAGAGGTGGATGAAGCCATGGGTTTAGGTAGATCATAAAACTATAAAATTTGCTAATTTATTTAATCCACTCTCACCCAATGCAGAAATCCTCTATGATAGATTCTTAAAAGCAGTAATCAACGTCTGTTTGAATACTTTTATTGACATTCAGTCATTCAAAAAGCATTTAGAGATTACCTCACAAATGCAAGCATTGTAGAAGATACTGGAGATATAAAGATAAATAAAACATCTGTCTTCCAAGTATATTCAGTTTTCAGAAGCTCACTAACTTACAAGACACTTTTCCATTTTTGGATGACATTAACTGTTAGAAAGATTGCTTTACTTACATAATCATAGCAATGTAAATGCCAAATACAGACTTAGCAAAAATAAGTGATAAAAATATATTAGGAGGTAGAGCAAAGGAGAATCCTCACATTTTATAATAAGAAATACATACATATAATGCTTAAAACTGAAGAATCAAGAAATAGCAGTATATTATTAGACATATGAGCAGATGAAATGCTAGAAGAGTTGAAAGTGGTTGCTTCTGGGAAATGAAAATTGGAAAGTGACATACAGTGAGTAGGGACTGTTATTTTTTTGTTTAAGCCTTATGTAACTTGATGAGTTTAAAACTCTATAAGTATCATCTTTTGATTAAAAGTTTCTTTAAAATGAAATAAAATAAATTGGAAGCACAGAGAGAAGCAGAGATGGGAAATGGAGATCAAAGACTTCTAGGATACTTACCATGCTTGGCCTTGCTGTTGGTCCTTTTCTGAGGATTGGGTTCTCAGAGTGCCAAGCTACCCATCCAATATCCTCTTTCTGCTCAGTTGAAACCAAATGAGTTTCCATTATTTACAAGCAGAAGCATTCTAATATATAAATACTCTAATAGTGTCAGATGACTAAAGGGAAAACAAATAGCGTAATAACTGAGAAGATAAATTTTTTTTCCAAAATTTGCTTTTAAAAAATAGGCACTCACCCTTCAAAACCCTAAGTGGCACTCCAAATCCTGATGTTTGTCAGTAGATTACTAAAGCCGTTATAGAACAGAGGTTGGCAAACTTTTTCTGTGAAGGGGTACGCAGTAAATATTTTAGGCTTTGTGGGCCATATAGCCGCTATTCAACTCTGCCATTGTAGCAGGAAAGCAAACTAGACAGTGCGGATGAGTGTGACTGCACTGCAACAAGATTTTATCTATAAAACAAGTGGTAGGCTGGATTTGGTCTTTGGCCATAGTTTATTGATCCATTTTAGAGCTAGGGCCACTGCATACAGTTGAACCATTTGTGCCTCAAAGTGAGTAACCAAGGGGATAAATGGGGACAGAAATGCAGCCACACTTCCCTTGCTATGCTTTGCTCCAAAGTGTGACACTCTGCCTGCCCAGAGAAGAGGGAACCTTTCTCAACTCGTCTGCCCAATGGAGATGCTTTTTTCTTATCACACAATGGCTCCATGGCTAGGTGCTGCTCTGCTTAGAACCTCAGAGAAAAAGCAAAGATTAAAGTGCTTACAGGTCATTAATAACATCCCACACGAGACTTGTATTCTCCAGGCAAAATATCCCCAGACATCTATCCATTCTTTCCATGCCCTACTGTTGAGTCACTTTATTTTCCTGGTTGTTCCCTTGGGAATAGGCTCCAGTGTCCCAAAACTATACACAGTACTCCAGGAATGGTCAAAAGGTTGCAGAACAGATCTATTATTAGTAAGGTAGCTGTAGAATCACAATAGTTTTTGAGCAGTGAACACTTGCAAAATGGAAGGTCCCTTTATCCTTTAAACATCACTGCTATTAAGATATAGATCTTATAGTTTTAGGTTGGTGCAAAAGTAATTGTGGTTTTTGCCATAAAGTAGTTGGTTTTGTTTGTTTGTTTTACTTTTTTTTTCTTTAGGTAATTTTCCATCCAGTTAGTAGGGTTTTTTTGTTTTTGTTTTTGCTTTTGTTTCTGTTGTTATTGTTGTTTTCTTTTTTTAAGAGACAGAGTCTCACTTTGTTGCCCAGGCTGGAGTGCAGTGGTGTGATCACAGCTCACTGTAACCTAGAACTCATGGGCTTAAGTGATCCTTCTCAGCCTCCTGAAAAGCTGAGACTATGAGAGCACGCCATCACACCCAGCTTCTAAGATATAGTTCTTTTATGGTACACTTCCACAGTTGTTTCTGGACCCTACTTATAGATTTTATACTTGTTTCTGTGAAATTACATTTTGTAGAATTGGTTCATTATTTCAGGTAGTTTAGAAGGAGATATTAGCTCTCCCTTATCGCTCCATGGGAACTCTAAATCTGATAAACCTAACGGGCATGGTGGCTCATGCCTGTAATCCCAACGTGTTGGGAGGTCAAAGCAGGTGTATCGCTTGTGCCCAGGAGTTCAAAAGCAGCTTGGGCAATATGATGAAACCCTGTCTTTACAAAACATATAAAAATTAGGTGGGTGTGATGGCACACACCAGCTACTGGGGAGGCTGAAATGGGAGGATTGCTTGAGCCTGGGAGGTCAAGGCTGCAGTGAGCCATGATCATGCTGCTGCACTCCAGCCTGGGTAACAGAGAGAGACCATGTCTCTAAATAAATAAACCAATAAGCCTGTCAACTGTCATCCAAATTACTGATTAAAATGTCAAAAAATAGTAGAAACCATAGGAGGGGTAAGAGATCATGAAAAGGTAATGCAAATAAGTGTAGGTCAAGATATATAAAATCAAATGCTTACTCTCACTAATAATAGAATAAATGCAACTAAACTAATAATTAATAACGACAGGAAAAAATGCTTAAAATATATAAAACACCTAGAGCTGGAAAGGTTGGGGTGAGACATATATTGCTGGAAGTATTGTAACTCAGTGTAATCTGCTTAAAAATCAACATGGCAATATGTATTGAGAAGTTTCAAATTTCTTCTTACTTCTCAACCCAGGGAATCTATCTTAGAGACATAGTGAAAAGAAGAAAAATAAAAGTTCAAAAGGCACATTATTATAATCCATATTTATATGAATAAATTATTTATAATCTATAAAAGCTGAAAACAATGTCCTAATATCCTCAATGTCTCACAAATATTGTATTTGAGCAGGCTGATAGGAAAAATATGATATTATGATGAACAGCCAGAATTAAAAGCATCGATTATATAAGTGAAAAAACTATATGACAATATAAAATTGACAAAAGCAAGAAAAGAAGTAAAGAAATATAAAAATAGGTATTTGAATATTGATACTCCAAGTGTATTTTTGTTTTAATTTTTATTAATGTTACTATAATGTTGTCTTCATAAGAAATGCATTTTATATTAAAATTTACTACCATATAAAATATATTGTGCTATCTGATTATTTTGAAAAATCTTTATGAGAGGAAAATGCAAAAAAAGCTGGGAAAATGATTTGGGAGAGGATCCTTGATCCTTTTCATTTATATAGAAAAGAAAAGATTCGTTAAAATACAGCTTAGTTACTCGACAAAGAGTGGGAGATGGCTGATGAGACAGTAGAAATGTATTCCTGGGCACAATTTGGGGAAAATAATTCCAGTAAATCTAGATACAAATCTTTGAAAATAAGAGTTAAGTAAGTTACATCAAAATATCGTGTAAGTGACAGAACCCTTTGGTCTCTTTGGTCTTTCCTTCTCCAACATATTTTCCATATTATTCATGTATTTATTGCTTGAGGCAATGATTATTTATTATGTTTCACCTGAATGTGGAAGAATTTCTCAAGAAAGTAATTTCCACATATTTTGAAATCTAAAACAGTTCTGGGAAATCTCTAACACTGGCAGTCAGTGGGGTCACGGTAGGGTCAGGCACATCCTTGAAGGGGTGAAGTGCGTGTCACAATCTCCTGGTGGTCTGTATCAGTATGAGTAGAGCTGTAAGTAACAGCTGACATCAGGACATATGAGGACATTTACTGATTCATTAACTAGATGTCTGAGCTGGACAGTCTCAGGGTTGATTTGAGGTTTAACAACGTTGCTGATCGTGATCTCTCATTCTCAAGTCCAAAACAGGAAAGAACAGGTAGTGTGTCATACCCCTCAGATGTTGATTGGAGTTGGAGAAAATGTTGATTGTAATGGTGAGATAGTAAAGATAAGCCTCTTAACAAAGTCTACTGTGGCCCTCTCTCTTTGTCTATGGCCAGTAAAAAGCTCCTCTAAAAGAGGAAGTAAGTTTGGCTAAGTAGGAGCAAGTTCTTGTATGGGGTAGGGTTTGAGAGGAGTAACTGCTTTTTCTTTTTTGGTAGGAGAAGTTCACCATTGACTAACAGGCATATACTCAATGCCTGACCCAGCATAAACCTGAGCTTATACCTAAGGTTGTTTGGTAGCTCTTACGGAGGACCACAAACTGGGATCTAAACTAACTTCCCTCTTTCTTTCTTTTCCCCAATCATACCAAATGTAATTCCCTGAGAATTCCCTACAAATTGTGTGCCCAGGCCGGGATGTGGTAGCTGCTGCCTGAAGGACGCCAGTGCTGTGGGAGCCCTTGCCCCAGCTGGGAGGTGTTTTGTGTTCACTTGGGCTGCCACATCCCCCACTGGACACGTCTATGAGGGACCCCTGGTCACAGACCCTGGGCCACTACATCAGCTCCATAGGCTTGGTTTCCCAGCTGGTTGAGAACCACTAAGCTTTACTTTCTATGTCTTCTCATCTTTTAAAAATATTTATTTTATACCTCTTTTGTTCAAAGAATTTAAGAGCTTGATGATATCTTAATAGATAATCTAGTTTGTTCATGTCAATCAGGACTTAAATTAGAAGAAGATAAACATGGAAAGGGTGAAGTTTTATAGACAGCCAAACAAGATTCTGTAATGTTCAACATTAAAATACTTGTTTCAAAACAATTGTAGAATGCTTTTACTATGAGCAAGGAGAAACAGGGCTGAAAAGAGTGCTGGTCTTTTTATATATATATATACTTTAAGTTCTAGGGTACACGTGCACAACGTGTGGATTTGTTACATAGGTATACATATGCCATGTTGGTGTGCTGCACCCATCAACTTGACATTTACATTAGGTATTTCTCCTAATGCTATCCCTCCCCCCGACCCCCACCGCACCAACAGGCCCCAGTGTGTGATGTTCCCTGCCCTGTGTCCAAGTGTCCTCATTGTTCAATTCCCACCTATGAGTGAGAACATGCAGTGTTTGGTTTTCTTTGTGATAGTTTGCTGAGAATGATGGTTTCCAGCTTCATCCATGTTCCTGCAAAGGACATGAACTCATCCGTTTTTATGGTTGCATAGTATTCCATGGTGTATATGTGCCACATTTTCTTAATCCACTCTATCATTGATGGACATTTGGGTTGGTTCCAAGTCTTTGCTATTGTGAATAGTGCCCCAATAAACATACGTGTGCATGTGTCTTTATAGTAGCATGATTTATAATCCTTTGGGTATATACCCAGTAATGGGATCGCTAGGTCAAATGGTATTTCTAGTTCTAGATCCCTGAGGAATTGCCACGCTGTCTTCCATAATGGTTGAACTAGTTTACACTCCCACCACCAGTGTAAAAGTGTTCCTATTTCTCCACATCCTTTCCAGCACCTGTTGTTTCCTGACTTTTTAATGATTGCCATTCTAACTGGTGTGAGACGGTATCTCATTGTGGTTTTGATTTGCATTTCTGTGATGACCAGTGATGATGAGCATTTTTCCATATGTCTATTGCCTACATAAATGTCTTCTTTGAGAAGTGTCCGTTCATATCCTTTGCCCACTTTTTGATGGGGTTGTTTGATTTTTTCTTGTAAATTTGTTTAACTTCTTTGTAGTTTCTGGATATTAGCCCTTTGTCAGATGGGTAGGTTGCAAAAATTTTCTCCCATTCTGTAGGTTGCCTGTTCACTCTGATGGTAGTTTCTTGTGCCATGCAGAAGCTCTTTAGTTTAATTAGATCCCATTTGTCAATTTTGGCTTTTGTTGCCATTGCTTTTGGTGTTTTAGTCATGAAGTCCTTGCCCATGCCTATGTCCTGAATGGTATTGCCTAGGTTTTCTTCTAGGGTTTTTATGGTTTTAGGTCTAAATCCATCTTGAATGAATTTTTGTGTAAGGTATAAGGAAAGGATCCAGTTTCAGCTTTCTACATATGGCTAGCCAGTTTTCCCAGCACCATTTATTAAATAGGGAATCCTTTCCCCATTTCTTGCTTTTGTCAGGTTTGTCAAAGATCAGATGGTTGAGATGTGTGGTGGTATTTCTGAGGGCTCTGTTCTGTTCCATTGTCTATATCTCTGTTTTGGTAGCAGTACCATGTTGTTTTGGTTACTGTAGCCTTGTAGTATAGCTTGAAGTCAGGTAGCATGATGCCTCCAGGTTTGTTCTTTTTGCTTAGGATTGTCTTGGCAATGCGGGCTCTTTTTTGGTTCCATATGAAGTTTAAAGTAGTTTTTTCCAATTCTGTGAAGAAAGTCAGTGATAACCTGATGGGGATGGCATTGAATCTATAAACTACCTTGGGCAGAATGGCCATTTTCATGAAATTTATTTTTCCTATCCATGAGCATGGACTGTTCTTCCATTTGTTTTTGTCCTCTTTTATTTTGTTGAGCAGTGGTTTGCAGTTCTCCTTGAAGAGGTCCTTCACATCCCTTGTAAGTTGGATTCCTAGGTATTTCATTCTCTTTTTAGCAATTGTGAATGGGAGTTCACTCATGATTTGGCCTCTGTTTGTCTATTATTGGTGTGTAAGAATGCTTGTGATTTTTGCACATTGATTTTGTATCCTGAGACTTTGCTGAAGTTGCTTATCAGCTTAAGGAGATTTTGGGCTGAGACAATGGGGTTTTCTAAATAAACAATCGTGTCATCTGTAAACAGAGACAATTTGACTTCCTCTTTTCCTGCTTGAATACCCTTTCTTTCTTTCTCTTGCCTGATTGCCCT
Source organism: Homo sapiens (assembly GCF_000001405.40). Lineage (NCBI taxonomy): Eukaryota > Metazoa > Chordata > Mammalia > Primates > Hominidae > Homo > Homo sapiens. The sequence goes on along the minus strand of NC_000007.14, from coordinate 106,676,602 downwards.
GGCCAGATCTTCCAACACTATGTTGGATAGGAGTGGTGAGAGAGGGCATCGTTGTCTTATGCTGGTTTTCAAAGGGAATGATTCCAGTTTTTGCCCATTCAGTATGATATTGGCTATGGGTTTGTCATAAATAGCTCTTCTTATTTTGAGATACATTCCATCAATATCTAGTTTACTGAGAGTTTTTAGCATGAAGGGCTGTTGAATTTTGTTGAAGGCCTTTTCTGCATCTGTTGAGATAATCATGTGGTTTTTGTCATTGGTTCTGTTTATGTTAATTATTATGTTTATTGATTTGTGTATGTTGAACCAGCCTTGCATCCCAGGGTTGAAGCTGACTTATCATAGTAGATAAGCCTTTTGATGTGCTGCTGGATTCGGTTTGCCAGTATTTTATTGAGGATATTCACATTGATGTTCATCAGAGATATTTGCCTAAAATTCTCTTTTTTATTGTGTCTCTGCCAGACTTTGGTATCAGGATGATGCTGGCCTCATAAAATGAGTTACGGAGGATTCCCTCTTTTTCTATTGATTGGAATAGTTTCAGAAAGAATGGTACCAGCCCCCTTTTTTTTAACTTTTTATTAGTATTATTATACTTTAAGTTCTAGGGTACATGTGCACAACCTGCAGGTTTGTTACATATTTATACATGTGCCATGTTGGTGTGCTGCACCCAGTAACTCGTCATTTACATTAGGTATATCTCCTAATGCTTTCCCTCCCCCCTGCCCCCACATCACGACAGGCCCCATTGTGTGATGTTCCCCTTCCTGTCTCCAAGTGTTCTCATTGTTCAATTCCCACCTATGAGTGAGAACATGTGGTGTTTGGTTTTTTGTTCTTGCGATAGTTTGCTGAGAATGATGGTTTCCAGCTTCAATTATGTCCCTATAAAGGACATAAAATCATCCTTTTTTTGGCTGCATAGCATTCCACGGTGTATATGTGCCACATTTTCTTAATCCAGTCTATCACTGATGGACATTTGGGTTGGTTCCAAGTCTTTGCTATTGTGAATAGTGCCGCAGTAAACATACGTGTACATGTGACTTTATAGCAGCATGATTTATAACCCTTTGGGTGTATACCTAGTAATGGGATTGCTGGGTCAAATGGTATTTCTAGTTCTAGATCCTTGAGGAATCGCCACAGTGTCTTCCACAATGGTTGAACTAGTTTACAGTCCCACCAACAGTGTAAAAGTGTTCCTCTTTCTCCACATCCTCTCCAGCACCTGTTGTTTCCTGACTTTTTAATGATCGCCTTTCTAACCGGTGTGAGATGGGTGCCAGCTCCCTTTTGTACCTCTGGTAGAATTCAGCTGTGAATACGTGTGGTCCTGGACTGTTTTGATGGGTAGGCTATTAATTATTGCCTCAATTTCAGAGCCTGTTATTGGTCTATTCAGAGATTCAACTTCTTCCTGGTTTAGTCTTGGGAGGGTGTATGTGTCCAGGAATTTATCCATTTTTTTCTAGATTTTCTAGTTTATTTGCATAGAGGTGTTTATAGTATTCTCTGATGGCAGTTTGTATTTCTGTGGGATTGGTGGTGATATCTCCTTTATCATTTTTTATTGCGTCTATTTGATTCTTCTCTCTTTTCTTCTTTATTAGTCTTGCTAGCGGTCTATCAGTTTTGTTGATCTTTTCAAAAAACCAGCTCCTGGATTCATTGATTTTTTGAAGGGTTTTTTGTGTCTCTGCCTCCTTCATTTCTGCTCTGATCTCAGTTATTTATTGCCTTCTGCTAGCTTTTGAATTTGTTTGCTCTTGCTTCTCTAGTTCTTTTAATTGTGATGTTAGGGTGTGGATTTTACATTTTTCCTGCTTTCTCTTGTGGGCATTTAGTGCTATAAATTTCCCTCTACATACTACTTTAAATATGTCCCAGAGATTCTGGTATGTTGTGTCTTTGTTCTCATTGGTCTCAAAGAGCAACTCTATTTCTTCCTTCATTTCGTTATGTATCCAGTAGTCATTCAGGAGCAGGTTGTTCAGTTTCCATTAAGTTGAGCGGTTTTTAGTGAGTTTCTTAATCCTGAGTTCTAGTTTGATTGCACTGTTGTCTGAGAGACAGTTTGTTTTGACTTCTGCTCTTTTACATTTGCTGAGGAGTGCTTTATCTTCCAATTATGTGGTCAATTTTGGAATAAGTACGATGTGGTGCTGAGAAGAATGTATATTCTATTTATTTGGGGTGGAGAATTTTGTAAGTGTCTATTAGGTCTGCTTGATGCAGAGCTGAGTTCAAGTCCTGGGTATCCTTTTTAACTTTCTGTCTCGTTGATCCGTCTAATATTGATAGTGGGGTGTTAGAGTCTCCCATCATTATTGTGTGGGAGTCTAAGTCTCTTTGTAGGTCTCTAAGGACTTGCTTTATGAATCTGGGTTCTCCTGTATTGGGTGCATATATATTTAGGATAGTTAGCTCTTCTTGTTGAATTGATCCCTTTACCATTATGTAATGGCCTTCTTTGTCTCATTTGATCTTTGTTGGTTTAAAGTCTGTTTTATCAGAGACTAGGATTGCAACCCCTGCCTTTTTTTTGCTTTCCATTTGCTTGGTAGATCTTTCTCCATCCCTTTAATTTGAGCCTGTGTGTGTTTCTGCTCCTGAACACAGCACACTGATGGGTCTTGACTCTTTATCCAATTTGCCAGTCTGTGTCTTTTAATTGGGGCATTTAGTCCATTTACATTTAAGGTTAATATTGTTATCTGTGAATTTGATCCTGTCATTATGATGTTAGCTGGTTATTTTGCCCATTAATTGATGCAGTTTCTTCATGGCATCAACGGTTTTTACCATTTGACATGTTTTTGCAGTGGCTGGTATCAGTTGTTCCTTTCCACGTTTAGTGCTTCCTTCAGGAGCTGTTTTAGGGCAGGCCTGGTGGTGATAAAATCTCTCAGCATTTGCTTGTCTGTAAAGGATTTTATTTCTCCTTCTCTTATGAAGCTTAGTTTGGCTGGATATGAAATTCTGGGTTGAAAATTCTTTTCTTTATGAATGTTGAATATTGGCTCCCACTCTCTTTTGGCTTGTAGGGTTTCTGCCGAGAGATCTGCTGTTAGTCTGATTGGCTTCCTCTTGTGGGTAACACGACCTTTCTCTCTGGCTGCCCTTAGCATTTTTTCCTTCATATCAACCTTGGTGAATCTGACAATTATGTGTCTTGAGGTTGTGCTTCTCAAGGAGTATCTTTGTGGTGTTCTCTGTATTTCCTGAATTTAATGTTGGCTTGCCTTGCTAGGTTGGGGAAGTTCTCCTGGATAATAATATCCTGCAGAGTGTTTTCCAACTTGGTTCCATTCCCCCCATCACTTTCAGGGACACCAGTGAAACGTAGATTTGGACTTTTCACATAGTCCCATATTATTTGGGGGCTTTGTTCATTTCTTTTTACTCTTTTTTCTCTAACCTTGTCTTCTCACTTCATTTCATTCATTTGATCTTCAATCACTGATACCCTTTCTTTTACTTGATCGAATTGGCAATTGGCTATTGAAGCTTGTGCATGTGTCATGAAGTTCTCATGCCATGGTTTTCAGCTCCATCAGGTCATTTAAGGTCTTCTCTACACTGTTTAGTCTAGTTAGCCATACGTCTAACCTTTTTTCAAGGTTTTTTGCTTCCTTGTGATGGGTTAGACCACGCTCCTTTACCTTGGAGAAGTTTGTTATTACCGACCTTCGGAAGCCTACTTCTGTCAACTCATGAAAGTCATTCTCTATTTGTAGGAGAAGAGGCGCTCTGATTTTTAGAATTTTCAGCTTTTCCTGCTCCGGTTTCTCCCCATCTTTGTGGCTTTATCTACCTTTGGTCTTTAATGTTGGTGACCTGCAGATGGGGTTTTGGCGTGGATGTCCTTTTTGTTGATGTTGATGCCATTCCTTTCTGTTTGTTAGTTTTCCTTCTAACAGTCAGGTCCCTCATCTGCAGGTCTGTTGGAGTTTGCTGGAGGTCCACTCCAGACCTTGTTTGTCCGGATATCACCAGTGGAGGCTGCAGAACAGCAAATATTGCAGAACAGCAAATATTGCTGCCCGATCCTTCCTCTGCAAGCTTTGTCTCAGAAGGGCACCTATCTGTATGAGGTGTCAGTTGGCCCCTACTGGGATGTATCTCCCAGTTAGGCTACATAGGGGTTAGGGACCCACTTGAGGAGGCAGTCTGTCTGTTCTCAGAGCTCAAATGCCATGCTGGGAGAATGACTGCTCTCTTCAGAGCTGTCAGACAGGGACGTTTAAGTCTGCAGAAGTTGCCTGCTGTCTTTTGTTCAGCTATGCCCTGCCCACAGAGGTGGAGTCTCTAGAGGCAGTAGGCCTTGCTGAGCTGTGGTGGGCTCCACCCAGTTCAAGCTTCCTGGTCACTTTGTTTACCTGGTCAAGCCTCAGCAGTGGTGGACGCCCCTCCCCCAGCCAGGCTGCCGCCTCGCAGTTTGATCTCAGACTGCTGCACTAGCAGTGAGCAAGGCTCCATGGGTGTGGGACCCGCTAAGCCAGGCATGGGAGAGAATCTCCTTGTCTGCCGCTTGCGAAGACCTTGGGAAAAGCCCAATATTTGGGCAGAAGTGTCCCATTTTTCCAGGTACAATCTGTCATGGCTTCCCTTGGCTAGGAAAGGGAAATCCCCCGACCCTCTGTGCTTCCCGGGTGGGGCAATGCCCCACCCTGCTTTGGCTCACCTTCCACGGGCTGCACCCACTGTCCAACCAGTCCCAATGAGATGAACCAGGTAGCTCAGTTGGAAATGCAGAAATCACCCGTCTTCTGCATCGATCATGCTGGGAGCTGCAGACTGGAGCTGTTCCTATTCAGCCATCTTGGAACCACCCAGTCAACCTCCTTTTATAAATGGGGCGAGTGCTGCTCTTTGAATCAGAAAACTGTGATTCAGGATTCAGCTTTATCACTTTACTGGAGCATGTCAATTAGCAACTGGAGCACCTTACTTAGCTTCACCTGAAGCTCATCCATAAAATGAGAATATTTTTTCTTGTTTCCCTCATCTGGCTCTTTGAAGATCACATCAGATAAAGTATTCTTTAAACTTTAGTGTACTACCTTCAGAGAAAATACTAAGGTATTATTGCTACATGCAATTACAAGTAAAAAGATGAATAGAACACAGCATTACTGTGAGGGAATTTATAATCTAGATGATTCACAATTATTCTTCTTCTCTAACAGAATTGAGAGATACAACCCATCCCCGCCAGTAACAGTGGTTCTTCTAGGGGTGAGGGTAAGGTGAGGGTGTGGGTGGGTGGGGAAGTGTGCTGTAAGAGAAATGAAAATGAAAATGCCACAGCCTTCACAGAAGGAAGAGAACATATAGGGACCAATGGCTTTGTTGAGCCTCAAAGGATGGGTAAAATTTGGAAAGGGGAAAGAATAGTCTCTGTGTGCCCAGCTGTAAAGTGGGGCATATAGAATAGTACTTACCTCAAGGGACTGCTGTGAGATTACATGAAGTAATCCATGTGAAGTATGGAGCACAGAGTCTGACATAGAATATGAGTATTCACATATGTTACACCTGTATGATTCCTAGTTAAACCTATAGCTCTGTAGACAGAAAAATGGTGCCCCAGAGATGTTCATATCTTAATTCCTGAAACATGCAAATATATTAAGTTACATGAAAAAGGGGAATTAAGGTTTCAGATGGAATTGAGGTTGCTAATGAGCTGAACTTATAATAGATTATCTTGGATTGTCTGATAGGCCCAATCCAATCACAAGGGTCTCTAAAAATGCAAGAAGGAAGCAGAAGAGGAGAGTCAGAGGGAGATGTGACTATTCAAGGATGGTCAGAGAGATTTAACATTGCTAGCTTTCAAGATGGAGGAAGGAAGCCATGAGCCATGGAATGTGGGTGGTCTCTAGAAACTGGGACATGTGAAGAAACAGATTCACCTCTTCAACCTCCAGAAAAGAACACAGCCCTGCTGACATCTTCGTTTTAGCCCAGTAAGATCTACATTAAGGCTGGGCATGGTGGCTCATGCCTATGATCCCAACACCTTGGGAGGCCAAGGTGGGAGGATGGCTTGAGCCAAGGAATTTGAGACCAAGCTGGGCTATATAATGAGCCCTCATCTCTAAAAAATTTTAAAAATTAGCTGAGTATGGTGCATGCCTGTAATCCCAGCTACTCAGGAGGCTTAGGTGGGAGGATCACCTAAGCCTGGGGAGACAGGGATGTAATGAGCCGAGATGGTGCCCTGCCCTCCAACCTGGGAGACAGAGTAAGACCTTGTCTCAAAAAAAATATTGAACTTCTGACCTCAAGAATGATGGCAAAATGATAAATTTGTGTTGTTTTAAGCCACCAAGTTTGTGGTAACTAATATACTAGTCTATAAGCATCATGAAGCAAATTCCTGACACAATTTGCTCACAGTTTAGTCCCAGCTTTCCAGCTATAGCAGATTCTCAATAAGTTATTTGAATGACTGAATTAATAGGCATTCTAGGAACATGTTGAGGTAAAGTTTGGTGGGAAGTTTTGCTCTGGCCTAGGCATAAATGGGTCCTAAAAGCTGGATAGTGTCATAATTTGAAGGCTTTTGAATAGCAGCTTACAGAGTTTGTTCTCAATTTGGTAGGCAAAGTAGATCCACTCAGGATTTCTGAGCACTAAAGGGACAGGATTGTGTTTTAGGGGTTTAATCTGGGTGGTATTGAGTAAAAAATTTTTTAAGATTATTTTATGATTCTGGAATTTTATACGCCTACTTATGCATCCTACTTATGTGTCTAAAAGCATCATATTGTTTTTAAAGTAATAATATGAATTTGTCGACTCTTGTTTAATTATAGTACTTAGATCTTTTTTCCATGTTTATGGTTTAATATGTTAATATTCTTCTAATCTGATACTAATAGTGTCAAACTGGCTAATTATTTTTGCATGTAATTAGAGTGGAGCTCCAAAATTATTAAGAGAGAGGAGAGTACAAGTGTGGTCCACTGTTGATATCAAATAGTCTGAGACCTTATAAAAAATTATGGGATGACTTCATTTTATTTTTAATAGGTTTATCAGGTTTAGTAGGTTAGGGGAAAACTCATAGACACAGCATATTTTGATTTCAACAAAATTTGACAATGTTTCTTTTAATATCTTCCTGGATAATAAATTGTGATCTGGGTGATAATAACAAAAGTCTTGAGGCTAGTGAGCCAACCGTAAGCAAAAAGTGCTTACAGATGGGTGTGTGTCAGTATGATCAAGTCTCCAGTAGAGTGACACAGGTCTTTGTCATTGAGTCTGTTCCAACCGGTAGTGCCATTGGTGACTTGGTTTAAGGTGGAAGGATGCTGGTCTAATTTACTAAAAGGATTAATCAAAATCAGATATTATAGAATTTAGATCCAAGAGTACCACAGTAGGTAGGAATGTTGTACTGAAATCAACAAAATGAAATTTAACAGAGATAAATGTAAAGTCATCTAAGTCAGGGGTTGCCGACCCATGGGCCGTGGACTGGTACCAGTCTATGACTTGTTAGGAGCCAGTCTGCACAGCAGGAAGTGAGCAGCAGGTGAGCAAGCATTACTCTCTGAGCTCTGCCTCCTGTCAGATCAGCAGTGGCATTAGGTTCTCATAGGAGCATGATCGCTATTGTGAACTGCACATGCAAAGGGATCTGGGTTCCATGCTCCTTATGAGAATCTAACTAATGTCTAATGATCTGAGGTGTCCGTGGAAAAAATGTCTTCCACAAAACTGGTCCCTGGTGCCAAAAAAGTTGGAGACCCTGCTCCAAGTACAGTATAGTTCAGGGCACACTTAATTTTGCAGTAATTCATATGGGAAAAAATGGTTTCTAGTTGGCTTTAAATTTAATATGAGTTAACAATATAAAGAAATTTCTTACATTGCAGTTTTGACATAATCTAAAATTTACTTTTGGAGATTGGTTCTATGAAGTTCTAGGAGACAGGGCAATGGGTAAAAGAAAACAGAACTAGGTTTTGGACTAAACGTGAAAAGAAACCTTTTTCCCTTTGTTCCTTAGGATTTTGGTTAATATCAGGCCTAGCTAATTTCAGGTCTGGCCAATTTCTTGGTCCATTTCCAATTTGGGCAATTTCTGATCAATCACTAATAAATAAGCACTGATACAAAATATTATGTTATAGCCTAATCCTTTTGGTTTGTTTTCCCTTTATTCTGTTTTGCATTTCTCTATTTTTTTCTTTCCGTGCATTAAACTTTTTTTAGAATTCTATTTTGATTTATCTGTAATGTTTTTGAACATATCCTTCTATAGCTTTTTCAGTGGTTGCTCTAGGTGTTACACTATACAGTTGACCCTTGAACAACACAGATTTGAACTGTGAGAGTCCACTTCTATATGGATTTTTTTAAATTAAAGTTACAAGCGTGCCTGCCTTTCCTGTTTTCCGTACCACCCTCTCCACCTCTTTTCACCTCTGCCACCTTGAGACAGCAAGACCAATCCCTCTTCTTCCTCTTCTTCCTCAGCCTACTCAATGTGAAGATGAAGATGAAGAGGAAGAAGACCTTTATGATGACCCACTTCCACTTAATGAATAGTGATGTGATTAATAGTGATTAATGAATATGATGACTCTTCCACATGATTTTCTTTTTTTTTTTTTTTTTTGAGACGCAGTTTTGCCCTGTTGCCCAGGCTGGAGTGCAGTGGCGCGATCTCGGCTCACAGCAAGCTCTGCCTCCTGGGTTCACACCATTCTCCTGCCTCAGCCTCATGAGTAGCTGGGACTACAGGCGCCCACCACCACGCCTGGCTAATTTTTTGTATTTTTTTTTTTTTTTAGTAGTGATGGGGTTTCACTGTGTTAGCCAGGATGGTCTCGATCTCCTGACCTTGTGATCCGCCTGCCTTGGCCTCCCAAAGTGCTGGGATTACAGGCCACATGATTTTCTTAATAACATTTTCTTTTCTTTAGTTTGCTTTACTGTAAGAATACAGTATATAGTATTTATGCAAAATATTGTTAATCAACTCTTTATGTTATTGGTAAGGTTTCTAGTCAACAGTTAGGCTGTTAGTAGTTAAAATTTTAGGGAATCAAAAGTTAAACTTGGATTTTCAACTGCATAGGGAGTCAGTGCTTCTAATCCCCACATTGTTCAAGGATTAACTGTATATACATAACTTATCCCAGACTACTGGTGTCGTTTTTACCAATTCTAGTGAAATATAGAAACCTTATCTTTCTTTATGTCTGTTTATCCTGACTCTTAACATATTTGTTTAAAATATTTTGTCTACATACATACAGAGCCACATCAGTGTTACTAATTTTCACTTCAACCATTGGATTGGTCTGCTTGGGCTGCCATAATAAAATATCACAGACTGTGTGGCTTAAAAAATAGAAATTTATTTTCTCATAGTTCCAGACATGGGGAAATCTAAGATCAAGGTGCCAACCAATTTGGTTCCCTGTGAAGGCTCTCTTCTTGGCTTGCAGATGGCTGCCTTCTTACTGTATCCTCATATAGTGGCAAAGGAGAGACCTCTGACATCTTTCTTTTCTTATAAGAGCACCAGCCCTTCTGGATTAGGGTCCTACTCTTATGACCTTTATTTAACCTTTATCACCTCCTCATAGGCCCTATCTCCAAATACAGTCACACTGGGGATTAGGGCTTCAAGATATAAATTTTGGGAGGACACAAATATTCAGTCCATAACAACCATCAAACATAATTTTGAAAACTAAAGAGGAGAAGGAAAGTCTATTCTGTTTACCCAAGTTTTTGCTTACCATGTTCTTTCTTCTATTCTAATATTCCAAGAATCCTTCTTTTATTGTTTCCTTTCTATTTAGAGAACTTCTGCTAGTCATTCTTTAGCGTAGGTCCACTGGCAACAAATACTCTGTTTTCCTTCATGTGAGAATGTCTTGATCTTCTTTTCATTCTTAAAGGATTATTTCACTCAATATAGGAATTTGAGTTGACAGTTCTTTTCTTTCAGCATGTGAAAAAAGGCCACTTCCTTCTGGCCTCCATGGTTTCTGATGAGAAATCTGCTGTCATTTGAATTGCTTTTCTCTCGTAAGTAAACTGTTGTTTTTATCTAGCTGTTTTCAGTATTTTTTCTTGGATCTTAATCTCCTTGGATTAAGTACAAACTTAACTTAATCCAATCTCTAGTTTTCAGAAGTTTGACTTTGATGTTTCTTTTTTTTTTTTTTTTTTTTTTTAAGACAGAGTCTCTCTCTCTGTTGCCCAGGCTGGAGTGCAGTGGCACCATCTTGGCTCACTGCAAGCTCCACCTCCTGGGTTTATGCCATTCTCCTGCCTCAGCCTCCCGAGTAGCTGGGACTACAGGCGCTTGCCACCATGCCTGGCTAATTTTTTATATTTTTAGTAGAGATGGGGTTTCACTGGGTTAGCCAGGATGGTCTCGATCTCCTGACCTTGTGATCTGCCCCCCTTGGCCTCCCAAAGTGCTGGGATTATAGGCCTGAGGCACCATGCCCAGCTGACTTTGATGTACCTTGATGTAGATTTCTTTGGGTTAATCTTATTTGGGTTTGTTCTTGAATCTGTGGATTTATGTCTTTTGCAAATTTGGAACATTTTCAGCCATTCTTTCTTTAAGTAATTTTTCCAGCCTCATATTTTTTCTCCTCTCTTTCCAGATCTCTAATGACACAAATATTAGATCTTATAGTCCCAGAGGCCCCTGAGGGCTTTTGAAAAAATCAGCCTATTAGTTCTCTGTTCAGGTTGGATAATATCTATTATTCTATCTTCAAGTTCACCAATTATTTCCTCTGTCCTCTATTCTAATGTTGAGCCCATCCACTGAGCTTTTTATGTTGGTGGTTGTATTTTTTTTTCACTTCTAAAATTTTCATCTAGTTCTTTTTTATATCTCTTGATTCTTTGCTGAGATTTTCTATTTCTTTGAAGTAGCTTTGTATTTTTCATTTAAGAGTGTTCATAATTGCTTATTGAAATATTTTTTGATGGCTGCTTAAAATCTTTTTTATATAATTCTAACATCTTTCTCATCTCAATGTTGGCATCTACTGATAATCTTTCTTCATTCAGTTTGAGAGCTTTCTGGTAAGTAATTTCTTATTGAAACCTGAATGTTTTGGGTATTACATTATACAACTCTGGATCTTATTTAAATGTTTTAGCTGTTTTTCTGACACTGTCCTAATGGGGGTGGGGTGGGCACTGCCTCAATACTGCCAAGTCAGAGTCCAGATTTCTCCTCTGTTTCCACTGATACCTGAAATGGGGAAAGGAGCCCCTCATTACTGCTGAATGGGGGTAGGAATTCTGGCTTCTCACTAGGGCCGAGAAGGTGGGTAGGATTGTCTTGTTATATTCACCACATGGTCTCCACTGACACCATGGGTACAGATTGCCTGTTTACTGCCCAACAAGGATTAAAGTCCTGATTTCTTATCCAGCCTCCTCTCATACCACCCTAGCAGAGGTGGTGGGGGTGCCTTTTTATAGCCTGGCAAGGGTAGAAGTCATAATTTTTTTCTATGGTGTTTTGCAGCAGTAGGAAAATTATTTTCTAAAAGCTTTCCGTTTTGTTAGGCTGCCCCTCCTTTCCCGGTCCTGTAGCTAGAGAGAAGAAGATTTTGTTGGGGCTTTTTATGTTTGCATCTGTTGGCATTTTGGGGTTGTTGGCTTGTCTAGCACCCAGTCTCAGATTTGCTAGAAAAAGAGAAAAGAAGAAGAAAGGAGACCCAGGGAACTCACTGCCATGCCCTTCTTTGGGTTCTCTGAGGTCTCCAGCCTGTCTGCCTTCTCTTCTCCATTTTTCAGAGTCTTCTTATGTATACTTTATATATAACATCCAAGGTTTTTAGTTGCAATTAGCGGGAAAAATAGGGAAAGTACAGGTATTCCTATAAGCAAAAGAAAGTCCTATCCTCTCAGTTTATATGGTCTTTATGTTTTTCACATTAAGCCGTTGCAGAGCATATCAGGGTTTGAGCTAACTTTTGTATAAAAATCTAAATTACTTTTAGAATAGGTCTAATGACAAGGCTGAGTTTTTTCTTGCTGAATCATGCTATATTTAACATCATTTAAGCCAGCAATTAATGCTATCTCCTTGGTTAAGTACAAAATGTAGAATGTTAGAAACAATTCTGAACTAGAGTTAGAGATCTACGTTCTAGCTCAGAATCTTCCACTGTACAGCTCTGTGACCTTAGGCAGATCTCTTGGCATCTCAGAATTCTCATCTGAATTAACAATGTTGGACTCATTAGATGATCTCTAAGTTTCTTCTAGCTGTAAAGTTTTTATTTTCCTCTCATCAATGCCACTACTTTAAAAAAATATGTAGACATTCTGTAATACAGGGCTTAAAATATATTGATTAAACCAAGTAAAATCCTCAAAAATAAATAAGACAAATAGGAATAGCTTTTATTGAATGCTGTGTTCCAGGCACTACAGTAAGTGTTTTATGAATATTCTCTCGTCCAGTTCTTAAAACTTTGAAGTTAGAAGTTATACTCATTTTATAGATGAGAATGCTGAGACTCAGAAAGGTGAAAAATGTGTCTAAGAATATTTTTTTGTAAAGATATAATTGACCCCAAGTTTATTTGATTCCAGAGCTGATGTTTGCAACCACTTATATAGATTTTCAAAATTTTTTTGGCCACTTTTCAAGAGGCAGATTATTTTATAGAAATTGGATTCTAAAGCAATACTTCTGGGTAGCTAAAAGATACATTTTATTTAATTTTTCCCATCACTTTATTCGGCTTGGATTTATTTTTTAACTACATAAATATTGAATACAGAAAGTAAATACATACAGCTTTTTTTTGTTTATTATTATTCATCACTTATTTAGCAGACATAGGAGGCATTATTACCCTTGAGAGGTAAAGGAATAAACTAAGGGTTGTAAAATATCGTTACTCAAGAGCAAAAATTTAATTTGCCAACTTTCCATAAACTTCATAGTATCTCAAGTCTCAGGAACTAGAAGAGATACATTATTTCTATGTGTAAATTTTGCTTATTTATGGAGAACAGATAAGGAACCATTTGCAAGACTATTAGAGTTAATTAAAAGGTGGAGGTCAAGAAAAAATTAAAAATAATAGAGGAAACAGAATAGAGCAAATAATGTCAAATTTAAATGTATACGATAACATAAGCACTTTATCATGATATTAGTTCCTAAAAGTATTTCATAAAAAATATTGTTTGGTTTTAAGTAAATTAAATGAGCATGCATTATAAAATGAACTCTTGAATACTTGGCAAGTTGAGATCTTATGTTTTCTTAGAACCAAAATTGTGTTTAAAAAAGGTTTATCTTCTTAATTGAAATAAGTTCTATACATTTATGTAAATGTCTGGAATATATTTATGTGGTAAAGACCCTGAAGAATTTATAAAATGATGATTATCAAGGAAGGGAGGGGATTCCAATATGAAAAGCCAGGTCTACTTTAATCCTTGTTTTATCCTTGCTTTTCATTATGAAGCCCCCCTAACTTTCTCATGGCTCACTCTAGATTTTGGGTATTCCAATGGAAATTATTCAAATTTCACTTTACTATGTGTCTCAGAATTACGGAAAGAGCAAATTGTGATGTAAAGAGTTGTTGCTATATCATTCCTTTATAAGGATTTAGGAAGCTGGTATTTGGCTCTGTAATCTTGTTCTGAGATCAGAGTGTGCTTTTCTAGGAAAATGATTTTCTATTCAGAAAGTTACCATGATTTTGCTAGAGAGCTGGTTCCTGGTTAGATGTTTTATTTTTGCCATAAGCCCATTGTGTGGAGTTTTATTTTTGCCATAAACTCATTGTGTGGTGAGAGCTTTCAAGAATTTGACATCTCTGGTGTAGAGCTTTCAAATTATTTATTTTAGGTTTTATTGAAACTGAACAAACAAAATATTATTCATAAATCTATTATAAGACAGAGAAAAACTGCTCAATTCTGGGTGGGGTGGAAGTAGGAATAGGGGTACAGCTCTGTCCTTCGTCATTCTACTTATGCATAAAGCATGTTCTATTGAATTCCTTAGAGTCTGGACAGCACAGTTTGAAAAACCTTCAGTGAAATACAAAGATCACTAGATTAGAAATCGAAGGATTTAGAATCCCAGTTCTGCTATCAGCCAGCTGTGTTACTGAACCTCTATGGTACAGATTTCCTCACCTGTTAAATAAGGAGAATGAACTAGGTCTCTTTCAGGTCAAATATTTGAGGAAACCATTAGCAACTACATGTAAATCACAAAACTCCTATACTTTATTTGTTCACTACTGCAAAATAAGATGTTTCCTGGGTAAAATCCACATGCCCACCTCAAAGTTCTAAGTGTCAGGAGATTTTTTCTTTTAACCTTAAGAAATTTAAAGGAGTTCTGTGAAAATTGCAATATAAAATATCTAATTGTCCTGTTCTAAGCAGTTTCAACATTTCTGACTCTATTTGGGATAATCGGTGGTATTTCATTGATTCATTCGGCAAACACATTGAGTGTCCACTACCTGACAGGAACTGAGTTAGGTATAGAGGACAGAAAAGATGACTAAAGGATGTCCACTACTCTCCTCCCAATACAAAAGGTAATGTGTTTTGAACAATTTGTGTTTTTCAACGAAACCTTATCTGTTGTCTGCGATGATGCATCCTTTCTAAATGATAGGGGTGGCTTTGACATTTTAAAACTAAATGAAAAACGAATTGGCATCCATAAAGAACTGTGTATTTAAAACTATATTTTCTTTTCACAGAATGGCTTTATTGTAATAGATCTTTGATCAACTTGAGCAAAGAGTATTTAGTTTTATAGGGTATGACATGTTTTGCTTTCTGGATAAGCAGGGTCTCTCTTAAATATGAAGATGGCTCCAGTGTCCAGAGGGAGACTAAAATCTCTCAGCTGCCAGCCACGCACATTACCTGAATGATTCTGGATTACTACTGGCTTCTTGAGATGGGCTGGGGTCAAGACAGGGAAGAGTTTTGAATGAAGATGCCAGAAGAGGCCTTTGAGAGGGTGGATGGGAATTGCGAAAGGCCCATTTCCCCTAGACTTAAACCCAAATTCCCTAGCTGTGATGATACCAGGAACATCCTTCAGGGAAATCTCCCTTTGTTATCCACACTGGTAGAGCTCCCAGCTCAATCCACAACTGCACACCCCCTCACTCTAAGAGTCACTCTTCCCATGGTGTAGCCAACATCCACCCTCTTACTCTAGACGTGGCAGCCCTCCTAGATCCACCCAACCGTTGACTTACGTTCAAAGGCCATCACCCACCCCAGCACCATCTTCCAGGAACTGGCCTCTCCCCCATCAGTCCCCGCCCCTCTTCTGAGAGCACCCAATGGGTGGAGTCGGGGCTGCGGTGGGAGGGGCCTGAGGCGGGCACATTTAAAGAAAGGCAGCCGGCGAAAAGAGGCAAGAGAGGAGAAGAAAGAGAAACCAGGGGGGCGAGGCGCCGTCCAATGACAAAGCCCAGGGGTGGGCGCCGGCCGCCATCTTGTACCGGGCAGCAGGATATTCGCCCGCGTCCTCCGCCCTCGGAGGGGGAGGGGCGGCGGCGGAGGCGAGAAAAGTAGCGAGAGACGCCAGCAGCAGCCGCCGCCGCGGAGCCAACGCGGACTGGGACGGCGGCGGCAGTAGTGGGACCCGGCGAGCGTGAGTGGCCCGGAGCGGCCTTCGATGCGGCGCAGTATGAAGAGGCGGCGGCGCCGGCGCCCGGTCGCCCCGGCCACGGCCGCCCGGGGCGGCGACTTTAGGGCAGAAGACGGGGCTGGGTTGGAGGCGCGGGAGGAGAAGGTGGTGTACTCGCGGTCGCAACTGTCGCTGGCTGACAGCACCAAGGCGCTGGGCGACGCCTTCAAGCTCTTCATGCCCCGCAGCACGGAGTTCATGAGCTCGGACGCGGAGCTCTGGAGCTTCCTCTGCAGCCTCAAGCACCAGTTCTCCCCGCACATCCTGCGCAGCAAGGACGTCTACGGCTACTCCTCCTGCCGGGCCCTGGTACCCGACCCCCCGGGGCCCCCTACAGCCCGCGGCCAGGCGCGCCGGCCGGTTCCGCGCGCAGCGGCCAGGAGGAGGCGCCGCGGAGCCCGGGCGGCCGCTGCCCGCAGGAGGAAGCCCCGGCCGCCACCCCCACCGCCGCCGCCCCCCGAGGAGAGCTGCCCGGCCAAGCCCGTGGCCCCCGGGCCCTGCTTCGGGGGCCGCACCTTGGAGGAGATCTGGAGGGCGGCCACCCCGACGCTGACCACCTTCCCCACCATCCGCGTCGGCAGCGACGTGTGGGGCGAGCGCAGCCTGGCGGCAGCGCGGCGCAGGGCGCGCCAGGTCCTGCGAGTGAACCTGGAACCCATGGTGAGGCTCCGCCGCTTCCCGGTGCCCCGGGCATGAGGTGCGGCCTCCAGGGCGCCTCCTGCCGGCCCCGACCTTGGGACAGGCCTTCCGCCCGGAGGAATGAACAAGTGTCAGTCGAGTGTTTACAGATCCGGCCAGGACCCCGGCCCCCAATGCACTTTACGCGCGAAGAAGTTGCCGGATGGTTGTCCCTGTCCCGGGCCGCGGCGCGGTCGT
This sequence comes from Homo sapiens, assembly GCF_000001405.40. Lineage (NCBI taxonomy): Eukaryota > Metazoa > Chordata > Mammalia > Primates > Hominidae > Homo > Homo sapiens. Next base: position 106,660,008 of record NC_000007.14, on the reverse strand, counting down.
CTTGGACGCTGGGGCAGGTGTGCCCTCTGCTGCCTCCCGTACCCGGCCTGCGGAGGGAGGGGACAGCTGGACCCGCAGGGGAGGTCCCTTTCTTCCTGACCACCGATTGAGACGTCTCCAGGACCTTAGGGGCAGATCCGTTTTCTCACTGTTGGACTCTACCTCACTGGTCTGGAAGTCCTCCGAAGACATTATTTTTCCAAAGGAATTTGGTTTCGTGCTTGTGTAATAAAGCCAGAATTTACTTGTTCTTTATCTCCCCCTTTTTCTATTTCACTGTCACCCCTCTTTGTGGACAGAAGTTCGAACATGTGGTGTTGCACTAGTTTGTGCTCAGGGTATTCTGAAGCCCACTCGTTTCCTAATTTTTACTGGATTCCAAAGCTTTGATCGAGGATATTTTTTAAGAGGTTCAAGCTTGTGACTGTTAGTAGTGCAAGGATTTGTATGGGCTCAGTGATTACAAACAAAGACATGCAAAATACAACTGTTTAAACATTTTCAAGGTATTTTTAAAGGTTTTGTATTGAAACAATGTTTATATTTACTGAGCTCCTAAAAATGGTAGAATACACATGAAAACTTTTGTTTAGGAAAAGTTAACTTGTTAAATTCTTTTGAATTGAATAAAAAAATGCATTGAAACCATATGGTGTGTGATTAAAAAAAATGAATAAATTGTGAAGAACTGGTTTTGGTTACAGGAGTCACTGGAATCCGACTGGAGATGATTTGGCCCCCTGTCCTGGTCTAACATACAAATCTAGGAATATTATGCGTTAAAGTATTTTAAAATACATTATCCTTGTAATGTATTTTACAAGGATAATGTATTTTAAAATGGGAGTTGCATAGGAGAGATGGATGTGTGTAAACATTATCACTAAAATGATAAACAGAATACCCATTAGAATTCTTAGAACTATTAATGATCAAGAGGGGTGGAGGCATTTCTTGGTATCAAATAACTGGTTAAGGTTACTTTGGGCGAAATCTATTTCCTTTTTGTTTTTGTTGTTGGATAACAAGAAATGTCTAGACTAATATTCATCAGTTTTACAAACATAATGAAAATTAGTTGATTTTTAGTTGATTTTTTTGTCCCAACATTTTTTTTAACCTTTTTGCCACTCATTATATGTTTGCAGTTCTAGGTCTTTGACAGCTGAAGACCACAGGAATCAAACAGGCGAGACACACAGAATACTGACCCTTCTTTACGCTTTTATAGTGTTTATACCATATGGCCCAGTGTGGAATTCTTGATTATCCAAGTGCCTTTGGTCATTTGTGGCAGGAAAACTTAATAGTTTTTAGCCAGCAGTGCCACAGCCAGCTTTTACTGCAATACCTAAAGGGTCAAGTAGTGTTTTTGTACCACTATTATTTCAAATTTAAGTATTCTGCCATGAAACGATCCATACTGGGCTGGAACTTGACATGTGAAATCTTTAATACTAAAGCTTATCTCTGCTTGGCAGCTTTTTAGGAGAATAATGAGAGTTACAATTTTGACTCTTGCGTTCCTAGAATTCAAATGGCATAGCTTTCTGAAATGAGTATTTCAAGTTTAGTAGTCCGTATAGGAGTGTTGTGACTTCAATTTCAGTGTTCTTGTTAAAAGAAATAATATGATATATATATACACACATATATATAACTTGATGCCAGTTTTCTAGTAAGCCTCAGTCTTTTATTCACTACTCAATGATAATGCATTGTACAAACACTGTCACATGAGTAAATAAAAATGAATAATTCCTTAGAAGATGGAGAGTGTTAAATTATATTTGTGATAGGAAGCTTAGACATATCTTTTGGTTATTAGCTTCCATTGCCAATTGTATTTCAGATGCATAGGGTTTTCTTCCCAAAAATATATTGTTAACTTTTATAGCTAACTAGCACCTGGAAAAAATGTATTTGTACAACTTTACTATTGTATATAGTTTTATAATAATGAAAAATAAACCCAATGGCCATATTAGAATGCAATTTCGACATACAGCTTATCTAGATAGTTTTCCAGAGGATTTTGAAATTTGGCTTAACTGGGAGGATAACTGCTCAGCACACCACTGAAACATAACCACTGACACCATTCATTTATTTTAACTGAGATTCTTGACATTTTTCTCTCCTATGCCTTGTTACTTTAGCATACTTGAACTCACATAAATGCTTCTTTGGATTACATGGGCTATCTGATTCCATTTTGGATCTGATTGTCCATCTTGAATTCAATATGGTATTCATCTGGACTATTCAAAAATTATGCCATTTCTAGTCTGTGAAATAAGATGTAAAAAATCTTTATTTTTGCCCTTTGGTAAAAACCTATGTGACAACTTTTAAAATGTGAAGCAACATCTAATATAGTTGACTGGTATACTAATAGGAAAGTGAAAGTATTTCATGGGTACTTTGTCACAGAATGTGAAAAGAAACTTGGCATAGTGGCCTTTATAATGAGGCATCCACTTACTCCTCTGAAGTGAAGTCTGTAGCTTAGCTTGTGTATAGTTTTTGAAAGAAATCTCATGATCTTCGTTCATTCTCTTGCCTTCTCTTTTATCTCATATGGCACAAGTAGAGGGGGAAGCCAGGAGGAAATTCATCACCTCGCTATGCTTTTATTTGATTTTTAATTCCTGAGTGCCTAAATGTGGTGACCGGCACCTCACATAACTTTTTGAGATTCTTGATGTCATTTTTATCCTTCCTGTCAACCAGCAATGTATTTTTATGTTACTAAAACCAGTAACGTCATAATTGTTGAGGGCAAGCTTCATTGTTGATAGTGCAAAGTGTCGCTGTTGTGATGTGTGTTTATTTTATTCAAGTTTGAATATTGACAAGTGTAACTTAAGCTGGTGACTGACACCTATTGATCTGCTGTGTGCAAATGATAGTACTATTTTTTAGAAAACTCTTAAGTAAATTTTAAAAATATTTGAATACAAAATATCTGAGCAATTTTGAACTCAAAAGTTTTTCATTGTTTTAAGGATTGCCACAGGACTCTTTAATGGTTTTTAATGGACATACATGCCTAATATTTATTGGTGTGTTTAAAATATTTTTTGATAGAGTGTTATGTCTTAAGCGCATTAGAAAACAATTGTTTGTAATGGAATCAAAGTGTTTCCCTGGACAGTTTGATGTGCTTATGGTTGAGATTTATAATCTGCTTGTACTTTGCTTTTTAACTTATTAACTGTAAATAAATTTTAGAGAATACATAGTGTCTAGTTTTTCTAATGATTTGAACATTTTTGAAATGGTATTTTGTATTTGTATGTGACTCAGAAAACATCTTAATTTACAATTTGATAAATTTTGACTTTTTTGTGAACTTCAAATTCCCAGAAATCTCGAGATTTGTTTTTTGTGCTATCTCGGGAGTCTGTGTTCCATCAATTCTTTAATTATCTAGCGAATTTTTAGGATGGCGCTACAAGCCCAACTTATTAACCAGTTTGCCAGCAATAAAATATCCTACAAAAAAAAAATGCATCAAAATTCAGAATTCTCTAAATCCTGACCCGAGGTGCCCCTGTGACGATGACAAAAGGTCTAAAGCTCTTGCTCTTTCATGGCATGAAAGGAAGTAAGAGTGCTCCATTTGAGTACCAGTGGTATGGGCTGTTCCACAGAATAAGGGCAGGGCTAGAATTTTCATTAGAGTCTAGAAGGCAGAAGTGGAGTATTAGTGAACAGCACAGCAAGAGCCGGATTCATAGATAGTACTGTGTGGGCTGAATTTGTCTTTGTACCTAAGTTCCTATTAGTTGGAGGAAGCGTAGTGTAATAGTTGTGGAGTCACAGTGCCTGGGGTGGAATTATTATGCATACCTTTGTGACTTGCAAGTGTTGAGACTGTAGGTAAGTTACTTAAAATCTTTGTGCCTTGCTTCCTCAACTATCAAATGTGATTAGTGAAAGAAACTATTGGGATATTATAAGGATTAATAACTACCCCTTTCAAAGGGTAGTAATGCTAGACACATAGGAAGTACTAAATAAATGCTCTTAATTATAGGTATGCACAGTGAGAATAGGTATATAAGCTGAGAGTGGTCCGTTGTGAGTTTAGCTCTCCAGGTTTCTCAGCATCCCAAGAATATTGTGTGGCTCTGGGAAAGCTGTAAGATAAATGAAGAGAAGAGAATTTGTGCATGAATAAAATTGAAGACATAAGGAAATCATATAATTTTTTAGCTTGCTGACTATGCAGTAGGAGATTGGATTAAGTTGATTTATTACAATTTTTGTTGTTGGAGTTTTTTTAAAGATTCACATCTTCTTTTGTTATATCTCTATAAGACATTTGAATGTACTGTTATGTGTTTTAAACTATCTGAGAATTTATAACAGTAATAGATTTAAAGCTGTTGATCCAAGAACTTACAAAAGTTTTGGACTACATATTTGCTTAGAGTAAGCTCAGTAAGTGTTGCTTATAAATGATGTTAATTTATATGCATAGAACCAAGCTATAGTTTGTATAAAGTTTATAATTCAGGTGTTAAAGGAAACAAAGTGAGTACAATAGCTGTGCTTGAAACACCAGAAAATTATTACTGAAAGTAAAAAAAATCTTGTATTTGAAGCATTGACACACTCATTTTTGGATGTCAGATATAAAGCCTGTAATTTAGGTTTAATTCCTCATAGCACAGAGAATAGAACATCCTCTAAATTGGTGAACAAGCCAAAGTTGCAGTTATCTGAAGTTGACACAAAATAATTTCCTGGAAAATTATTAGATGAAAGTCATACAAGAACAAGAAGCTAAAAATTGAGCCTAATTGCAGATTTCACAGAAGTAATGACTTCTCACTGTCATCACTCTCTTGTGTCTTGGTAAATGTCATTCTAAACCATGATCTATAACATAATAAACATATCTAAAGCCCAATTGGAAAGTAATAATCATAAAAACACCAAACACTATGTTTAGCCCAGAAAATTTGAATAAGTAGTCTACTGAATCCAAAACTGGACTTATTTAGCTTCCGAAAGCATTCATAGAAAAGTTAAATTGAGATTCTTCCAAGTAGTACAATTAACTGTAAAATGTGTACATATTTCTCTTTTCAAGGATTTTTTTCAAGTACATATTCTTTAAAGAGTACAGAAAAAAAAAGAGTGTGGCTTAGGGTTCTAAATCTTACAGAGTAAAAAAATTATTGAAGCAAAAACAAATGTATAAAAAGTACATATAAACGTACAGTTTGATGAATTTTCATAAATTCAATAGGCTCATGGAACTAGCACTCAGATTAAAAAAATACAGTTATGAGTACCCCTGAAGTCCTCCCTAACACCCCATCAGCCATTACCTACTCACCTTCTTGCCCAAGATAACCATTATTTTGATTTCTTACAGCATATTTTTTGCTTATTTTTGAACTTTACATAAATGGAATTATTGGTCATGTGTCTAGCTTCTTTCACTTGAAATTATGTTTGTGAGATTCATTTATATTGTTGTGTGTACTATTATTGTAGATCATTTATTCTCATTGGTGTATAGAATTCCACTGTGTGAATATTCCACAATATATTTATTCCAGTCTTGGTGGGCATTTGGGTAGATTCCAGTTTGGAACAATTATAAATAAAGCTTTGATGAATATTCTAAAACATGTCTTTTGGTGAACATATGCATGTATTTTTTTTTGGAGTATATATCTAGGAATGAATTTGCTGAGACACTGGGTCACAGCAAATGATCATCTTTGGTAGATACTGCCAAACAGTTTTCCAAAGTGGATACATGGACTTTTATAAAACTGGCCTTCAAAAAGTTTGCTTTTTATTATTCTTCCTTTCTTCTTCAAAGCTAAAGAAGTTTTGTTCCTTCTGCTCTTAAAATGAAATGAAAAGACATTTTCCCCCTATGTTTTCCTATATTTTACAGCAGAGCTTTAGAAAAAAGTCTTTTATGTATTAAGTTGTTTTCTTCTCCATCCTTTATACAAAACCAGCTCTAAGATTGGGAATAACATTAACTATGTTAACCCAAGCCCAGCAAACTTAAACTGTCATAAAACCGAGCATTTGAGACTTGGGTTCATAGTGTTCCTCTTCTAGTCCTTGGGCAGGATTCCATTGAAATGATCTATAGTGTAATGGAGACCCTGTCTCTGGAAAGAACTGTCTGATTCAACCTTATATGTTGTTTATTTTAGAAAGCTAGACATTGAGAGGTCTAGGAGTTGGATGGCAGAGAGGGAGGGTTTGAAGATGTGCAGAATATTCAGGTTTGCTTGAAGTCAGCTGAGAAGAGGAGACTTTTATCTTGGGAGGTGCTGGCTCAGCAGGGTTCAACTCTCAATTGTTGTGAAATGAATGAAAAATGTACTCATGAGAGCCCACTTGAAGGATGCCTCCAGAACTCTAAAAGGAAGTTCTTCCTTTTCCTTATTAAGTAAAGCGTCTTGGAGGATATTTATTTTACCGTTGCATGTCCACAGTACTTCACACTGGGCAGTTATGTTGTTATTATTATACTTTCTTATGTATTTCTGTCATCTTCCCTAGATAGTGAATTTCTCATTGGCAGGACTCGTCTTTCTTGTCTCTGTATCATTACAACATTGCTGGTCTTGTGCATAGTGCTCAGTGGTGTTGAATGAATAAATTGTGTTTATGGAGTTCAGACAAACCTGCAACACTGCCTCCCAAATCTTACAGAAGAACTAGTTGTGTTGCTTCAGTTTTATGTGTAACAGAAGCAATCTGTAAATGGAGTTATGATTTTTTACAGAAACCTATCAAATACACTTTTGATGAATTCCTAGTATTTTGTGACCAAATGAGTTGGCTGTAGACTCTGATGTCTCTTATTGTACCTGCAACCCAACACCACTTATCATCACTATCTCAGGATCTCTCAGCAAGAGGTAGTGTGGTGCAGTGGTTAAGAGGCTGGCGTCGGGGAACAGGCTGCCTGGTTTAAAACTCCTTCCTCCCTTTCTTGCTGGCAGCAGACCTTTTAGCAAGCTACTTAACCTCTCTGTTCCTCAGTAAACTCAGCTGTAAAAACAGGCACAATATAGCACCTACCTCATAGAGCTCTTGTGAGAATTCAATGAGGTAACACATGTAAAACACTTTAGAATAGTGCTTGGAACATGGTTTGCCTCAAGTCAATAAATGTTAGCTTTTATTAGTAGTAATGTAAAAAACTTTATAAAGCCTCAGTTTGCTTACTTGAAATTTTTATATTGGCATGTGTTAGAAGCAAAGAAGAAAGGCTGCAGTCCATAAAATGTCTATTACAGCCAAACTTATGTGGGAGATTGAGGTCCGATTCACTAAAAGTGGTATGTGCGAAAGGATGCCGGGTGTTGTGAGGAGTGCAGTGATGTACAAGACTCAGCACAAGCTGATAGCAAAATAATCAGGAAAACATGGACTGACAGAAGACACAAACTAACATTGATGTAATTCCTACTGTGCACCAGGTACTATCCCAGGCTCTTTATGCTTGTTTTTTTTTTTAAAGTAAACCTCAACAATCCTATGAGGTAGATATTATCATTCATATTTAGTAGATGAATAAACTGAAGCTTAGAGTGGTTAAGAAATGTGCCAAATATCACACATCTAAGTGGCAGAGCTGGGATTTAAAACCACATCTGTCTCATCTCATTTTCTCTACTAATCTTTATAAACACTTTTAGAGGAAGTGAAATAAATTAATCAGCCCCTGGAGGAATCTCCTCTAGGACTGTGAAATCCCAAGATGGGGAAAATCAATTTAGGAACCCTGTTTTGTTCACCTTTGCATTTCTCATGGTGTACAGCATAGATGTTCACTCAATGTCTGGGAAATGAATAAGTCTAAGAATGAATGAATGAACAAAAGCACAAATTCCTTTGCTCCTGTGATTAGATTGTTTAGTTTGGTGGAGGATCTCGTGGCAATCTGTATGGTCTAAAGTCATTCTGTATGTCTCCTCTTCTAATTGCCACAGGCAGGTAAAAGAGAAGGTTATTTAATATAACATTTGTCTCAAATTACTTGTAAAGTCTATAAAAAGTAGACTTCACAAATCTAAACATGGGGAGTCATACAGAGCTTTAAGCCCTCCTTCCCCACAGTTGCCATCCTGGAGCCTCTCTGTTTTGGAATTCTGCAGCTCCCATTACAGACACTTCTTCCAATTTATTATGATATCTACTCTGTGGACCACTATGAGACAAGGTGGACAAAGTTCTGAGTTCATTCTGATTCTCTTTTCCCTCCTAAACACCTTCATAAAGTTCTAATTCCCAGGTTTTACTTAGATAAACTACAGCATGAACAAACAAACAAAAAACCCAGGATAATGGACATAGGGCCAAAAAAAAATACTCAAATAAAAACAAGACATGTGTGAGTAAATGGGATGGTGACACAGGAAGAGGGGGACTCCTAGAGTCTTTAAATGCAAGTTAACATTCTAACAGAGGTGGAAAATTGACCCTTGCATTCCTTTGTACCAGAACTTGTTGCCCCCAGCACATGGTATCCATTTACATGCATTTCATAGCTGTAGGATGGATCGACTGCCCTTTGCAATCATGAGAAAAAAACACCGCTAATAGAACTTGCCCTGTAATGTTTATCTGATGGCTGGTTTGGCTAAAAGCATGTATTTTTCCTTATAATTCCATAGAACAGGTAGATTTATATCAGTCACACTTTGCTCTCTTTCTTGTTCTCAGTTCATTTATCCACCTATGGTTTTATTGAGAAACTCAACAAAATTTTATTAAAGGCTTCTGTTATGGAATGGATTCTATAGCCCCCAAATTTACATGTTATAGCCCTAACCACCAATGTGATGGCATTTGGAGACAGGGCCTTTGGGAAGTACTTAGGTTTGGATGAGGTCATGAGGGTAGGCCCCTCATCATAGGATAAGTGCCCTTAAAGAAGAGCCACGAGAGTTTGCCTGCTGTCTCACTCTCTGCTGTGTAAGAACACAGTGAGAAGGCGGCCATCTGCAAACCAGGAAGACAGCCCTCACCAGAGCCTGACCATGCCAGTGCTCTGATCTCAGACTTCCAGAACTGTGGGAAATAAACGTCTGTTGTTTAGGCCACCCAATGTATGGTATTTTGTTATAACTTCCTGAGAAGACTAAGACAGCCTGTATGTGCAGGATCTGTTCTACGGATAAAATCCCTGCCCCATGGCACTTGCAGGCTGGTAGGTGATTCTTTCTTATGTTCTGTATCCACAGCCACTACACCAGGTGGGTCTGCTGCTTTTTCATTGTCACTGGCAGGTGAATGCCTGCTTCTTTAATTATGTATAGGGTAGAATCTAATGCTCTGGGGATACAGATGGCTACAGTGAAAGAACTTCTGGATATGTATATTATCTTGGTGAAACAAACTTTTTTTGTTGTTGAAAATCTAGTTTGCTCTCGAGTTGGATATTTAAAACAAAGCAAAATAAACCAGAAGGGACTCATCAAAATTGTATGTCCTAAGGGTTTGATAAACATTCAATGGCTTTTTGCTGAAGTATTTGGTCAAGAGACAAATTAGTTCGGGGTAACTATGCAAACCTGGGGAACAAATGCAGATTGTGCTACAGAGCCTCTGAGTGTGGAGCTTGACAGTCGGCTGAGGGCTCCATAGTGTGCTCTCAAGAGCATGGCAGGAGGAGCTGCTGCCAGGGAGTACCTGCTGCATCCACTGCACCTGAAGTATCTCCATCACTCACTGACTCCCTGATGCTGGAGGGCCCTTTATTCCAATTAAGGTGTAGCCTTTCTAGACCATGAGAGGTGTGGCTCAGTACAATCTCCAGAAACAACCCAGCCCACCTCATTCCTTTCACTGCTGTGGTCCAGAGAGCCAACGGGTTTGCCCAGTGTTGCTCAGCTAGTGAGTGGGATAGCTGGAAAGAGAATCCACATCATCTGGTTCTCTGTCCTGTGTTTCTTCTGCTGATTCATTTGGCTGGGAAGGTTAGCTTTTCTCAGACTTTCGTTTTTAGAGTGCTTTGCTGTGGGAGTCAAACATGAGATAGGCTTCTCAGGTAATTGGAACTGGGGACAGCAGGGGAACAAGAGGCCTGGAGACCTGGAAGGAGAGAAGACACAAGGAGAGAGAAATGCTAGGAGTAGAGAGTGGACCGATGGATACACTGCCTCCTTCAATTTTGCTTTGGGATGGTTGTCCCCCCTCCCTCCCTCCCTCCCTCCCTCCCTGCCTGCCTTCCTTCCTTCTTCTTTCCTTCCTTCCTTCCTTCCTTCCTTCCTTCCTTCCTTCCTTCCTTCCTTCCTTCCTTCCTTCTTCTTCTTCCTCTTCCTCCTTCTCCTCCTCTTCTCCTTCTCTTCCTCTTCTCCTTCTTCTCCTCCTCTTTTTTTCTTCTTCTTCTTCTCCTCTGATGGAATTTTGCTCTCGTTGCCCAGGCTCGAATGCAATGGTGTGATCTTGGCTCACTCCAACCTCTGCCTTCTGAGTTCAAGTGATTCTCCTGCCTTAGCCTCCCAAGTAGCTGGGATTACAGGCATGCACCATCACACCAGGCTAATTTTGTATTTTTAGTAGAGAAGGGGTTTCACCATGTTGGTCAGACTGGTCTCAAATTCCTGACCTCAAGTGATCCACCTGCCTCAGCCTCCCAAAGTGCTGGGATTACAGGTGTGAGCCACCACACCTGGCCTGGGATGGCCTTCTTAAGAATGTCTGAGCTGAATGGTCCTCAGTCCATGGCATTCCAGCCCTGAGAGGAAAGACTTAGCTTTGTCTAAAACCCAACAGTTGACTGGGGGAGATTTATGGCCTTGGCATTGGTTGGGTAGGTTCCTTGGTGGTGTGTACACCAACAGTCTGTGGGAAACTCTGTGTGTGTGTGTGTGTGTGTGTGTATGTGTGATAGAGAGAGAGAAAAAAAGATCACAGTGGAGGGATCTCTTATTTATTCTGATTGTCTATTCAAAATGTGGCATTTTCCTTTAAAAAAAAGTCCTAAAAATAACAGATAATAAAATTAGGTGTAGAAATTGATGTGCTAGAAGTGTACATTGTTAAAAAATCCTAAATACATTTCTTTGATTTTAGAAGTTGGCTTTGGTCTCTCTGGAAGATGTAGTGGAATATTAAGGATGGTTTGGAATAGAACTTTCACTGGTGTAATTCAAATTCACTTAACAGACTGAGCAATCTGGCGGGAGAAACCTGACATGGACAGTCAAATGTGTTACCCAAGCCAAGGTAGAACAGAGAGAGAGGTGGAGTGGGCCAAGCCTGAAGATCCCAAGGCTTAGAACCTGAGTTCACAGTCTTATGACTGCCAACATGCTGTGAGGATTTGGGCAAATCAGGGTTCCTTGTGTTCTGAAGTTTCATGATGTGGTTAAAGTTCTGCATGAAACTGTACTATCAATATTCATGCCTGTATAAATAATTGAGAAAAGAGGGCTTCAGATGGAGCTATTCAGACAAACATTATTTATCTTTAAAGTCAGCAATGAAAGATGATGATCAGAATTCCAGGATCACATGACCCAGGTTCGGAAATTTTATTTACTCACCGTGAAGACATTTTGAAACTGAATTCAACTTTGTCAAGAGTTATTGTTCTATTTTGGTTACTTTATAGTTAAAATGTTAGGTAAGCAATGTGTTTATCTTAGTTGCAGCAGAGCTAACGTGTGAGTAGGGACATTGTTAGAAACTCAATAAGGTTGGTTTTTTTCTATTATAAGGAAGAGTCATCTATTAGCATAAATTGTGTCTTGAATATGGCATCAGCACATGAAAAAATATTGTGAGCTTAGGATTTTATTGTGAAATACAGAATTTGTAACACTGAAAGATTCCTATGAAAATTCTAACAATCTTACTTGTTGTGGGCACTAATGGTTAAAAGGGTTAAAAGAAGGGAGACATCTTAGTTGAAATAAATGGTTGTTCTTGAAAATACATGTGTAAATAGGATTTTGATGAATTATTTTGCTATTTGTTCTTCATTATGCAAAGCAATATATTATAAATGGAAAAAGTAATCTCTCTTCTAAATGGAAAATGTTATTAAAAAACTGATTGTAGAGGACCTCTGGAAATTTCACAGAAGACTGTCTTTTCTGTAGATTTATTCGTTTTCTTACAAACCCAGAGTAATTTGAATAAACCTCTATTTGTGTTATTGCTTCATGTTCTTTAAAAAAGATATATTTAAGATTTTTATTAAAGACCCGCTCTTCCAATGATAGGTGTGTAAGCTTGTCTGGGAAGAAAATTGGCAGTAAATTTTCAAAACCTTACACTAGCACTCATACCCTTGGCTCATGTCTGGAATTTGTTCCAGTGCAGTAGTGAAAGACTGAATTGCTATACAAAGATGCTCATGTGAGAATATACGTTTAAAAAATTGGAACTAAACAATGTTCAACAACAGGACAATAATTAAATGAGTTACCATATACTCACACAGTAAAATTTGATGTAGTCATTAAAGTCATGTTTTCATGGTGTATTTAGTGCTCTGATGTTAAGTGAGAAAGAGAGACAGTATATAAAATAATATAGAAGATATCTCAGTTTTATTTTTTAAACTCAAGTTTATTGAGGTACAATTTACATATGGTAAGATTCTTGCTTTTCAGGTATACACTTCGATTAGTTTTGACAAATGTATACAGTGGTGTAACCACAACCATGATCAAGATATAGACTCTTTCCACCACCCCAGAAAGTTTCCTCATGTACCTCTGTAGTCAATATCTTCCCTTTACTCCCAGTCTCTGGTTGTCTTAGTTCGTTTGGGCTGCTGTAACAAAATTCCCTAGACTAAGTAACTCATAAGTAATAGAAATTTATTTCTCACAGTTCTGGAGGTTGGGAAGTCCAAGATCAAGGCACTGGCAGATTTGGTGTCTGGGGAGGGCTCCTTTCCTCATGACAGTGCCGTCTCTCTGTGTCCTTACGTGGTAAAAGGGACTAACCAGTTCTCTGGGGTTTCTTATATAAGGGCACAAATTCCATTCATGAGGATGGAACCCTCATGAGTTAATCATCTCCCAAAAGCCTCACCTAATATCACATTGGAGATTAGGTTTCAACATATGCATTTGGGAGAGTCACAAACATTTAGACCATAGCACTAGAAAACTATAGTTTTTCATTTTCCAGAATATCAGATAAATAAAATAATATGCTATATATGCCTTTTACATGTCACTTTTTCACTTTTGAAGTTTTTTTTGTTGTGTGTATCAATACCTCATTCCTTTTCTTGCTGAAAAGCATTACATTGTATGGATATATCACAATCTATTCATTTACCAGCTCCAGCCATTTGGATTGTTTCCAGTTTCTGATGATTATGAATATTTGTGTATAGGCCATATGTTTCAATTCTCTTCAGTGAACATCTTAAGACAGGAATTATTTGGTTGCATGGTAAGTGTATGCTTAAGAAACAGCCAAACTCTTTTTGAAAGGGTCTGTACCACTTTGCAATCCTACCAGCAACACGTGAGCCTTCCAGTTGCTTTGTGTTCTCTCAGCTCACAGTACTGTTCAAGTTGAGCCATGCTTATAGTTATGTAATGGTATCTCCTCTCCCTAATGACTAACATCAGTCATCTTGTCATATGCTTATAAGCTATCCATATATCTTTTCTAGTGAAACTTCTATTCAAATTTTTAAAAATTGGGGTTATTTTCTTAATACTGATTTTTGAGGGTTCTTTATATATGTTGCATACAGTTCTTTTGTCAGATATGTGATCAGCAAATATTTCTTCCCAGGTTATAATATGTCTTTTCATTTTTATAATAGTGTCTTTCAAAGAGCAAATTCTTTTAATTTATCAATTTATTCATTTTTTAATTTAATGGTTGATGCTTTTTTGATATAAAGTTTTTAGTTTAGTTTTAGATTTATAGAAAACTTGCAAAAATAGCACAGAAGATTCTCATATACTCCACACCCACCTTTTCCTATTATTAACATTAGTATGATACATTTGTCACAGTCAATGAATATGGCTTACGTTTCTTGTGATCTAAGAAATCTTTGCCTACCCCAATGTCATCATACTTTTCTATGTTTTTTTAAATAAAAATTTTATATCTGTTGCTTTTAGGTTTAGGTTTATGACACATTTTAAGTTAATTTTTGTTTATGATCTGATACAATGTTGAAGTTCGTTTTTTTTCTTTTCTTTCTTTATTCTTGTTCTTTTTTTTTTTTTTTTTTTGAGACTGAATCTTGCTCTGTCACCCAGGCTGGAGTGCAGGGGCACAATCTCAGCTTACTGCAACTTACTGCCTCCCAGGCTCAAGTGATTCTCATGTCTCAGCCTCCCGAGTAGCTGGGATTACAGGCATGCACCACCATGCCTGGCTAATTTTTTGTAGTTTTAGTGGAGACGGGCTTTTGCCATGTTGTTCAGGCTGGTCTTGAACTCCTGGCCTCAAGTGATCCACCCAGCTCAGCCTCCCAAAGTGCTGGGATTATGGGCATGAGCCACCGCGCCTGGCCTTTTTCTGTCTTTTTGTGCAGATATTCAATTAGTTCCAGCACCACTTGCTGAGTAGATCTTTTTATTTTTAAAAATATTGTGTATGTGTAGAAAAAAATACTGAAGAACCACCTGAATGGTGGTTTCACCTTCTATATTTTCCATATGTTTCTACAATTAGCACAAGTGAGCAGAATATTTGAATGAGCAGATACAATATGGTAAAGAATGACAGTGAAAATAAATGCAGTAGTAGCCAGCTTCTGAAAGAGGAATCAACAGGTCATGTTGCTGAGAGGCTGATGGGTAACTCAGTCACCGATTTGCCAGTTTCTGAACTAATCACAGTGTCTGGGAGGCCTGGCTTTGTTGTGGTTCCTCTTTTTCTCTGTAGTGTGATCCAGTAGTTGAGAATCCTGTATTTTTCCACATTCACCCTTGCAACAAACCCCCATTACTTAAGACAGCTTGAATGGGTCTCTGTTTCTTGAAACCTGAAGTAAAATTACCAACAAGCCTACACATAGACAAAGCAGGCAGCTCTTCATGTTGTGTGGATGAATGACTGGAGAAAAAGAAGTGCTGGCTCCAAAAATTTTCTTCCAGGGTTTGGCCTCGATGGATTAAATTAGACACAATATGTCTTTCTATCATCATATTATATTTCTGATAGCTGTAGGTAAGTTGCTAAGATCAGGGAATAACATACTGATGCATTAATCCAATTATTTATTTTTCAAGTTTCGTTTTCACATCATTTCAGCTCAGAAATCAGAGTTCTGAAAACAAGTAAATTCCAAACTGGAGTGGAGAGAGAGCACTACAATTAGAAAATTTCTGAATGTAAGTCAAGACCTGTACCTGTGAAACTGGTCATCAGAAATGGTGCAAGGATCTTTGTCTTAGTCTGTCTTCTGCTGCTATAGCAGAATACCACAGACTGGGTAATATATAAAGAAAAATTTATTTGGCTCACAGTTCTGAAGGCTGGGAATTCCAAGATCAAGGGGCTGCATCTGGTGAGGGCCTTCTTGCTGTGTCGCACATGGCAGAAGGCATCACGTGGTGAGAAAGAGTGTGCGCACAAGAGGGAGTGAGGGGCAGAGACAGGAGGGAGGAAATGTGGGCCAAACTTCATCCTTTAATCAGTTGCCCACATCCAACGTAACTAGCCCACTCCCATGATAATGGCATTAATCCATTTATGAGGACAGAGCCCTCATGACCTAATCGCCTTGTAAAGGTCCCGCTTCTTAATACTGTCACGATGGCCATTACATTTTAACATGTCTTTTGGAGAAGACGTTAAACCAGAGCAGTCACCACAGCTTGATTTTGGATGCATGAGACAGTATGTTGTGAGTAAGGTCATGGGCTGTGGAGTCAGAATGACTGGGTGTAGAGCTTACCTGCATGACTTTACAAGCTGTGTGAGCTTGGCAGACTACAAAGCTTCCTTAAGCTTTAATTCCTTCTTCTGCAAACAGAGGTGGTTGTGAGGCTTCTATCAGGTAATGTGCCTGGCATAGAGTAAGTGCTCAATAACTGTTAGCTCTTCTGCTTGACCCCTAATTTTCTCAGCACTAGTGCTGGGGCCTGCAGGCCTTGTGTGTGTGTTTGAATTTCCAGGCTAATTATTCACTTTGCAATGAAGGCATCCTGTTTGATGGAGCCTCTGAGCCACCCCATCTGTTCAGCCATCTCTGTCTCCCCTTGTGGTTTCCCTCCTCCTTTTTAAGACCCTTAATTAGTTTTGGTGATAGAACTATCAGCACCACCTGAGCATCAGCTATTAGCAATAAATGTGGCTCCTCTGAGTAGCTATGGCATACTAATTATTTCCAAATAAAGGTAGTTTTCTGCTGCAGCTCTGATTATCTGCTAAATTATACCAGTGCCTATTTTACAATTTTTTTGTTTGTTTTAAAATCACTTGCCTCACGATTGTCTAGTTAATCCAGGAGCACCTGCAATAACATTGGGATAAAATACTTTTGTTTTATTTTTCTTTCAATTTTTAACTCCAGTGCATTTTTTTTAGTAGCCCATTGGGAAATTCTCTTTCTTCTATTTTCTGACTCATGTTTCTTAAATGGCCAATTAATTGTTTAATAGATGCTATCTCTGGGATGTTGTTGTTCTTTTCCAGGCATTAGTATTGTTGTGCCAAGTCTAGCACGTGAACTCTTTCATCCACTTTTTCTCCATGTTCACATGACAAAGGCAACAGGTCAAAAGAGCTACTGAGTTGAAACAGCTAAAAAATTCAATTCAACTAGGACTAGTTTAGCACCTGCCAGAAGCAGTAGGCTTAGGGGCTAGGTCAGGAAACACAGAAATGGACCACAAATGAATAAAATAGGGTGGGTATAGGAATAAACTCTATTTCTGGTCGGGTGCAGTGGCTCACACATGTAATCCCAGCACTTTGGGAGGAGGCCGAGGCGGGCGGATCACGAGGTCAAGAGATTGAGATCATCCTGGCCAACAGAGTGAAACCCCATCTCTACTAAAAATACAAAACAAATTAGCTGGGCATGGTGGCATGTACCTGTAGTCCCAGCTACTCAAGAGGCTGAGGCAGGAGAATTGCTTGAATCCAGGAGGCGGAGGTTGCAGTGAGCCAAGATCATGACACTGCACTCTAGCCTGGCGACACAGCGAGACTCTGTCTCAAAAAAAATAAAATAAAAAATAAAAATAAACTCTATTTCCAGCACCATGATAAAGCTGTATTTTTGTTAAGCTATGGTATAAGTGTGTAACATAATACAAACATATATTCTTTTGGATACTTATTTTAATTTTCGCGTTTGGTCTCAGTTTTGGGGAAACCATAAGGAGTGGTATACCTGCCCAATCTCGAGAGGGTAGAGCTATTTAGATATGACTGATTTTGTTTCTCTTTATAACATTTTGTGCAATAGAAATATTTCATAATAATTCATCAAGAAAACAGAGTTGAATATTGCAACTGAAGAGAAGTCTAGCTGGGAGTCAATTGCAGTCGTCCAGGAGAGGTGAAAATGACAGGAATGAGAGTGGGGGCAGGAGTGGTATAGAAGAGAGATTTGAGGGTTTTAAAACGCTTTTTTATAGTTTAATTAACATACCGTAAAATTAACTTTTTTTGGTGGGCAGTGCTGTGAGTTTTAATTTTGAGGAGGGTGAGGGGGGACAGGGTCTAGCTCTGCCACCCAGGCTTGAGTGCAGTAGCATGACTTCAGTTCACTGCAGCCTTGAAGTCCTGAGCTTAAGTGATCCTCCCACCTCAGCCTCCCGAGTAGCTGGGACTACAGGTGTGCACCACCACGCCCAGCTTTATTTTTTGTAAAGAGAGGTTCTTAACTATGTTGCTCAGGCTGGTCTCAACCTCCTGGGCTCAAGCAATCCTTCCACCTCATCTCAGTCTCAGTGTTGAGATGTGCAGTGCACAACTTGTGCAACCATAAGCAGAAAACCCCAAAAGATTCTGTCATTAGTATATAATAATTACATCTCAGTCTCAGTATTGAGGTGACAGGCATGAGCCACCATGTCTGGCTGAGCTTTAATACATGCGCAGAGCCATATAACCACCACCCCATCAAAATATAGAGCAGTTCAATGGACCCCCCAAATTCCCTCATGCTGTCCCATTGTAGTCAACTCCTCCTCCACCCTAACCCTGACAACCCCTGATCTCCATCTCCATAGCTTTGCACTTCCACAATATCATATAAATAGAACTTTATTTTATTTAATTTTTTAGACTGTTTTCTTTCATTCCGCGTAATGCCTTTGAGATACATTCATATTATTCATATATCAATAGTTCCTTTTTTTTCCTGAGCGAACTTTCATTGTATGGATATTCCAGAGTTTGTTTAACCATTCACTTGTTGAATGACATTTGTGTTATTTCCAGTTTTGGTCAATTATGAATAGAACTGCTATAAGCATCTCTGTATGGGTTTTTGTGTGAATATGTTTTCACCTCTCTAGAGTAAATACCCTGGAGTGAGGTCATATGATAAACATATGTTTGACTTTATTAGAAACTGCCAAACTGTTTTCCAAGGTAGGTGTACCATCCCACCAGCAGTGCATCCCACCAGCAGTGCATGACAGTTGCAGTTGCCCAACATCCTTGCCAGTATTTGGTATTGTCTTCCAAAATATATATATATATATTAGCCATTCTTTTACATATGTAAAGGCACCTTATTTCCCTAAATGTTAATACTGCAGAGCTTCTTTTCATGTACTTGTATATATAATATTCTGGATAAAAGATCTTTGCTGGATATGTGATTTGCAAATATTTTCTCCCAGTCTGTAGCTTGTCTTTTTGTTCTCATACAGGTGTCCTTCATAAAAGTTTTAATTTGACAAAATCCAATTTATCAATCTTTCTCTTTTAAATAAATACAATTCATAATGCTTATAACTTCAGACATAAAATTTGTGCTCTTTGTCATGTGCATTTTTGTTATATATTAATGACAGAATCTTTTGGGGTTTTCTGCTTATGGTTGCACAAGTTGTGCACTGCACATCTCTAGCAGGCATGATTTATGTGGAATACTATGTAAATGGCAACCCCTAGAGCTGTCAAATGTACAGTTTGTGCAGCATATATTATCTCCCTGGTATCTTCTTTACTGGAAGGATTGCTGTCATTGTTGTGATTCGGTTTTACTCCCTGTGCTATTCATTTGTTATTAGGTGGAGTCTATATTGAAGCTATATTTAAGAAGCTCCTATATATGAACCGTTTAAAGCATAACCTGTTGCCAGTGACTCTTCAGCTTGCTAATGGCTTATCTTTGAGGTTCCAGAAACATCATGCTTTCAGGCTGGTTTCCTTAGCTGACTCTTTCCATCAATTCCCATTTGTGGAAATTGGAAACTCCCTGCACTCAGCCAGTTTTAGCTGTCTAGACAACCAGGTTTTGAAACTGACATCTAAACAAATGACTAACAGTGAAGATTTTTGGCATCACCCATTATTTATGCAACGCTGGATTTTACCCTGTAGAACCAAAAAAATCAACAGAGCATAAGGACAGACATGCTATTTGCAGGTAATCTTTTAGCTGTGTGTAATGTTACCTGAAAGGGGTCTGAATCCAGATCCCAAGAGAGGGTTCTTGGGTCTTGTACAAGAAAGAATTTGAAGCTAATCCATAAAGTGAAAGGAAGTTTACTAAGAAAGTGAAGAAATAAAAGAATGTCTTATTCACAGGCAGACCAGAGGCATGGGCTGCTCGGCTGCTTATAATTATTATTAGTTCTTGATTATATGCTAAATAAGGGGTGGATTATTCATGAGTTTTCTGGCAAAGGGGTGGGCAATTCCCAGAACTGAGGGTTCCTCCCCTTTTTAGACCATATAGGGTAACTTTCTGACATTGACATGGCATTTGTAAACTGTCAATGGCACTGGTGGGAGTGTCTTTTAGCATGCTAATGCATTATATAATTATCGTATAATGAGCAGTGAAGACCAGAGGTAACTTTTGTCACCATCTTGGTTTTGCTGGGATTTGGCCAGCTTCTTTACTTTATCAGCAAGGTCTTTGTGACCTGTATCTTGTGCCAACCTCCTATCTTATCCTGTGACTAAGAATGCCTTAACTACCTGGGAATGTAGCCCATTAGGTCTCAGCCTTATTTTACCCAGTCACTATTCAAGATGGAGTCACTCTAGTTTGAATGCCTCTGACAGTAATGAAGAAGTAAACTCCGAGACAGCACATGACTTCCCTCTGATGACGTAAGGTACCCTTCAGTGTCTGAGAGTTTTTTACTCTAAATATCTGACTAGCTGCGTTTTCTTCAACCTAGTTAAAGATAGAATCACAAGCTGTTGACTAGTCAACCGTTAGTGTCAGAGTTGAACTAGAAAAGCTTCAACAGATCAGAATTGTTCTTGGTGTCCTGATATGTTATCATCTCTGTCGATTAATATAGGCTCTAACTTGCTGTGCTATGGGAAGAAGAAACATGTATCCTATTTGTGAGTAGTTTTTATTCAAAATCAAGCTGATCATGTTTTTATGTAGGGAAGTCATAGAATCTGTATCTTGGGAATGAATATAACTTAAATGGGGAAGTTGTTAAGAAGGGTACCTTGGAAGGTGTGGACTTTGAAAGTTGAAAGTTTGGAAGGGGTGAGTGTGTTACACTACAAGTAGGTAAAAAGATTGTTCAAAGTTGGATCCCTGCTTAGAAAGCCCAAATAAATGGTTTGATGGGTGAGGGAAGAGAATGATATATTTGAGGGCTATTGATCCCATTCTAAGAAGTGACAATATAGAAAGAGGAAGAACCAACATGTGGTTTTTTTGTTTTGGTTTGTAAACCTCTAAAGAGATTACAAGGAAAGTGATCTTTCTGGATGTCTTTCACCTATCTGGCTTCTTTATATCAGGCGATAGGATAATTTCAGAAAGTGTTTCATTTCTCACCATTAACTATAACTTTTATTGGTGTGTCTTACATGCGCTTTATCAAGTTGAGGAAGATCCCCCTATTCTTAGTTTGCTGAGAGTTTTGTTTTTGTTCTCTTTTTAAATCATGCAAATGTATTGGATTTTGCCAAATGCTTTTCTGCATCTGTGGATATGACCATATGATTTTCCTTCTTTATCCTCTTGTGATAGATTACATTAACTTGTTCTGAAATGTTAAAGTAGCCTTGCTGTGATGTTAATACTGAGTGTCAACTTAATTGGATTGAAGGATGCAAAGTATTGATCCTAGGTGTGTCTGTGAGGATGTTGCCAAAGGAGATGAACATTTGAGTCAGTGGGCTGGGAAAGGCAAACCCACCCTTAATCTGGGTGGGTACCATCTAATCAGCTGCCAGCATGACTAGAATATAAAGCAGTCAGAAAAATTTGAAAAGACTAGACTGGCCCAGCCTCCCAGCCTATGTCTTTCTCCCATGCTGGATGCTTCCTGCTCTTGAACTTTGGACTCCAAGTTCTTCAGTTATGGGACTCAGGTTGACTTTCCTTGCTCCTCAGCTTGCAGATGGCCTATTGTAGGACCTTGTGATCATGTGAGTTAATACTTAATAAACTCCGCTTTATATATATCCCATTAGTTCTCTACCTCTAGAGAATCCTGACTAATACACTTGCATACCTGGAAAAAGTCTCACTTGATCATGTTGTATAATTCTTTTTATACATAGTTAGATTTAATTTACTAATATTTTATTGAGAAATTTTACATCTATGCTTAAGCGAGATATTGGTCTGTAGTTTCTCTTGCTTATAATGTCTTTATTTGCTTTTGTTATTAGGGTAATGTTGGCTTTACAAAATGAGTTGGAAGTGTTCCCTCTGCTTTTGTTTTCAGGAAGAGATTGTAGAGAACTAGTATCATTTTTACTTAAATGTTTGATAAATTCAACCAGTGAAACCATCTGGGCCTGGTGCTTTTTTTAAGATTATTAATTCTTGATTAAATTTATTTGATAAGATAGGACTATCCAACTTATCTGCTTCTCTTTGTGTGAATTTTAGTAGTTTATGTGTTTTAAAGATTTGGTCCATTTCATTTAAGTTAGCATAGAATTAGCCAACATTACCCTAATAACAAAACCAAATAAAGACATTATAAGCAAGAGAAACTACAGACCAATATCTCTCTTAAATTTGTGGGCATAGAACTGTTCATAGCATTCTTTTATTATTATCCTTTTAATGTTGATGGGATTAGTAGTGGTTATTTTTATTTCATTTGTGATACTAGCAATTTATGCCTTTTTTTCTTGGTTAGCCTGGCTAGAAGTTTATCAGTTTGATTGATGTTTTCAAAGAACCATCTTTTGGTTTTATGGATTTTCTCTATCAATTTTCTCCTTTTGATGTCATAGATGACTTCCAAGTTCTTAACATGTTGGAGCTCAAACCAATGTCCCTGTTACATTTTGTTTCTTTATTACTCACTTTTAAGATTTACATATGGTAAACTTCACTCTTTTGGTGTAAAGTTTTGTGAGTTTTGACAAATGCATAGAATCTTGTAGCCATCATCACTAACAAGACATAGGCCGTTCTGCTACCCCCACACCACAAAATTCCCTTGTGCTACTTCTTTGTAGTTAATTTCTCTCCCTACCTGCAACCCTGACAACTACTAGTCTGTCTTTGAACTTTGGTTCTTAAGTCATTTGTGGGATTGAGAAGCCTCTGGGACTGTTATGCAATGTATATTTTTAGGGCATGAATAGATCAAAAAAGTCTTTTCCTTTGTATGGATCCCAAATGATGTAACACATTATGGCTCTCATCTTTGTGCTTTTTGTTCCTTAAAAAAAGTAAACAATTAGAAAACAAACTAAGAATAAATTTGGCAAAAGTAAATAAAAGTAGATGAAATGGTTAAAAAAAAGTTAAGTTGTAAGGCAAACTGCATATCCCTTTCTTTGAAATATTCAAGCAGACAGAAGTGGACAGGTGCCCTGCATAAAGGAAGTAACTAGGATGATTGCTGTCTCAAGGGCATCTTAGGCTCACAGAGCTGGATGAACTTTGGAAATGACCTAATGATCTATGTAGTAGTCAGCAAACTATAGCCCACCAGCCACAACTGGTAGACCACCTGTTTTTATATGGCCATGGAATAAATATGGTTTTTATATTTATAAAAGATTGGGGAAAATATAAATCAGGGTATTTCATGACACATGAAAGTTATTATGAGATTCAAATTTCACTGTCCACAAATAAAATTTACTGGAACCCAGTCATGCTCATTTGTTTCCCTATTGTCTATGTCCTTTCACACTGTAATGGCAAAGTTGAGTAGCTGTGGCAGAGACTGTATATGGTGATCCTCACTTTGCACTACTGCTTGGAATGCTGTAAATTGCAGTGAAAGTTAAAATTCAACTGCATTTCTAGCATCATACAGTGACATTCCTCCCTCCCTCCTTCCCTTTTCTTTCTTTTTTTTCCTTCCTTCCTTCCTTTCTTTTCTTTTTCTTTTCTTTCTTTTCTTTTCTTTCTTTCTCTTTTCTTTCTTTCTTCCTTTCTTTCTTTCTCTCTCTCTCTCTCTCTCTCTCCCCCTCCCTCCCTCCCTCTCTCTCTCTTTCTTTCTTTCTTTCTTTCTTTCTTTCTTTCTTTCTTTCTTTCGTTTTTTGTTTGACAGAGTCTTGCTCTGTCACCCAGGCTGGAGTGCAGTGGCATGATCTCAGCTCACTGCAACCTTCACCTTCTGGGTTCAAGCAATTCTCTTGCCTCAGCCCCCCAAGTAGCTGGGCTTACAGGTTCATGCCACCACACCCAGCTAATTTTTGTACTTTTAGTAGAGATGGGGTTTCACCATGTTGGCCAGGCTGGTCTTGAAGAATTCCTGACCTCAGGTGATCCGCCCGACTCAGCTTCCCAAAGCGTTGCGATTACAGGCATGAGCCACCGCGACTGGCCTCTTTTCTTTCTTTGTTTTTGTTTCTACCCCCTGCCCCCTCCCCGCCTCCCTCTCTCCCTTCCTTCCTTCCTCTTTTCCCTCTCTTAAATTTATTTCTTATTATTAACAGTAAATACCCATCAAGTGATAACAAGAAAGAAAAAGTAGACTTTGAATATCAAGCTTTTAAGATACAGTGGAGTGTGTATTACTTTGCTATATAATAGAATTACTTGGCAAGACATTTTGCTTACTATGCAATGACAATATAGTTATGCTAAAAGAATACAATAGATGTCAACATAACCAGACTGAACAATCATTGTGACATTCTCATCTCACAGGAAAGCAATGATTAGAAAAATTTAAACTTGAATTTCTCATCAAAGCAGAATTTCTTCACAAAAACAAAAAATGAGAATGAGCTTGCAACCAAAGAAGTTTCTGAGTGGCTTGTTAGCCAAGCAAGGAAAGCGGTTTACCCATGGTGAGTTAACTAAATTGAGATCAATTACAACAGCCAAAGAAATGTGTCCAGAGAAAATAAACTTGTTTAAGACCTTTAGCCTTCCAGTAAGAACAATTGCTCAGAGAGTTGAGGACATTGGAAGCAACATCAATAGTCAATTTAAAAAAAAAAGACAAATAATTTAGGGTGGTTTTTCTTGGTTCCCGATGAGCCCACAATGTTACTGATACTGCTCAGTTGTTACTGATTCAAGGAATCAATGCCAATTTGGAAGTGACTGAAGAATTAGCTTCTATAAATAGTCTGCATGGAGCAACTAGAGGTGAGAATATTTTCAAAGAATTTGAGAAAACACCAATTTAGTACAACCTGTGGTAGAATCTGCTAAGAAATACCAAATCTGATGACAGTAAAAATATGTGTGAAATTGTAAGAGATTTTCAAAGAATTTGAGAAAATACTAATCCAGTACAATCTGAGACGGAATCTACTACGATATGTCACACTTAATGGTAGTAAAAATATGTATGAAGCTGCAAAATGCTTAGTTGGATAAATTTACAAAGGTTGGGAAAATGTAAGGCATTTAAAATCTACAGTTATTTATTGTGTTACTTATTAGTGGGTTCTTTGCTGAAAATGTTTTTATCTGGTATGTGTCATTGATCCAAGTTTCAGTGGTAGACTCATTCACTCTCATGGACATAACCATAATCAGTTCCATGAATTTTTGTTAGAAAGAGAAGCTGAATATCCTGACTTGCTGTACCACACAGCAATTCAGTGGTTCAGCAGTGGTAACGTTTTATTGTAATTTTTTGGAGCTCAGGGCTGAAGTTGAAATTGTTTAAAATGAGAACGGTCCTCAGCCACTACTAAGCAATACTGAATGGCTTTAGAAATTAGTTTTTGCTGTAGACTTCATAGTATTTCTTAATGAATTTCACCTAAAATTACAAGGCCAAGCAGTGCTCATATAAGAAATTTATACTGCAGTAAAGTCATTTCAACAACTAACATTACTTGAATGTCAACCTGCCCTATACACATCCAGTGTTACTAAAAGATAAAACAAGAATTGAGATCTCCATGCAATTTTCCTTGCAAATTTGCAGTGGTTATATTTTCTGAGTTCTAACTGCAGTCTCAGTAACATCTTTTGGACTCAATGCAAGGGCAAAACAAATTTCCATATTTCAAAATCCATTTAACCGAACATTTGAAGGGCTTCCATTGAGCCTTCAACTGGAAGCTATTAATTTGCAATGTAATCATATGCTAAAAATGTCAAGGGAAACATTTAATAGAACCCTACAAATGCCTTTCAAGTGATCAATATGCTCAATTAAAATCATATGCTCACGAATCAATATTAGTATTTGGCAGTTCTTATCGCGTAAAAAGATATTTTCAAAGATGAAATACTCATTCACTTGTGGAATTGCAATACTCAATGAGATACAATCTCAGCATAGATCAGCATTAACAAATGAACATTAGCAATCAACATTGATAATGGGCCAATCACATTTGAATCCCAATGCAGTGAAATGTTATTACCCTCAAAAGAATTCCAGTCATTATTAGACCTGTACTACAAAAAAATTATACACAATTATTTTTATATTTTAAATTTTGTCAGTAAAAAATGCATGAAAATGTGTTTTCTTTCTTGTTTTATAAGTAGTTATATAAGACTTTTGCCTCTTGGTCTGCAAAGCCTAAAATATCTACTATCTGTCTCTTTACAGACACTTTTCCAATCTCTGATCTAGAACACTTGATTTCCTCTATGCTAGAAGACAGTCTGAGGTTTCAACTGGAAAAGCCCCAGGGACAGGGTTGATAATTTTTAAAGATCTTTGTATATTACAAATGGAACAAAGAAAGCTGTTACGGGTTGTCAGCTGATGTCAGTCAAACTGTCATGAAAAAACTGGACTATGAACAAAAGTGGGTGCCTCTATTCCAACACAACTGTATTAGTTTTCTAGGGCTGCCATAACAAAGTACCACACACTGGGGGCTTAAGAGAAACAAAAATGTGTTCTCCCACAGTGCCAGAAGCTAGAAGTCCAAAATCAAGGTGTCAGTAGGACCATACTTCCTCTGAGGCGTCTAGAAAATAACCCTTCCTTGCCTTTTTCTAGCTTCTGTTAGTTGCTGGCAATCCCTCAGTATTCCTGGGCTTGTAGCTGCATCACTTCAATCTACGTCCACTGTCTCACAGCCTTCTTTCCTGTGTGTCTGTCTGTGTGTACATCTCCCCTTCTGATAAGGACATCAGTCACACTGGATTTAGGGTCTACCTAAATCCATTATGACCTTATCTTTATCTAATATACCCGCAAAAAACTATGTTAAAATTTATTTGAAAAATGAATTATGACAGCTACAAGTTTCTTTTGACAAAATTTTATTTATTCATTTTAAAGCAGAAAGTTATAAGGTAGTGGAGATTCAGGAATTGCATCTCCAGAGATTTTAAGAAATAGGAAGAAGAATAAGATGTCTATCTTCTATTTCCAAAAAAAGGCACATTCTAAGTTCCTGGGTGGACATGGTAGGGACACATTCAACTCAATACCTTTTAGCAGTGAAAGGAGCAAGTGATCAAAATTGTGCTTAGCCAGAAGGCTTCAGGACCCATGGTAAACAGAATTATGCTCTTCTCCCCAACCCCCACCAAAGAATCATATAATAATCACTGAAACCTGTGAATACGTAGACTTACATGGCAAAAAGGGACTTTACTGATGTGATTAAGAATCTCGAGATGAGAAGATTATCCTGGGTTATTTGAATATGCCCAGTGTAATCACAAAGGGCCTGATAAGAGGGAGGCCGGAGACTCAAAAGCAGAAGAATGAGATGAAACAATGGAAGCAGAGAT
The DNA here is from genome assembly GCF_000001405.40 of Homo sapiens. Lineage (NCBI taxonomy): Eukaryota > Metazoa > Chordata > Mammalia > Primates > Hominidae > Homo > Homo sapiens. The sequence continues at coordinate 106,632,755 of NC_000007.14, read as the reverse complement.
TGAAACGATGGAAGCAGAGGTTGGAATGATGAAAGCAGAGGTTGGAACGATGGAAGCAGAAGTTGGAACGATGGAAGCAGAAGTTGGAATGATGGAAGCAGAAGTTGGAATGATGGAAGCAGAGGTTGGAATGATGGAAGCAGAGGTTGGAATGATAGAAGTAGAGGTTGGAATGATAGAAGCAGAGGTTGGAATGATGGAAGCAGAGGTTGGAATGATGGAAGCAGAGGTTGGAATGAGGGAAGCAGAAGTTGGAATGATAGAAGCAGAGGTTGGATTGAGGGAAGAAGAGGTTGGAATGTGGAAGCAGAGGTTGGAACGATGGAAGCAGAGGTTGGAACGATGGAAGCAGAAGCTGGAATGAGGGAAGCAGAGGTTGGAATGAGGGAAGCAGAGGTTAGAATGAGGGAAGCAGAGGTTGCAATGATGGAAGCAGAGGTTGCAATGATAGAAGCAGAGGATGGACTGACGGAAGCAGAGGTTGGAATGAGGGAAGCAGAGGTTGGAATGAGGGAAGGAGAGGTTGGAATGAGGGAAGGAGAGGTTGGAATGAGGGAAGCAGAAGTCGGAATGAGGGAAGCAGAGGTTGGAATGAGGGAAGGAGAGGTTGGAATGAGGGAAGGAGAGGTTGGAATGAGGGAAGCAGAAGTCGCAATGAGGGAAGAAGAAGTAGGACTGATGGAAGCAGAGGTTGGAATGATGGAAGCAGAGGTTGGAATGAGGGAAGCAGAAATTGGAATGATGGAAGCAGAGGTTGGATTGATGGAAGCAGAGGTTGGAATGATGGAAGCAGAGGTTGGAATGAGGGAAGAAGAGGTTGGTTTGAGGGAAGCAGAGATTGGAATGATGGAAGCGGAGGTTGGAATGATGGAAGCAGAGGTTGGAATGATGGAAGCAGAGGTTGGACTGATGGAAGCAGAGGTTGGAATGAGGGAAGCAGAGGTTGGAATGAGGGAAGCAGAGATTGGAATGATGGAAGCAGGGGTTGGAATGATGGAAGCAGAGGTTGGAATGGTGGAGGCAGAGGTTGGAATTATAGAAGCAGAGGTTGGACTGACAGAAGCAGAGGTTGGAATGAGGGAAGCAGAGGTTGGAATGAGGTAAGGAGAGGTTGGAATGAGGGAAGGAGAGGTTGGAATGAGGGAAGCAGAAGTCGGAATGAGGGAAGAAGAAGTTGGACTGATGGAAGCAGAGGTTGGAATGATGGAAGCAGAGGTTGGAATGAGGGAAGAAGAGGTTGGAATGTGGAAGCAGAGGTTGAACTATGGAAGCAGAGGTTGGACTGATGGAAGCAGAGGTTGGAATGAGGGAAGCAGAGACTGGTTTGAGGGAAGCAGAGGTTGGACTGATGGAAGCAGAGGTTGGACTGAGGGAAGCAGAGGTTGGAATGAGGGAAGGAGAGGTTGGAATGAGGGAAGCAGAGGTTGGAATGATGGAAGCAGAGGTTGGAATGATGGAAGCAGAGGCTGGAATGAGGGAAGCAGAGGCTGGAATGAGGGAAGCAGAGATTGGAATGATGGAAGCAGAGGTTGGAATGAGGGAAGAAGAGGTTGGAATGATGGAAGCAGAGGTTGGAATGATGGAAGCAGAGGTTGGAATGATGGAAGCAGAGGTTGGAATGATGGAAGCGGAAGTTGGACTGATGGAAGCAGAGGTTGTAATGATGGAAGCAGAGGTTGGACTGATGGAAGCAGAGGTTGGAATGAGGGAAGCAGAGGTTGGAATGATAGAAGCAGAGGTTGGAATGAGGTAAGGAGAGGTTGGAATGAGGGAAGGAGAGGTTGGAATTGTGGAAGCAGAGGTTGGAATGGTAGAAGCAGAGGTTGGAATGGTGGAGGCAGAGGTTGGAATGATGGAGGCAGAGGTTGGAATGATGGAGGCAGAGGTTGGAATGATGGAGGCAGATGTTGGAATGGTGGAGGCAGAGGTTGGAATGGTGGAGGCAGAAGTTGGAATGATGGAGGCAGAGGTTGGAATGAGGGAAGCAGAGGTTGGAATGATGGAGGCAGAGGTTGGAAGGATGGAGGCAGAGGTTGGAATGAGGGAAGCTGAGGTTGGAATGATGGAAGTAGAGGTTGGAATGATGGAAGCAGAGGTTGGAATGAGGGAAGCAGAGGTTGCAATGATGTGCTTTGAAGATGGAAACAGAGGCATTAGCCAAGGAACACCTGCAGTCTCTAGAAGCTGGAAGAGACAAACAAAAGATTCTGTGCCGGGTTTTCCAGAGGGAATGAAGCTCGGCTGACACCTTGATTTTAGTTATCTAAGAGCCATTTCGGATTTCTGACCCCTAGAAATGTATTTGTGTTGTTTATACCCACCAAATTCTGGTAATTTGTTGCAGCAGCATGAGAAAGCCAATACAAGGAGGAGAGCTAGCTAAGTGGATTTCTCCACTGGATGAGAACTGGCTGTGGATGAAGGAGGGAGCAGCAGGGACCTGGCTGTGGATGAAACGGGGAGGGACCAATGCAAACAGACCCTTGGAGAATGGGCAAAATGAGAAGTCAGGGCCGACTTCTGCATTTCTGCTGTTACAGGCATGATTTGAAAAGGCAGGCGAATTCTGTTTGGGCATGAAATTTTAAAGTTTGTAGAAAAGAGGTGGTGGTTTCTTAAATTAATGACAGAACGTGCCATTTACGTGCAGGTTTTCAGATTCAAAACCTCCCAAGTGATCTCTTAATCATTGTTGCTTCCAGATGGTCCCCTGCAGATGCCCTCCTTCACTTTCCAAAACTGAAGAATGCCCAGCAGACAACTCGGAGTTTTGCATCCTGGGGTGTTAATGGCTCCATGTTAAACGTTCTGCTTTGGCTTGGGAGCTAAGAAATATTTGTAACCAAACAAACGTTTGATAGCTGGGGTCTTCCCTGAAAAAAATGATTTGCCCAAGACCATAGAAAAGTGTTGGAGCAGGAAAAAAGAAATTGAGTATTACTACTTGCTATCAGGCTTGGATGAAAATCTCTAGGCTAAAAATAAACTATCCATGGGTCAGCTCATTCTGTTATGACCCCAAATTTCTTAGGAAACAGTAATGCTAGAACTATTTCTCAAAGACATAGCAAATTAAAGGAACGTCATGCCAAATAGGAGACAAAAGATCAGATGCCCAGAAAAGGACTTCAAAGCCATGTAAGAATTATAAAAACAATCTTTTGTTTGAAAAAATGAATTAGAGCTACAATTTATTTATTTTAAAGCAGAAAATTACTTTATAAGGCAAGGGAGATTCAGGAATTGCATCCCCAGAAATTCTAAAAACTAAGAAGAATAAGATGTCTATCTTCTAAGCATGGGTATAGGAAGTCACTGCCCACTCACAGGTGAGTAGACATGATCAGAGCTTTTCAACTCTGGCTGCTAATAGTTTTGAAGTCCTTTTCTCTAGCTAGAGAGCTTTAAAAAAACACTGATGCCCAGGCCCCAGATCCTGATATTTTGATACAATTGGCTAAGAGATAGGACTAGATGGAGCCTGCAGTCCCTTGAAAATGTAAAAATTCCTTGATAAACAGGAATTTATAATTAGGATCAAAGCTTTAGTTAGCTGATTCTTTAACATATTTTATTTAGCAGTCATTCATTGTGTACACACTGTGCAGTTCTGCTCTTAAAAAACTCAACTCTAGGTGGGGTGTGGTGGCTCATGCCTGTAATCCCAGCACTTTGGGAGGCTGAGGAGGGTGGATCACAAGGTCAAGAGATTGAGACCATCCTGGCCAACATAGTAAAACCCCATCTCTACTAAAAATACAAAAATTAGCTGAGCATGGTGGCGGGTGCCTGTAGTCCCAGCTACTCAGGAGGATGAGGCAGGAGAATCACTTGAACTCAGGAGGCGGAGGTTACAGTGAGCTGAAATCGCCCCACTGCACTATGGCCTGGTAACAGAGCAAGACTCCATCTCAAAAAAAAAAAAAAAAAGAAAAAGAAAAAAACAAAAAACAAAACTCCACTCTAGTAGGGAAGTGGACCTTTAAACAGTAAGAATTCTCAATTCTCACACTTGTGTAACAGGTACCAGCAGAGGATTAAGTTTAACTTAAAGAGGTAGTAGAGAGGGAGGAGAGATTAAATTAATTCAGGGGTGTGGTGGGTAGATGTAAAGGTAAGAGAAGGCTCTGGTCCTAGCTGAATTGGAAAGCTAACCAGACTTTGCCAGGTTGTCAAGCAAAAAGAACATTTCCTGACTCAGGGAAACTGTGTGGAAAGTCACAGGCAGGCATCGCATGCTCAGAAGGTGATCAATAATATCACTGGAGGGTAACATTTAGGGGATGAAGCAGGGGAGAAACCTGCTGAGAATTGGCATAAGGGGAGCATGGGAGGTGAGGCTGCAGAGTAGGCTGGCCCTGGGGATCCTGGGGGATCTGTCAACCTTCAGGCCTTGGAAGGCACCTCCTGGAGCTGATGGACATCGAGTGGAGAGGTCTGAGAGCTGGGATATGATCAGATTTGCTTTTTTGCAGGATCCCTTTGGCAGGCCTGGGGAAGATAGGCCTAGGAGGAATGGGACAAAAAGCAAGGAGATGAGTAAGGAGTATGCAAGAGAAAGACAAACTGAAGTGCAAGATTGGAAAAGATAGATTTAAAAGATATTGAGATGGCAGAATGAACAAAATCTGGCCAACAAATGACAGATACAAAGGAGGCCCTCAAATCATTCTACATGGTTAAATGGTCCATGGGGTTTTTCTAATGAGGCTTAAGATGCTGCAATTACCCTTGTTTTCTTCTAGTCAATATTTTTGTACCCCTCCTAGATGTGGATGCTGCTTTACTGCTGAGCCAAGGTCACAAATGGCTGCTCCTACCCAGAATTGTGGCTACATCTTGCTCTGCTCCAACAGCCATCCTGCCCAAGTAGGGCAACAACCCTTCTACCTGTTCATCAGTCTGCAACAGAACCTTGCATTCACAGCCTCTTCTCCACTGGCGGCTGAATCAATCATTTGACTTGTGTTTCAGTCCATCATCACACCCTCTCTAATTACCCAATGCAAGAAGGAGGGCCATAAAATAGGGTGAAAGATGCAAAATTGGGCTGCACCTTAATACTGTCCCCATTTTCAGTCTAAACCTGGTTCCCTTTACTCCCTCCTTCTTCCCTGGTGCCAGTCACTTCTCCATCTGTATATTGTCGTGGAGATGAAGGAGCAGTCCCTGGTCTCTACTCACTTAGAGCCTTAGCCCTGGAGACTTCCACAGGATCTAACCACTGTCCACATGAGGCTTCTCAGGGCCTTCCTGCAAATAAAACCCTGGTGCATCCTGAATTCACCAAGGGTATGAGTTTAGGCCTTCCCTCTTGCCCCTCACTTTAATTTTGCAGAGATTTCAGGCAAGATTGCTAGAATTTAAACATGTGTCCTCTGTCTAATATAGAAATTATTCCTTCTGAGGCCAGTTGTGATGGCTCATCCCTGTAATCCCAGCACTTTGGGAGGCTGCAGAGTGAGGATTGCTTGAGGCCAGAAGTTTGAGACCAGTTTGGGCGATGTAGGGAGACCCTTGTCTCTACAGAAAATTGAAAAATTAGCCAGATATGGTGGTGTGCCTGCAGGACCAGCTACTTGGGAGAGTGAAGTGGGAAGATCACCTGAGCTTGGAAGTTCAAGGCTGCAGTGAGCTGTGATAGCACCACAGCACTCCAGCCTGGGCGACAGAGCGAAGAGGCCCTGTCTCTTAAAAAAGAAAGAAAGAAATTATTGTTTCAATTGTCACGTAGATCTGGAAAAACAGGTTCTTCCAGTATGTCAAGGCAATGTAAGTCATTTCCAATTTACTTCTATGCTCATACCCAATGTGTGGGGTTTCTATTAGTTTCCTTGGATTGTTGTGACAAATTACCACAAACTGGGTGGCTTAAAACAAGAGACACTTGTTCTTTCACAGTTCTGGAGGCCAGAGTCTGAAATCAAAGTGTCAGCAGGGTGAGTTCCTTCTGGAGGTTCTGAGGAAGAATTCGTTCCATGCCTGTCTTCTCAGTTCTTGCAGTTGCCAGCACCCCTGTCATTCCTTGGCTTGTGGCAACATAAATCCAATGTTAGCCTTTGCCTTCACATGGCCTTCCAGGTGTCCCTGTGTTATAACTCCCTTTTGCTTCCCTTAGAAGCACACGAGTCATCAGGTGTAGGACCCACTCTAAATTTATGATGATCTCATCTTAAAATCCTTACCTTCATCATACCTGCAAGATCCTATTTCCAAAGAAAGTCACATGCACAGCTGCAGGAGATTATAACTTTGACCTATCTTTTTGAAGCCACTGTTCAACTGATTAGAGGGCCCAGCATTATCTCTGCATTGGTTGTTCCAGCAAGGTGGCGACCTAGAAAAAATATATATCTGATAATAGGGGCTGTTTGGAATAAACTGGGAGATGGCTCCCTTCTGAATTTGAGGTTGGGAAGATCATATTTGGTGTTCTGAAGAGTACTTAGTATTAATGAAGGTATAGACACACACACACACACTCTAAAAATAATACTATTGTTATTTTCTGCGTTAAATAAACCTCCCATTTTCTGAGGTGAATTTCCCTCTCAGTTTTCCACAAGCCACTGTACTCTAATACTTTCCCCCTAGAATTTGATAAATGATTTACCTTTTCAAATAGTGTCTCCTACATGTATTCCTCACGGCACAGGTAGGCCTGGCATAGGAAGTGCCTCTTCTCAGCATGTTTCTTCTCTGAATTTGACAGTGAAAGGATTTCTGATCATCTCCACCCTCTTGGCGGCTCCAGCCAGGGTCATGTGCTCTTCCTGCTCAGCGGTCAGCAGGAAATGGCTGCTGGGATGCTGAAGCTGTTAAGAGAGGTGTGGTTAGTTCTCATGCCCCTTGTCCCACAGGTTTTGCCATTTGGCAAACTTAGAACATTGCTTGTGAATATCAGTTTCCACTTAGTATCTGAGAAAGATTGCTACTCACATCATGCGTATCGATGGCTTGGAACCTCTTTAGAAAATAAGACTTGGAGATAAGATCTATTGCCCTTCTCAAGCACCTCCAGAGCAGAAACCAAACACTCATTCCTAGAAAAGAATGTAAAATAAGACTCTGTTAGCCAAGACTCTCCTCATCTCTCTCTAAAGTTAACAGAGACAAGACACAAATACCCAATGAGGAAACGAAGTCTTCTGGGAGAAAGAAGAAAGATGTGGAGGTCAGACAGAGACCGCTGGCAAAGATACCAGCCCTGTTCCCAAGAACACCCGCCCTGCTTACCACAAGGGAGCAGAGGCCAACATGAAGATGACATCCCCAGTTCCTGTTCCTTTTCCCTAATGCTCCTACCTGCTCTGAGTAATGCCAATGTCTAGGAAAAAAAATACTGGCTGAATCCCACTGGAGAGTCCTTTGGCCTCAGTGGTGACACTTATAAGAAGTCCGCTTTAGATACCTTGAGAATTGGTTGGGCAGCAGCTTGGGGTTGGCTTTGGCAAAAATTAAATCTGTGAGACTGAGTTAAAGGGAAAATGGAACTAGCTTCCCAGGAATAATGCAAGATATGGGACTTTGCAAAAAGGGTGAGACCTGAAGGGAGATGGAACAATTTATATAAAGAGGTACAGTACCCCCTGCGTTCATTGAACTGAAGCAGCTGCAAATGAGGCATGTTTACCTCGTTAAATGAAGGTGGTGAGATGCTCCTTATCCTCATGTGAATAAAACAACAGCAATAACCTAAATATGCATTTAACTTCCCAGAAAAGTGGCTAAAAAAATTAGTGACAAATTGTTAAAAACTCCTTTTCCTGCCTGAGTTTGCCTAGAGGAAGGAAGTACAATATCACAATATTATATACTACCTGCTGTCTTCTGGAAAATAGGCCCTCAGTATGGAAAAGACAGTGAATTTGAACAGCCCAGGGATAATGGAATTTATCCATCCATCCACCCACCCACTCATGCATCCATCCATCCAACCATCCGTCCATGCATCCATCCATTCATCCACACAGTCATCCATTCATCATTCTACAAACACATTGCATATCTATGATATATAGGGCACTGTAAGGGCTATAAGGATAAATAAGACATGGTGCTGAAATCACATGTCTTTCACCCTCAGGATCCTGTGACACTGTAGTTTTCTCGATTAAATGATAAATTTACAAATCTTCCTTTAACCACAGTAAACAGCTGACTACCAGAGAAAGAGGTATCTGAAGTCAAAAAGTTACGGTTCAAATCCCAGCCCCATCACAAGTTGTGTGATTGTGGATAAATTAAGTCAACTCTCTGGGCCATAGTTTCCTCATTTGTAAGTGAGAAATAATTCCAACTCCAGGAAGTTATTATATGGAATAAATAAAATACATAAAGCTCCTGGGTATAGTAGTTCTCTTTTCTTATTTTTTTATGGGAAAATCTTTCCCTCTACCAGGAATGTGGCATTCCTCTTTAAAATAGTTGGTGTTTATAACTTTAGTTTGAGGCTCATAAAGAAAAGAATTTGATTGTATACCCCAAGTTGGGCTTACCTGGCAGGTCTCCTAGTTTTTTTCACAATAGTGCTCTTCCAGGATTCTTGAAATGTCCAAGTTTAAAGAGGTTTCAAAGCTCTCAATCAGCCTCCTGCTTCATGCCAAGTCAACTTGGATTTCTCTTCTTAACAGTGCTGAATCTCCTTGTGTGTTTTGGTTTTAGTGCATGCTAGTGCATTGAGGACTGCCAAAGGGGCCATCATTGCTCTTACTCATGCTTAAATATTTGCTCACCCAGCCTACAGACTCAGACTCAGTGACACATGTCAGGGAGCCACACACATTTCTCAAGTATTGAGTCAAAGGCTAGTATTTATTTATTGTTGGGTCAGACACATACTATTTATAAACTTAATTTAGTTTTGTGGTGTTTTTTAATCCTAAAGTCTCTTCAACCAAAACTTTAGGATCAGAAAACATTTAATTCTAAATTATCTTTTTGTTTTGTTTTGTTTTTTAAAGAAACGGGGTCTTGCTCTGTCACCCAGGCTGGAGTGCAGTGGAATGATCATAGCTCACTGCATCCTTGAACTCTTGGGCTCAATTTATCCTCCAACTTCAGCCTCCCAAGTAGCTGGGACTACCACCACCAGACCTGGTTAATTTTACTTTCATTTTTGTATAAATGGTGTCTCGCTATGTTGCCCTGTGTGGTCTCACACTCCTGGCCTCAGGCAATCCCCTGAAAGTGCTGGGATTACAGGTGTGAGCCACTGTGCCCAGCTTAAATGATCTTCATTATTCAAAAATGCATTTATGGTTCTTATGAAAAATAAGATGAATATAGGTAAATGTCATTTCAGCAAAAATGGAAAATATCGAGAGAGGAAGAAATTCTATAATGTGTTGATAATTTCACAGAGATTACATTGGGCAAATTGTAGATCCTTTAAATATCTTGCTCCACCAATCCTTCCTGCAAACTTCTGGTTCCCTTTATTAGCTCTGTAATCATGGGCAAATACTCCAGTGTTTTATTTTTCCCATTTGTAACATGGGGACAATAATACCTATATTCAGAATGGTTGCAAGATCACAGATAATGCCAATAAAAGATGTAGCAGAAAGCCTGGCACATGACACTCAATAAACACTATATTACAGGCATACCTTATTTTATTGCACTTTGCTTTATTGCACTTTGCAGATTTTGTGTGACTTTACAAATTGAAGGTTTCTGGAACCCTGCATTGAGCCAAGTCCATTGGCAACATTTTTTCCCAACAGCATGTGTTCACTGTGTCACATTTTGGTAATTCTCACAATATTTCTAATTCTTTCATTATTATTATATCTGTTTTGGTGATCTCTGATCAGTGATATCGGATGTCACTGTTGTAATTGTTTTGGGGCTCCATGAACCATGCCCATATAGGACAGCAAAGTTAATCAGTAACTGTTGTGTGTGTTCTGACTGCTCTACTGACCAGTTGTTCCATCTCTCCCCATCTCCTTGGGCCTCCCTATTCCCTGAGACACAACAATATTGAAATGAAGTCAAAATGGCCTCTAAGTATTCAAGTGAAAGGGAGAGTTTGCATGTTTCTCTCTTTAAATCAAAAGCTAGAAATGATTAAGCTGAGTGAGGAAGGCACAACAAAAACCAAGATAAGCTGAAAGCTAGGACTCTTGAACCACAGCTGGCCAAGTTGTGAATGCAAAGGAAACATTTTTAAAAATATTAAAAGTGCTACTCAAATGAACACATGAATAATAAAGTTAAACAGCATTATTGCTGATATAGAAAAAGTTTGATTGGTATAGCTGGAAGACTAAATCAGCCACAGCATTTAATTAAGCTAAAGGCTAATCCAGAGTAAGGGCCTAACTCTCTTCAATTCTATGAAGGCTGAGAGAAGTGAGAAAGCTGCAGAAGAAAAGTTTGAAGCTAGCAGAGGTTGGTTCATGAGGTTGAGGAAAGAAGTCATCTTCATAACATAAAAGTGCAAGGTAAAGTCCTGATGTAGAAGCTACAGCAAGTTACCCAAAAGATCTATCTATGATAATTGATGCAGGTGGCTTCACTAAACAATAGCTTTTCAGTGTAGACAAAACAGCATTGTATGGGAAGAAGATGCCATCCAAGACTTTCATCACTACAGAGGAAAAGTTAATGCCAGCTCCAAAGGACAAGCTGACTCTTGTTATAGGCTAATGCAGCTGGTAATTTTAAGTAGAAGCCAATGCTCATTTACCATTATAAAAATCCTAGGGTCCTTCAGAATTATGCTAAGTCTACTTTCCCTGTGTTCTATAAATGGAACGGCAAAGCTTAGATGACAGCACATCTGTTTGCAGCATGATTTATTGAATATTTTAAGCCCACTTTTGAGACCTACTGCTCTGAAAAAAAGATTCCTTTCAAAATATTACTGCTCATTGACAATGTACCTGGCCCCTTAAGAACCCTACTGGAGATGTACAAGGGGATTAATGTTATTTTCCTGCCTGCTAACATAACATTTATTCTGCAGCCCATAGATAAATAAGTAATTTCAACTTTCAAGTCTTATTGTTTAAGAAATACATTTTGTAAGCCTATAGTTGCTACAGTGATCCCTCTGATGGATTTGGGCAAAGTGAATAAAAACCTTCTGGAAAGGATTCACTACTCTAGATGCCAACTAGAACATCTGTGATTCATGGGTCAAAGTATCAACTTTAACAGAAATTTGGAAGTTGATTTCAACCCTCATGGATGACTTGGCAGGGTTCCAGTGGAGGAATTAACTGCAAATATGGCGAAAGTAGTGAGAGAATTAGAATTAGAACTGGAGGCTAAAGATTGACCGAGTTGCCACAATCTCATGATCAATGGATGAGGAGTTCGATAAGCAAAGAAAGTAGTTTCTTTAGTTAGAACTTACCCCTGGCGATAATGCTGTCAACATTGTTGAAATGACAACAAAGGATTTAGAACATTACGTAAACTTAGTTGATAAAAGCAGCAGCAGGGTTTGAGAGAATTGACTCCAGTTTTGAAAGACGTTCTATTGCTATCAAACAGCATCTCATGCTACACAAAAGTCTTTTGTGAAAGGGTCAATTGATGCAGCAAACTTCATTGCTGTCCTATTTTAAGAAATTACCATAGCCACCCCAACCTTCAGCAACCATAATGCTGATCAGTCAGCAGCCATTGACATGGAGGCAAGACCCTCTACCAGCAAAAAGATTAGGACTTGCTCAAGGCTGAGATGATTGTTAATATTTTTTAGCAACAAAGTATTTTAAATTGAGGTATGCACATTTTTAGATACAATGGTATTGCACACTTAATACGCTACAATGTAATGTAAATATAACTTTTATATTCACTGGAACACAAAAAATTTATGTGACTCACTTTATTGCGATATTCTCTTTATTGCAGTGGTCTGGAACCAAACTTGCAATATTTCCAAAGTATGACTGTATTATGATTTACTTTCCAAACTTATTTCTCTCTGCCTTTATGTGTTACTGTGTCTCAAAGGTGAGGGCTTTTGTAGGTCAAAATGTCATTCATATGTGGTATAAACTATCTAAAAATGCAATATTTTTATTCTGTCTTTGGGAAAAGCAACCTTCTCTTTTTTTTTAACCCTTCTCTTTATTAAACATATAAAAAAAGACTACTTATAAGTAACTGATCAAATGAGTTACTAAATTTAGTGCTAGAGATTATTGAGAACTGGAATCCATATTGTGGTTCGGCACACAAAGAGCTAGTGAGAATTTCCTCATTTCATGCATTGAAGTTATATTTATTGCACACCTTCGGTGTCAGGTACTGTTAGGCTTCGGTATACAGTGATGAACCATACATACCTGGTCTATATTTGCATGACACTTAAAGCTTTAAACAAACACAAAAGTTACATGTATAATTATAAATTGTGTTAAGTGCCATGAAATAAAAGACAAGGATCCATGGAGAGAATTACATGCAGGACAAAATTTTAGATTGGGGGATTGTCAAAGCAAGTGCCTGTGGGGAAGAGGCACTTCAACTTTGGCCATTGGTATGCTAGGAGCTAGCCAGGCAGAGTGGGTACAAAGTGCACTGTAAGAAGGTTGGTAAGAATGGATCTAGTTTAAGGAACCAGGAGAAGAGTGTGGACACAATCACTGAAATAAGGGAAGCATGAGGCAAGATGGCATTAGAATGGGTACCTCCTTAGGAACTAGAGGGCCTTGTCAGGTTACAGATCCTATATGTTATTATAAAGGGTACAGTGGGGACCTTAGGAATGTTTTAGAATAATCTCATTAGATTCAGGATTGTTAGATGGCATTCTAGCTGCTGTGTAAATCAGGTATTGGGGCTGAAGTGGGAAGGATGAGGGGGCACAGAGGTTAAGAAAGAAAGCAGCAAGATCAGTTGGAGTGTGGTGAGAGATCAGGTGACTTGGCTTAGGGTGATGGTGGTGGAAAGAAACAGAGGCAGAGCTGAAAGTATTTGGTGATGGACAGATCGTAGGAGGGATTGATGGGGGAGGGATGAAGAATGACTTTCAGGCTTTGTGCTTGAGCAGCTGGGAGGGGCAGGACATCATAAGGGTGGTCTTAAGTTGGTTGTAGATTTCAATTGCTGCTATTTTTGGTATTATTTAATATATTTAGAGAATTTTGGTTAGAATTTTGTTTTGTTTCTATCCAATTGCTTAGTTGTTACCATCTCAATTGGTCAGAAGATTGTCTCTAATTCCTCGCTGTCATCAAGATCTTTTCACACTGGAATATGAAACTAGTGGGTTATGTACACCATCTTTTGCTCTGTCTTTAGTTGCAATCACAAATCTTTTTTTTTTTCTTGTAGAGATGGGGTCTTGCTACGTGGCCCAGTCTGGTCTCGAACTCCTGACCACAAGTGCACAAACTTTTAATTGCCATGCTTTAGAAGAATCTCCCACTCCAATGAAATTGGTTTCCTCACTGTTTACTGAACATTTTCCCGTCTTTTTTTCTTCACATTTGCTCTTGTCTGAAATGCCCTTCCCCTTCCTGCCTACCTATTAGAAGTCTGACCATCCTTTAAGATTCAGCTCATGTCTACTGCTTATGAGAAGGTTTTACTGACCACCAGCTCACTGGGCTTCTGACACATCATGGTTGCTTTGCAATCTTAGTTTTCTTTGCATGAGTGTAAGATTACCCCCAAAAGATTCCAATTTCCTTGAAGACCCCAAGGTGGAGTCTTTATTGGCCCTACAGAAGCTTTCAGGAAATCTATCACATAGTCAAAGCTCAAATAATGTTTCTTGGTCAGTGGTTAAAGTCATGTCAAGTCAGGTGGGAGAGGAGGCTACTGGAGGAGTTATTCTGGGTCAGACAGGACCTAAAACAGGCCTCATCACACTAGAAGTTGAAGGCATTCTACTACCTGGCTACATATAAATAATATTAAATTTCTAACGTATTCTACACATAAGACAAAATAATTGGGTTTATGGCCTCTGTTCTTGCCTATCTATCAATGATTGGAGATTGAACTTGAAGAGAAAGCAAATTTTAGATCTTGTGATATTTCCATACTATTTGTTACTGTACTTTCTAGAGCCATGCTGTCCATTTTTGTTTTTCATTCTCTGAGACACATTTATCAAGACAGCTCCTGGGCATGAGTCCAAAAAACAGTTTCAAGAATTCAGGGAATTAAATAGCACCAACCAAATTTTCAGTTGCAACAGTAGTTATTAAGTAGAGCTCATTTAATTCCAGGCTATGATCTGGACCAAGGAAAATTAACTCTTGCCTTTTTGAAGTCTCACTGTTTGTGGAGCTGGGACACCAAAGTCATGTCTGTTTGAATTTTTGATAGCCTAATCCTCCACCCAAGGTATGCTAAATTATGACACATGCATCTTTAAGCCACATATAAAGTAACCTTCCTTCGAGAATTTGGGGAATTTTCAAAATACTCTGGAGGCCACTTACAAGTATCATAAAACCAGTACCTATAATCTTTTGGTTTAGGAAATTGAAGTAAAAATATGAAGGATAAAGTCAATGCAAACAAAATCAATTTTTACATTGCATTTAATTGTCCTCTTTCCAGAAAGCAATTCATTGAGAATCCCCTAAACTGGATTACTCTCCTTTTTTGTCTGGGGGTGGGGTCTCAATATCTAGCACATTGGTTCTTAACTCCAGCCCAGATCAGAATTACTTGCAGAACTAGTTCCCAGGCAGCAGGGTGATCGTAACGTGCAGCCAGGGTTCAAGACCAAGGCAGCTAACCTAAATAAGGCAGCTGTAATGAGTATGCTTCTATCTAAATCCAGTGAAACAGGAATCCTTCTGGCAGCCTTTATTATAACAGCTGCAGCCTAGAAACAACACAAATACCTACACACAGTGGTATGGATAACTAAATTGTGGAATACTCATACAAAAGAATAGGATACAGAAATGAAAATTGCTAAGTTACTATTGTATCAAACAGCATGGATACAACCCCAGTAATGTTGAGTGAAAGAAGCAAGACATAAAGGAACACATACTGTTTCATTCCAGTTTTATTAACTTCAAACACAGGCAAATCTAATCTATAGTGTTAGAAGTCAGGGTATTGGTTAAGTTGGGGGAGGGAGATGGAGGCAGTAATTGAGAGTGATCACAAGGGAAAGATTCCATGGTGCTGGTAATAGTCTATTTTTTAAGCGTTGTGGAAGTTAGAGGCCAAAGGTTATACAAAATAAAATATGTTTTCATTTTATCATTTCAGTATGTTCTAAAATCTATACACTGAAATGATTAAAGAGGTTCACCTATAATATCAAACACTATAATATTTTGGAGGAAGATATTTGGTTAAAAAATAGTAATAAGATTTTACAGTGACATTTATCATTGTGGGTCTTGATTTTCTACTAGTTCTTGGTCTTTTAATATAATGTGATCTTGGAGACAGACCTACTTAAGACAATACTTTTCAAGTTAATTCCAGCAAATGGGGTCTAAGATAAATCTGCTCATTTAATTCTTCTCCAAAGTAAATAGCCTATGATATAAAGCCATTTATATAATTTTCAAATAACTATAATATCTTATGAATTCATATTGCAATATAGACCTGGGCAGCATTAACACTGGGCTATTTTAAACCCTCTTAATACCCTGAGAGTACCTAATAAATTTGTGAATTGAAATATGTTATTGAAGATGATGATATCCTGGACTAAATTATTTAATTCATTTATGAGTGTTATTATTTTCTGATTATAACAGTAATAGGTTTGTTGTAAAAAAAAAAAGTTGAAAAATAATTAAAAAATTAAAAATGCTTATAATTCAGCCACTTAGAGGTAAGCACTTTTATTACACTGTGGTATAATTCTCTGGGAAAAAGAAAGGATGTGTATATGCATGCATTTAAACAAAATTAGCTACACAGCTTTGACTCACTCCCACTTTTTTCATTTAGTGATATAGTGTAAGCATTTTCCTGAGTCATAAATGTTCTTCAGAGGTATGAATCTTAGATGTTAATTTCTTTAAACTCTATTGTTGGAGTTTTAGGTTATTTCCATCTTCTTGCTTCCATTAGATGCTAAGAATGGAATGAGCATTGTTTGGTGGAGAAAACAGGCTGAAGACAGGCAGGGAATGTGCAGGGGAGGATCTTGCATAGCCAAGCTTTGCAATGGCTTATACCTTGTTGTCAGTGTTTGCACCCTTCTCTGGCTCCTCTTCACCTTCTTTTTTTCCTCCCACCCTCTCCATACCTACCCATACCTCTTCCTCTTCCCCCTCTTCTTTTCCCCCTCCTCCTCCTCCCTCCTCTTCCTCTCTCTCCTTCTTCTCCATTCCAGCCACACTGACTTCCTTGCTATCAATACACCAGGTCCTTTTCTGCCCTCAGGAATTTTTGGCTCTGTCTGCCTGAATTACTTTTCTCTCCTGTCACAAGTGTCTCCTTCATGCCTTTACTTCCTTGAGGGGCTAAATAATTGTCCCCAGGTCAGATACCTAGAGGGTGAGTCCAGGTCTTCTGACTTTGATTCTTTAATTAGGAGATAGCCCAGGGCTGGGATAGCCTGGTGAGAGTAGGGAGTGGGCCTGTAGGCTGGTCCTCTGTCCAGCTCTTATTTGACAGCCCATGGTGGCTGATTCATCTCTGTATTTAAGACATTCTTCCAGTATCTCCCTCTAGAAGAGAAAATACACAGAACTGTACATGTAATATTCAGTGTCAGGCACGGCGCACAGGTTTTCACGCACCATCTCAGTAAACCCTCATGTTGACCTCTCATGTGGGAGTTCTTATTCCAGTTTCCAGATAAGGAAACTGAGAACTTAGAGAAGTGAAGTGACTTCCTCTCACAATGAGTGATGCTTAGATAACCATTTGGGAAAAGTAGTAACAAGATATACTTAAGATTTCTAGTTCTCAACCAGGCCCTATTCTCTGGGCAATTTTGAGATTGTTGTCTAACAATTTTGGTGTTTCTCCTTCTGAAAAATAGAGATGACAAATTTATGCACCTTGTCTTTGATAGGTTGCTGGGAGGACCAGCTCACTGACAGATTAAAGTTACCAAGTTGAAGTGATGAGCTTGAATCCTTCTGCAGTCACACGTTTGGCCTAGCAGAGGTGAGAGGTGGGATTTCAGATGACTTTGACACTCTCCATCAACTCCTTTCCCCAGATCTGGCCATTTGTTCTCATTTCATTCCCAATTCTTTCTCTTTGTTCTTTTTAAACCATATTTCCCATATGTCTGCTCATTCCCTGTAATTTCTCCTCATGTCTAGCAATTGTCATTTCCCATATGTCCACATAAAATCTACCATCTAAGAAGAAAAAAAATCAGAAAACAAAACCAGAGAAGTAAGACTCAACATTAAAATGTAATTTAGAGTTAACATTTCCTCTCAAAATACAGCAGTAGGGACTGGATTTATATTCCTGCTGGAAATAACTAAGAAAGTAGACAAAGTACATGAAACAATTGTTCTCAAGACAAGATGTCAGTCAATGAAGGACAATGATCTTTGCGAGATGGGAAATAAATGAAGAGATCCATAAAATTGCCCTAACTTACTGACTGAACAAAGTTTTCAGGCCACGGTACAGAGAGGAGGAAATGAGGCCGAGTTGAGGAGTTTCCCTAAATTGTGGGGATGGAGTCAGTAGTCCATGGAGGCTGCTATATTTAATATCTAATGTGTATTAGGAAACTAGCTGAGACCAAGGGAAGAAACACCCAAAAGGATTAGAGGAAACAATACCCAGGATCACACGGGGCCAGGAATAATCCCTGTTCTCAATAGCTGGTGTGGAAGACCTCATAATTCACATGCCATTTGGTAGAATGCTAAGGAGAGTTTTGCCACAGCAGTGAAGAAAAATTATCCCTTCACTAACTACTGCTCTGGTCTTGCCTAAAAAGGCTTAAAAACAAGCCTGAGAGGTTAAAACTATTTCCAAGGAATTTAACTGAATCCCTAAACAAAGTTCAAGAATATTTATGAGAATACAAAAATATCCAGCACCGTCTAAAGTAAAACTCACAATGTTTGGCATCCAATCAGAAATTACCAGGCATGCAAACAAACAGGAAAATACAACACATAATAAGGGGGAAAATCAGACAGTCAAAACTGACCCAGGAATTATGCAGATAATAGAATTAGTAGAGAACATTAAAATGGTTATTTTAACCATATTCCACATGTTCAAGAAGTTAGAGTGCAGATTGAGCATGTTAAGTAAAGACATGCAAGTTAAGAAATCCAAAATAAACTTCTAGAGATGAAAACTATAATGACTAAAATTAAAAATCTAGTCTAAGATTACTAGGTAGGATCAATGAGAGATTAGACATTTCAGAATAAAAGATTAGAGAACTTGAAGACATAGCAATGGAAACCATCTAAAACAAAACACATAGAGAAAAGAATGCTTCAAGTGTAATTGGATCCCCAAGGGGTGAGACAGGCAGAAAAAATAAATAAATAATGGACAAGAATTTTTAAAGTTGATGAAAATTTTAAATGTATAGATTTAATAAGCCCAGTGAACTGCAAACACAGGAAAACATGAGGAAAACTATGCTAAGTCACTTCATAATCATGTTGCTTAAATTTAAAAATAAAAAGGGAATCTTAAAAGAACCTGGAGAAAAATACACAAATAAAAGCAGATTTCTCAACAGAACTGATACAATCAAGAATGCAATGGAGAAACATCTTTCAAATATATTTAAAAATTTTTTTGTGACCCTGGATTAGGCAGATTTCCTAGTTACAACACCAAAAGCATGATTCATTACAAAAAAATTGGACATTCTCAAACTAAGAACTTTTACTTTTTGGAAGACTTTTTAAAGTATTAAATGATAACACACAGGCTGGGAGAAAATATTTGCAAATGACCTATATGACAAGGGGCTTGTATCCAGAACATAACTCTCAAAACTCAATTTTGTGAAGATAATCCAATTAAAAATGGCAAAAGATTTGAACAAACACATTACCAAAGAAGATATATGAACGGCAAATAAGTGCATAAAAAGCTGCTGAACATTATAAGGCCTTAGGGGAAATGCAAATAAAAACTACAATGACATAACAATACACATCTTTTAGAATGTTTAAAAGACTGACCTACTAAATGATGTGGTAACTGGAACTCTCATGCACTGTTAATGGGATTGTGAAAATGCAACTATTATGGAAAACAGTTAGGTATTTTTTTAAAAAAATTTAAGCATGCACCCCGTATGTGACCCAATCTACTCCCAGGTATTGTCACTAAAAAGATCAAAGCAGGCCGGGCGCGGTGGCTCATGCCTATAATCCTAGCACTTTGGGAGGCCGAGGCAGGCGGATTGTCTGACTTCAGGAGTTTGAGACCAGCCTGGGCAACATGGTAAAAGCTGTCTCTACTACAACACAAAAATTAGCCAGGCATGGCAGTGTGCACCTGTAGTCTCAGCTACTTGGGAAGGTGAGGCAGGAGAATTGCTTGAACCCTGGAGGCAGAGGTTGCAGTGAGCCAAAATCATACCACTGTACTCTAGCCTGGTGACAGAGCAAGGACTCCATCTCCAAAAAAAAAAAAAGATCAAAGCATTTGTCCATAAGAAGAATTTTACAGGAATGTCTACAGAAGCTTAATTTATACTAGGCAAAATGTGGGAACAATCCCAATGTGCATTCATATGTTAATAAGCAAAACAGTGATGAATTATTGATACATAAAACAAGGTGGCTAAAATTCAAAATAATTATTCTGAGTGAAAGAAGCCAGATTCCCCAAAAGAGAGAATGATATTCTAGAAAATGTGAGATAACCTATAGTGACAGGAAACAGACCAGTGATTGCCTAGGGCTGGGCATTGGGAGGTATAGGATGGAGGGATAACAAAGGACATTTTTAGAGGTGAAAGATATGTCCGTTACGTTGATATGGTGATGTTGACATGGGTATATGCATATATCAGAACTTATCAAATTGTGTACTTTAAATATGTACAGTGTCTTAGTCCATTTTATGCTGCTATAACAGAATGCCACAGACTGGGTAACTGATAATAAACAGAAAGTTATTTGGCTCATGGTTCTGGAGGCTGGGAAGTCCAAAAGCATTCAAAGATGCCAAAGAAGTCCAAAGGCATCCAGTGAGCGTTTTTGTGCTGCATCATCCCACTGAGAAAGGCAGAAGGGCAAAGAGCATACAGGAGAGCAAGAGGGGGCCAAACTCACTTTTATAAAAAGCTTACTCCCCAGGTAACAAACCTGCTCCTGGGTTAACAACATTAATCCATTCATGAGGGCAGATCACTCATGACCAATCACCTCTTATTAGGCCCCAGCTCCCAACACTGTTGCAGTGGAGATTAAGTTTCCCATACATGAGCTTTGGGGGACACATTCAAACCATAGCAAGCAGTTTATTGTATGTCAGTTATACCTCAATGAAGCTGTTTGTGTGTTTTTTAAAGTATGTGATCAGATATTCTGCCTGTCAACCTCCAGAACTACTATGGCATTGCTCAATTTTCAAAACTGATCCTCAGGCATCCACTGATTTTCCGAATCCCCAGTATTAATCCCATAAATTATACCTTTTCCTAAAAAATACATGCAATTGGGAGAAAGGGAAACACTCTGGCAGTTATGATACATAGCAATTAGAGAAATGTGTCATCGTTCTTGGAACTGTGGGATAGAGGCATAGTGTGTGTTTGCTTTAGGCAACTCTGAGCTGGCTGTGTCCCACGTGCCCTTTACCTTGTCCTTTCATTATTTGTTTCCCAGTTATCCTCTGCCTCTTCCAGCTATATAATGAGCAAAACTTGGTCTATTTTGATCACTTCTGCATTTACAGTAGAACAATAAACACCACATAGGAGGTGCTCATCAAATCTTTCTTAAACAAATGATTGAGATTTATTGCTCCTATATAGAGTGTATATCCAGATATTTGATAATGCTATTGGTAAAAGTTCCCCAAGCCATCATAATTTCACTGATTTCAAGACTCTCATTTTTAAACAATTTGTAGATTTTGTTAAAACAACCACAAGCTACCTAGCCCTAAAACTTTACTTTCTGTATCAGACAATGCCCCTATTTGTTCTTCATTCACACTCTTATGTAACCGAATGAGGAAGACTCTATAATACGTTTCTTGTTTAGGAAAGCCAAATTCTTAATTTTTTCACAGTCAAACAATGAAATCTGACCATGTGAAACTCTGCAGTGACGTGGCAACAGAGATAGAGAATTGATTCTTGTTTAGGAAAGCCAAGTTCTTAATTTTTTCACAGTCAGACAATGAAATCTGACCATGTGAAACTCTGCAGTGACGTGGCAACAGAGATAGAGAATTGATTGAGGTTAACCTCTCTGGGCTGATCCATGTAAGCTGCTTGGAGCATGAGCGCAGTTAAATGAAAATGGATTCACGAATATGCCTACTGCTTGCTCAAATAACAAAAAGTAAACACTTAAACAATAAGTCATTTTCCCAGAGAGTAGTTTTGTAAGAGAGATTGAGTAGAAAATTGATGAATTCTTCACTAGAGCCTTTCCTCCTGGAGAGACACAGCTCACCATCTTGGGGGTGTGGAACAGAAATATGAAACCTGGGCACTTGTTGAAAGGGAGGGTTGTCTTAGTAACAACATTCTCTAAATTGTGCCTTAAGCATTGACATGGTAATCAAAGCCAGTCATTTAGTAGTTATTATAAGTGGCTCAGAAGCTGACAATTTTTACATGCTTCAGCAACAATTTATGATATTTAATCATGTTCACTTTGTTCATGTTTACTTTGTGCATGAACACTGCCTTGGTAGCCATTTATTCCCCCTGAAAAATGGGTCCCATGTATTCCAGTGGACTTTCAAATCTAGCCTTCCTGAGGTGGGGAGTGGGCAAAAGGGCATTCCTTGATATCCATCTTTTATTTTATTGAATACTCAGGGACCTATCCTGTAAAAAGATTCAGACTTTTCTCAGTCTGTGTTCAGTTTGAATTGAAAGCCCACTGTCTGCAGTCAATTCAACTTAAGAAATTTGTTATATCTTCCAGGCATTGTGAGACATGTAACTGAAGAAAAATGGCTTCCCTAAGGTCATTTGTAATGGGTACAGTAGATTGACCCTCAAAATCAGTCTGCCTTCCTAATGATACCTCGTTTATTGGAAGGTCATGAAACCATTTAGCGGGTCAAGATCAGAGTGATTTAAAATAAAATAGAAACAATTTCCCAAAGCGTACCTATATAAAAACATCAGTTTGTGTACCTTAAATATATATTAATAGAATGCCTCTTTATCGATTATATTTCAATAGGTTGAAATTTTTAAAAAATGAAATAGAACCACAAAGAAAATATCAGAACACATTGCACTTAGTAAAGGTAAGTAATGTCTTATAAAAATTTTATTTCATGTACTCATATATGTGTGCTTATACTGGGTGTGATAAAATATGCATTTCCTATAGTGGCATGGGGTCAAAATATTTGAGAGAAACTGTTGCCATGTGCCTTTCTGCATTGCCTGACTCCCTTGTACCTGGAGTTCTGGATAGGACTTAGGTTCGGCCAATCTAACGTAGGGTACTTGCATGAGATTTGGAAGGTGTGATGGTTAATTTTATGTGCCCAGATATTTCGTCGATCATTATTCTGAGGCTGGGAGCAGGGGCTCACCCCAGTAATCCCAGCACTTTGGGAGGACAAGGTGGGTGGATTTCTTGAGCTTAGGAGTTCAAGACCCGCCTGGGCAACATGGTAAAACCCTGTCTCCACCAAAAATCCAAAAAATTAGCTGGGTGTGGTGGCATGCACCTGTGGTCTCAGCTACCCAGGAAACTGAGGTGGGAGGATTACCTGGGCCAGGGAGGCAGAGGTTGCAGTAAGTCAAGATCTCACCACTGCACTCCAGCCAGAGTGACAGAGTGAGATCCCAACTCAACAAGCAAACAAACAAGCAAACAACAACCAAAAGAACTCCATCATTCTGAGTGCTCCTGTGAGGGTGTTTTCGGATGAGATTAACATTTTTATCAGTAGACAATAAAGCAGATTGCCCTCCCTAATGTGGGTGGGCTCATGCAGTCAGTTGAAAGCCTGTATAGAACAAAATGGCTGATCCTTTCATGAGTAACAGGAAATTCCTACTGCATGACTTCTTTCAAACTAGGACCTCAATTTTTTTCTGTCTTTGGGCTCAAACTGAAACATTGGCTCTTCCTGGTTCTTGAGACTGCTGGGCTTCACACTGAAACTACATCATCAGCTCTCCTGGGCCTCCAGCTTGTCAACGTACCTTGCGGATCTTGGGACTTGTCAGCCTCCATAATCATGGGAGCCGCTCCGTATAATAAATCTCTTTCTCTATAGAAATGTATCCCATTGATTCTGTTTCTGTGGAGAACTCTGACTAATGAAAGGTGTATCTATTGGTTATATTGCTGTTTCTGGCAAGCATAATGTGGGAGGCAGAATTCTAAAAATAGCAGCCAAGGTTCCATACCCTAATCCCAGAACGTATGATTATGAAGAGATGCTATTGCTGTGATCATACTGTTATCTCGCATAGTTGATTTAAAATAGAGAGATGACCTGGGCAAGTCTAATCTCATCACATGAACCCATTTAAAAGCAAGGAATTTTCTCTGGCTGAAGGCAGTAAAGGAAGTCAGAGAGATTAGTGTTTGGGGGCTGGGGAATCCCACATGAGGGATCTTGCTACCAGCTGTGATGCTATGAGAGGATCTATGAAAAAGCCCATGCAAGGGAGTGACCTCTAGAAAGACCTTAGTCCTACAATAGCAAGGAACTGAATTCTGCCAAACTTGAATGAGCTTGGAAGTAGATTCTTCCCCAGAGCCTACAGATAAGAACCCAGCCTGCTGCACCTTGACTCTCTGCTTAGGGCAGAGAACCCAGCCAAGCCCACCTGGACTTTTGACCTGTAGAAGTGAGATAATACATGGGTATTGTTTTAAGCCATTAAAGTTTGTGGTAATTTATTACACAGCAATAGAAAACTAAAGCACATGGTCACAGAGGTATGTTTTTCTGCAGCAGCATTAGCAGAGATTCTAGGGGCCAGTCGTTGGTATCCAGAGGCAGGTGCAGGGCACCTGTCTGGGCTCATGCAGAGCTAGCAGTTATTGTGGCTCTGAAGCCAACAGCTCCAGTGGCCACCATTTTTAGACCTCCCATTGTGGAAGAGATCCAGGTTACACTGGCAGGACAATTCTGAGTGGGGTTGTTCTGGGATTCCAGCGGGGACAATTCTGAGTGGGATTGTTCTGGGATTCCAGGGGGCACAGCCTAGAGCCCATTTATTCAGCCCTTCAAAAGATGTTATCAGCATCTAATTCCTCATATTAAATCACTTTCTGCTTAAATATAAAGTGATTTCTGTTATATGCTGCTGAACCTTGGCTATTACATCTCTAATTCTTTCCTACTTGTTTTATACAATGACTTCTGTCAGCTTATTTAAAATCTCTAGAGCATTGAGCACCTCTTACTTCCTGAAAATCCTTTCTCTTTTCATTTTGACAACACCTCGCTTTCCTAGTTTCTCTTATATATTTTCCTCTATTAATTTTCATTTCATTTTCCCAGTTCCTTTTCATTTAAAACACAGGTATTGAGCACCTACTGGGTTGAAGATTCTAGGTGAGTAAAGTGCAGGAGCCCCATCCAAGAACTGATCATGGATCTTGTCCTCTTGAGACCTGCCAGTATGTAAACAAGTAACTATAGTGATGTGATAAAATCTGTACTAGAGGTGGGTAAGAGATACTCTGGAAGCCCAAAGGAGAAAAGATATTACTCTTTCTGGGGCAGTTAGGGAGGGATTCACAAAAAGATGGAACTTAAGGCTAGTCTAGATGCAGGAGTAGACATGTTTCAGATTGAAAGGACATTCCAGGCAAAAGGAACAAAGAGGACAAAGAAATGGAAGTTTGGGTATGTGGCATATTAAAGGAACAGCAAAGAGGCTGGATTTCTGTGGCTGGATTTCTGAGTGCAGATGGAAGATTGGCAGATAAATGAAGTTAAGATTGGTATAGAAGGTGACATGTGGGCTGGATCCTAGAAATAGAATTTATTGGAGATAGTTATCTTACTAAACCTCTTTACTTTTGCTCATTATCCATTCTATTCAGATAAAGCATGAACTCATTAGTTTGACTAAAAATGTTTGGCATTTCTTTCATCCCAGTCTCCTCTCCCCTACCATTCATTCACTCATTTCCTCATTCATTCATTTAGTTAGAGAGGTGGTGGAGGACAGATCATGTAAGATGCAAAGGTCATTGAAAGATTTGAGCTTTTCATCCAGGTGAGATGGTAAGTCAGTTGAGTGGCCTGATCTAATTTATATTCAAAAAGAATTACTCTAGTTACTGTCTGGAGAGTAGAATGGGGTGAGAGGTACGAGCTTAATCAAAGAGACAGATAAAGAGGGCATTTTAATAATCTAGAAATGTCCTTGGCTTGAATAACGTTGGAAGTGGTGGAGATGATGAGAAGGGTTATGATTCTGCCTATGTTTTGAAGGTAGAGATAACAGGATTTGCTGGTGGACTGAATGTGGAATCCGAGAGGGGAAAAAAAAAGAGGAATCAAGGATGATGTCTGGGCACAGTGGCTCACACCTGTAATCCCAGCACTTTAGGAGGCTAAGGTGGGCAGATCACTTGAGCTCAGGAGTTTGAGACCAGCCTGGGCAACATGGTGAAACACTGTCTCTACCACAAATACAAAAAAAAAAAAATTTAGCTGGGCGTGGTGGCATGCGCCTGTAGTCCCAGAAACTACTTGGAAGGCTGAGGTGGGAGGATTGCTTGAGCCTGGGAGGTGGAGGTTGCAGTGAACCAAGATCACACCACTGCCCTCCAGCCTGGGTGACAGAGTGATACCCCGTCTCAAAAAAAAAAAAAAAAAAAAAAAAAGGATAACACTAAGTTTTTTGGGCTGAGCCACAGGATGGGGCTAGTTTCCATTTACTGTTAGACATCATAGGAAGGTGAGTTTTAGGGAAAATATTAGGAGTTGGTGTTTTAACTTGGTGATTTTGAGATGCCTATCATACACATCTAAGCCCCATTTGGGTATACAGTTGGATATAGGAGTCTGGAGTTCAGAGGGGAGGTTTACATGGGAATCATCAGTGTTTTATGTGGTACTTAAGCTGTGAGCTTGAACGAAATCACCTATAGAGTGAGAGCAGTAGATGAGGAAGAGAAGTATAAGAACTGAGTCCTAGGAAAGATGCAGAGAAACCAGCCAAGGAAACTGGAGTAGGTGGAGAAACTCAAGGAGGAGGAGAAAGAGAACTATCAGGAGGGAATCAATTCCTGAAGTCAAGTGACAAACAAGTTTCAAGGAGAAAGGGATCAAATGGGTCAAAGGCTGATGGCAGGTCAAGTAGGATGAGGTCAAAGGAATGGCGATTGGGTTTCACAATGTAGAGATCATCAGCATGTGACAGAAGCAGTGTCAGCAGTGTTGAGGAAAAGCTTAATTGGAGTGAGTTCGACAGAGAATTGGAGACAGGCACTATATACGGTGGGCGAGACAATTCTTTCAAGGAGTTTTGCTAGAAAGTGAAGGAAAATGAGACAGTGGCAGGGGGTGGGGATGATAATGAGTTCAAGAAGGGAGTTTTTTAAGATTTGAGAAATAATAGCATTTTTATATGCTTAGGGAAATAATGATATGGGAGAGTGGGGAGATTGCTTGCAGCAATGGCCTTGAGAAGGCGAGAATGCCTCAAGTCTAGTGTTCAATGAAGAGTTAGCACAGAGAGGGATTCACCGGTCATCCGTATTAACCTCAGTGAGAGCAGAATACATGGGAATAGATGAGGTGGGATGGTAGATGTGCTGGTGGGTGATTTTGCAAGTTCTCTTCTCACTGATACAAATTTCTCAGTGAAATAGTAAGCAAAGGTATCAGATGCAGGCTAACGAAGGGGTTGGGAATATTTGGAAGCTTGCAGAGAAAGAAGTTGTAATATAGTAGTCTAGGGCTGTGGGTGAGTGAGTGAGTGGCTTAGTGACCTCACTTAAGGTCAGTGGCCTAGAAGTAAGGGAAATTTTTTTCCAATTGCATTTGGGTGTTGATACCGATGAAAGGGGAGTTAAATTGAACTTCTTACAGTTCCCCACTCCTTTACCTTTGCACAGGCTGATCCATGTGCCTAGAATGCCCTCTTAACCTTGATAATTCAACTTCTGACCCAACTGCCACTTACTTAAGTCTATCAGGCAGACTTAATTATTCCCTTCTTGGAACTAAGGAGGTACCGTGTGCATCCCTCTATTGTGGTAGTTGCCGCATTATAATAATTTGCTTTTCTGTCTCCCCAGTTAGTCTAGCCACTCCTTGGGGAGTGTTAATTTAATAACCTCAATTCTTAGCATGGTGTTTGGCCTGTGGCTGACATCCATTAATTGCCTATTGAATTTCATTGAATTGAATTCTATGCAGAGAATCAGCAGAAAGAGTTGGCAGGCGGGAGAAGTAGGATCCAGAGAAACAGCGAGGGTGACATTTAGAAGTAGGCTCGGCTGCTCTACAAGGAAGGGAGCTCCCATCCCTGCAGGTGAGTAGTATAAATGCTTACTCAGCTCTAATGGTGGAGTGAAATGGGCCCTGAACCTGAAGTCAGGCCTGTGTAAATTGGGTCAGTAATACTTCTTTGGAGTTTTCTTTGAGGATAAAAAGAATTCATAGACTTGGAAGAATTTTGTACAGTTAATGAAAATGTACTATACAATGTAAGATGGTATTTTTGTAACACTCTATGGTAAAATAACAGAAATGTGTTGGATTTGTATATTTTATTAGAGCACAGGCTATATAACACAGAAAGAGGAAAATGGGTTAAAGATAAAAAGAAAGATTATAGCTGTAACCTTCTTGTTGATATTTCTAGTCTTAAGTCTCTACAGAAGATGTTATCACAGTCTCTTTCAGTTAAAGCATGTTCCAGGGCCTGTCATTGTCTGAGCCAAGAGCCCTCTCTGACCTACTTTGTTAAGCCAGGTGGTATCATAGACAGACAAAAGTGCCAGCAGATTCTGCAGGAAGTGGAGGATGAGGAAACTGCTGATCTGACAGTTACCATATGACTGGCTGATGTCGTAATGCACAGGTTTGGGAAACTAATGCACAGGTTTGAGTACTCAGAAGAGACCAACCTTCTACAAGATTCCAATACTGAAAGGAACTTTTTAATGCATTGGCAATACTAACAATTCCAAAGCAACAGAATGTGGGATCCTTGATGTTGAAAGAAAGTAATATTGCTTTAACACAGGTTCTGACTTTTACTTGTTCATGTCTACTTGTCTTAGTTCTCTCTTAAGTTTTAAGTTTCTTAAGGACAGGGACCATATTTTATATGTGATATCCTCTATCCACACACCTACTACAGTATTTTAAGGGTACTCAATTACCATATGTTGTTGATGGGGTTGTTTTAGCAGATGTCAGGCAGCTTTCATGGTAGCCAGGTACAGTCAGATCATAAAGAGGAAGGCAAGAACAGAGATTTTCATTTTATTTTTTTGAGACAGGGTCTCGCTCTGTTGCCCAGGCTGGAGTGCAGTGGTGCAAACATGGCTCACTGCAGCCTCAACCTCCTGGATTCAAGTGATCCTCCTGCCTCAGCCTCCCATGTAGCTGGGACCACAGGCATGCACGGCCACACCCAACTAATTTTTTGTAGACATGGGTGTCTCACTTTGTTACCCAGTCTGGTCTTGAACTTCTGGGCTCAAGTGATCCTTCTGCCTCAGCCTCCCAAAGTGCTGGGATTACAGACATGAATCACCATGCCCAGCTAGAGCAGAGATGTTTTTAATGGTATAACCCACAAATTACTTAAACTGAAACTGGGAATATAGGCTTTCTTGCATGAATGACTGTCGGTTTAGGACACTTATTCTACTCTTTCTTCCCAACAATTCAAAATTATCTGTATTTCTGTTTATCTTTCACTCTTAACTTAAAACAATTTGCCTTTGAAATAACTGCTCATGTGGGATTTAAACTCATAAAAGAAGCAGCTCTAGAAAACACATGACTGTGTGCTTTGAGGTACACCAACAGGCTTCCTTATTTATTGACTTTGTAGGGTAGATTGGATTATGCCATCATTTATCTAGGAGGATCTTTCTAATGCAAATATATTTCTTCGGCATAGTAGCATGTTAGTTCATTATCATTGCTATGGCATGAATATTTGGCTTGGTTGTTTGGCCCCGCCAAGTCTCACATTGAAATTTGATCCCCAGTGTTGAAGATGGGGCCTGGCGGGAGGTGTTTGGATTGTGGGGGTGGATCCCTCAAGAATGGCTAGGTGCAGGAGTGAGTTTGTTCCCGTTCTTAGTTCCCATAAGAACTGGTTGTTGTAAAGAACCTGGCACCTCCCTCCCCTCTCTCTCTTGCTTCTGCTCTCCTGCCATGAGATCTCTGCACACAGTCCTGCCTTCACCTTTCTTTTACCTTCTGCCATGAGTGGAAGCAGTCTGAGGCCCTTGCCAGATGCAGATATTGGCACCATGCTTCTTGTAAGCCTGCAGATCCATGAGCCAAATAAGCCTCTTTTCTTTATAAATTACCCAGCAAGAATTTATAGCAAGAAAAATGGACCAAGGCAATTATCTAGTGGGAAATCTAGTTTATTCACAGCAGAGCTAATTATTAGTTTTTCATTAAGGAAATAAAAAACAGGACAGATATGTTGTAATGAGAAAAGGCATCATAGCATTCTGCGAGTGTGGAGTGATACCCACAGAAACACAAAAAATAAGAGCACAAGGCTAGGGACACAAATCAAGAGTCATCCTGGAAAGCTAAATCAAGGCACCAGAAGAAAGAGCAAAGATAAAGACTGCCTTGTTGGAGAGGGTGCTCCAGTATGAAGAAAACTCCAGAGTTAGGGAGAGGCCAGTTGGTATTCTACAGACTCCCCATCACCACTCCAGACCATTATCTTTCCAACTCTCATGCAAAATGCCTTTCCATTTTCCCTTGAGATTCCTGCCTCCATCTGCCTCACTCCATCTACTCAATCTCTGGGCACACCCATTGTTCACTGGAGTCTCTGCAACCCCATTCCTACTCTTCCTCTCACTCCATTCCTGCCTTTATTGTGGGTAACTTCAGAATCTTGATACAGTAAGTTCAATATGCAGCTTTAAAGTTATTTAACTTTTCTGATTCCTACAACCTTAACTTCCAGGTCCCTTTAGCAACCTACTTCCATGGCTGCACTAAAACCTAGGCTCTGACATCACCCCAAAAAAGAGGTCCAACTCAGGAATCTCAAAGTAAACACCCTAGTCTCTCAAAGGAGCCACACCTGACCACTACCTTACCCCACAATTTCTTTTCTTCAGCATGATGTAGACTTATAGTCTTTCATTTCCTCACTCTCATTTCTCTCAGTCTTGTCTCTTGTGGCTCCACCTCTCTTCCTAATCCAATCTATACCCATTTGTCACTCTGTGTCAGAGCTTCTTTGTCCTCTGCTGAATCCGCCTTGTGGATCTTGATGAGTTCCACTGTCAACCCCCTCCTTGTTCACACTCAGCCCACTGAACTGCTAGAGGGAATCATACAGACACTGGGGTCACTGCCATTATAATTTTATTATTGCCAATGTCAACCAGACCTTTTGGGCTCCTCCCCTTTTCACTCTCCACAGCAGCAATTCCAAATGCCCATCACTGTCCTCAACCCACCTTTCTCTTGGGGAATGACTCTTACTTCCTAGATGAGACTTAGACTGCAGATACCTTCAAACTCTCACTTAGCCCTTAATAACTACAACTTTTGACACCGTCCAATGGTTCTACCTAAGTCTAAGAAAAAGAAGTGTTTCTTCTCCCACTCAAAACTTATTCATTCATTCAACAATCACTGAGTGCCTATCACATCCTAATAAACACTGTGCTATATGCTGGGGAAACTAGAGAGGAAGACGTAGATCCTACCCATAAGGAGCTTAACATCATGTAGGGGAAACTGATCTGTAAAGGAAAAATAATTTGACGTGCATTAAGGTATAATGATAGAAATAAACACAGAACATTACCAGACTGTGGGAGGAAAAGCCACCTAACTCAGCCTTCATTGGAAGAAGACAAAATGTCATGAGGGACTTTCTGGATGGAAGGTTGCTTGAGCTAATTCTTAAAGAGGGAGTAGGCATTAATTAGGCAAAATTGTGGTAAGAAGGAGACGGGAGACTTGAGGATTGAAGAGCAGAGAAAAGAGAGATTGAGTATAGGAAGAGATTATAAGTGAAATCATGAAGTTGGAACTCACAAGTAACCTCAAGCTCCACACATTCTCCCCAGGCTTTTTCGTCCTTTATTCTTTATCCAAGTATATGGCACCCCTACCAATCTGGTCACTAGAAATATAGATTTCTTCAATTCCTCCTGTTTCCTCACCTCTGTCCTTCAACTAATAACTAACTTCTGCTGATTCTACTGCATCAACATTTCTTGTGTGCCTATCCTTTCTCCACCTTCACTCAGGATTAGTGCCACCGTCTCCTAATTGGCCTCACTTCCATACTCCTAGTAATCTCTCTAACATGCACAACTGATTACATCACTGCCCAGCCAAATACTGGCTGTTCCAGGATGATAGAAAAGACTTTTATCATACAGCCACTGCCCCCACCTCTGCAGCCTTATTATTCCCTTGCTATTTGTCATGCCTCAAGAACTATCAGCAATTTCCCCAGTGTGCTCTATTATTTCTTGCCTATGTGTCTTCCCCTCAAAAGGCACAAGAACATTTTGATGCAACATCTTAATATGCTCATATTTTAATGCAGTCTAAAGTAGTAATCAAACATTTAGCTAGTCTTTATTTTTCTTTCCTGAATAATGACTGTAATAGACATTCTTAACCCATTCTTCTACCCTTCCCTTTTGATTCTCTCCAGGATGATGATGACACCAATGACCTTCAGCTGATTGGCTCCCCGTTTTAATC
Source organism: Homo sapiens (assembly GCF_000001405.40). Taxonomy (NCBI): domain Eukaryota; kingdom Metazoa; phylum Chordata; class Mammalia; order Primates; family Hominidae; genus Homo; species Homo sapiens. Next base: position 106,600,763 of record NC_000007.14, on the reverse strand, counting down.
TGCCATCAGTAGTCTTAAATTATCTTAAGTGTCCTGCTTCAAGTTACATTGTTTCTGCTACTTCAAATGCCCTCTATTTTGCTTGTCTTCAGAGGGCACCCCATTCTCCTTTTATTACCATTGCCACCACATTCCTCTCTCACCTCTCAGGAAATCCTTCCAGTTCTGCATTTTAGTCCCTGATTACAATCGACCACACCGTCTCTGTGCCCTGTCTCCAATTTCTATATTCACTCCTGTTGACACCTCTTACATTTTTATGTCCCTCCATAGGAAATAATCTCTCTGAGGACAGGGATCATTCATTTTCCTGGTTTCTAGCACTTCCTACAGCTTTGGAACAGAACATGTACTCCCTTAATTGACACCAATGCATAGGGAGAGCACAGTAAGGACCACAGTAGATCCAGGGGATGAGGTACTGCCCTTCATTAGAAGCGAGGGCCCTTGGTGTGCCCCCGTATGGGAGGAGGGTTTACGAGAGGGCAGACAGTGGTGGGGAGAGAAAATTGGAATCCGATTTATAGTAATGGAATCTCAAAGGAATGCTACTATCTTATTCGTATGCTTCCCTATTATATGTATCCTAAGGAAAATTAATATTTTTTTCTCTAAATAGTTTTTTAAGGTAATATATATGTAGTAAAAATTCATATAGTATAAAAGGATATTCAATGAAAGTAAAGCTCTTTCCTACCCTATTCTCCATTATTCTTTCCCAGAGGTGACCACCAGTCTCAGTTTCTAGTCTTTTCCTTAAAAACCTTTAAGTATAGAAATGCATATTACATATACATTTATAACACACCATGCAAATATATCTAAATCCAAACCTAACTGTACATCTATATCTATATTTTAATATACAGTTGGTAGCATCCTATCATCAAGAGCTCTCTATTTTAGCTCATAAAGACATTATTATTATTTTAGTGCAGTAGGAACACATAACTTGAGGTCTACCTTCTTAGCAAATTTTTAAGTGTACATGATAGTGCACCATTATTTATTAAACTGCTACATTATATTACTACTATAACTGCATGATATTTAATCAGTTCCCTATTGATAAATATTTAATTTGTTTTGGTCTATTACTATTTCAAGCACTGCTGTAATGAAAGTCCTTGCACGTATGTGTATGAATCAGGGTCCAGCAGAAGCAGATGGCACATCCCAAGCTTACCTGACGAGTTTAGTCATGGAGGTACTATTTACACAGGTGCTGGCAGGATGAATAGAACCAGCAATAAATGGCTAAACATTCAGGAACTCCCAACAGTGACAAGCCTTCACCACCCCAGGCATGAAGGGATAAGGGGAGGGAGCAGTGTTACTAGAAGCCAGTGAGACCATGGCTGTGGGAGAGAGGCCAGCCAAACGGAGCTACAGCCACATGGTGAGGAATGGAGCCAGTAGCCAAACTGCAGCCATCAGAGTAGGAGCAAGAGGAATAAATACCCTGACTGCTATCTCCTTTTGCTCTCTGGTTTTCTGCTGGTTCTTCCAGCTGCTGAATAGAAGTGGAAGTCAGAGGTTGGGGAAGCCCAGGTGATGCAGTCCATGGAGGTCAGTCTGCAAGGTACAGGGTAGGCAGGGAGAGGAAGGATAAATGGGGAATAATCAGTGTAATATGTTGTTACACAAATGTGCCATTAATCTAGTAGAAATTTTCCTAGAAGTTGAATTGTGGTGTCAGCAGGAAGGAAAGAGCTGGCCACATGTCCCTCAATCTCCCTTCTCCTCCTCTTCCATGGTAATACAATGCAAAGCTGTGCAAATGGCGGCCCAGAATTAAGACTACATTTCCCAGCCTCCTTTGCAGCTAGAGCAGTGGAACGGGAAGTGTCGCGTGACAGCTTCTGAAAAACTTCTCTGAGAGACAGATGACAAGTGCCTTCTGTCCTCTATTCTTTATTCGTTTTTGTACTTCACATGCTGCCTAGGGCCACACCCTTTTGGTGGTGAGTGGGGAGCTGGAAGGAGCCAGGTTCTTGAGGACTTTATAGGGTAAGAGCTGCCCTGCCAGTTCTAAGCTATATACCTCCAGATTTTATTTATTTGGGAGAGAAATTAACTTTTACCTCGTTTAAGCAACAGTTATTTTCTTTTCTATGTCAAGTACCTAAATCTAATCCTAATGAATATAATGGGTATAAAATTTTTGAATTTTTATGGGTGTTGTCAAGCTTGGTTTATTTAATTTAAAAATATCTAATTGACAGATAAAAAGTATATATATATTCAAGGTGTACAACATGTTGATGTGATACACATATATGTACACTGGATACTGATTACTACGATTACTACAGTCAAATTAATTAACACATCTATTACAACCCGTAGTTAACATGTGTGCGTGTGTGTGTGGTGGTGTGGTGTTTTAAGTTGAATTTTCCAGACTTTCTGGGTTTGAATCTCAGCTTCTCCATTTACTAGACATGTGATCTTGAACAAGTTTCTTAATCATTTTGTGCCTTAGTGTTCTCATAGTGATAGTGATAGAAACTACCTCATTTGGTTGTTATGAGGAGTAAATGAGTTAGAATATCTGAAACACATAGAACGTCTATCTGACATAGCTGATACTCAAAAAAAGTAAGCTATTTATATTATTATTACTAGTATCATTTTTAATTGTCCTCCAAAGAAGATGTACCAATTTGTCTATTCACTGTCTGGAAGTGTCTCTTTCTCTCCTTTCATCAATACTGTGCATTAGCAAAGATTTTTGTCCAGTAAATGAATAGTGATATTTCATTTTATTTTAAATTACCATCTAAAATTTTAAGGTTGAATATCTTTTTATATTTTTATGCCATTTATATTTATTTTCTGGTGAATTTTCTGTTTGTGTGCTCTGTTCATGATTTTTTTTTGAAATAACTCTCGAATGTATAATGAAAATTAGCCTTTTGCATGCTATGGGTGGGGCAAATATTTTCCCAAGTTTTTATTTGTCTTTGACATTATTTTTTCCATACATAAATTTTAACATAGTAAAAATGATCCTTCTTTTTCATTATAACATCTGAGCTTAATGAGAAAGGTCTTTCTCACTCTGGAGTATAAAAATAATTCCCCATGTTTTTTTCTGGAAGTTTATAGATTGGTTTATATCAAAATATTTTTCCATTTGGAATTTAATTTGGAGTAGACAGTGAAGAACGAGTTGAAGTAATTCTTCAGAAAGCTTGGTTGGAGGGTTGACAAAAATGAGCTATCTGACATATAAATCCTGCAGAAGTTATAGCTTACTGATCCGCACAATAGGTATATTTTAAACAAGTATGCCAGTACGCCCTGGCCATCGGGCATGCAGAAGTTTGCTGAGTTTGCCTCTTCAGCTTTCTCTTCTTTGTGGGAAACACATGGGTTGTTTGTGATCATATCTTGTGTTTCTAGAGTAAGGTCTTGCCAGGTCTAGCATAATTACTTAACCAGTTTGCAAAACTGCCTTTCACACATCATATCACCTGGTTCTCACGTCCAGGTAGTACACAATTTCTTCTCCTGCCAGCAGGGCCACCTTGCTATTCGTTCACAGGATAAATAATAATGCCACAGTATGTCATACCTGTGCTAACAATGACCCATCTGTGGACATGACAGTCAGGGACTACCTATGCTTCACAGCCAAGGAGGGATGGAGCCCAGCAAGCTGCACCAGGACCTGCCACTGGCCTTCATCTTTGTCTTTTTTCCAGGTAGTTTATGAGAACACAAGCTCTAGAGTAAAACCATTTGGCTTTGTACTTCCACTCTGCCGCTTTTGAACTATTGGTCCAAGCGCCAAGTTCACTTCGCCTTTTTGTGCTTTAGTTTCTCATCTGTAAAGTGGGGATTATAACATTGTGTGGGAATTAAATAAATAAATATATGTAAAGTGCTTAAAAATTGCTTGGCAACAAGTACTTAGTAAATATTAAAAGGGCTTTTCCCCAATCCAGAATATAAAATAATTCCTTTATTTTTTTCCTAGGACTTTACAGATTCATTTATATTAAAAAGTGCATAATATTTATAATAAATGTAACTATAATAAATGTATAATATTATAATAATAAAACATTGGTAAGAAAAAAGTGTTATAACTTTATGAATAGAATCACTATCATTTGAAGAATGCATTTGCTTCTAAATGTCACCTTTGTCATAACTGAATTTGCATATGTGTTTGAGTCTAGTTCTGGATTCTCTATCAATTCATTCATCTAGCTTAATCACAAATGCTTTATAATATGTTTTATTATCTAATAGGGCTTGCCTAATTCATTATGCTTCCTTTGTAGATTTTTTTTCTGGCTAAGCTTGAATTTTGATATTTATACAAAAGTCTTAGAACCAGCTGCTCTTATATTTAAAAAATCAATTAATATTTTATTGGGGTTGCAACAAATTTACATATTCATTTAGAAAGAATTGACAGTCTTACCATATTAGCTTTTCCTATTTCAATTAAAAATGCTCTTCATTTGTATTCAAGCTGATTTTGTTTTAAAATGTCTCTCGGAAAGTTTTTTGAAAGTCTTTTTTTTGTGTAGTTACTGCACATTTCTTAAGTTTACTCCCTCTCTCCTTCCTTCCCATCCTTTCTTTTTCTTCCTTCCCTTCTTCCCTTTTTCCTCCTCCTCTTCTTCCTCTTCCTTTTCCTCTTCTTCTTTTATGGTAAATAGCACCAATTCTTTTATTATGTTTTCTGATTACTTCTTGTTTGTATAGGGAAGAACTATCAATTGTGACTTTGTGAGTTTGTGTTCCACAACTGGATCAGAAAAATGAATGAAAATCATCTAACCTCACCTCCCTCGTTGCAATTACGTATAATCATATGTTGGAAGGAGATAAACTGAGTCAAGAAAATAGCTGTTTTAGAAGAGAGGCCCCAGAAGGGAGAGGCTAGAGAACAAGTAGGGAGGGAATAATTGTGACTGAGAAAAGGGCTGACTGTGAATGAAGTGATTGGAGCAACCCTCCACAAGCGCGTTGATGAGTAACAGTGCAGATCAAAAATGGTTGCATGTGCCCAAAAGTGTACATAGGCAATTCTATGGTGTTTGATGCTTCCTATTACTTTAAATGATTGAATTAAAACTAGATAAATGAAGCATTCTACTCAACAAGATAGATATATAAATCAGACATTATTTATAAAACTAATAGCATTAAGAGATAAATACTGGCTTGTTGGGGAAAAAATCCAAAACAAAATTAATAAAATCAAAACTAGGGTTTTTTTTTAAAGAAACAGAGAGAAAATTCAAATAAACAAAAGAAGTAAAAGGTGATTACAGTATAAAGCTTCTTATTATTTAAAAATATATGCCAATAAAATAGAAAATAAATGAGTTTTGAGAAAATGTACATAACAAATTTATTATGGAAAAGTAGAAAACTAATTTACAAAAAACCATGGAAGAAATCTGCTTAATCAAGGAATTTCCTCCAATAAAGATTCTGGGGTCAGCTATTCAAGTCATTTTCTTAATACCAGTATAACCCTGATGCCAAAGAGGCCATGTATAAGACCCGAGTGCCAGATGGCCTGGTTTGGTTCTATTTAACAAACACTTGATTTTGTTCTTACTCAGTGCCAGGCAAGGTTCTGAGATTTCACAAGTATTAATTTACACATTACTCCTAAAACCCTATGAGGGAGGGATAACTATTATCCTCATTTTACAGATGAGCAAACTGAAGAAGTGAGAGGCTAAAGAACTTGTTATTCAGTGTCACCCAGGTGACACATGATGGCATGGACAGGTGGCATGAAATAGTGCCCTAAAGCATGTCCTCCAGCACCAAACTACCTGAGTTCAAATCCTGGCTCTCCTATGTTCTAGTAGTATGACCAAGGGCAAGATATTTAATCCTTTTCTGCTTCAGTTTCCATAGATGAAAGACTGAGAAATAAATAAAATAATTATTTAAAGAACTTAGAACAGTATCTGGAACATAGCAAACATTTAATCCTTAAACATAATGCTAGTATTATTGTTATTATTACAGAGACTACATAAAAAGATATCATTACAAATTATAAATGCAAACTGAACTGAATAATGCAGTAAAGGAATTACCATGGCCATGGCCAAATTGAGTTTAACTGAGGAATACAAGGATGTTTTATTCATCACTTTAATATATCCAGTAAGAAAAAAATATATAAATATATAATGCAATCATCTCAACAGACCATTGTAACACTATTTCTAAAGCAAACAAATAACAAATCTTAGGCAACCAAGAACACCAAATTTTTCCTAAACATGATAAAGAATATCAATATTAAATAAGCCAACATCATATCCATGCTAAATTACCTGGAACTGAGGGGCGGGTCTCAATCTCTGAACATAAGCATCACCTTGGGAGTTTTTAAAAATTACTGTTGCTTGAGACCTACTCCAGACCAATTAAATCAGAATTTCAGGGGGTTGGGACTCTGGCAACAAAGTAGGAATAACTAGCCTAAAAGAAAGCTAATTAAAATCAAGAACTAAGTAGGATGGGTACCATGACAACTTTTATGTAACATTATTTTGGAAGTTCTTGGGCATACACCAAAACATGAAAAATTCTGACAAGGAGGAGAAAAAAAAAATCATCATTTGTATCCAGTGTGATCATGTACTTGGGAAATGCCAGTAAAATAGACTGAAAAACTTGGAAAAAATTTTAAGATAATTTACTCATCTATAAAGGTAGCTTTCCAATGTATCAACAATACAAGTTAGAAGATGTAATGATAAAGATTTCATTTAGATTAACAAAAAGAAAATAGAACTAACCAAAAATATGTGGAACTTAGATTAAAGTTATAGTAAAACTTAGTTTTAAGAATATATCCTGGGTCTGTGGTTTTCAAACTGTGCTTTTGGGAGTCCAGGGCAAAGGTGACTTGATGTGCAATGACAAATGGATCTAAGAGGACCACAGAACCCCTACCCCTGCTTTAATGGAAGCAGCTCTGTTTGTTTTTTTTTTCAGTGTTGACCTTCTGCATGCAATTGTACTTGAAGGAAAGTTTGGGCTATGAACAACAGCTTAATGTTTAAAAACCTTTAGCCTAAATAAAGTGTTTATTAAGAATATCTGGTTCCCTTTGGTATCCATTCAGTCACTTGTTCTATATTTACTGAAGATCTACAACATACAAAATTTACATTTGTTGAGTACCAGCTAGGAGCCATGACAGTGTTAGCTTCTTTATGTATTTTATCTCGTCTAATCTTTGCTGGTACCATGGGTGGAAGGTATTATTTCCATTTTGCAGCTAAGGAATAATGTTCAAAGTAAGGAACTTGCCCAAGTCTCACAAATAATGGTAACTACAGCTATAATTTGAAAGTATTTCAGCCTGGCTTTAGAGCTGTTTTTCTTTTCCCAACAGACCACACCATTTCTTAGCAAGTAGGAAATAGTGACGGCATTTCAGATCGTGGTAATAATTGCACTGGTGTTCATGACCCATTGAAACATTGATGAGGATGTTGATGTTGATGGCTGTGGAAAAGAAAATGAAGGAGATGTTGATATGAGTGAAGGTGATGCATATGGGATGTGTGTCATTCTGGTGGCAGAGGTGGAGCTGTTCTCTCTGATGGCTCATCTGTCTGTCATGGCAGGAGCCAGAATTGGCTTGGACTCCCTGGGCCAAACACCTTCTGTCCAGAAAAGTAGGTCTGACTGTGGGTCTGGAGAGTAAAGGACCTATTTGAGGGAGAGGTGTTAAAGAAGAGGAGATGTGGAGTGAGGAGACTCAGGTTGAAATTGAGTCACCTGCAAAGATTGCTTGGGCAGAGCAGGTAGCATGCCTAAAAATACTTTCTCCACCTGTGGCAGTTCTCAAAATTACCGAGTTCCTACACTGATTGCACTTGTGCCAGTAGACACACACCCTGCCATGTGCTTAAGTGGAAAGAATGAAAGCAGGTGGTATTCTGACCACTGATTGTATTAGTCTGAAACTTTGGAATTAGGTCAGACATGCTTTGCTTAGTGGACACAAATGTTCTTATTCAAATAGTATCTTTTGTTGTAATTACTGACATAGAGTTTGTGCCAAGGTCTGATCATTTAAAAAAATTATCCATTGAAGTTATAGGTTCACAGAACTGAGCCAATAAACCTTAGTCTGTAGTAACTGAACCAATGCAGAGGACCCCAGAGTATCCTCAGATCTTGCTTAAAGCAGCAAGTCCTCTTATCTTCACTACAATATGACACAAGCAAATTTATGGAACACCAACATGTTCTGATTAAACAACAATATGAAATAGAAAACATGATGTCATAGACTCCATGAAATAAAAGTTCTCATTTTTAATGAGATCTGTGACCATTTCAGACCTACATGAAGTTGAAATAAATATTATGGAAAACTGTAAGTAAGAACTAACCAATCATGGTGTGAGGAATCAGAGGTGACTAGATGATTTACTTGTATCTCAAGCAACATAATCCTAATTTAATAACTATTCACATACTCCAAGCAACAGAATAAATGCTTATTCTATGTGACATAGTGGTTTTTTCTATGCAAGTGAAAACGCAGCACACACACACAAATTTTGGACTGAAAATAGATTATTAGCATTATAATTTATGTAAATTATGCTCTATTCATGTGAAGAAAATTGGTATCTCTTAGTCTTATGCTAATTATTGCATAGATTATAAATAATTATGTAAGATAATTTCATTCTCTAGCTAAAACTCTATGTGTTTAAAGGTTTACTATTTTATATAAAACCTAAAAAGAATGACTCATATAAGTTCCAAAGCTTTGAAAATAAAAACCCTGCTTGGTGTTCTAAAACTTTTATTTCTTAGGGTTCGATAAGCCTAAGATATCATTAAAATCCAGAGCAGTAGTTTCCAACATTATTGGAATGTATTAAACGTGCTTGTCCTCGTGGTACTCCTCAGGAGGAAGAATGGGTATAAATATCTCAAATGTGAGTGTGCATCATGATCACCTGGGGAGCATGGTAAAACACAGATTGCTGGGCTCCACCCTCAGAGTTCCTGATTCAGTGGGTCTGAGCTAGGGGTCAGTAAATTCGCATTTCCCAGGTGATGCTGATGCACTTGGTTCCAGCGCCCTGCTTTGAGAAGCAAGACTCAAGAGAATGGGTATGGACTTGGATCTGGAGGTCTGGAAGAGAAACTGGATTCAACAGGCTTGAGGGGCCGTCTTCCTTGGACGGTGAGTGGGCACAGCCCATGTGGAGGGTCTCTGGTGCTTCGTCTTTGCTTTTTCCGGGTTTTTGTAGGGACCTTGCCAACCCGGGACTTCTTTCATGCTCCTTTATCCAATAGTTGTTTGCTTGCTCCAACCTGGGCAAGGGAAGGTCTGTGTTTATGAATTCCATAGGAACCTTTTGAATTCCAACCTGGACCCAGGCCAAGACAGGCAAGTTTCTATGCAGTCTTCCTGTGCCAGTGGATGGAATTTTTTCTAGTTGCCTCTTTCCACTCAAGTTGTACTTCTTCAAGGGTTCTAGCTTTAGATGCAAGTGTTTTGTTTTCTGTTAATTTCTGCTTTTTTTTGTCTTTTTTTTTTTTTGAGATGGAGTTTTGCCCTTGTCGCCCAGGCAGGAATGTAATGGTGTGATCTTGGCTCATTGCAACCTCTGCCTCCCAGGTTCAAGAGATTCTCCTGCTTCAGCCTCCCGAGTAGCTGGGATTACAGGCGCCCACCCAGCTAATTTTTTTGTATTTTTAGTAGAGACAGAGTTTCACCATGTTGGCCAGGCTGGTCTGGAACTCCTGACCTCAGTTGATCTGCCTGCCTTGGCCTCCCAAAGTGCTGGGATTACAGGCATGAGCCACCGTGCCCGGCCAATTTCTGTTCTTTATAACTTCCTTCACTCAACCTTCATTGGATTTCATTTGCTTTTCTTTATCCAATTTTTCAACATGAATGATCAGTGCTTTTTTTCAGCCTTGCTGCTTTTCCAATACATTTATGTTGGCATTTAAGTTTCAGCTTTCTAATTGGAGCTGGCTCAAGGCTTAGTCTTGTTTTTCTGAGTGGCTTTTAAAACCCAGCCTCCTTGGTTGGGATCAGTCAACTCGGTAGGCCAGACAAAGCTATTAGGGCTTATCTGACTTCCTTTGCCTTCAGCTTCTTCCTGTTGTTTTCACTCCTAGGAAATTCCTTCTCTTTCTCACCAGCTCAGATTTGCTTTTACAAGTCTGCTTGTTGTTCTTGATAAATCAGTTCTAGATGTTTTGCAGTAAGAGGCTTTTTGGGATATCCATTCTGTCATATTTCTAGAAATGGAAGTCTAGAGATGACAACACTGAGAGATTGTGAGAATAAAATAATGCCTGTAAAGCCCTTAGCTCAGTACTTGACACATAGGAAATTCTTGGTAAATTCTAGCTGCCCGTTATTACCATTATTATGTTTGCATACCTAGATCTCAATGGATTACCAGCAGCAGAGGTTAAAAAATTGAGTCCTAGGCCAGGGGCAGTGGCCCCTGCCTGTAATCCCAGCACTTTGGGAGGTCGAGATGGGTGAATCACTTGAGGTCAGGAGTTCAAGACCAGCCTGGCTAACATGGTAAAAATCTATCTCTACTGAAAATACAAAAAATTAGCTGGGCATGGTGGCACACACCTGTAGTCCCAGCTAATCAGGAGGCTGAGGTGGGAGAATTGCTTCAACCTGGGAGGTGGAGGTTGCATCGAGCCAAGATCATGCCACCACACTCCAGCCCAGGTGATGGAGCGAGTTAGGAGGCAAATCCTGCCAGGAGGACTAGTTAGTGATGGGAAGGGAAGGGATCATGATAAATTCAAATTTTAATGAAGATTGTGATAACTGGTTGAGGATATATTATGTTTTCCGAATAGACATAGAAAATAGACTCGATAAAATTCTTATGCAGACGGAATAATCCTGGAATCAAATTTGGAGCTACCATATACAGCTGCTGAGGCTCAGTGAGCACAACTCTAGAGGCACCATTCAATAGACCAAGATGTCACAGTGACTGTGACCAGACTGAGGACATGCTCCTCCAAAATGTGCTTGGGTATGCATTTTGGCAAAGTTAAAAAGGAAGCAAAGATGTGGAAATGAGCTAGACTTTTTTGTAAGGGAGTAATTAAGAGTGTTCTTGCTGCCTCACAGGTACACACCCTATGTTTAAAATAATGGCTGAAAAGGAATGCTTAGTGTAGTTTTCTGTTTGTTTCCCACTGACATTGCTTTATCTCAAAGCCCTAGGAGTCCCCTCATGAATCAGGTGGGTACAATCAAGTTGTATTCAGGCCATCAAAACCACGTGAGGCGGAAGAGCTAACTACGGGTTCCTGGCGCCATGTGGCTCCTCTCCTAGCTCTCCCCTTTGTCTCTTCTCTTGTTGCCTCTCTGCTGACCACTTTCTCTTGTCTCCAGCAGTGAACACCAGCCCCTTCCTGTACCATGTCATATGGCAGGCAGTTCTTGGAGCAGCTGTTCTCTTCAATTCTGGCTGGCCATAAGTCCTTTAGAGCTAGGCAGGCCCCCACCTTTTAGAACTAGGTATCAGGCAAATCATCAAGACGGGGGAACTAGGAAACAGGTTGAGCCTGTTCACCATCATGTGGAAGCCAGTTATCAAGATGAAGGCACAAGGCTCAAGTAGCAAGAACAAAGAAGCCGAGTCACTCTATCTGTTGTTGCATAGACTTCTTAGGTTTACCCTACCCAGGTGCGGGACTGTCCCATGCCTGAGCATGGTGACGGCGAGGAGGGGAGGGGTCTGGCTGCAGGAATAGGAGGGATGCAGACCTAGGAACTGGCAGCCATTCCCAGGGCTCTCTGGCTGGAGCATCATGATTCTCTCTTCTGCCCTGGACTGAGTTAAGCAAGGAGCAGAGGCCTCGATCTCTCCCCTTGAGCACCTCCTCTAACCAGAGTCAGAGGAAGCCCAGGAAGCTGGGAGGGAAAGCCCTATACAAACTGTCACCGTGGTTCTGCCGCACAGAGCTATGGGTCATCTGGGAGAGACTGAGTCTTCCTCTCCTGAGAACTTCAATGTGAAGCCTTTCAGTAAGGAAACAGCTTTTCTTTGAAGTCAGAGGACAGCTATCACCCAGTCATTTGTGAAGCAGATGAGAGCCACATGCTCCAAACCCTCTGGGCCTTTGCTATAGGAAAGGAGGAAAAGCGAAAGACTGATTAGCATACTTGAAGATGCCAGACCTGGCCCGCACTGCCACAGTTAGTCCATTATCTTTCTCCTTCTCAGTGCTACACAGAGTCAGCCAGTGAGACAGTTAGGTGACCAGGCTTGGAGCTCCATGTGACCTTGGAAACACAGGCCAAGCCAGGAGATAGCCCACAGAGGAATACACACGGCCATCCTGTGAAGACCTCACCCCCAGGATGGCGTTACTACAGTCTCACAGATAAAATACCCTCATTACTCACCTGTCCTGGTGCTGCTGCTTGCCTACCCGTTTGCCTTTTTCAGTAGACACTGGGAGTCTAGAAGTTTGAGAAAGAGGATGGGGCAGGTGCTGGGGTCCCTGGTAATTCTGTTCCAGTCTCTTGAGGTCCTACTAATAGCACATGAACTATGCAGGAAGAAAAGAGAAGGAAATGCATAGGCAGGCCCCATCCAGGGTCCTGGTCAATAAATACTGTGAATAAAGGTTTTTAAAAGGAGAAAGGAATTCTACAGTGTATTCAGGATCTAAAGATTATGTTCATCAACAAAGCAATCAGATTGCAAATTAGTTGTACTGTTAAGTTATACACAGGGTAATTAAAATTAATTTTTGTAGAGCATTTTAGCGAGCCACATACTGTATTTGATGCTCACAATAACTGCCATTTAGAAAGTGTTTACTGTGAACTCGGCCATTTATGCAAATGATCTCATTTAATTCTCACCATCTCTCTATGAAGAAGGCATTGTTATTATCCCCAACTTTATAGATGTAAGAACTGAGGCTTGTAAATGGCAAATAACTTGTCCAAGGTGACACACAGCAAGTAGTCAGAGGTGGAACTCTAATCCAGTTCTGAGTTTGCCATCCAAGCTTTTGACCACGATGCTAAACCACTGCACAGCAGACCTGGCAGGTGGAGACTAATAGCTGGATTTTCTTTCATGGGAATGGAGATCGTGGTTTATAGTAGGTTGAACTATATGAAGTGGCCGACGTTCTACCATTTTTGACTTACAAAAATGGCGATGTCACATGCTACAACTTAATAGATGTTAAGTGAATATCATCCCAGGCAATAAGTGTCCTCTTAAGACCCTAAACTCCTATTCTTTCTGCTCCTCCACTCATTCTAGGAGTAAATGTCTGGGAGTAAACAGCCCACTTAGTAGGGGTGGGTTGTTGTGACAGACACATGGTCCCATTTATAAAGAAGACCTCGAGAAGAGTCTTTTTGATTTTTAGATAAGGCTCTCTGAGATTGTAGAGAATATTCCTGGACAGATCAGGAAAGACTTCCAATCCAGACTCTAGACTGAGGGAGTAGCTCCCACAAAGTCACTGAGGTAAGGAAGAGCTGCGCCTTCAAGGGGCTTTAGGTCACTGGGCTTGGCTAGAGCATAGGACTTTGATTATAGCATGTGGGAACATTGTGGGGTACATCACAAAGTGCTTGGAATTATTAGAGGCTGGATTTTATTTCCTACAGGGCAGCATTTAGATATTGTAGGCGCTGTGGTGACACACTCAGATCTGTGCTGAGAAGACCCTCCCTGCATGTGTGTTCAGGATGGGTTAGAATGGGATACCTACAGCAGGGACACCAGTTATGAGAAATCCAGGCAAGGCAGGAAGAGTGCCTAACCAAAGAGGTAGAGGGGACAGAAGACAGAAATGATTTGGGACTATGTAGGAGGCAGAATTGAGAGACCCTGGTAACTGATTGGAAGCAAGGGATAATCTATAATTGATGGGCGTGTTTAGAAACTACAGATAGATCCTCAGCCTCGCCACATCTTATAAACACTGTCACTCAAACTCCCAGAAGAGCGAAGGATGAATCCTCTACAAGAACGAGCTCCAGGCCAGTAAGAGTTATGTCCTCTTTTTAAGAAAGATGGGAACACGGTAGGAATCTTCCAACCTGGACATTGATTACCAGAAGAAATCTTTCCACTCACGACATGGCCAACATTCTGCGGTATACACTGAGCTCACATAATGGCCAGCCTCCATTTTTATTGCGGATTGCCATGCTTTATAGGTTATCAAATATTTTGATCACCATCCCTGTGTTTGCACCAAGAGGACAAACTAATCGTATTGATGTGAGAAGTACTATGCAAGGATATGTACATTCTTAATCCTTAGTTACTCAGTGGAAAACATACGTTTGAATGTCCCTAAATCCTTGGGAGGAAAGGATGGTTAGGCACCGGAATCTAAGGGCAAGGTTTGCTGGATGATATAAAATGCCCAGGGAAAAGAGGAAAGTTCAAGAATAGCTCAGCAGGGTCTTGGTTCTTATTTGATTTCTGAAAGAGAAGACAGGTCTAGCTCTGCTGGAAACAGCCTAGACACTGTGCATGCCAGTTGCTGTGAGGCCCCTGTGTAAGGAGTCACCCTGGACCTGTGCAAACTGTTTCCAACCTTAAGTTAGTGTCTGCAGTATTCCAGCCTCCCCACAGGAAGTGGCAGGAGACTTTATGGATGGGTTTATCTCACTGCCCAACAATTTAGTGAAACACAACAGAAAAAGCTATTTTGTATATACCTAAAGGAAAGTTCTGGGGAACGTTTCTTGGGGTAGTCGAAATCAAAACCCAACCTCCTGAAAGAAACTTAGTCTGCTTATAAAATTAAACACACACAAAATTCGCCACATAGCCCTTCCCTATTTGAAAGTGAGTTAGAAGGAGGCTATGTTATCATTCGGCATGCCCTTTAGCCAGCTAGCAGAGCACATTCCTGAAAGGTAGACCAAAAAAGAATTCAAGCCCATTTAAAACCTATTCTTGGAAACCTGTATTTCTCTCCCTCATATGGCTTATATAGCCTAATACAAATTTTTAGAGAGCTTGAATATAGGAAGATGAATTTTTAACCAACTCTCTCAAGCAGCCTAGTAAAAAGGTTTCCAAGGCTGGGAAGACAGATGCATTAATCAATAGCTTTCAAAGTTGCAAGACTCCCAGCGATAATCAGAAAAGACATCTGTCAGCAATGGTAAACCGCTTGATGGGAGCGGGAAACAACGTCAACTACCAAATTAAATCATTTCAAAGATTTCTGTGTTGGAAATGCCTCATGGTCCATGTCCCCCATGATTTAGATGCCTATGAAATGACAGAATCTAAGTGCTTCTGAATTTTTCACATTTCACCCTGTCTCTGTCTTTGTCTTGCTCGGCTCTTCTGTTTCTTGGTATCTGTGTTTCTGGAGGTGTGGATGTGTTTATCACACACACAGGCAAGAATTCCTCAGGTAAGCCAATTGTGGACTTGGTTAAAGACTGGCCTTCATGGGAAGCCTTTGAATATAGTAAAACCTGGAACTGGGGAGGAGTGAAGCCAAAGGGTGGCTCCAGGTCCCAGGACAGCTCGACCTTGCCCTTCATGTGCCCTGTAAGTATATTTAGGGCTGTGTGGTCTATAGAAGTGCAGTCCCTCAACAAAGATAAGATGAGGTTAGAATGTGTCAGAATGTGATCTTGATCTGTCATCCCCCAGTGGGCCCTGTGTTCCCCAATTCAGAACCTTAGAATAGAATGACTAATGCCCTAGAAAAGAAGATTTATTTTCTTGGATGCAAATGTACGGCACCCTCATAGTCCCAAAGGGTCCCCTTTCTCTTCATTCTTTCCTGTTTTAGGAGGAACTTTCCTGCCCCTGAGATACATAATCTGTAGTCATTTGGAATGTATTTTTTTTCCCTTGGACTGATGGAATAAAGGATCATTGAGTAAAAATGAAAATTATATTTCAAGGACATTGTGGGCTAGAATAGGTTGTATTTATTGACCTAGGAAGATAGCCAGTCGAAATGTTTGTGAGAAATTGCTTTCCAGATTACAAACAGCCAATATATAAACATAATTGGGAACCGAACTCACTGGAAAGTTAAGATGTTACTACTGTCACATAGTAGAAACTTATCACATGATATTAAGCATTCTATGACAGAGATTGCTAGTTGTCTTCCAAATGCCATAGTAATTGAATTTAAGCTGAGCAAATGGCCTCAGAGATTCCGTTTCTGAGCCTTCCTTGCAGCTGGCTGTGTTAGCTAATTGGTTGAGGTGATAGCAGTAGCATTGCTTGCCTTTTCTTCCCCCTCCTTTCTTCCATCCTACTGTGTGGGATGCACATGCTGCTATCTTGGCTCATGGGATCAAGGCCACCTATGGCAATGCAACCAGATAGAAGGACCCTGGGCTTCTGGCATCAGGAGTCAACGGGTCTTAACATTCTTCCTAAACGTTGATGTAAGAGAAATCAACTACAACCCTGTTTGAGCTACTGTCATTTAGGTGATGGAGTGGAAATGGGGGGTGGGGAGGCTGTCTGTCACTCACAGCTGAACCTCATTCTAACTAACAAACATTGGGTCTGCCATTTTGGTATTAAGTCATGATATGGTTTGGCTCTGTGTCCCCACCCAAACCCCATGTTGAATTGTAAATCCCCAGTGATGGGGGAGGCACCTGGTGGGAGGTGATTGAATCATGGAGATGGATTTCCCCCTTGCTGTTCTCGTGATAGTGAGTTCTCATGAGATCTGATGGTTTAAAAGTGTGTGGCCCTTCCCTTTTCGCTCACTCACTCTCTTGCTCTGCTGTGATACAACATGCTTGCTTCCCCTTCCACCATGATTGTAAGTTTCCTGAGGCCTCCCAGCCATGCTTCCTGTTAAGCCTGTAGAACTGTGAGTCAATTAAACCTCTTTTCTTCATTATGCAGTCTCAGGTAGTTCTTCATAGCAGTGTGAGAACAGACTAATACAACTCACCACCTAGATTAAGTTCCTTTTGTTAGCCTTGCATATTTATGTGTGTGTATACTCTTTTTATATAAAGCAGTTTGGTGAAGTCTTTTATTAGCATGCATGTATAACACCCATATTTCTGTTATCAGTTGGTAGGAAGCCTGGAAAGAGTCAATTCTGCAAGTAGACTCATTCTTTTTTAGCGATTTTCAAAATCTGTGTCAAGAAAGGGATGAAGACTTGATTCATTTTCCCCTTTGGATATTCTCCAATATGAAAGTAATTGAGGGACTGGTTTGACTGAGGGTAGAATGTAACTGTCAAAGTTATTGACCAGAGTAGAAAAACAGCTTTTCAACATTCTGTGAGTATCAGCTATTTTGGGGGCTCTCTGGTCTAGGATGACGTCACATGTGTGGTGGTTGGCTGGCTGTCAGCTGAGTCAATGGGTGGCTAGACCATGTGTCTTTGATTATCCAGCAGGCTAGCCTGGGTTTGTATATATAATGGGGGCAAGGTTCTGAGTGAGAAATATGCAAGGTCTCTAGAGGCCTTAGCTCAGAACTAGCATGCTGTCGCTTGCATCACATTCTATGTCAAAGCAATTCACAAGGCTAGTCCAGATTCAGAAGGTGGGGAAATAGACTCCACTTCCTGATGGTAGGAGCCACAGAGTTACATTGTAATGGGTGTGGATACAGGGAGGGGTGGAGAAATGCAGCCATTTTTGTAACCAGTCTAACACTCTATGATTCTTGCATTAAAAACTCTTTGATCATGCGGATCAAACAAGACAGGATACTCCCAAGAAAGCACATCAATTCTTTTGTGGATTAATGAAGATACTAGAATAGTTGTGATTTCTTAGTTGAAAATCAGGGGATTACAGCTTCATTTCTCAGGTTCTCTATCAAATCACTATAATGTAACTCAGTTTCTAATTTAATCTCATTTTACCTTAAACCATACCAGCCAGATAATGACAATCACAGGATATGTGTGACAGTAGAAGTAGTCATTAAGTAGCCTTTACCGCTGAACCCTACTACTCATTCATTGATAAAATTCTAGGCTCTTTGCTAGGGGGTAGGGATGCAAAATGAGTAAGACTCAACTCCTCCTGGAGCCATTGTCTAGTTAGAGATGAAACCAACTTAGAAGAATACACTGCAGTAGGTAAAAATAACAGGTGCACATGGGGCAAGGATGACATAGGAGGGTTGTCTCTGGTGGCAGAATCAGGGATGACATTCCCAGTACCCGCCACTATGCTCACTTTCCTAACAGTCCCCATGGCCCCCCAGGGGCTCTCTCACACTAGGCCACATTGTGCTCCTAGTTGCTACTGAGACTGTAAACTCTGAATATCTGAGATGGGTCTCAGTTAATTTAGAAAGTTTATTTTGCCAAGGTTGAGGACACGGGCCCATGACACAGCCTCAGGAGGTCCTGATGACATGTGCCCATTGTGGTCAGAGCACAGTTTGGTTTTGTACATTTTAGGAAGAAATCAGACATCAATCAACATATGTAAGATGAACATTGGTTCGGTCTGGAAAGTTGGGACAACTTGAAGCAAAGGCAGGACAACTCAAAGCAGGGAGGTGGCTTCCAGGTCATAGGTCATACTAATTTGGGGGGCCCAAGATTTATTTTACTTTCACAAGAGCAAAGGCACCATGCGGTGCCTCTGTCTGGGCTACTCTGGCAGCTCCTGTGGCTGTTCATTCCCAGATAGCAGAGTTCTCTCTTTTCAGGGTTGTTTACGAGGCTTCCACCAGGATGGGCTTGTCTTCCAAGTGCCTTACAGCAAACCCGAGCTTTCAAGTTTTATTTTTTTTCTCCAAGACCTTTAGGTCTTTCATATTCACCTTTTTCTCAAGAAATGTGATAAAAAGGAAAAAGGATGTAAAGCTCCTCTGTGGATGGATAGCATTTGAAAGACCAAACAATACCACTCCTCAAAGTAATTCCTTTTCTTCTTTCCAGTTTTTATTTTAGGTTTGGGGGGTCCATATGCAGGTTAGTTATATGGGTAAATTGCATGTCATGAGAGTTTTGTGTACAGATTATTTCATCACCCAGGTAATAAGCATAATACCCGATAGGTAGTGTTTTGATCCTCTCCCTCCTCCCACCCTCCATCTTCAAGTAGACCAGTGTCTACTGTTCCCTTCTTTGCATCCATGTGTATGCAATGTTTAGCTCCAACTTATAAGTGAGAACATGCAGTATTTGGTTTTCCGTTCCTATGTTAATCCACTTACGATAATGGCCACCAACTCAATCCATGTTGCTGCAAAGGACATCGTCTCATTCTTTTTATGGCTATGTAGCATTCCATGGTGTTTATGTACCACATTTTCTTTATCCAGTCCTCCACTGATAGGCATTTAGGTTGATTGTGTGTCTTTGCTATTGTAAATAGTTCTGTGATGAACATATGCATACATGTGTCTCTATGGTAGAATGATTTATATTCCTTTGGATATATACCTAGTAATGAGTTTGCTGTGTCAAATTGTAGTTCTGTTTTAAGTTCTTTGAGAAATCTCCAAATTGCTTTCTACAGCTCCTAGATCTGATAAACAACTTCAGCAAAGCTTCAGGATACAAAATCAAGGTGCAAAAATCAGGAATTCTTATTAGCAAGCACTTGGTGACCCAGGATGAACGTAGCCTCAAGATGAGCTCTCCCCATGGTTGGTGATACCCTTTGTCATTTTCCCATTAAAGAGTCCTTGGCTGGCACAATAGACCTCTCCAAATCCTTTGAGCCATCTCTTCCAGAGACCACCCAGACTCTCATACAAATGCAGCCTGTGACCATTCTACATCTCCTGAGGTGGAAATGCTGATTGGGTATCCTGTTGTCACCCTCACCAAATTTCTCTTGTAGTTAGATTTCTCAGTGTTTATATGATAACAATTTTTAAAATGCAGTCTGCCTTTAGATGAGCCAGAAAATCTCACCTTTCTAAATAAAGGGTCATAGCTAAATATACTGCCTATAGTGGGGGTCGGCTTGGAGCTGCTGTCTTTTGATTCTGGAGACTGAAGTTAAAGCCAGTAGCATGGAGGTTCAAATAATTAGTAATACAATTTTTCTCTTATGGACAAAGCTTTTCAGGAAGATATTAAAGGATAGAATTAGGCTTTTTAATTAAAAGTTTTGAGGCAGCATCTTAACTCTGTCACCCAGGCAGGAGTGCAGTGGTGTGATCATGACTCACTGCAGTCTCAACCTCCTGGGCTCAAGCCATCCTCCTGCCTCAGCCTCCTGAGTAGCTTGGACTACAGGTGTACACCACCACACCCATCCACTCTTCCCCACCCCTTCCCTATAGAGACAGTGTCTTGCTGTGTTGCCCAGGCTGGCCTCAAATTCCTGGGCCCAAGAGATCTGCCTGCCTCGGCCTCCCCAAAGTGCTGGGATTACAGGTGTGAAACTACATTCTAGTGCATGCTCATTAAGCACTTACAGAGAGGCCTGCTGGACTCTACACTAAGTACCTTACCCACATTATCTTACTTAATCTTCACCACAATCATGCAAAGTAGAAACTATCATTATATAGGTGAGGATTTTTTTAAAAATTTTTTTGAGACAGAGTCTCTTGCTCTGTCACCCAGGCTGGAGTGCAGTGGCATGATCTTGGCTCACTATAACCTCCGCCTCACAGGCTCAAGCAATTCTCGTGCCTCAGCCCCCCAAGTAGCTGGGACTACAGGCATGCACTGCAACACTCAGCTAGTTTTTGTATTTTTAGTACAGATGGGGTTTCGCCATGTTGCCCAGGCTGGTCTTGAACTCTTGCTCTCATGTAATTGCCTGCCTCAGCCTCCCAAAGTGCTGGGATTACAGGCATGAGCCACCATGCTGGCCCAGATGAGGAAATTGAGGTCATGGAATCCTGAGTGGTGACGCAGGAATGTGAACCCAGGGAGTCTGATTCCAGGTCTGCTTTTCATCTCTTTGCTGAAAGTTCTGAATGGTGGCCAGCAGACAAAACTCGGCTTACAGAGGTTTTGGCTTTGGCTCACACCGATGTTTCACGAAAAAATAAATATGTATTTCTTGAAACTCTCTAGTTTGCCACAGTCCCCCCTATTTCCTATTCTTTCTAACCCAGCCTGCTTCTTTCATGGACCTGTCTGAAGGCATTTGGATTTTGATTTCTGTGCACTTTTAACACACCTTCCTCCTAGGGTAATTCCACACACCTTTCTCATTTCTCAGTTCCATTAACTGCACCTCAAGTAACTTCTCTATTGCAAGCAATTCCCTCACTCTTACTCTTTTTTCTCCTTCTTGTTTCTCTTTAATTTCCTGCAAAGTTACTTCAGTGTCTCTCAAACTTTCTTACTTTTTCTTTTTTATTTTTTGAGATGGTATTTTGCTCTTATTGCCCATGCTAGAGTGCAATGGCACGATCTCGGCTCACTGCAACCTCTGCCTCCCAGGTTCAAGCGATTCTCCTGTCTCAGCGTCCCGGGTAGCTGGGATTACAGCCATGCGCTGCTACGCCTGGCTAATTCTTTGTGTTTTTTTTAATAGAGATGGGGTTTCACCATGTTAGCCAGGCTGGTCTCAAATTCCTGACTTCAAGTGATCCACCTGCCTGGGCCTCCCAAAGTGCTGGGATTACAGATGCGAGCCACTGCGCCCGGCACCCCCCCGCCCGGCTTTTTTTTTTTTTTTTTGTGACGGGGTCTCACTTTGTTACCCAGGCTGGAGGGCAGTGGTGCAATCATGGCTCACTGCAGCCTTGACCTCCTAGGCTCAAGTGACCCTCCCACCTCAGCCTCCTAAGTAGCTGGGACTACAGGCATATACCACCACACCTGGGTAATTGTTTAAATTTTTGTAGAGATGGGGTCTCACCATGTTGCCCAGGCTGGTCTCGAACTTCTGGGCTCAAGCAATCCTCCTGCTTCAGCCTTCCAAAGTGCTGGGATTACCGGTGTGAGCCACTGCACCTGGCTTTCTTAATCTTCTGTTTTAGATTGCTGTCCTCCATTGGCTATGAATGTGGCTGATGTCCCTCCCCTAAGATTATTGGCAATAATACTATATGAATATAGCATGAAGAACAAAGAAGAACGTGAGCATGGACAGAATACAATAAGCTAATTCCCTTAAAGTCTAAAACATTTTTGAAAATCCAATATATGTTTTCAGCTCTCAGTTAAAACTAAACAGAGTGATTGGTTAAGCCTTCTGAGCTTTTCTTCTCCATTAAAATGGCATTAAGGAGAAATACCAAGTTTTGATGTGTTTGTATTTTCCTGTTTTGTTTTAACCTTAGTCTAATTTTGCCCGGGAAGCAAATCATAGTTTATAACGTTTTTATGAAAAAAAAATTCAAATTCCAAACAGTTGGCTGACAAATGCAATTTTGAAACAATTCATTTATGTCTTTCTGTGCAGAGTACTTTAGAAGTTGAACCTTCTTTTTTGTTGAACTATGAATTCCTTGACATCTTCCATTTAATATTCTGAAATCTCTGTGTGATATACAAATGCAGACATACCAGTTATAAATTCTTATTTTACTAATTGTACCTATCCTTTCTCCTAGTATTCCTGTAATAGCAGCCTCACTGAGGTGAGTTCGCCAAATAGTTGATGATAATTCTATTTCAAGCCATTCTAGGTAAATTCAAAGTACTACTTTCTTTTTATGTTAGACTAAGCGAGATGAAACAAGATGATCTTTTCCAGCTGCCAGTGTTAAAAAAAATATTCAAAGTAGCCACTAACCATATGTAGGTATTGAGAACTTAAAAGGTGACTAGTTCTAATTGAGATGTGCCATAAATGAAAATACATCCCAGATTACAAAGACTTAATAAAACATGTAAAATAGTTATAGCTTTATATTGATTGCTTGTTGAAATAGTTTTTTTATATGTTGGGTTAAATGAAAACATTAAAAAATTTAAGAAATTTGAACATGTTGGGCAGGTATTTGTAGATGAAGAGCAATGAAGGTAAATTCTTGACACAGTATGTACAATTGAGCATCTACTCAGCAAAGTAGATGAGTGGTTCTTTGGTTTGTCATAGAGTAAAATTGACAGGAGAGAAGGAATTTTGCTCTTTGAGCAGAACGCTTTTAAATTCAACCTTCGTGTTGTAATCATGAGAGAAGGCAAGAAAGAACAAACACTGATTGAGTCTCTCATGTTGCTAGTGCTGGGAGAGTAATGCACATCCCTAAGAAGGGGTGCTGATAGCACACTCCCCTTCCAAGAGGTGGGAGTAGGCAGCCCTTTCCAGGTTGCCATCCACAAAGGGTAGCTAGTGTGGCTGCAGAATACTTCCAGGTATACATTCCTTCTTTCCCTCCGTGTATTTTTTCCTCACCTCTATTCAAACAGTCAGTCCACTCCGTGTTCCTTGCCTCAGAAGGCATGAGGCAGATTGGAAAACAGAAGTGGTCTTGCTGACTTTTGTTTTCCAAAAGCCTAATTCCTAGTGGTCTGGGAAGAGGGAAGAGGCAGAACAAGATTTTCTGATATAAACAATATGTAGAAGAAGCCAATGTTAGATTGGAGCTTCACTCTGGATAAAGACCACCCCCTCCAGAGTTAGGGGGAGAAAAAGAGGACTGTGGGTCCAGAAACAGCAGGGATACCTTGAGGTAGCAGGACCCTAGAGGCGAGGCTGCATAGTGTGTCTAGGCAGAAGGGCTGTGGGCAGCCTGGCCAAAGAATTCTGTGGAACACCAGCAGTGGAGACCACCAGACTATGACGCCTTGTGGGCCTGGACAGCAGCTGCCTCAATGGTCACCTGGAGCACGTGGACACTCCCACGTCAGAGAAGTGGCACTTTGTAGGACCCCAGAACTGTGGCACATCATGGGGAAAAGGGAATGTACCCTAAAGTTAAATTTTCTACCACTACAGTGGAATGTGGCTTTAGCCAGAAATTAATTCAAATCAGAGACAATAGACAGCGATATTTATTTTGCAGTCTGTTTATAGACTTGAAGAATTGTCCCTACTACAATAGTGACGAAAACAGTTTGGAGCCATGAGCTCCTCTTCTCTCTGCCATGTATTTTCCCTGGATATCTCCTCTCAGTACATAAACATGTAGGGGTACAAGGTAAGATTAGATTGTCCTTTCTTTTGATGTTGTGAGTTTTGCATCTCTAGGAACTTGCCATTCACATTGCTTCACAGCTTCCCCTCAGCAGGGAATCTGGTGAGATTCCCCCCACTCCAGTATGGGTTAAGGGCCTGCATCCTGAAGGGATCATGCCCAGTGAACTAGGACATATTACTGCTTCAGACAGTTTTTCTTATGATAGTAAAATGATGTCTTTCTTTTTTAAAATTGTATTTAATTTCTTTAACATGTACATACTTATTTTTAAATGGACAGATAAAATTTTATACATTGTGTACAACAAGATGTTTGAAGCATATAGACATTGTAGATGTGTTTTCCTTTTTATAAGATATAGTTTTACAAATTGGAAAACCAGGGTGATTTTAAAAACTTACCTACATGCCACTTTAATGGGCAAAGCTCTTATTTAGGGAGACAATTATGCTCCATCCCTAGCACAGCTGATCAACTCACCCCTGTCTCTCTCTCCCTATGGTAAAAGTTCCTTCAGAATAGAAAATGCCAAGCTGGTGCCTTTAACTGTATTTGGGAACATTCTTATCTTCTCTGTCTTTCCTGCCATGTGTTGTGTTCCTGTGTTCTGCTTTTCTCTCCCAACCTTCCTTCCCTGTTCTAAGTTCAGTGGAGAAAAATGTTAAAATATTATTCTTTTTAAAAAATACATACTGCTATTTGCTTTCTATTAGAAGGAAGGAAAAGCAATAATCAATATTTAAACTCTTAATATCCAGACCTTAGAATGTGTCAGGAAATATGGGGAGATTAAAAAGTAGAGGGGAAGACAATAGAAGAATTTCCATTCCTTGGTTCAGGGAACAAATAAAACTTTCAATGTGTAAATGTTATATTGGCACATTAGTTATCAGTTGCCTTTGACAAATATAACATTGCTGGTGCTGAAGAGAATCTAGGTCTCATTAGCCTTTTCTAGCACTGCATCCATATGGCAAGTTCAGGGGCTGAGGTCCGAGTTCTTTGTTCATCCCAGGCCATGCATGTCTTGTGCCAGGCAGGCACTTAGTGAATGTTTGCTGATGTTGCGAACTATTCCCATCCTACCACAAGGGCAGGAATAGCCAATGCAGCATCCAAACCCAAATTACATAGAATAAAACAATCACAGAGCCATGGTATTCTCAAGTAGAAAGGGTCCTTGGAGACAGTCTGGTATAACCCCTTGATTTTACAAAGAAAGGGAGGCCAAATGAGGTCAACGGACATGTCCACAGTCTTATCACTGGTTAGTGCTAGAGTTAAGGGCCACAACTTCTGATACTCAGCCTTATGTTCTTGCTGTCCAATTAGTTAATAACTTGAATGACAACTATGGCTTAACCAAGCCACAGAAATGTAGCAGAACCGAGCACATCAAACCTAGTGGTGGACAATGAGAAGTTGTGGGCCTAATACGGGCAGTGCCTGTCCTGCCTGAAAACGTTCACATTTCCCTCTGTATGAGTTTCCTAGTGATGCCATAACAAATTACCCCAAACAATGGCTTAAAACAACACAAACCTATGATCTTACACTTCTGAAGGTCTGAAATCCAAAGAGGGTCTCACTGGGCTAAGGTTGAGGTGTTGGTGGGGCGACGTTCATTCTGACGGCTCTCAGGAGAGTTTGTTTTCAGCCTCTAGAGGCCATCTGCATTCCTGGGCTCACAGCTCTAGCTTCAAAGCTGCCATGGTCAGCAGTGACTCTCATGGTGCCATCCCTCTGGTTCTGACTCTTCTGCCCAGCACATGCCCTTTTAAAGGATTCTTGTAATTACACTGGGCCAAGCCAGACAACCCAGGATAATCTCACTATCAAGAAATCTTCAATTACCTCTGCAGAATCCCCTTTGCCGTATAAGGTAACATATTCACAGATTCTGGCGATTGGGATGTGGACATCTTTGGGGGCTGTGATTCTGCCTGCTATACTTTTTTTTTTCTTTTTTCTTTTTTTGAGACGGAGTCTCACTCTGTCGCCCAGGCTGGAGTGCAGTGGCGTGATCTCGGTTCACTGCAACCTCTGCCTCTTGGGTTCAAGTGATTTTTCTGACTTAGTCTCTCAAGTAGCTGGGACTACAGGTGCGTGCCACCACACTCGGCTAATTTTCATATTTTTAGTAGAGATGGGGTTTCACCACGTTGGCCAGGCTGGTCTTGAATTCCTGACCTCAGGTGATCTGCCCGTCTTGGCCTCCCAAGGTGCTAGGATTACAGGTGTGAGCCACTGCGCCTTGCTTGCCTGCTATACCCTTTATAAAAAGAGCCAAACTAAATACCCTTGCAAGCTGGATGTAGCCCATGAATGGACTGCCAGATCCTCAATTTACTGCCATGCTGAGTGTCATGAAGGCACATAAGAAATTTGAGAAAATCTCTAACCTGGAGGACAGTCAGGCTGGAGAATGAAGACTCACCCACAAAGCAACGAGGTGCTGTGTGCCAGGAAGGGAAGCGCCATCCTGCACGGAGGCTGTGAGTGCCACCAATGGCTTTCTCTGTCCTACTAAATGCCTAGAAGTCTTGCATCTCAAAATTTCAGTTGGGGAAGAAACCCAAGTTATGATTTATTCATCTTTGAGCAAACAGAAGCCTTTTGTGGGGAAATGACAGAGTGAGTGAGTGGCTGAACTGGGATTAGAGTTCTGGTATCCTAAGGCCCAGCTCGGTTCTCCTGCCACCCTACAGGTTGTTCACTACCAACACTCTTGCCTAACATTCAGTGACTCTGCTTTGCCAGCCACTGCTACCTTCTCCGATGACCCAAGATGACCTTTCTCTCACGTTACTCTCCTTATCATCCCAGGACAATGGCACCAAACTTGTTCCCACTGATATACCTATTCATCTACATCTTTGTTCATTTGTCACTCATATATTGAGCACCTTCTATTGCTAGACTTTGAAGCAAGCTCTGCAAACACAAAGGCAAATAAGATCCCATCCTCCCTCTTTAAGGGGCTTCAGGTCCGGTGCAGCAGTTCCCACCCTTGTTATGCCATGTACAAATGGTGGAGGACTGTTCACTCCTTTGTGAAGTGTGTGAGTGTGTTCACTCCTGCTGGCTATAATCCTGGGTACACTGCCTCCTTCCTTTCCCTCTTAGAGGAAACAGCAGAAAGAAGGCCAGTGGGTGAGAGCACTATTACTCAAGGGAAAACTTCCATCTTTTCTAAGTTATACACAATCATTAAAGTACCTTATCTGCAAATATATACAAGTAGCAAATGACTTGGGTCATGCTGCTATGACTTGCAGGTAGGAACCTCTAATTTAGTGGTTCATGTGGTTCTTCTTCCTTAGAATGCCCTTTTCTTTTTTTTCCCCCTCTCTTTTTAGCTTTTTATTTTTTTTCTAGAGATGGGATCTCACTATGTTGTCCAGGCTGGTCTCTGACTCACCTTAAGCAATCCTCCCACCTTGGCCTCCCCAAGTGCTAGGATTACAGGCATGAGCCACTGCATCCAGCCTTCTTTTTGTTTTAAGTGAGCACTGAGGAGTTCTAACTAGTTCTCATTTTCCCAAAGAGAAGAAAAGCAACTCGGAGATAAGAAACTCCACACCCTTTTGAGGAGAGAACTTGACATCTGAATTTTCATGTTTGTGTTCTTTGAACAAACATCATTAAAGCATACCAAATCTACACCCAGTAAAAGTTTTGGATGAAGACAGACAAAAATGTGAATGGACTACAATGGAAGATGCACAGACATATATTAACCAGGTACAGTAAGCTCGAGGTGAGTCAACAGTGGGCAGTGGTGGCCAAAAATGCCATGCCATCGCAGGCAGCATAAATGAATGACAGACTCTCCAGTTAGGGAGGGAATGGCCACACAGCACTCCAGAGCTCAGACCACAGCTGAATGCTGCATTTAGATTTAGGAAATACTCTCTGAAAGAGCTAAAGACAAACTTAATTATGTTTAGAGGAGTGTGCCCTGAAGAGACAGTGTGGGGTCCTGGTAAGAACATGAACTCTGGAGGCAGCAAGATGGGTTTGAATCCATCTGCCACTTACCTTATCAGGTAGTGACCTTGAGCAGTTTGCATACCTAACCCCTTCATGCACAATTTTTCCATCTGTGAAATGGTCAGAAAGTGAGGGTTGCATGAGTCCAAATGCTTAGAATAGTGCCTGAGACAGAGTAGGTCTGGGTGAAAGATACTTAAGAAAAGTGAAGGGCTGGGCATGGTGACTCACACCTGTAATCCCAGCACTTTGGGAGGCTGAGGTGGGTGGATCACCAGGTCAGGAGTTCAAGACCAGTCTGGCCAAGATGGCGTAACCCTGTCTCTACTAAAAATACAAAAATTAGCTGGGCACGGTGGCAGGCGCCTGTAATCCCAGCTACTCGGGTGGCTGAGGCAGGAGAATCGCTTGAACCCGGGCGGCAGAGGTTGCAGTGAGCCAAAATCGCAGCACTGCACTCCAGCCTGGGTGACAGAGTGAGACTCTGTCTAAACAAAAAAAAAAAAGAGAAGAAAAGAAAAGAAAAAAGAAAAAAAAATAAAGGAACTCAGCATCCGAGAAACTCCTGTGAAAAGTATTACAAGGAACTGGGAGTGTTAACCTGAAGAGGAGGAAGTTAGGGAAGCTGACAGAAGTCACCTGTCTAAGGGAAGAGACTTACTGTCAGTTCCAATGAGAGGAAGCTTCATGCAGGTATGTTTCACACTCAAACAGCTCAGCTCCCAAAGCAATGTGGTCAAAAGACCACTAGATGAATCAGGAAATGTTTGGTTACAAGGAACGGAACCTTAGGACAGATTAGAAAAAATAAAGGGAGAATTTATAACACAACCTCAGAAGCCAGGGCTAGAGTGACTTCAGTCACTCCTGGGTTCACATCATGGTTGTAGAAGTCCATCTCCATTCCTGGCCTCTGCATCCACTGCTGTCTTTCCCCATGGTGGGCTCTTAGAGGACAGGCATTGGGGATGCAAGCTCGGTGGCTCCAATTCACACTCCTACAGGTCACCCATTCACTAAGGTAGCACCCTCCAGGGATCGCCTTCCAATAAAACTCTGTGACCCAGGAGAATGATGCTGATTGGCTCAGCCTGAGTTCCATGTCACCCTGAACATGGGCAGGGGGGTGTAGGGGAAGGAGCCCCCTGCCTAAAGCTCATAGTCTGAGAATGAGGTGGTTCCCCAAAATAAAAACTCCAGCTGCTTAGCTGAAGAAGGGGGAATGAGGGATGGACAGGTGAACAGAGCAGATGTCCACTCAGACGCTGTCTATGCCACCAAGACAGGTCAGAATAAATAAAGCCCTTGGTTTTCTTGTTCCACACGAGGGCTATGCAGAAGTCTTCAGCAACTTCCTACCCTCTGTCATTCCCATGCCAGGGCTGCCCTCAGCACCATTCTCCCCAACCAAAGCATCCCTCTCCTCCGCCTTCCCACCTGTTTCTCTTATAGGAAACCTGAGAACTGTCCTGACAGGTAGGACTGGGGAGAGGACAGGCAAGAGTGTGTGTGGGGGGGAGTGTGGGGCGGGGGGAGGAGGGCTACTTGCAACTTTATTGCGTTATCTCAGCACATCAGGAAATAGAGTTCAACCAAGTTGGAAGGTCGGCCTTGGAAGACACTGAGTTCCTGACCCTGGAGGACAGGCTGTGTTCATTCAGGACCTGGAGGTTTTCAAACTCTCTCAATGCCCTGCTGCTGCATTTGAACTGTATACAAGTCCACTTCCTGTGTCTTTGAAGAGGAAATTTCTCATCTGCTATCAAGGGTGTTGCTAATAATTTAAAGATCGGGTTTTTTTTCTGCATTTTAGTCTGGCACATCTGGGACTCAAGTTTCAAGTGCTGAGTCTTGTAAGGACTGTTCTGCAGCCAAAAACCAGGAAAGGGGAAACAGAAGCAAAAAACCAATCACAAGTGAAAAAACTCAGCCAGCCTAATTAAATATTTGGAATCAAAAATTGTTGGCCACCTGGAAGGGGAAACACCCTTTTCATCCTGTCATTCATTTCTTAGCTAAATAATGGGTTCAATATACATAATTCCAAAACCAAAATTAGAATTTTTGGAAGACGCCCCCAATATTTAGGCATTTTATCTCCTGACCAGTTTGTCTTGGAAGGTATTCCAGGCCAGGAAATTCTAATGTATTTCTCTATGTTAAAAGACATATAGGAGATTTTTATTTATTGGTCAAGGTGGATACGTGGGAACACCTGCTTTAAAATGCTCAAGACTGGGATTATGACTCTGATCAAGTAAAACTCTAGAGCCTCAAGATCTGTTGAAATGGAGAAGATAAAAACTGCTGGGTCCCTGCTTGCCCTTCCCCACCCAAAATTTCTTGGCCCTGACCCTGATCCTCCTCCCTCAGACCACCTGTAGATGAAGGTGGAGTAGCCTTCCACTGAGACATCATGAGGCTCTCTGGCTGTCATAAGGAGGGCATCAACCGACTGTGGAAATATAGTTTTGTATTTCATCAGCATCATAGAATATCATCTCAAACTCACTGAGGGCCAACAGTGTTTATAGACTCAGTTATGAAGAATTCTGTTTTAAGGAGAATTACCTGAAAGAGATGTAATCCTGATACTTTAAAATTTATCTTTGGGTTTGTAGACCCTCAGCGAGCAGCCTACATGGGCCACTCAGTTCTGGCTCCCCACTGACTTACTGAGCCCAGCTTTGGCATTCTGCTATTTGCACACTTGGGTGGGGGGTGGGGGGAGTAGAAAGCTGTGCCAAGAAATGTGATGTTGTACTTACTCTAATTGTTATAAAGTTTTGGTGCCGCAAAAGAAATAGCACGCGAATATAAAATTTTATTTTTAATTCTCAGCAAGGCAAGTTACTTCTACAGAAGAGTGTGCCCTTACAGATGGAGCAATGATGAGCGCACACTTGGACAAGGGAAAGGAAGGGGTTCTTGTCCCTGATGGGCACGTGGCCCCTCTGCTGTGTCGTTCCTCTATTGGCTAGGGTTAGACAGCACAGGCTAAACTAATTCCGATTGGCTAACTTAAAGAGAGTGGCGGGGGTGAGTGGTTTGGCGGGAAAAATGGTTATGACAGAGCAGGTAATCAGAATGAGTCAGGGTGGAGAATGTAATCGGAAAAGGTTGCTTTATGAGGAAGTTTAAAAGTAGAAGACAAATAATTGAACATACTGACATATTCTTTGAAATTTAGAACTCATATCTAACATAAGCAGGCTTGGGGAAACCATTCACTACTGTTTTAGGGTTCCTCCGGCATGAACTGGAATCCCAGTATGTACTTTTATTTGCAGCAGACACTAGTTCCTGCAAATCCCAGGCCTTCAAGGGGACTGTAGAAGGTTTTGGCTAATACTCATACTTTGACCTTCCCTAAGGTAATGTGCAAGGTGGAAAAGGCTGGGAGCCTGTGCAGGTCACCTTGGGCTGTGCTGCTAGGTGGCCATTTTGCGCTGGGAAGGGACCCTGCTACTTGTTATTTTAGGCAGCAGATGGCTGTGACTCTGCAAATTTCCTCCAGGGGCTTCAATGGGGCCAATGCACTGTTTACAGTTTTAGAGCTTTAACTGACCCTTATCACTTAAGGACAGATGCTGTGCCCTGGAGCTATGGGATCTGGTCACTTTTACATAATTTGAATGTGCTCTGTAATCATCCAAGTACCGTTTTAAGCATTTAAATTCTTGCCAGCAATTAGGCTGCTGCTGAACATGGGAGATGATTGCATCACTTCACTAGTTTCAAACAGCACACTCAACCTTAGTATTTATTGCATCAGCTCAGGGCAACCTGCTCTTCCAATCAATTAAACTCCTTGTGCTTGAATATGCAATGCCTGCCAATCACACATTAAATCACCACCTCATGCTTATTTCACAATGAGCTTACTGAATGAAATGACTTCCCAAAACTTAATCAGTCCCCACCTCCGGCAAGCTGGCATTTAAAGAGATTTTCCAGTGTCTCTGGGAACAACCCTATTACATTTCTCCCTGAGGGTAAAATCTTCTCAGGTCTCCATTCCAGGAATAGCAATGCTGCTGCTGGTAGTTGCTGGCTTGTATTTGTCCCGGGACAGACACTATGAATGATGAAACTAATTGTGTTTACTGGTCCTCCCCCTGCCCCCCACCATCCATTTATTTTTGTAACACCAATAATGCATGTTTATTATGGAAAAAAACCATACAGCAAAGCAATGAAGAATAATTACCTAAATTCTCAACACCTCAAAATTACAATGGCTAAAATGTTGGTTACCCTTCCAGGCATTTGTGTTTCCTCTTTACAGTGGCTGCTAGAAATAGCCAGATACAAATCCCAGTATAAATGAGACTTTAATATAAAACAATGGGGAAAAGATGTATGATAGATGGCACTGGCCCAACTGGCTCTCCATTTGGAAGAAAATAAATATGGACTCCTTATGCCGCATGGAAAAATCCATTTCAGATTAAAATTTTAAATGTAAAAAATATAACAAGGTATTGTTTAAAAATCTGGCAGGCTATGTGTATATTCTAGGGGTGGGAGAGACCTTTTAAACTGTGACTAGAAGCTATAAAAGAAGGAAAGGAAAGACTTTTAAAATTATAAAGTCAACAGGTTAATACAAAATAAGAAAAGTACATTTGTAATGCAAGTGACAGTTTATGCCTATGATAAAAGCTCTTAAATTTGATGAGAAAAGGGCAAAATGATGAGATAAAGATGCACAAAGGATAAACACTTCACAGACATTGAAACGGCTAGCCCACATGCTCATATTCACTAGTGGTCAGAAAAAAGCAAATGGAAGTTAACAATAGAACACCATTTTACACTTAGACTGGAGAAAAGAGCTATAATATCATATGCTAGTGTTGGAGATAGGAATTGTGACATGCGTCCGTGTGAAGAGAGTCCATCAAACAGGCTTTGTGTGAGCAACAAGGCTGTTTTTTTCACCTGGGTGCAGGCGGGCTGAGTCTGAAAAAGGAGTCAGCAAAGGGTGGTGGGATTATCATTAGTTCTTATAGGTTTGGGATAGGCGGTGGAGTTAGGAGCAATTTTTGTGGGCAGGGGGTGGATCTTACAAAGTACATTCTCAAGGATGGGAAGAATATTACAAAGTACCTTCTTAAGGGTGGGGGAGAATATTACAAAGTACATTCTCGAGGGCGGCGGAATATCACAAAGTACGTTATCGCAAGGGCGGGGAGGGTGTATTGTCACAAAGTCAATTGATCAGTTAGGGTGGGGCAGGAACAGATCACAATGGTGGAATGTTATCTTTTGTGGATCTTCAGTTGCTTCAGGCCATCTGGATGTATATGTGCAGGTCACCGGGGATATGACGGCTTAGCTTGGGCTCAGAGTCCTGACAGGAATGTACTCTGATACTCTGCTGGTGAACTGTGATGTGCTAAAATCTTTTGGGAAATACATTTGACAATATCTATTAAAATTAAAAGGACACGTACCCCTCGTTCCAGCAATTGCACTCTTTGGAGTGTAGCCCAGTAGAAATAAAAGGGTAGTGTTAAGGACATACGAACACAGAGGTTTGCTGCAGCATTGTTCAGAGAGTAAAAACAGGAAAAAAGAGAATGCTCATCAACCAAGCAGTGGCTTAATAATTTATAATATTTCTCAAACAAAGTAATATTTTTAATGAATAAAAATATGAATTACAGTTAAACCAAATGATTTGGAGGGATTCCCATAAGATACTACTGAAGGAAAAAAGAGCACATATATCCTATTGAGGGAAAAAATGATAAACTCTGTGTGTGTACATCTGTATGGGATTATCTAAGTACAGAGAGCTGGACAGAGGATGCATATTAGGTTGTTGAGATTGGTTGCCATGGTCGGGGAGGAGGGAAGGCTGCTGACGTTGAAAGAGGGAGAAGAAGGGAAGGACAGAGCTCAGTTAAAAGAAGTTTAAAAAGTCACTAAAAATAAATGAAAATGTATGCATATGGCCATATTTAGGCCTCTACATAAAATTATCTGTAGATGTATGTTTTATGGGTTGAATTATGTCCCCTCAGAAAAGATATGTTGAAGTCCCAGCCCCTAGTCCCTCAGAAGGGGACTGGATTTGGAAATAGGGTCTTCACAGAGATAAGAAAGTTACAATGAGGTCATTAGGGCAGGCCCTAATCTGGTATGACTGGTAGCCTTGTGAAAAAAGAAATTTGGACACAGAATCAGACACACAGGGAAGATGATGTGAAGATGCTCGGAGAGAATGCTGTGTGAAGATGAAAGGTTGGAATCATGCATCTGCCAGCCAAGCAGCGCCAAGGATTGCTGGAAACCAGCAGAGGCCAGGAAGAGGCAGAGGATTCCCCTGTCGGTTTCAGAGGGAATGTGGGTCGGCCAACAGCATGACTTCAGACTTCCAGCCTCTGAAACTGTGAGACAAAAAATTTCTATTTTAAACAGTTTACGGTATTGTTATAGCATCGCTAGGTTGTGAATACAATGTGTGTGTGTGTGTGTGTGTGTGTGTGTGTATGTCTATATATAAAGAATAGTAGATTTTTTAAAAATCAACACAAATTTATTCTTTTATAGTTCTAGAGGTCAGAAGTTTGAAATGAAGCTTACTGGGCTAAAACCAAGGCATTCACAGGGCTGGTTCCTTCTGGGGGCTCCAGAAGAGGGTCTGTTTCCTCACATTTCCTGGCTTAGAAGCTAGGAAAACTCTAGAAGTTTTCTTGAGGAAGACTCCAGAGACAGAGAGTCTGCCCATCTTATTTGACTTGTGACCCTTTCAGTTTTCAAAGCCATCAGCATAGCATCTTCTCTGACTCTGCCTCTCTTGTCGCATGGCTTTCTTATCTAAGACAAAAAAACCTATGAAATTCAGAGTCATATTTACACCTCAATCCTAATAAGTACCATTGCAGTGTTTATTTTAGTCTCATTTTATCTCTCACAAACATCTTATGCAAACATCTTGATGCTAATCTTAAATTATTTTTGTAATATGGAGCCATGGGGTTATCTAGATCCTATAGATGTGGAGCTGGTGGCAAGTTGGGCCACACACACTAAAAGTGACCAAAGTGAGAGGAGTTGGAAACAGTCATCTCCATTTGTGAAGATGAGGTAACCAGTCATCCCTGATAATCAGTAGGAGAGACAGACTATCCAACCACTCAGAAATGCAAAGAACAGGTTTAGGAACCACCTCCAAATTCTAGTTCCGGTTCTTTTGTGGTCAAGTCATATTTCTGTAAGAGGTAACCTCCTGAGATTTCTCCCTTTTTACTTAAGCAATTTGAGTGGAGGTCTGATTATTGTAACCAAACTTAAGGAAAGAACCATAAGAAATTCACAGTGGCTAGAGGAAAAATTGTTGGATGACAAATTCTTAAAGAGTTTAGTTGTATAGTGAAAAGTTGAATCCCTCTTGTCTTCACTTAATACAGCACTGACAGTTGTGTGAGGGGTCCCATATTATGTAACAGAAAATTTTGATCTATGTTTTGACACAAAGATAATTAAAAGAGAGCAAAGTAAGAAGAACTTGGAAACAGGCCGGGTATGGTGGTTCACGCCTGTAATCCCAGCACTTTGGGGGGCTGAGGCGGGCAGATGGCTTCTCAGTTCAAGACCAGCCTGGGCAACATGGCAAGACCTCATCTCTACAAAAAATAGAAAAAAATTTAGCTATGCTTGGTAACATGTGCCTGTAGTCCTGGCTATTCAGGAGGCTGAGGTGGTAGGATCGCTTGAGCCAGGGAGGCGGAGGCTGCAGTGAGCCATGATCATGCCACTGCACTCCATCCTGGGCAACAGAGCAAGACCCTGTCTCAAAAAAAGAGTTAAATAAAATATAAAAAGGAATTTAGAAAGTTATCCTCTGAGATTGAAATGAAGAAGAACCACCATATAAAAGATTTAATAATCAAAGATTATTAATGTCACCTCCCAGAAAAAATAGGTGACTGAAAGGACATAGGACTAAGGTAGCTAAGGTCAAATTGCATGAGCAAGAAGGTCAAGACAAGTGAATTGCACTATAGAAGACTGGTGTCCCATGGAGTCCTGTGTGAAGGGTCAAAGATAGCATGTGTCAGTGTACCTTTAACACCAAGCCAGGAGAAGCCCTGATGCTCCAGGTCCCTTGAGTTTGTGAGAATGTGCCCAGAGCGGAAAGGGAGGCAGCAGTCTGCCTGACAAAATTTGAGAGCACTCATCATTCCTCCCATGGAGGAATGCAAAACTGCATCAGGGGCCACCAAACAAAATTATTCATTGTTGGATTTGGCTACAATGAGATGGACCAAGCGGGCCAACCAAATAAAATGTATTTTCCCCCAGACTAACACCCTCTCTGTTGGCTAAGATCGGATTTGTACATTCGTTTATATGAAGTTTCCCTAAATAGATAAAATCCAAATCTCCTGAGCTATACCCACTGCTGGGAAATCAAAAGCCTGGATTATAGCTTAATTAAGCTTAATCATTTAATTAAGTTTAATTGGTTCATTCATGTACCAAAAGCCATGAGCACTTGCTACATGACATGCAGGGGTGACATGCTTGGCACACACACCCAACTCCTCAGTCCCCAGCTCTTGATCTCATTCAATAACCAAAGTCAGCCTGCTCTTGGATGACACTGATGAGGCTCTCTGTGCCTGAGTCTTCCTAGTCTGCTCTGTGCGTTGTGGTTATGCCAACACAAGGGTAGTTTCTGCTCTCTTAACACCATCTTTCTCCACTATATACCAGAATCTGGGCTGGATTCTCCTCTTTTTAGAAATTTTTCAGAGCCTCTGGGGTGAGTCATGTGCTTTTAACTCTTGGCTGCTATTCTCTTAAGTGGGTTCTCTGCTTCTCCCTAAGGAATGCAGGGTAGCAACTACTACCCTTTGGGTCCAAATATGGTGGATCTCATTATGAGCCTCAAAGTTCTCCTCAAAGGACCCAGAGGAAGATGGGTTTAAGAGTTCTTGTGAAAATGGTCTGGGCAAGTGTCCAAATTAGATCCAACCTGTAACCTTAAATAAACAGTAGAAAGAGGAGACTAGTTGCACCCAGTGTGTGGAAAGCCTTAGGCTTGATGTTGAATCTCTACAGGCTGAGTGTTGTTCTCAGAGATGCTGGCATCGTGCCAGTGGGCAAATGAAGTCAATACGTCTTATTTCTGGTGATGCTAACTTTGATTACTCCCTTAAGGTTGTGTCTGCCAGGCTTCTCCACTGTAAAATTGATATTTTCCTCCTTGTAATTAACAAATACTTGCACAAAGATACGTTGAAACTATCTAAACGTTCTGTTTCTTATACTCTTACCCATTAATTTTAGCATCCATGGATAGATTTTACCTGTGACAAGTATTACATTGGTGTTTATTTCTAATAATAAATGTCTAAAAAAATCTAAAATAACTTTCTTCAATTTTCTATTTGATCATTCTACAAGAAAGATTTTGTACTTTCTGTGTCCTCTCTTTTAAGCACTAGATGTGATGATTTGAGGTCTGGCTGATTGCCTTCTTTAACTGATTTGCGTCACTTCAGCAGCTGTGCTTATCACACAGGTTCTACCCCAAAAGAGTGAGTTTGTGTTCTTGTGCCATTGACTTTTATCTCCCTTCAGCTTTCAGAGGACTCCAAATAATAATTGAGGCCGGCTGGCCTGCCTGCCTGCCTGCCTTCTTTCCTTCCTTCCTTCCTTCCTTCCTTCCTTCCTCTTTTCCTCCCTCTCTCTCTCCCTCACTCCCTCCCCTCCCTCACTCCCTCCCTCCCCTCCCCCCTCTCTCCCCTCCCTCCCTTCCTTTCCTTCCTTTTGACAAGGTCTCACTCTGTCTCTCAGGCTGGAGTGCAGTGCAGTGGTATGATCACAGCTCACTTCAGCCTTGACCTCCTGGGCTCAAGTGATCCTCCTGCTTTAGCCTCCCAAAGTGCTGGGATTAAAGGCTCAATTGGGTTTCGAATGAGAAATTGTCACATTTTTAGCCCAGTAGCCCACTGTCTAGCTGTGTGTCAATATGAACAGGAGCAGTCTCAGGGGTCTTGAGTTCAGTTAGAAACCTGAACACACATGAAGGGTGCTTTAGGATCCTGGAGGGTGGTCAGCAAGTCGTGGAGAAGTACAAAATGCTGCAGGCTGCAAAACTGGCTTGGAAGTGCCAGGGCACTTGAATTTCCCTCTGAGTTTTTCAGGATCTATTCCTTAGCCAAGATGGGAGTACAGTAAATGCTGGCCTATCTATCCACAACTTGAGACTTCTATGTGGATGTTTCCTTAGGCTTGAGATGAATGAAGAGAACCAACCAATCTCTAGCCTGGAGATAGTTCTTGTATTAGGGTTTTCTAGAGACACACAGACCAGTAAGATATATTTATATATCTAGAAAGAGATTTAGTATAAGGAATTGGCTCACGCCATCAATGGAGGCTAAGTCCCAGGATCTGCTGCCTGCAAGCTGGAGGCCCAGGAAGGCCTGAGGGGGTAGTTCCAGTCTGAGTCCGAAGGCCTGGGAACCAGAAATGCTGACTGTGTAAGTCCCAGTCTGAGGGCAAGAGAAGACTGATGTCCCAGCTCAAGCAGTTCATCAGAGGGAGGGAATTCTCCCTTCCTTCCTTCACCTTTTTGTTCTATTTGGATCCTCAATAGATTGAATGATACCCACACACATTGGGGAGGGCCATTTGCTTTACTCAGTTTACTCAGTCTACCTATTCAGACATTCATCTCTTCTGGAAACACCCTCACAGACACACCTAGAAATAATGTTGAGCCAAATCTGGGCACCCATTTCCCAGTCAAATTGATACCAAGTTAACCATTGCGGTTCCCAAGTTTGTGTGCTGTTCCTGTTATATACTCTGGTAACTATATCAATTTCTAGAAGAGACATAGCTCAAACAGGCCCATTACTCAGATGGGCACCAGGGAAAGGCCTGCCTAAATCACAGGAAACTGAGATGAGCACCCAGGAAATGTGGCTAAGACACTGCTTTTCAATTTGAATGTGCTCAGGAATTTCCTAGCGATCCTAGTAAAGTGAATATTTTTATTCAGCAGGTCTGGGTTGGGACCTGAAATTTTGCATTTCTACAGAGTTTTCACATGACGCTCGTGCTTCTGGTCTGAGGACCACACTTTGAGTAGATAGAATTAAAGGACATGGAGAAGTCTGAATGTTAAAAAATATGTTATCCAAAAAGTATCTGAAGCACCACTATCCACCACTATCTTTCTTTCTAGAATTTTTGTACCCATAAGAACAGGGAGAATTCCATCACTTTTGGCAGGAAGAAAGGTTGGGGATCAGGCTCAATGCACATTGTGATTTCATTGCAGAATATAGTAAAATGGGGCAAGCCAGCAGAACAGGGCTTAGATGACTCAGTGGGTCTTTCCAGCTTGCCCCATATTCATCAAGAACCTGCTTGTGTAAAGGTATTAAACAAGTGTGGAGACTTCCTAGGAAAGCTTTGTACTTATCTACTTTTTTCTGCAACAAAATATGAATGAGTGTTCACACAGATGATACCCCCATGGTCATGTGCAAGGGTTAAACACAATTTCCCATACAGTGGCCATAAATGCACCCCTTTCTCTCCCACTTAAAAGGAAAGTCAATATACAAATGAATGAGATAAATAATGTTGAATATCCTCTTTAAATATTTGCAATTGTTGGTACCTTAAACCATTAGTAACACATTATAGCATACCTCAGAACTGATTGTGGCACATCAATGTGTCACTTCAAAATGGGTGAGAAGCACTGGCCTAGAACTTACCTGGTGTGCCTGGCAAAGCCACCTGTGCTGGACACAGATTCTGGAACATGAGCCTGGGCCTCATGGCTGCCTTTATCCACCTTCGGAATAGCCTATAATGGTAATGGTATAGGTTCTATGCTGTCCAGTATGGTAGCCACTGCCTATAATTGCAATGAGGGTCACATATCACATAATGCCATTTTTTTTTCCAGTTGTGTGAGTCACTTGAGATTATGGCAGTTGTTGATAGACCACAAAATCAACCATGCCCTTCTTCACCTCAGCCAGCCAGCTAAAGTGAAAAAGGGCATGGCTACTGAGCATTTGAAAGGTGACTAGTCCAAAGTGAGATGCACTGTCAGTATAAAATAACACGAATTTCCAAAACGTAGTATGGCTTCCAAGATGGCTGAATAGGAACAGCTCCAGTCTGCAGCTCCCAGGGAGATCGATGCGGAAGATGAGTGATTTCTGCATTTCCAGCTGAGGTACCTGGTTCATCTTGTTGGGACTGGTTGAACAGTAGGTGCAGCCCATGGAGGGCGAGCTGAAGCAGGATGGGGCATCACCTCACCCAGGAAGCACAAGGGGTTGGGGGAGGGATTTCCCTTTTCTAGCCAAGGGAAGCTGTGACAGACTGTACCTGGAGAAACAGTACACTGCTGACCAAATACTGTGCTTTTCCCACAGTCTTAGCAACCTGCAGACCAGGAGATACCCTCCTGTGCCTGACTTGGTGGGTCCCACGCCCACAGAGCCTTGCTCACTGCTAGCACAGCAGTCTGAGATCGACCTGCGATGCTGCTGCTTGATGCAGTGAGGGGCGTCCACCATTGCTGAGGCTTGAGTAGCTCACAGTGTAAACAAAGAGGCCAGGAAGTGCAAACTGGGTAGAGCCCACCACAGCTCAGCAAGGCCTACTGCCTCTATAGATGCCATCTCTGGGGGCAGGGCATAGTAGAACAAAAGACAGAAAACAACTTCTGCAGACTTAAACGTCCCTGTCTGACAGTTCTGAAGAGAGCAGTGGTTCTCTTAGCATGGTGTTCAAGCTCCAAGAACAGATAGACTGCCTCAAGTGGGTCCCTGACTACCGTATAACCTGACTGGGAAACACCTCCCAGTAGGAGCCGACAGACACCTCAAACAGGAGGGTACCCCTCTGGGATGAAGCTTCCAGAGGAAGGATCAGGCAGCAATATTTGCTGTTCTGCAGTCTCCACTGGTGATATCAAGGCAAACAGGGTCTTCCAGCAAACTCCAACAGACCTGCAGCTGAGGGGTCTCTTAGAAGGAAAACTAACAAACAGAAATGAATCGCATCAACATCAACAAAAAAGATGTGCACTCACAGACCCCATCTGAAGGTCACCAACATCAAAGACCAAAGATAGATAAAACCACAAAGATGGGGAGAAACTAGAGCAGAAAAACTGACAATTCCAAAAAACAGGGTCTTTTCCTCCAAAGGATCACAGCTCCTTGCCAGCAAGGGAACAAAACTGGACAGAGAATGAGTCTGATGAGTTGACAGAAGTAGGCTTCAGAAGGTCGGTAATAACAAACTTCTCTGAGCTAAAGGAGTGTGTTCTAACCCATCGCAAAGAAGATGAAAAACCTTGAAAAAAGGTTAGACGAATGGCTAACTAGAATAAACAGTGTAGAGAAGACCTTAAATGACCTGATGGAGCTGAAAACCACAGCATGAGAACTTTGTGACGCATGCACAAGCTTCAACAGCCAATTCAATCAAGTGGAAGATCAGTGATTGAAGATCAAATTAATGAAATAAAGCAAGAAGACAAGATTAAAGAAAAAAAGCATGAAAATAAACGAACAAAGCCTCCAAGAAATATGGGACTATGTGAAAAGACCAAATCTACGTTTGATTGCTGTACCGGAAAGTGACAGGGAGAATGGAACCAAGCTGGAAAACACTCTTAAGGATATTATCCAGGAGAACTTCCCTAACCTAGCAAGGCAAGCCAACATTAAATTCAGGAAATTACAGAGAACACAAAGATACTCCTTGAGAAGAGCAACCCCAAGACACATAATTGTCAGATTCACCAAGTTTGAATGAAGGAAAAAAGGACAGCCAGAGAGAAAGGTCAGGTTACCCACAAAGGGAAATCCATCACACTAACAGCGGATCTCTCGGCAGAAACCCTACAAGCCAGAAGAGACTGGGGGCCAATATTTAGCATTCTTAAAGAAAGGAATTTTCAACCCAGAATCTCATATCCAGCCAAACTAAGCTTCATAAATGAAGGAGAAATAAAATCCTTTACAGACAAGCAAATGCTGAGAGTTTTTGTCACCACCAGGACGGCCTTACAAGAGCTCCTTAAGGAAGCACTAAACATAGAAAGGAATAACCAGTACCAGCCACTGCAAAAACATGCCAAATGGTAAAGACCATCGTTGCTATGAAGAAACTGCATCAATTAATGGGCAAAATAACCAGCTAACATCATAATGATAGGATCAAATTCAAACATAACAATATTAACCTTAAATGTAAATGGGCTAAATGCCCCAGTTGAAAGACAAAGACTCGCAAATTGGATAAAGAGTCAAGACCTATCAGTGTGCTGTGTTCAGGAGACCAATCTCATGTGCAAAGATGTACATAATCTCAAAATAAAGGGATGGAGGAAGATCTGCCAAGCAAATGGAAAGTGAAAAAAAATTAAAAAAAAAAAGCAGGGGTTGCAATCCTAGTCTCTGATAAAACAGACTTTAAACCAACAAAGATCAAAAGAGACCAAGAAGGCCACTACATAATGATAAAGGGATCAATTCACCAAGAAGAGCTAAGTATTCTAAATATATATGTACCCAATACAGGAGCACCCGGATTCATAAAGCAAGTTCCTAGAGACCTACAAGGAGACTTAGACTCCCACACAATAATAATGGGAGCCTTTAACACTCCACTGTCACTAGTAGATCAATGAGAAAGAAGGTTAACAAGGAAATCCAGGACTTGAACTCTGCTCTGGACAAAGCAGACCTAATAGGTACGTACAGAACTCTACATCCCAAATCATCAGAATATACATTCTTCTCAGCACCACATTGAACTTATTCTAAAATTGACCACATAATTGGTAGTAAAACACTCCTCAGCAAATATAAAAGAAATCACAGCAAACTGTCTCTCAGACCACAGTGCAATCAAATTAGAACTCAGGATTAACAAACTCACTCAAAACTGCACAACTACATGGAAACTGAACAACCTGCTCCTGAATGACTACTGGGTACATAACAAAATGAAGGCAGAAATAAAGATGATCTTTGAAACCAATGAGAACAATGACACAATGTACCAGAATCTCTGGGACACATTTAAAGCAGTGTGTAGAGGGAAATTTATAGCACTACATGCCCACAAGAGAAAGCAGGAAAGATCTAAAATTGACACCCTAACATCACAATTAAAAGAACTAGAGAAGCAAGAGCAAACAAATTCAAAAGCTAGCAGTAGGCAAGAAATAACTAAGATCAGAGAAGAACTGGAGGAGATAGAGACACAGAAAACCCTTCAAAAAATCAATGAATCCAGAAGCTGGTTTTCTGAAAAGATCAACAAAATGGATAGTCCACTAGCAAGACCAGTAAAGAAAAGAGAGAAAAATAAATTCAATAAAAAATGATAAAGGGGTTATCACCACTGATCCCACAGAAATACCACCGTGAGAGAATACTATAAACACCTCTATGCAAATAAACAAGAAAATCTAGAAGAAGTGGATAAATTCCTTGACACATACACCCTCCCAAGACTAAGCAAGGAAGAATTTGAATCTCTGAATAGACCAATAACAGGTTCTGAAATTGAGGCAATAATTAATAGCCTACCAACCAAAAAAAGGAACAGGACCAGACAGTTTCACAGCCCAATTCTACCAGAGGTACAAAGAGGAGCTAGTACCATTCCTTCCAAAACTATTTCAATCAATAGAAAAAGAGGGAATCCTGCCTAACTCATTTTATTAGGCTAGTATCATCCTGATACCAAAGCCTGGTAAAGACACAACAAAAAAGAATTTTAGGCCAATATCCCTGATGAACATCAATGTGAAAATCCTCTATAAAATACTGGCAAACTGAATGCAGTAGCACATCAAAAAGCTTATCCACCACAATCAAGTCAGCTTCATCCCTGGGATGAAAGGCTGGTTCAACATGCAAATCAATAAATGTAATCCATCACATAAACAGAACTATCGGCAAAAACCACATGATTATCTCAATAGATGCAGAAAAGGCCTTCAACAAAATTTAACACCCCTTCATGCTAAAAACTCTCAATAAACTAGGTATTGATTGAATGTACCTCAAAATAAGAAGAGCTATTTATGAAAACCCACAGCCAATATCATCTGAATGGGCAAAAACTGGAAGCATTCCCTTTGAAAACCAGCACAAGACGAGGATGCCCTCTCTCACCACTGCTATTCAACATAACGTTGGAAGTTCTGGCTAGGGCAATCAGGCAAGAGAAAGAAAGAAAGGGTATTCAAGTAGGAAAAGAGGAAGTCAAATTGTCCCTGTTTGCAGATGACATGATTGTATATTTAGAAAACCCCATTGCCTCAGTCCAAAATCTCCTTAAGCTGATAAGCAACTTCAGCAAAGTCTCAGGATACAAAATCAATATGCAAAAATCACAAGCATCCCTATACACCAATAACAGACAAACAGAGAGCCAAATCATGAGTGAACTCCCATTCACAATTGCTTCAAAGGGAATAAAATACCTAGAAATCCAACTTACAAGGGATTTGAAGGACCTCTTCAAGGAGAGCTACAAACCACTGCTCAACAAA
Source organism: Homo sapiens (assembly GCF_000001405.40). Lineage (NCBI taxonomy): Eukaryota > Metazoa > Chordata > Mammalia > Primates > Hominidae > Homo > Homo sapiens. The sequence goes on along the minus strand of NC_000007.14, from coordinate 106,556,138 downwards.
GTAAAAGAGGACACAAACAAATGGAATAACCTTCCATGCTCATGGATAGGAAGAATCAATATCGTGAAATGCCATCCCCATCAAGCTACCACTGACTTTCTTCACAGTATTGGAAAAAACTACTTTAAATTTCATATGGAACCAAAAAAGAGTCCTCACAGCCAAGATAATCCTAAGCCAAAAGAACAAAGCTGGAGGCATCACACTACCTGACTTCAAACTATACTACAAGCCTACAGTAACCAAAACAGCATGGTAGTGGTACCAAAACAGATATATAGACCAATGGAACAGAACAGAGGCCTCAGAAATAACACCACACATCTACAACCATCTGATATTTGAAAAACCTGACAAAAATAAGCAATGGGGAAAGGATTCCCTATTTAATAAATGGTGTTGGGAAAACTGGCTAGCCAAATGTAGAAAGCTGAAACTGGATCCTTTCCTTACACCTTATACAAAAATTAACTGAAGATGGATTAAAGACTTAAACGTAAGACCTAAAACCATAAAAACCCTAGATGAAAACCTAGGCAATACCATTCAGGACATAGGCATGGGCAAGGACTTCATGACTGAAACACCAAAAGCAATGGCATCAAAAGCCAAAATAGATAAATGCGATCTGATTAAAGAGCTTCTGCACAGCAAAAGAAACTATCATCAGAGTGAACAGGAAACCTACAGAATTGGAGAAAATTTTTGCAATCTACCCATCTGACAAAGGGCTAATATCAAGAATCTACAAAGAACTTAAACAAATTTACAGGGAAAAAAACCATCAAAAAGTGGGCAGAGGATATGAACAGACACTTCTGAAAAGAAGAGATTCATGCAGCCAACAGACATATGAAAAAATGCTAATCATCACTGGTCATCAGAGAAATGCAAATCAAAACCACAGTGAGATACCATCTCACGCCAGTTAGAATGGTGATCATTAAAAAGTCAAGAAATAATAGATGCTGGAGAGGATGTGGAGAAATAGGAATGCTTTTACACTGTTGGGAGTGTAAATTAGTTCAACCATTGTGGAAGACAGTGTGGTGATTCCTCAAGGATCTAGAACTAGAAATACCATTTGACCCAGTGATCGCATTACTGGGTATATATCCAAAGGATTATAAATCATGCTACTATAAAGACACATGCACATGTATGTTTATTGCAGCACTGTTCACAATAGCAAAGACTTGGAACTAACCCAAATGTTTACCAATGATAGATTGGATTAAGAAAATGTGGCACATATACACCATGGAATACTATGCAGCCATAAAAAAGGATGAGTTCATGTCCTTTGTAGGGACATGGATGAAGCTGGAAACCATTCTAAGCAAACTATCACAAGGACATAAACCAAACACTGCATGTTCTTACTCATAGGTGGGAGTTGAACGAGAACACATGGACACAGGGCAGGGAACATCACACACTGGGGCCTGTTGTGGGGTGGGGAGCTAGGGCAGGGATAACATTAGGAGAAATACTTAATGTAAATGACAAGTTGATGGGTGCAACAAACCAACATGGCACATGTATACATATGTAACAAGGCTACACATTGTGCACGTGTACCTTAGAACTTTAATAATAATAAAATGTATGAAAATAATGTAAGATAACTCATTAATAATTTTGGTTTGGGATACATGTTGAAATATTTTGATATATAGGTGAAAATACTTTTAAATTAATATTTCTCTTGCTTTTTTAATGTGTTTACTAGAAAATTAAAATTTCCTCTACGTGGCTGCCATTATGTTTCTACTGGATAGTGCTGGTCTTAGAGCATATGTGTTCCTCCCCCTACCAGCTTCTCTTTCTGGTATACCTACTTCTGAGAAGTTGACACCTGTGCCCATCCTGGGCCTCTGCCAAAATCCCAACTCCTCTGTGAGGAGTGAGGAGTGCCTTGGCGGCTACTCTGACTTTTCTTCATGTAAAGGGATTTGAGACCCATCCCATGTATGGCCTACTTTCATCAGCTTCTGAATTTCAAATGCAGATGTGTATGTGTTGTGACTTTGTGTATGTACAATTCCTGAAACGTCTAGTTTACTAGGAGAGCTCAATAAAGTTAATAACACTGATAATACCCTAAACTATGGGAGGTCTTAGAGTAAGATGACAACTATAGACATGGAAATCAATCACCTTTTTATCTTTTAACCATCCCCAAATTTGGTTTGCCCCTATGCCAACTTAAATGACTCAGGGAGGGGAACATACAGTGATTCCTAGCTAGGTAGGGTTTAGGGGACCTGACTTGACTTTGAATTTTTCTAAGCTATGTACTGAGCAGGACCTCATCAAAGTGCAGTGGTAGACAGAGTTCATCCTGGCTCTATGGTGTCTTTTATCTTTCCATTCTCCCTTTCAGTGAGCCTCCAAACGTCCACTCCTAGTACTCAGGGATCTGACTGTCAAAGACTTATCTTTTACCTCTTGCTGTCCTCCCCTGGCGTGTTCTCACCCCTCCTCTATTCCTTCAGAGCCCTGCTCTCTAAGATTCAGCTGATTTGATTGGTGTGGTAATGGAAGAGCAACCCACAGTCTTAGGCAAGAGTCTTAAATTTGAAGGTTCCAATGAAGTAGACCCAAGTTATCCCTTTCCAACAGAAGACGTCAGTTGATGGATTTTGAGGATATTTGATTTCATGTGAGATGGTGCCACTGAGCAAATGGTAGATGCCCCAAAGCAGCAGATGAAGAATTAAAGAGGACTGCCCTTAGTGACATCTTGGAATGATTTGGGGGTGTGGGAAACCTCTCCTGCCCTCCAAACTCCTCCTTTCTCCCAGAATATCAAATTACTTTTTCAGAGAAAGTAATGGGAGGGGAGGGGTTTATGAGACAGGAAATGTTGAAGAAGCGCTGGACTCATCAGCCCCAAAGATTAAGGATGGCCTTCTCCTCCCTCCAGATAGGAACATAGCTGGACACCTTGGGGGCAGCTTCTTGAGGACAGAACTGACCTGTGCCTCTTGAAGGCAAAGGCATTATAGGTTCTCAATACATATTGAATGCTCAACTGACTGGCTGAGGTGAAGAAGGAGATGGTTGATTTTGCAGTCTATTAATAACAGCCATAATCTCAAGTGACTCACAGACCTTGAAAAAAGATGATGTGGCCTTCATTGCAGTTTTGCAGAAGTGAAAATCGCCATTGCATGAAACTGTTGAAAGGGGATCTTCAGAATGACTTTGGTGAAATGTTTAGCGACTCTCTTGTAAACCGCAAAGCTGTACAAGGCAACAATGCTCATGATATCCCAGAGCAATGTGGGCAATGGCCACACAAGAGATCCTCAAGGGAGTTCTCTGAGTTTAGGGGACATGTATTGCAGGAGTCAGCCATAAAGGATGGGAAGCGTGCATGGGGCCCTGTGCAAGGCCCTTTGTGAAGCAAGTAAAACACATCATCCCTTTGGCAATTTTCCACTGAGACCACACAAAGAATAAAATATTTAAACATAAACAAATTATGTGTTTCTTCAAAATGTCTTCTTATCTAATTTCCCTCTTTTTTACTACTGTTCCCTCCTAACTTCTCTGTCAGGCTCTAAAAATTCTCTTTCTTTCATCTCTCTGTCCTGGACCATAAATGGCCTTTATGCGGGCTCCTCTCTCTTTCTCTCATGCAGAAGGCAGCTGAATTGCTTTTCCACTTAATTCCAGGCCTAATGAAAGTATCTAGGCCTTGAACCACCCAACCATTCAGCTTTTGCTTATGTTTTTTTCCTCTCTTTCCTTCCAACTCTCTAGTTTACCCCTTCATTCTGGTTAATTGTATTAACTTGTTTTCCTGTATGAATCCTCCTTTAGATTACTTGGATTGTCCTGGAATGGGCTTGAGAGAGTTTATCATTCTTTGTCCACCATTCTTAATGTGGCTCCCTACCACCTGGGCCTGGCTCAAGAGAAGAGGCAGACAGGGTTCTGTGTAAGTGGGCAGACACCAAATGAGGAATGGTGGGATGTCTGGGGTTCCTCGTGTCCTGTATCAGCAGTGAGTCAGCTAGCAGGAACAAGCCTTTGACAAAGTCTTTCAAGTAAGGAAAAACCTTGTTGTGGTTCTAGGATGTGTCTAAATTAGGGTTTGGAACTGGGCATGTCTTGGCCCAAAGCTCATGGTCTACCTGCTATAACTACTGGTGTTGAAACCCCAGGTGATGCTGCCTAAGAAGTCATGGTTGTGTGAGGACTTGCTGCTTCCTTCATTTGTCATTCTGACAAGGTGTCAGGAAATTTAGCCAATAGCAATAACAATCAATGTGCTCTTCTCTACCATACTGAATGAATGCCATGGCAGCTGATCAACAAGAGAATGCCATATTGAAGAGTCTCATTATAAGTCATGTATAACAGAGATGTAGGTATTCTATGACAGGGGAGTGAACTATAGTACCTTGCAAAGACCAGTGTTTGTGGGTTAAAAAAAAAAAGACTGATGCTCAGGTGTAGACATGAGACTCCAGAATGATTTCTGTTTTGCCTTGTAAGCTATCAGTTAATCTGATGGGGATAGAAAAGGCAAAATCTCAGCATGTCAGCATGTCAGTAATTCAACATAACTGACTCTTGTTAAGCTTGTATTCTTTGGCTGAGTGGTGAGAAGCCTACCCAAGTCTTATTTACCCCCATAATCGACCTCAGGAGATATTTAGTTTTTTTCATTGATCTTTTCCCTACAAGTGATGAATGTGAATGGTTAGGTTCCCTTCTATCCATAAGTTTCTTAAACAGGACAGATGGATATGCAGACCACTGTAAGAAACAATAGTGTCTAGTAATTATGTCTGGTAAACTATTAATTTTTTCATTTAGCTCTTTGACAGCTATTTTCTGAGGGCGCCTGATGATATGCTAGGAATTACAGATGCAATGGTGACTGAAGTAAAGATGGTCCTTGCTTCGATGAAACATGCACCTTAACAACAAATGCAGAAAAGTCAAGGAAATTACATGATAAAAATATTAATCCATAATAAGTACTTTTTATATTTAATTTTATTTTTAAATATTTAAGTCATTGATCCATTCAGAACTTATTTTGGCAAAGGAATGATACAGAAATCCAAATGTTTTACCCTAAAACACTAGCCAGTTTTCACAATATCATTTATTAAAGGGACCATGTTTTCTCTACAGATTTGAAATGATACCCTTATTATATACCAAATTCTCATATTTATAGGACTGTTTTGGCATTGTATTCTGTTACATTGATTTGTCTCCCTGCTTTTGGCTCAGTGATGGTTTTTAATTTCTGTAACTTTATAATAATGTTTTTCTAGTTGGCAAACAAGTCTTCTTTATTTCCTTCTCCTTTACCTTTTCCTCCTCCTTTCCAGGTCATTCCATGTATGTATTTTTTTCAGATGACATTTAGAATAATTTTAAGTTCCTGATCTCCCCAAATTCTTTTTTAAAAACCCTGGGTCGGCAAGGCTATTTAAAGTCCTGTTGATGAGGTATCTATTGCAAGTGTTCCTCTGCCAAAATAATTCTAGAAATTCAATATATATGTTAAACTAAGATTCCTAGTTATTGCTCATGGGGAAACATTCTTTGGTGGGCTGTGTTAAGTAGTAAAGCCTATAAAAGATATCCCTTTAGAGTATTTTAAAACAGCAATTCCAGACGTAACTTCTAATCAATGACTTCATGCAAACAGTTTCTCAATGTGTTTTGTATAAAATGAATAAGGTAAATTAGGAGCTGCCTGCTGAAATTTATAAGAAAAATTTCCTTATAATAGGTACCCTTTATAGGAAGATAATTCATCCTGCAAGCTGGAAAACAATTTGATTTGTTCCTTTCACACACATTCAGTAACTATAGATCTGTTACAGAATCTTAGAGTACTTTTCGATCAACCCAGAGTGGTGAATTAATGAAATATAACATCAAAATTTTCAGTGGAAGCAATACAATATATTCTGGTATATGTAGTGGCAGCTGATTCAAGGCATCATATTAGGTCTTTCTTTTCCAAGCTTGTAGTCAAACTATGTAATCACAAACATAAGGCAGAATACACCAGGGCAGAATCCATGGTGACATAATTAAGGACATAGGCTTATCTTAAGTAGAGTCCCAAAGGAGGTTGAAGATCATTAAAGACATACAGAAAACATGGAACTTCTTATCTCACACAGTAACAAGCAAATAACAAGGATTTCTTTATCAATATGAAATGGAAAGATTAGTATATTAAATATTGGAATCATCTTTGGTTTGAATCCATTATGCACCAGTTAATATGACCACGACCTCAGGAAATTTACTTAACCTCTCAGAATATTAATGTGAGTAAAAACTCTCTTGTGTAAATCCTAGGGCTCATGACGATGTACCAACAGAGACTGAAAAGCCATCTTCTTCATGCTCTGGACGGCACTGTTATACTGAAGTTCTAAAACCAATCAACTATGATAATAAAAGCTTCCTGATTACTGCCTTTTATGGAAGAAAAATATTAAGAAAATGTACTGCCCCAAGAAAAGATTTAAGATTGTTCTTTTAAATCTATTTTATCCAACCAAATAAAAAGCTTTAAACATTTTTAAAGTAGTTTCAGCTTAGATTGCACTACTTTGCCTTGAGTGGAGTAAATATTCATGTCAGGGCATGGGACAGCTTGCATTACTGTTCCCAATTATTTGAGAGGCATAAGCTTCCTCTCCCACTGGCATCAAGATGCTCCCTACTCCACATCAGGCCCTCTGACTGGCTTTGGCCAATGTGGGTGAGAGTGACACATGGCATTTTAGTGAAAGATATTAAGAGCCTTCATGAGGTTCTAACATTTTCTTTCTTTTTCCCCTTCACCACTTGAGATTTATATCCCAAGATGTGAAAGGGCTGGTACTCCAACTTGGTCCTAGGTTGAAAATGGAGAGCAGAATCATAGCTAATGCAGCTGACATCTACTGTGACCAAAAAATATTTGGTTGCTGTTGTAAGCCTTTGAGATTTGGGGGCTGTCATCAATCTAGGCTAAGCTGACTAATACAAAGCATCATTCCAAAATGGTAGTTATAATGTCACATTTCTACTTCTTCATGTGGATACCCAATTTCTAAAAGAAGTGTAAGATTCTCTATATTTTCATGGGTTCATCCTCTGTTGATTCCATGATTATGATATCACTGAAATAATGCCTAGGGATTTTAGACAGTTGCATTTTTATTGAAAAATCCCAAAGGTAACACAAATTCATGTGGAAAAATATTGAATTCTGACAATTAATCATTTTAAAGCATGGTTCAGTGGCTTTATAAACAATAAGCTGTTGATAAACTTTGTGAAAACAAATTTGACAAAGGCCTCTTTCACTCCTATACAATAAATACTCTACCAGTTGTACCCTTGGCCAAATCATGTGCCAGGAAACTGAGGATGGAAGTGGAAGTGGCACCTTTCACTATTACTCCTCATGATAGACTCATAAAATATTGCTTCTTATCCCCATGACACTGGCCCCTGCTGGGGTAGATAGAGCACAAGTGCCCAAAGAAGGGATGCTTCCACCAGGGCATGTGACAGTGGTTCTGCTGAATTGGAGGTAAGACAGCTACCCAGACATCTTGACCTCCTAATGTCATTGGATAAACAGGCAAAAAATAAAAAAGAATTAACCAGGGTGAGCTCTTAATGACTAAGGAAAAATAGTGTACTTTATACACAATGGGGCAGGTCTGACGTGGTTAGTTTTCCTGCTATTAATATTATGTTGGCTCCCCTGTAGTACCCCCAGTACCCCATATCTTGTAGTAAAAGTTTTTGGAAGACCACTGCAATCTCTCATAGGCAGGACTAGCCAGAGTTCAATCCTTGAGAAAAGATGACGTGAGTCAAACTACCAAGAGAAGAACCCCAACCACCCGAGGTGCTGACTGAGGACAAAGAATATGGAATGGGTAGTGGAGGACAGAAGTCATAAATATCAGCCACAGCCTTGTGAACAGATGCAGAAAAGAGGATTATTGTATCTACCCATATTTTTTTCTTACTGTATCATTTAAATATGTATATATTTTAAATAATTTTCCATTTTTCCTCTTTTTTAAAATAGGATGTATTGGTTAACTTTATGGTTTAGTTTATTGGATTCAGAATACAGATATAACAGAATTAGAGGAGAGATGTATATCACCTGTAGATTCTGGACTTAAAGCCAGATTTAGGCATAAAACATTATCTTCTCTATCTTTAAGGAGGGGACAAGTGTGCTTTTGTTTGTAACAATGGAGAGCTGGGTTATATTGACATGACCATTTTGTTTTTAGTGTTGATAGTGTAGTTATAATCTGGAAGTTTGAGTGTGGAGGAGAGTGAAATAAATGATGGGCCATAATGGATGTGTCATGTTTTCATCATCTACCAGCTTATTTGACCATCATTCTTACTTTCAGTAATTTCCCATGTTATGAATCCAGTCTTCCCAAGGAAGAAATCTTTGCCACCTTTACCTGATACTAAATGTGACCCAGTTCTCGTATCAGGTATACCCAAATAAAGCTTCATTTTGAGGGACAGTGATGTAAAGAAAAAATCACTATCTAAAGTATGCTTTGGAAATAGTGGCTATCCCTGTGTTCTGCTATGGGAGTTGTGCTGGTTAATTTTATGGAATTTGACTGGGCTAAGGGATGCCCAGGTAGCTGGTAGGACATTTATCCTGGGTGTGTTTGTGAGGGCATTTCTGGAAGAGGTTTGCATTTCAATCAGTAGACTGAGTAAAAAAACATCTACTCTCACCAATGTCGGTGGACATCATCCAATCTGTTGAAGGCCTGGATAAAACCAAAAGGGAAAGGAAATGCAAATCCACTGTGTATTGGAGCTAGGATGTTCATCTTCTCCTGCCCTTGGAGATCAGTGTTCCTGGTTCTTGGGCCTTTGAACTTGGACTGAATTTCAGTTTCCTGGTTTTCCAGCAGGAGATGACAGATTGTGGATTGTGGGACTACTTGGCCTCCATAATCATATGAGCCAATTCCTATGAGAAATGAGTAGATGAAAACATACACACACACGCACACACATGCACACACACACACACCCTATTGATTCTGTTTCTTTGGACAACCCTGACTAAGGGGAGAGCAGCAGGTGAGCCTATAGCATCCAGGGCACAGTGTCATTGGTACAAGCTGCTTTATTTGTCCTTGGGAAACAGGGTTTTTGCTGGAGTTGTCTTTTGGTATGTTCTAGATGTTCTAGCTGAGTAGCCTCCAAGTATAATTCTCTAGGCCTACTGGAGACTCTATGAGCTATCTAACATCTGTTAACCTATTTATTTTTTCCTACATGAATTAGAGTAGGTTTTGCTATTTCCAACAAATGAAAAGCCTTTTCAAAATTTTACAGAAGGACCATGTCACCCACCTCTCAAGCAAGATTTTCTTCAGCATGCTAAATAGAAGCTGTTTATGTATTGTATTTACAAAGCATTGTTTAGTAGACCTCAGTAGAGTAGCTGTTTATTTGATAAAACGTGAGGTGTTGCTAGGTTGATAAATTGTTAAATGCCTTTTATACCTGTCTGGCCTATTGCCCTTTTCTATGATCATTCATCAAATACTCAATCTTTTTATTCAGCAAATGTTTATTGAGATCCTACTGTGTGCCAAGCAGTGTAATAGTTGCTGCAACTACAGCAGTACCTGATACAGACAAGGTCCTTGTCCTCGCACAGTTTATAATCAAATGGAAGAGTCAGGCAATTAACAAACCAATAAATAACGAAGCTAATAAAATGTGATAAGTGTTTTAAAGGAAATATACTAAGTGAGGCAAAGTCAAACTATAGCTGGAGGAGATACTATCTTTGGAAGGATGGTGATAAAAGGTGGCTGGTAGACATTTAAAGTTAAACTTTAATTTTATATTAACATGTACATCTGTTGTTCCCATCCTCATCAAGTGAGGCATTATGATAGGAATTCTATTCACAAAGAAATCTTGGCCTAATTCTCTTTAAAAATAAGGTGTCCTTACTGTGTTATAAGATTCTCTAAAAAGCACTGTCTTCAGTACCAATGAGGATAGCCCACTAGGTATGTAGTACCAGTTAGTTAGAGAGCTCTGTGTTTCAATAAGTGATTCAGTTCTTTTCAACTACCATTTTCAAGCCAGTTGATATAATGTCTAGGTTCTGGTGAAATGACTATGGCTTTTCTTGTAGATTCCTAAATACATGTAAATCCAAAATACAGAAGATAACATCCCATTCTAGGGGTATGACTAGACACTGAGCATCTACTATATACCGGATGCTGTACATAGTGGAAAAAAAAGACAAACATTGACTTTATGTGATTACCATATCTGTTACATCAAGTATTGCTATCTTGTAGAACATCACCTATCTTGTAGAAAGGATACCTATCTTAAAAACCTTGACAAACGCCCTAGAAAGGAAAATGTCTCAAGAAACTTTTCTTTAATTATTGCTACATCCAATCTCACATTCAAAATCTCAGAGGTCATTATTTATACCTCTGTTTCCTTCGCTTTTCACATGTAATACATCAGCAAGTTCTGCTGACTTCACCTTTAAATCTATGTGAAACTGTGTCACTGTCAGATCACCACTGCTACCATCCTCGTTTTCATGGCCACTATCTCTCACACAGACTGCTGTCATGATGCTGGTCTTCCTGTTTCAGTGGTGGATGGTAAACATTCCCCTTGCTGTCTAAGAGGAAAAGCCCTACTTTGTAGTCTTCACCAGTTTCTGTGGTGTAAACACTTCCACCACGGCCATTTCAAACTACCAACATGATGTCAATGAACAGAGAGTTGGGAAGAGAGGCACAGATAAAAAGATGTAAGTAACCTCCAGTGCATCAATAATGGTGAATGTAGTAAAATAATTAGAAAGTGATTTTTAAAAATTATTTACAATTGATACAGGAGCTAGAAATTGTTTAGGCAGACAGTAAGGGTAAGAAAGTCCTCCATAAGGTTTTCTTTTCGGTGAAAAGCAGCCCCCAAATCATTTCTTTTCTAACAAAGAGCAGCCTGTAAAATCAAGCTGCAAACAGAGATAATAAGCAAGCTGGAAGCTTGCACAGGTGAATGCTGGCAGCTGTGCCAATAGGAAAAGGCTACCTAGGGGCTAGACATGTTCAACATGGCGGCTCCATCTTCCCTTTTCTTTGTCAACCTCGTGTGCAGTAAGGAGCAGACAACATGGCATCAGCCAGGTAGAAAACCCATTTGCATAATAAAAGGTTAGGGTGGGATGGCCAGCTTCTTCCCACGCTATATAAATGTCACACCTGGTACAACCAATCTTTGGGCCTTATGTAAATCAGACACCACCTCTCAAGCCAGTCTATGAAACCCTGTGCATTTTACCACAGAAGTGGAAGACCCACTTGGGCGCTGCTCTCTCTCTCTCTCTGCAAGAGAGAGAGCTATCCTCTTTTCTCTTTCTTTCACCGATTAAACCTTTGCTCTTAAGCTCACTCCTTGTGCGTCCGCTTCCTCTATTTCCCTGGTATGAGATGACGAACCTCAGGAATCACCCCAGACAAATGATGCCATTTCACAATCTTTTTTAATATCACTTATTTGTGAGTTTATATAATTTAATTTTCAATAATTGTTGTGTTTAACAATTGGTTCACAAATTCCTGAAAATTTAATAGCTCTTGTGCCTCCAGCACACCACTGCTTCCTCTCTTAAGCCCCTACAGTCCAGGGGCCAATTCCCTACACTGCAGTCCGATTCCCTACAGCCAGACCCTGTGACCAGAGTGATCTTTAAAAAACCCATATCTGATAGGCCAGGCACGGTGGCTCACGCCTGTAATCCCAGCACTTTGGGAGGCCGAGGCGGGCGGATCACGAGGTCAGGAGATCAAGACCATTCTGGCTAACACGGTGAAACCCCGTCTCTACTAAAAATACAAAAAATTAGCCGGGCGTAGTGGTGGGCGCCTGTAGTCCCAGCTACTCGGGAGGCTGAGGCAGGAGAATGGCGTGAACCCGGGAGGCGGAGGTTGCAGTGAGCCGGGATAGCGCCACTGTACTCCGGCCTGGGCGAAAGAGCGAGACTCCGTCTCAAAAAAAAAAAAAAAAAAAAAAAAAAAAAAAAAAAAAAGTACATCTGATAACATTAGACTAAAATCTAAACTCCTCACCATGACCTTCAAGACCCTTCAAAGTCAAGCTCTGCTTACCTCTCAAATCTCACTTTTTTTTTTGAATTTTTACAGCCCCAATTTTATTTTACAAACCAATGGCAGCTACTAGAAGATTCTTTAGGAAACCTTAGCTAAGCCACATAATCAGGCCTATACAAGTACAGAAAAAGCTAAACATCAAATCTCACTTTTTGAACATTCTCTCTTCTCACTCGGTCCTCTCCAGCCACATTGGCCATTCTGCTGTGTTCTCAGACACACCAAGTCATTTATTCCTTAGAAACTTTGCACTTGTTATTCTCTCTGCCTGGGATGCTTTTCCTTCAGAGATTCCCAAGGCTTGCTCACATCTCTAAAACAAGTCTTTTCCCCGACTACTCTTTAAGGGAGAGTCCACCTTTTCCACCCTCAGCATACTCTAGTCCATCTCCTTGCTTGATTTTCTTCACTGAACTTTCACTATCTGGAATTTATTATCTGTTTGTTTCTTTATTTGTTGTTGTCCCACTAGATTGTGAGTGTGAGGAGGGCAGGGGCTTTGTCTATCTGGTTCATTGCTGTATCCCTGGGGCCTAGAACAGCACCTGGTCCTTGAAGAGCATTAGAGCCTTCACATTCCACGGCCCCTGGGGTATTCACTATGGATAGTGTTCCTCTGTGGAACATCATTCATGCAGGATAAATCAATGGTAAACAAATCTTCAGTGAATGTGTGCTGTCTGCTCAGCAATGTGCTATAACTGCTTGACTTGTGTTTTGAGCTCTAACATTTCAAAAAGTCTGCCAGAGCCTTGCATATCTCCCAGATTGGAAAGAATGAGAATTCCTTATGATCAGAAATCACAAGACTGAGAATACTAGTTTGTTTTTTTAGAAGAGTCTTACTTGCAGGAATAGTTTCAAAATAGTTGCCTCATAAACTTCTGAGCCCTGGAAGTCCTGACTATTTCTGCCTGGCTCTTGAAATTTGTTCTGGCACTGTCTGAAGCTCTTCTTCACTCCAGCTTTGGGCTTCTGGATGAAAGCTCCTGGTTTTTTTTTTTTTTTTTTTTTTTTTTTCCACTCACCACTGTGAACTACACACCCAAATCCCCAACCCCAGCATTTTTCTTTATTCTGTCTTTGGCAGTTGTTTTTGTATTCTGGTTTTAGTTTGATGTTTTCAGACTGTTTCCTGTTCTAGCCATGGGCTATCTCTGGCTGGCTTCAGTGTGTCTTGTAGAATTTGTGCCCCACCTCCCTCTAGCTGCTTGTTTTTTCCACATTCTCTGTCTCTGAGTAGGGATTTTCTTACGCCCTGTTCACATCTGCCCCCTCCTGGCAGGTATGATATTTAGTGGAGTGAACTTGACTCTAGTTCTTGATCAGTTTTGTGCTTAATTTAGTATTGACTCTAGGTCTTGATCAACGCATCCTTCTACATGTAATGGGCAACGTTTATTCAGTTCCTAGCTTTGACCAGCTAGATGAAGAATGTGGACAAAACACAGGAGAGTAGATAAGTCAGTGCTCATTACAGGGGGTGTGTGCCCCACAAGAGCTGCATAAGGTGGTCCATTGGGAAACTGGAAAGAAATGTTAGAAACTCTCTTTCTAATTTTATTTTTTAATTTCCATATTTGTGTATGATCAAAGCAACTTTATGGACAAAGATGTATGATCAATAGAGTTTGGAGACCACTGTTCTGGATAATAATTCTACTTATACTTTATAACCAATAATGACTCAGTCATTTACACACAGTGTGTACATTATGTAAAATAAATCATATTCACCCCCACATTGAATCATTTTTATTGCTGGTGTCTGGGCAGTCATGAAATTCTTCATGCCCCTCTTACATTATAAAGTTCTTACTAGGTACAGTTTAATAAACCTATGGCTAGGGGTGAGCAGTGAGGGAATACTATATCATACTGACTGTTTGATCTTTCCAGAAATACTATTCCTTGTGAAAGATTCATCCTATTTTAAATGTGAGCCTCTGCAAATCTTAAAATAGTTGAAATGCTTCCAAGTGAAATAATATGTCATATCACTGAATCAGTTAAAATATGCTTCGACTCAAAATATCTTTGATATTGTGTGTTTTAAACTTTATTGAAAATCACTTAACATTTATTAAGAACTTTTTGTTTTTCTTTTGTACTGGGTGGATAGTTGTCAACTTGGCATTATCCCTGCCTCTTGCCATGGAGCTTTTGGGTTTGATTCTGCTACTGAGAGGAATTTGCATGACATTTGGAAAGAGATAATAGAAGTCATCATTTATGGTTATGGACAAAAGTAGGGACAGTGGCAGACTCGAGGCAGCTTCTCTGTGAACTACTGCTTGGGTGCTGTAAGCAGCTGAGACCAGCAGTAGTGGTTTCCCTGATAATCCTGTTTCATAAATGAAACAACATTTTACTTTTATTTTTTATAAAATCCAGATTCTGCACAACTGACTTAACCTTTTAAACATATTAATTTGACCCCCAAATTAATCTATAATTTCATAGCAAATCCAACCAAAATTCAGGTAAAATTTTTCTTTTTCTGCGGGATTAGGGTGGGGAGAGGGTAGGGAACCTGATAAACTATTTCCAAAATATATAAAGTAGAATAAGGGTTCACATTAGGAAAAGCAACTATACCACATAAAAACATAAAATGGAAGATTCACACCACTAGATACTAAAATGTTTTACAAAGTCATAGACAAAAAAAATAATGTGGTACTTGCAGGTAGACAAAGCAGTGAAATAGAGAACTATATATGCACAGCAGATCCTCAGATAACATAATTTCATTCAACATCATTTAATTATAATGTTGATATGAAAAAAAATGGATTCCCAGCCAGGGAAACTCCACTGTGTGGAGTCTGCACGTTCTCCCAATGTCTGTGTGGGTTTTCTCCGGGTATTCCAGTTTCCTCCCACGTCCCAAAGATGTACATGTTATGTGAGTTGGTGTGTCTACACGATCCCAGTGTGAGTGAGTGTGGGATGGTGTCCTCTCCAGGGTGTGTTCCCGCTTCATGCTTTGAGCTGCTGGAATATGCCAGTTGCAATATAATAAATGAATGAATACAAATTATTGTCAAATAAAAATTCATAAAGTAGACAATAATCATACAAACGCATGACAGTAACTGATGTGGTAGGAAAGCGTTCAGTGGCTGGGTGTGGTGGCTCACGCCTGTAATCCCAGTACTTTGGGAAGCCAAGGCCAGCGGATCACCGGAGGTCAGGAGTTCGAGACCAGCCTGGCCAACATGGCAAAACCCTGTCTCTACTAAAAACACAAAAATTAGGCAGACATGGTGGCACGCACCTGTAATCCCAGTTACTCAGGAGGCTGAGGCAGGAGAATTGCTTGAACCTGGGAGGTGAAGGTTGCAGTGAGCTGGCCGAGATCGTATTACTACACTCCATCCTGGGGGATAGAGCGTAGAGCGAGACTCTGTCTCCAAAGAAAAGAAAAGAAAAAAGAAAAGAAAAGAAAAGAAGAAAGGAAAGGAAGGAAGAAAGAAAGGAGGAAGGAAGGAAGGAAAGAGAAGGAGCTCAGTGAGCCACTGGATTTGATTGCTTTGTTTTGTTTTTTTAAGATAGAGTCTCACTCTGTCACCCATTGCATTGCTGGAGTGCAATGGCGTGATCTCAGCTCACTGCAACCTCCACCTCCCAGGTTCAAGAAATTCTCCTGCCTCAGCCTCCCAAGTAGCTGGGATTACAGGCACCTGACACCACACACGGCTAATTTTTTGTATTTTTGGTAGATACGGGGTTTTGCCATGTTGGCCAGGCTGGTCTTGAACTCCTGACCCTGAGGTCACCTGAGTGATCCATCTGCCTTGGCCTCTTAAGTGCTGGGATTATAGGCATGAGCCACCATGCCTGGCCTTGGAGTTGATTGTTTTTGAACTGCATGGGGGCAGGAGGTGCTTCTGACCATTTTTTCTTTGCAAACATTTATTCCTTAACTCACTACCACAACCATTGTCACTCACTAGAAATTGGATAAATAATTATCTTGTTTTTATTAATCTTTCTTAAATGTATGTATAGCTCAGATTTATTTTAGTGTTTAATATTGCAAGTGTTTTGGTCTTTATTTAGAAGTTTCATAATGTTTTTGTGACCAGAAATACGCCAAAGGAGCTTAACTCTTGTTTATATCAATTAGTCTGTGGCAAAATTGGTTTCCTCATATGTTTTTTCACTTAAAGTCAGAGTTTCCAAGAACCTGTCAATAATGTTAAGTGAGGACTTACTGATATGCATATATGTGTGTCTGTATATCTATATATATATGAACTTGGTATAGGCTAGTGGAGGCATCCCAAAATAGTGGGGAAAAGATAGGGTCTCATATGACATATAAAAATCATCTCCAATGGATTAAGTAACTAAATGGGAAGGAGTGAAATGATAGAGCTAACACAAAGGAAAAAAAAGCTAGGAGAACATTTGTGGTCTCTGAATGAGGAGGGTTTTCTTTTAAAAATCTAAAAAGCAGAAAATTTGTATCAAATCCAAGATTTAAGGTCATTAAGATGATGGTCATTATAGAGTTAGCAGGTAAGTGACAGTCTGGGAGAAGTTTTTTGTTTTTGTTTTTTTTTTTTTTTTTTGACATTATCCCCAAGTGCCAATGGATTATCAGCGAAGGAATTTCTAAAAGAGCAAGAAGAACCAGAAAAATGGTCAAAGTTTACAAATAGGCCAGTCTCAGAAGGGGAAACCCAAATGGCAGAAATATGGAGAATTGTACAATTTTCACCAGCAATCAGAGAAAGGCAAATTAAAGCAGGGAATCATCACCTTAAACGCATCATAGTGGTGATTATTAGATAGTTAAAGGCAAGGATTGCATTTAGAGGTGAAAAAGTGATATCCCTTTTTCTAAAAAGACACAGAGTTCACAGAGAAATGGGAACCCTTGGGCACTGCTGGTAAATTATAAAAAGCACACCCATCTGGGGAAGCCTTCAAACAGAGCTTCCCCCAGGTCCGCAAAGGGAACTGTGTGAGAATGTTCATGACAGTGTGCTTATGGCTACAGGGGACTGGAAGCCACCCAAGTGTCCACCGAATAGTAAATACGTAATATATGGCAGATGCATCCTGTGGGACATTGAGCTGTAGTTAAAAGCAATGAGATAAATGCATGCACGGGAACATGAATAAACTTAAAAACATCCTGGTAGATGAAAAATGTAAGAAACAGGATATGATTTGGCACCATACAATCCTAGAATCAGAACGACACATTCTTTAATATGTGCCCTGTATGGAAATTTTAAAAACAGAATTCATTCAAATTTCTGAGTAAATTGTAGCTGATTGCCTGCTTTTCTCAAAAAATTAAGAATATATTTTATTGTCTGCGTGTGTCTTTGCTGCTGAGTTTAAAACTTGAAGTGCACCCACAGTTCTTGGTGTTGTGCCTAACATAGAGCAGGCCTTTAGTAATAGTTACTACGATGAGCTGTTCCTACCCTAAATTATCACCTTATAACATTTAGATGTGAAAAAGTGACATGTCTCATTCTAGAAAGACACAGAACTGGTAACTATCATATTGCTCCCACATTTGTTCCTGAAAGTAACCAGAAATGATTTATGAGATTAAGTAAGGATAGTTGAAGGATAGTTTTTATTTGTGTTGAGTTGTTAATTCTTCAGCTCAGGAGCTGGCAAACCATGGACAACAGGCCAAATCCAGTCATTGCCTATTTTTATATGGCTAGGAGTTAAGAATGGTTTTCACATTTTTAATAGTTGTTATATAAGTACCTAAGT
The DNA here is from genome assembly GCF_000001405.40 of Homo sapiens. NCBI lineage: Eukaryota > Metazoa > Chordata > Mammalia > Primates > Hominidae > Homo > Homo sapiens. The sequence continues at coordinate 106,538,178 of NC_000007.14, read as the reverse complement.
AACATCCTCAATTTTGCCTCTTGGCCTTTAAAGCCTGAAGTATTTGCTATCTGACCCTTTACAGAAATGTTTACCAATCCTTGCTGTAGTATATTTATTTACTGAACAAATAATTACTGAGACCAATGGTATACCAGGCACTGTGCTAAGTGGGGACAGAGCAGTGAAAACAAGAGGCCAACTCTCTTCTTTTATGGTACTTAAATTCTTGTAAAGGAGACAAATAATCAAGGTAAAAAAATATAGCATGACAGAAAAGTGCTATGAAGAGTAATAAAGCAAAGGGGAACAGAACGGTTGAATGAGGTGTTTTCAAAAAAACATGGCTTTTCTTTAGAAAACATTGCAACATGTAAACTTTAAGTAAATGTCTTATTTGTTAGTATAAGTCAAGTATAGTCATGCAGCATTTAACAAAGGGGGGTATGTTCTGAGAAACGCATCGCTAGGGGATTTTGTCATTGTGCGACATCATAGAGTGTACTGTACTTACACAAACCTAGATTGTACAGCCTACCGCACATCTAGGCTGTATAGTATATAGCCTATGGCCCCTGGGCTACAAACCTATACAGCGTGCTACTGTACTGAGTACTGTAGGCAATTGTAACACAATGGTAAGTATTTGTGTGTCTACATATGTTTAGACATAGGAAAAGTATAGTAAAATACAGTATTATAATCATATGAGACCACCACCATATATGCAGTTTGTCCTTGAAGGAAACTTCATTATGAGATGCATGACTATAATTTGTTTTCTGGTCTTTTGGTTGGTGTTCACACTTGTTCTTTCGTTCCTTAGACTCCACTAGAATCGATGTATAAATACTCACTTATCTCTATGTCCTGTCTTGGCCTTTGCCACATCCTGTTTTTATTACAAAACTTCCTTTTGTCAATCAATCTCTATTTTCCTCTTCTATGTCCAGATAAACATTGATTATGCTAACTTGCTATTCATCCTTGAACTGCTTTTGGTGAATCTATCTTGCCTTCATCAGCCTCCCTTAAAAATGTTAAACACCTTTACTTTTATTACAAAAGCAAAATATAGCAGGGAAGCTAACTATACAAAATATGATAAACTTCAATTAATATTTTGGAATTTAACCTTAGAAGTAATGTTTTATCATTCGATTCATCACACACAGATTCATACTTCAGACACTTTATAACATGTCTTTTTTCTCTTAATGTATGTTATGGATATCTTTTCAAAATAATAAAAGACCTCTATTACATTTTTTTGACTGCTGCATGATAGGAATTGCATTCAACTGTGATGTGAAGCAAATGTGATTAAAGTAACTTGAGTATGTAAGAAGTGTTTTTTGTCTTTTATTTTTGTCTTCTTTCTTCATACAACAGTGGATCTGGAGGTAGGCAACTGCTGGCATTAGTTCAGAAGGTGTCAAGACAAGTTATTTGTACAATTCTTGGCCTTTTCTCCCTAAAGTCAAAGTAGCTGCCACGGTTCCATCCATTTTATCCACAGTCTAGGTAGGAGAAAGGGGAATGGAAGCTGTATTGCTTTCCTGTTGCTGCTTATTATCTACAGTTCTAGAGTTAAGAAGTCTAAACTCAGTTTCACTGTGGTAAAATCAAGGTATTGGTAGTGCTGTGTTCATTTTGGAGGCTCTCAAGAGAATCTATTTCATTTTTTTCTAGTTTCTAGGGGCTGTCCACATTCCTTGGCTCATGGCCCCTCCCTCCATCTTCACACCATCAGTGCAGCCTCTTCAAATCTCTCTGACTACTCTCTACTACTCCCTGCCTCTGTTCTAACATTTCCTTCCCCGATCATAACCTTCTTGCATCCCTCTTACGTGGATTCTTCTGATTGTATAGGATCGTCCAGGATAATCTCCCCATCTCAAGAGTCTTGGTCACATGTGCAAAGTCTCTTTTGCCATGTGAGATAACATATTCACAGGTTCCAGGGATTGAGATATGGATATTTAGAGGTGGAAGGGTCATTGTTCTACCTACAACAAAAACCAGCTAGAACAGGGTAGTATTTCTATCAAGAAAATGAAAATTTCCAGAAATTGCCATTGGACTTGGGTTGATATCTCTTTGCTCAAAGCTGTATCATGTATCATTCTTCAGTGACACCTTTAACTGACTCCAGGAGGAAGCTCTGGAACTAAAATAGCCTGCTAGAATTGTCGTGTATGGGGTCAGATAACCTGGTCATTTTATGCCAGTGTGATCAGTCACTGGAAGTGGGCTAACCTAAGAAGGGTGTGACCTTGGGCGAGGTGGTGCTCTACAACTCGAGCACATCCTGCATGGCTAGCAGCTTGGGGCTGTCTGCAGACAGCACTCCCAGTCATGGGGCAATAAATCTTCCCCTGAATGGGGTACCTGGAGGGCACATCACAGTGTTCACTACAGTCATGGTTTAAAACGCTGAGGTAGATCTCTGTGTATCACTAGGGGGGAAATGTCCACATGTAGCATGACATAAATAAAGCAGTAATAAATGTCAGAGAGGCTTTACAACAGTAATGAGTTGATGATCACAGGACCCAGGAATGCTCTACTACCCTCTTAGCCTTGCCAACTCAGTCTCTTTTTGAAGTTCATGAAGGAGTGAGAACCTTAAGGAACAAAAGCAAGTCTTACGTAAGAGGCCACTTTTTATCATCTGCTTCTGATCAGTTGTAATGAACAACTTTCTGGCACACTGGGATGGATTATGAAGTTTGGGTTCAAGATTAGGTGGGGTTTGTCGCTCCCCAGAAGCCTAAGTCTTACCATCTGTGATCTGGACAACAAATACGTTGGAGCAAACAAATAAGAAAAACAGAAAAACTGTTGATGCACTCCAGGGATCCAGCCTTACCACACAAAGGGAAGAAGCATGAAACGGGTGTCCAGAGAGTTACCCCTATGAGCATCATGTTTGGCTTTGACCCCATCACTGTCAGGGAATTTGACCTAGTCAGATTTTCTTCTCTTAGACAAGTTGGGGAGAAAAAAAGCTAAAAGACCAGTGTGTACAACATTATCCTTTTTGTGTTTATTTATTTTATATATACATACCTATATACGTATACATATATATATATACACGTGTGTGTGTACACACACACACACACAAAGCTAAAAGAATATACACCAAAGTTTCAAAATGAAAATTTCTGTGGCCTAGGGCCACAGCTGGAGTTAAGATCACCCCAAATAGGGCTACTAAAAGATCACTGGAATTAACTAAAAATTGGGTGACAGTTAACTTAGTTCTCCATGCAGAACGTACTAAGTAAATGAAGAAACGTACATTGGCACTCTCCCACCAGATGGAATAGTATCCTTGGAAATGAAATAAAAAATACAATAAACACTTGTCACTTTGGTTACTGGAAAGGGGTCCCAATCCAGACCCCCAGAGAAGGTTCCTGGATCTTGCACAAGAAAGAATTCAGGGCAAGTCCACAGAGTAAAGTTAAAGTTTATTAGAGAAGTAAAGAAATAAAAGAATGGCTACTCCATTGACAGCAGCCCTGCCGGCTGGCTACTTTTATGGTTATTTCTCGATCGTATGCTAAACAAGGAGTGAATTAGTCATCAGTTTTCCAGGGAAGGGACAAGGATTTCCCAGAACAGAGGGCGACTCCCCCTTTTAGGCCATTTAGGGTAACTTTCGGATGTCCCTATGGCATTTGTAAACTGTTTTGGCACTGGTAGGAGTATCTGTTAGCATGCTAATGAATTATAATTAGCATGTAATGAGCAGTGAGGACGACCGGAGGTCACTTTAAGTACCATCTTGGTTTTGGTGGATTTTGTTTGACTTCTTTACCACATTCTGTTTTATCAGCAGGGTCTTTGTGTCAACCTCCTATCTCATCGTGTGATAAAGAATGCCTGTTTGCAGATGACATGATTGTATATTTAGAAAACCCCATTGTCTCAGCCCAAAAACTCCTTAAGCTGATAAGCAACTTCAGCAAAGTCTCAGGATACAAAATCAATGTGCCAAAATCACAAGCATTCCTATACACGAATAACAGACAAACAGAGAGCCAAATCATGAGTGAACTCCCATTCACAATTGCTTCAAAGAGAATAAAATACCTAGGAATCCAACTTACAAGGGATTTGAAGGACCTCTTCAAGGAGAACTACAAACCACTGCTCAGTGAAATAAAAGAGGACACAAATAAATGGAAGAACCTTCCATGCTCATGGATAAGAAGAATCAATATCGTGAAAATGGCCATGCTGCCCAAGGTAATTTATAGATTCAATGCCATCCCCATCAAGCTACCAATATGACTTTCTTCACAGAATTGGAAAAAACTACTTTAAATTGCATATAGAACCAAACACGAGCCTGCATTGCCAAGACAATCCTAAGCCAAAAGAACAAAGCTGGAGGCATCACACTACCTGACTTCAAACTATACTACAAGTCTACAGTAATGATAACAGCATGGTACTGGTACCAAAACAGAGATATAGACCAATGGAACAGAAGAGAGACCTCAGAAATAACACCACACATCTACAACTGTCAGGCCTCTGAGCCCAAGCTAAGCCATCATATCCCCAGTGACCTGCACATATACATCCAGATGGCCTGAAGCAACTGAAGATCCACAGAAGTGAAAATAGCCTTAGCTGATTGACATTCCACCATTGTGATTTGTTTCTGCCCCACCCTAACTGATCAGTGTACTTTGTAACCTCCCCCACCTTTAAGAAGGTTCTTTATAATCTCCCCCACCCTTAAGAAGTTTCTTGGTAGTTCTCCCCACCCTTGAGAATGTACTTTGTGATATCCACCCCCTGCCCCCAAAACATTGCTCTTAACTCCACTGCCTATCCCAAAACCTATAAGAACCAATGATAATTCCACCACCCTTTGCTCTCTTTTTCAGACTCAGCCCGCCTGCACCCAGGTGAAATAAACAGCCTTGTTGCTCACACAAAGCCTGTTTGGTGGTCTCTTCACACGGACACGTGAGACATTTGGTGCCGACCCAAAACTCCAGGGCCAGTCAGGGACTTGGGGAGGCAGCCTTCCCTTGGTGTTTAATCATTGCGGGGACGCCTCTCTGAGTATTCACCCACGTTCCATTGGTGTCTGATCTCGGCGGGGATGCCTGCCTTGGTCATTCACCCACATTCCCTTGGTGGCAAGTCAGTTGCGGGGACACTTGCTTTGGCTGCTCACCCACGTTGCTGCCCAGGGCTTTTCCCCACCCCCCTTCTCCGTGTCTCTACCCTTCTCTTTAAACTTGCCTCCTTCACTATGAGCAACCTTCCACCCTCCATTCCTCCTTCTTCTCCCTTAGCCTGTGTTCTCAAGAACTTAAAACCTCTTTGACTCTCGCCTGACCCAAAATCTAAGCACCTTATTTTCTTCTGCAACACCGCTTGGCCCCAATACAAACTCAACAATGGTTCTAAATGGCCAGAAAACAGCACTTTTGATTTCTCCATCCTACGAGACCTAGATAATTTTTGTCAAAAAATGGGCAAATGGTCTGAGGTGGCTGACATCCAAGCATTCTTTTACAGATTGGTCCCTCCCTAGTCTCTGCTCCCAGTGAGACTCATCCCAAATCTTTCTTTCTCTCCTGTCTGTTCCTTCAGTCCCAACCCCAAACGTCTCTGAGTCTTTTGAATCTTCCTTTTCTACGGACCCATCTGACCTCTCCCCTCTTCCCCAGGCTGCTCCTTGCCAGGCCAAGCCAGGTCCCAATTTTTCCTCAGCCTCTGTTCCCCCTCCCTATAATCCTTTTATCACCTCCCCTCCTCACACCTGGCCTGGCTTATGGTTTCGTTCCACGACTAGCCCTCCCCCACCTGCCCAACAATTTCCTCTTAAAGAGGTGGCTGGAGCTAAAGGCATAGTCAAGATTAATGCTTCTTTTTTCTTTATCCGACCTCTTCCAAATCAGCTAGCATTTAGGCTCTTTTTCATCAAATATAAAAACCCAGCGCAGTTCCTGGCCCATTAGCAGAAACCCTTAGATGCTTTACTGCCCTAGACCCAGAGGGGCCAGAAGGCCGCCTTATTCTTAATATGCATTTTATCACTCAGTCAGCTCCCGGCATTAGAAAAAGCTCCAAAAATTAGATTCTGGCCCTCAAACCCCACAACAGGACTTAATTAACCTTGCCTTCAAGGTGTACAATAATAGAGTAGAGGTAGCCAAGTAGCAAGGTATTTCTGAGTTGCAGTTCCTTGCCTCCACTGTGAGACAAACCCCAGCCACATCTCTAGCACACAAGAACTCCAAACAACTGAACCACAGCTGCCAGGGGTTCCTCCAGAACCTTCTGCCCCAGGAGCTTGCTACAAGTGCTGGAAATCTGGCCACTGGGCCAAGGAATGCCCGCAGCCTGGGATTCCACCTAAGCGGTGTCCCATCTGTGCAGGACCCCACTGGAAATTGGACAGTCCAACTGGCCCAAGGCTCTGACTGACTCCTTCCCAGATCTTTTCGGCTTAGCGGCTGAAGACTGACGCTGCCCGATCACCTCGGAAGCCTCCTGGACTATCACAGACGCTTTGGGTAACTCTTACAGTGGAGGGTAAGTCCATCCCCTTCTTAATCAATACGGAGGCGACCAACTCCACATTACCTTCTTTTCAAGGGCCTATTTCCCTCACCTCCATAACTGTTGTGGGTATTGATGGCCAGGCTTCTAAACCTCATAAAACTCCCCAACTCTGGTGCCAACTTGGACACTCCTTTATGCACTCTTTTTTAGTTATCCCCACATGCCCAGCTCCCTTATTAGGTCGAGACATTTTAACTAAATTTTCTGCTTCTCTGACTATTCCTGGGCTACAGCCACACCTCATTGCTGCCTTTTCCCCCAGTTCAAAGCCTCCTTCACCTCCTCCCCTTGTATCTCCACACCTTAACCCACAAGTATGGGATACCTCTACTCCCTCCTTGGCGACCGATCATGCACCCCTTACCATCTCATTAAAACCTAATCACCCTTACCCTACTCAACGCCAATATCCCATCCTGCAGCACGCTTTAAAAGGATTAAAGCCTGTTATCACTCACCTGCTACAGCATGGCCTTTTAAAGCCTATAAACTCCCCTTACAATTCCCCCATTTTATCTGTCCAAAAACCGGACAAGCCTTACAGGTTAGTTCAGGATCTGTGTCTTATCAACCAAATTGTCTTGCCTATCCACCCCGTGATGCCAAAGCCATATACTCTCCTATCTTCAATACCTCCCTCCACAACATCTCCACAACCCAGTATTCTGTTCTGGATCTCAAACGTGCTTTCTTTACTATTCTTTTGCACCCTTCATCCCAGGCTCTTTTCGCTTTCACTTGGACTGACCCTGACGCCCATCAGGCTCAGCAAATTACCTGGGCTGTACTGCCGCAAGGCTTCGCAGACAGCCCCCATTACTTCAGTCAAGCCCAAATTTCTTCCTCATCCATTACATATGTCGACATAATTCTTCATGAAAACACATGTGCTCTCCCTGCTGATCGTGTCCGGCTAATCTCCCAAACCCTAACCCCTTCTACAAAACAACTCCTTTCCTTCCTGGGCATGGTAGGATACTTTTGCCTTTGTATACCTAGTTTTACCATCTGGACTAAGCCATTGTATAAACTCACAAAAGCAAACCTAGCTGACCCCACAGATCCTAAATCCTTTCGCCACTCCTTTCCATTCCTTAAAAAACAGCCCTAGAAGCTGCCCCCACACTAGCTCTCCCTAACTCATCCCAACCCTTTTTCATTACACACAGCCAAAGTGCAGGGCTATGTGGTCAGAATTCTTACGCAAGAGCCGGGACTGTGCCCTGTAGCCTTTTTATCCAAACAACCTGACCTTACTGTTTTAGCCTGGCTTTCATGTCTATGTGCAGCGGCTGCCGCTGCCCTAATACTTTTAAAGGCCCTCAAAATCACAAATTATTCTCAACTCACTCTCTACAGTTCTCTTAACTTCCAAAATCTATTTTCCTCCTCACACTTGATGCATATACTTTCTGCCCCCCCAGCTCCTTCAGGTATGTATACTCACTCTTTGTTGAGTCTCCCACAATTACCATTGTTCCTGGTCCAGACTTCAATCTGGCCTCCCACATTATTCCTGATACTACACCTGACCCCTATGACTGTATCTCTCTGATCCACCTGACATTCACTCCATTTCCCCATGTTTCCTTCTTTCCTGTTCCTCACCCTTTTCACACTTGGTTTATTGATGGCAGTTCCACCAGGCCTAATTGCCACACACCAGCAAAGGCAGGCTATGCTATAGTATCTTCCACATCTATCATTGAGGTCACCACTCTGCCCCACTCCACTACCTCTCAGCAAGCCGAACTCATTGCCTTAACTCGGACCCTCACTCTTGCAAAGGGACTATGCGTCAATATTTATACTGACCCCATATCCTGTACCACCATGCTGTTTTATGGGCTGAAATGTTTCCTCACTATGCAAGGGTCCTCCATCATTAATGCCTCTTTAATAAAAACTCTACTCAAGGCCGCTTTACTTCCAAAGGAAGCTGGAGTCATACACTGCAAGGGCCCTCAAAAGGCATCAGATCCCATCGCTCAGGACAACACTTATGCTGATAAGGTAGCTAAAAAAGCAGCTAGCGTTCCAACTTCTATCCCTCACAGCAGTTTTTCTCCTTCTCATCTGGTCACTCCCACCTACTCCCCCACTGAAACTTCTACCTATCAGTCTCTTCCCACACAAGGCAAATGGTTCCTGGACCAAGGAAAATATCTCCTTCCAGCCTCACAGGCCCATTCTATTTTGTCATCATTTTGTAACCTCTTCCATGTAGGTTACAAGCCACTAGCCCGCCTCTCAGAACTTCTCATTTCCTTTCCATCGTGGAAATCTATCCTTAAGGAAATCACTTCTCAGTGTTCCATCTGCTATTCTGCTACTCCTCAGGGATTGTTCAGGCCCCCTCCCTTCCCTAAACATCAAGCTTGGGGATTTGTCCCCACCCAGGACTGGCAAATTGACTTCACTCACATGCCTCAAGTCGGGAAACTAAAATACCTCTTGGTCTGGGTAGACACTTTCACTGGATGGGTAGAGGCCTTTCCCACGGGGTCTGAGAAGGCCACTGTGGTCATTTCTTCCTTCTGTCAGACATAATTCCTCGGTTTGGCCTTCCTGCCTCAGTTTCTCAGGCTCTTGGTATTTAGTGGCTCCTGGTTTTACCTCAAATCGCCACCCTTAAATCTTTCTTGAAGTGGATAGATGATCTTCAGTGGCAAGGTACCCTCCAATACTTACACCCTGATGAAGTTCTAGTCTTTACTTTTATACTCACTCTTATTCTCATTCCCGTTCTTAAGCCACCCTCTACCTCTCCCCAGCCATCTCCACCACACTATCAATCTCACTCACTCTCTCCTAGCTGTTTTTAATCCTTTAACAAACAATTGCTGGCTTTGCATTTCTCTTTCCTCCGAAATCATCGAGGCCTCCACTTACTGCTAAGAAAAGGGGACTCTGTATACTTTTAAATGAAGAGTATTGTTTTTACCTAAATCTATCTGGCCTGGTATATGACAACATAAAAAAACTCAAGGATAGAGCCCAAAAACTCGCCAACCAAGCAAATAATTATGCTGAACCCCCTTGGACACTCTTTAATTGGACATCCTGGGTCCTCCCAGTTCTTAGTCCTTTAATACCTGTTTTCTCCTTCTCTTACTCAGACCTTGTGTCTTCCGTTTAGTTTCTCAATTCATACAAAACTGTATCCAGGCCATCACCAATAATTCTATACGACAAATGCTCCTTCTAACAACCCCACAATATCAGCCCTTACCCCAAAATATTTCTTCATTTGAATCTCTCCCACTGTAGGTTCCCACACCGCCCCAATCCCGCTCAAAGCAGCCCTGAGAAACATCGCCCATTATCTCTCCATACCACCCCCAAAAATTTTCACCGCTCCAACACTTTACCACTATTTTGTTTTATTTTTCTTATTAATATAAGAAGACAAGAATGTCAGGCCTCTGAGCCCAGAGTAAGCCATCGTATCCCCAGTGACCTGCACGTGTACATCCAGATGGCCTGAAACAACTGAAGATCCACAGAAGTGAAAACAGCCTTAACTGATGACACTCTACCATTGTGATTTGTTTCTGTCCTACCCTAACAAATCAATGTACTTTATAATCTCCCCCACCCTTAAGAAGTTTCTTTGTAATTCTCTCCACCCTTGAGAATGTACTTTGTGAGATCCACCCCCTACCCCCAAAACATTGCTCTTAACTCCACTGCCTATCCCAAAACCTATAAGAACCAATGATAATCCTACCACCCTTTGCCGACTCTCTTTTCGGACTCAGCCCGCCTGCACCCAGGTGAAATAAATAGCCTTGTTGCTCACACAAAGCCTGTTTGGTGGTCTCTCCACATGGACACGTGAGACAACAACCATTTGATCTTTGACAAACCTGACAAAAACAAGAAATGGGGAAAGGATTCCCTATTTAATAAATGATGCTGGGAAAACTGGCTACCTATATGTAGAAAGCTGAAACTGCATCCCTTCCTTACACCTTATACAAAAATTAATTCAAGATGGATTAAAGACTTAAGTGTTAGACCTAAAACCATAAAAACCCTAGAAGAAAACCTAGGCAATACCATTCAAGACATAGGCATGGGCAAGGACTTCATGACTAAAACACCAAAAGCAATGGCAACAAAAGCCTAAATAGACAAATGGGATCTAATTAAACTAAAGAGCTTCTGCACAGCAAAAGGAACTACCAGCAGAGTGAACAGGCTGCCTACAGAATGGGAGAAAAGTTTTGCAATCTACCCATCTGACAAAGGGCTAATATCCAGTATCTACAAAGAACTTAAACAAATTTACAAGAAAAATCAACCCCATCAAAAAGTGGGCAAAGGATATGAACAGACACTTCTCAAAAGAAGATATTTATGCAGCCAACAGACACATGAAAAAATGCTCAGCATCACTGGCCATCAGAGAAATGCAAATCAAAACCACAATGAGATACCATCTCACACCAGTTAGAATGGCGATCATTAAAAAGTCAGGAAACAACAGGTGCTGGAGAGGATGTGGAGAAATAGGAACACTTTTACACTGTTGGTGGGAGTGTAGACTAGTTCAACCATAGTAGAAGACAGTGTGGTGATTTCTCAAGGATCTAGAACTAGAAATACCATTTGACCCAGCCATCCCATTACTGGGTATATACCCAAAGGATTATAAATCATGCTGCTATAAAGACACGTGCACACGTATGTTTACCGCAGCACTATTCACAATAGCAAAGACTTGGAACCAACCCAGATGTCCATCAATGATAGACTGGATTAAGAAAATGTGGCACATATACACCATGGAATACTATGCAGCCATAAAAAAGGATGAGTTCATGTCCTTTGTAGGGACAAGGATGAAGCTGGAAACCATCATTCTCAGCAAACTATCGCAAGGACAGAAAACCAAACACTGCATGTTGTCACTCATAGGTGGGAATTGAACAATGAGAACACTTGGACACAGGATGGAGAACATCACACACTGGGGCCTGTCATGGGGTGGGGGGAAGGGGGAGGGATAGCATTAGGAGATATATCTAATATAAATGACGAGTTAATGGGTGCGGCACACCAGCATGGCACATGTATACATACGTAACAAACCTGCACATTGTGCACATGTACCCTAGAACTTAAAGTAAAAAAAAAAAGTCAAACCTTCTGGGGATGCAGCCCAGTTGGTCTCAGGCTCATTTTACCCAGTCCTTGTTCAAGATGGAGTGCTCTGGTTTGATATTGCCTCTGATATTTTCACCAAGCCATCCCTCTCAAGACATAGTGAATTAATGTTAAATAGTGTTATCAGGACTTAAGAGGCCTAACTGTGGCCTGTCTGGGTGCCTGTGTGTCCTGTCAGCCTTTGATGAAACTGCGACAGGATTTCCTTTCTTATCTGGGTACTCTTTTATGTTGTTTAAACATTGTACAGAAAACAAGTATAATTTTCATATATTCAGTTGAAAACAAAGTTATTTTCTTGCAGGAGGCAAACAACAACAACAACAGCAACAAAAAAAAAAAAAAAAAAAAAAAACCAAAAATCCAACTTGCAGACCTTAGCTGCTCAGGCAGAAAGCAGAGGAGGAGTGAGGAGAAGCCTGATTGGCCAGATGCCTCTGCGGAAGGAACTCCTGGACAGATTACATTTCCCTGCGTCCTGGGAAGGCCTTCTGACTCCTGTTTCCATCCCTGGTGGGGCTGAAGTTGGCCTCCCATGGCATATGCTGGGTCATGATTGGCAAAGAGCCACCCATAGGTCGCCCTACCTGGATCATGAAGCCCTGGGTCTGTTTGTTTAGCGTTATCCACCAAAGACTTCACTTCTGACCCTTTGGGTCCTACGTTGTGATTTTTGTCACAACACAGGCCTCCTGAGGACCCCAAGTCCCTTTTGTTCTTTAAGCCATGTCAAGCCCCTAAGCAATACCCTGGAATGAAATAGGCAAGGAGACAGATGTGGCTGGCCCAGGTGATTTGAGCCAGCAGAATTTCCAGGTTCTGGTTTGCCACTGACCTGGCAGAACCATGCTCCTTCTCTGGCGCTCTGCCCTGCGTGGCCCTCTCTTTACCCTCACCAGGTAATAAGATGAGGATGTGATTTCTTAGTGGAGGCAGGCACTTCTCCTTGATACCTATGGCTTGGAGACTGTTGGGGCTTTCTCAGGGTTAAGCTTTTGCCTTTCTAATAACACCTGAGCCTGTAACCCATTATTCCAACAGTGTCAGGATGATTTACTGAGATATTGATTTGTGTTTTGTGCTGATGGATGTGGAAGAATCAAAGACTACAAGGTATCTTTCCCTTTCTTTCCAGCTTAGCTTCTCCCTACACCCCCTTACCAAAGGGCAACCCAGGCCAACATAGTCCTAAAGAGCATAGCCTTTCCTGACCCTGAGGGCAAAAGTAAGAAACTTTTGTTTTTAAAGAATTGGCTCTAGGAAGAAAGGGCTGTCTCTTCTTGAATTTGGAGGGGTTTTGGATAAGGCAAATAGGGTGGTGAAAGTAAACAGACCTGGGAAGCTTCCAGTGGAGCTTGGAGGGAGGCCAGGACAAGGTAACTTGTGTTTGTGGGTAAGGTGGTCCTTGAATAGCAGCAATACCCTCCCCCCAGGTCTCTCAGAACACCAGGAGATTTCAGGGTGACCATCTACAAATGGTTAGATCGGTGTAACTTTCACATGAACCTTGACAGAGAAGAGAGATCATGATAATGACGGGTGGCGTTTCTGGCTAGCCTAGTGGGATGGGACCTCACAGCAGAGGAACCTGAATTAGAGAAGCATAAGAAATATGAAGAACTCAACACCCCAGGATATGCAGCAAAACTGCAAAACTGTACACATAGGTTAACATCTCCGTGATGCTAGTGAGCTCCGGGAATCTTCTCCTCAGCTTTATCTGTTCCACCTTTTATTTTTATCTCTTTAAAGAATGTTTTCCCTTTGTAATACATTACATGTGAGAGGCATGGGAGAGGCATAGAATTTTTTTTTTTAAGTTGCAGCAGTTAAGATGCTATCACTTGTTATTTCCTGAGCTCATTCTAAAGAAGCATCACATGATGGGACAAGACAGCAGGTCCTGGCAAGGGGAAGTCAGTTGTGATGAAAATATACTGTGGGCGGCTGGGTGTGGTGGCTCACGCTTGTAATCCCAGCGCTTTGGGAGGCTGAGGCAGGTGGATCATGAGGTCAGGAGATCGAGACCAGCCTGGCCAACATGGTGAAACCCCGTCTCTACTAAAAATACAAAAATTAGCTGGGCATGGTGGTGGGCTCCTGTAGTCCCAGCTACTCGGGAGGCTGAGGCAGGAGAATCGCTTGAACCCCGGAGGTGGAGGTTGCAGTGCACCGAGATCGCGCCACTGCACTCCAGCCTGGGTGACAGAGCGAGACTCCGTCTCAAAAAAAGAAAAAAAAATACACACACACACACACACACACACACACACACACACACACTCTCTCTCTCTCTCTCTCTCTCTCTGCGGATATCTTACTAAGTACCGCTACCACAGCTCCTCCTGTTAAAGTAAAGTTGAGGACTAAGAACCCAAAGTTTGGAAAAGTTTTGATGTCAAGCGAGGAACTAGATGTGATAGAGACTAAACCCTGAGGAATGAGGTTCCTAAGAGGAGAAATGGGCAAGTCTTTTAAAGCCAAGACACCAGGAACTGTCTGTCTCACATTAGGAAAGCAGAGTGTCTGAATATCAGTGATAGATGAGTGACCCCGGCTTGTCAATCATGTAGCATTGAGATGGTGGAGTGACTGTGGCTGCCTCAGTGGAGCACCTGCTGCTGCTGTACAGAGTCCCCGTTGTGTTGTTCTCCTAAATCAGGCCAGGCAGCCACGTCTGGGTTTGTCAGTATTCTTCCACAGAATTATGTTAGCATTGTTGCTAGCATGATTGACACCTCATGCATCCTGGGGCTTTCTATTTCGTCAGCAGACTTTTGTGCATAATATTTTGTTTGGCATGAGGGAGTCAGAGTACCCATGTTATTCTTAGTTTAAAAATAAGGAAGCCAAAGTTTATGGAAGTCCAGTGACTTATGTGAAGAGCGTTCACCGGTAAGGGAAGAACAGGTAATTACAGCGGGGTGAGTGTCAAAGATGACGGCTGCATCCCATCTCTCCCCGGAGAGCATCACACAGCACACAGGGGAGAATGCAGACCCCCGAGATTTCTGTATGGAATTATCCGGTCATCGTTACTCACCTTAGGAATGGGAGAAATCATTTCTCTTGAGTTATTATTGATTATAAAATTAGTGTGAAACTTAAAAGTATAGATATTTACAAAACCTTAGATTTTTAAAGAAAACTTAGAAAATATAGAAAAAATGAAGAGAAAACAAATATCAAAAGTACCCACAACTCAGAGATAAACAGTAACATTTCTAGGGTTTTATCCACATATGTGTGTGTGAGTGTGTGTGTGTACACAGTTGTATCACATTATGTGGACCATTTATATCAAATATTTTCAATTTAACATGGTGTCTCAGCAGGGTGCCTCTATTTGTCAGCTAGGGCTGCTGTAAAAAAGTAGCATGAGCTGGGTGGCTTAAACGGCAGGAATTTATTCTCCCACAGTTCTAGAGGCTAAATATTTGAAATCAAAGTGTCAGCAGTATGCGTTCCTTCTGAAGGCTGTGAAAGAGAATCTCTTGCGTGTCTCTCCCCTAGCTTCCAGGGGTTCGCCAGCAATCTTAGGCATTTCTTGGCTTGTGGCAGCATAATTCTGATTATCCCATGACTTTCTCCCTGTGTGCAAATTTCTCTCTTTTTTTATAAAGACAACAGTCATGTTGGATTAGGGACACACCCTACTCCAGTGTGGCCTCATCATAACTAATTGTAAGTGCAAGAACCTTATTTCTAAATAAGTTCACGTTTTGAGGTACTAGGGATTAATACTTCAACATACGAATTTCGGGGGAGACACAATTTAACTCCTACAGCCTTGACCCCGTGACATTGAAGCATCTTTGGAACATTTATTTTTATTGGGAACAAGATATTTCATTGTACAGATAAAGCATCATTTGTATAATCGACGCTGCTGTGAACCTTTTTCATAATTCTTAAGGGGGTCTCTCCCACTCCTGCATGAATGGGTCCATCGTTGCTATCAAACTAAAACTTAATGACCAAAACTCCTGAGAAATACAAGTAATAAAACTGCCCTCAGTCTAGTTCCTATTACATATACAGAAGAATTCTCTGGTTAAAACAGTGGTCTCGAAAGTTGGGTGCCATAAGACAATATTTGGGGGTATGGAAAAAAGACATGAGAATGATTACTCCAATTGTCTTATAGACAAATTCAAGGTCTATTTTTGCAAACATCTTAATATTCATAATGTAAAACTAAAGTAGCACATATAGATAGTTTATAAATAAGGAAATATTTATATATTGTGGATATTTTCTTAAAAATCTTTTCCTGACGAGGGCTATAAATTTAAAATGTTTGGAGATCACTAGTCTTGACTCTTCAGCCAAGGACATTTTCCCTAAAATTTATTTTATTTTACTTTAGTAAGAATACTTAACATGAGATCTACTCTCTTAAAATTGTGCAATGCATTATTGTTGACTATAGGTACAATGTTGTGCAGTAGATCTCTAGAGCTTATTCAGTTTGTTTGACTGAAACTTTATGACTTACAATTATTTTTATTTAGTTTAAAGGCAGTTTCTCATTAAGTTGCCCAGGCTGGTCTCAAACTCCTGGGCTCAAGCAATCCTCCTGCCTCGGCCTCCCAAAGTGCTGGGATAACAGACTTGAGCCACCATGCCTGGCCTGACCTGCATTCTTAATAGCTCGACTGTCACTGACCACAGGACTTAGTCACATATGCACTTACTGGGTCATTACTTCTGCAGCTAACTTTAGGTCTTTATTCTGACCAGGAATTCAGTCCCTTGATTCTTGTCCACATGGCTTGCCTTGGGTCTGTCTTGGGTTCAGAGGCAAACACATAATTAAACAAATAAATTGGTGGCTGGTGGTCCTGGAGAGCAAAAGATGCCAGATAAGGAAGGTTCAGGGTATGGAATGGAGGTGACTGCTGCCCTCTTCCCCATTTGGATCTCCGACAACCATCTCCACCAGGAAGGTGGAGAAAAGGACCCATATCCAGTCAAATCACAGGCTTCCCTAACGGTTTTACTGTTTCCCATTTTGTACCCTCAGGTGTTTGCCACCTAGTCATACCTGACCACTAGGCAGGCAGACACCCAACTGCTGACAGTAGGGGGCAGATATTTGTCTTGGTTTCTCTTTCTGCTTTTACAACTGGAAAGTATCTGCTACTTGCATTCCATGACAAGGTGTGAAACAGCATGTCTGCTCTGCAAGAGACAATATTCAAAATGCGTCTTTTAAAGCCAGGAGCCTGAAAAAATGCTAAAGAAAAATGGATGGAAGCCTAGTTTCCTGACTAGTGAAAACCAAACTGTTTGTCAGTCTTTTTAAGCTGGTAGAAAAGCAAGTTTTGAACCCCATGTTGCAAGCAAAACAAAAAACAACAAAAAAAAAGGAGGAATAAGTTTGACTTTTTTTTTTTTTTTTTTAAATGAGACAAATCTTACTCTGTCGTTGCCCAGGCTAGAGTGCAGTGGCACAATCATAGCTCACTGTAGCCTTGAAATCCTGGGCTCACACTATCTTCCCACTCCTCCATCCCCAGTAGCTGGGACTATAGGCTCATACCACTATGCCTGGCTACTTTTTTATTTTTTAAGTTTTTTTTTTTTTTTTTTTTTTGTAAAGATGGAGTCTCGCTATGTTGCCCAGGCTGGACTTGAACTCCTGTACTCAAGCCATCCTCCCGCCCCTGCCTCTTGAAGTGCTGGGATTACAGGTATGAGCCTAGTTTGACTTCTTAAATGTAAATTGATATTCAGGAGTTGCCTCTGGCCAAATCCTTTTCTCATTATCTGGTGTATCATTTTGGAATTCCTTTGGCTTATTGTTCTCTATGGTTCTGGAGTGAAGTCTATGGAAAGCCTTAAACATTTTGGGCTCTGTCACTTGTGTTCCTACGTATTTACAGGAGAAAAAAAAGTGACCTTTTTATAGAACATAGTAAAGTTATTCTCCTACTTAGAAGCAGGCTTTATTCTGGAAGTCTGTATATAAGTTGTTTAGGGCTCAGAATACATCATCTCCTTGATGTCCAGTCTGAATAACAAAGTTCTCAAACCTTAGCATGTAGAAGAATCATTTCATGGTGCTTGTTTAAAAAGAAGATCCCTTGGCCTCACCCAGAAATGTAGCTCTGCAAAGAATCTATGAATCTGCATTTTCAAATAAAGCCCCAGGTAATGCAGACACATTGGGAAATGTGCTATACAGGCAAGTTCGACCCGCAGTTAACTGATATACCAAATATTTTGGATGAAAAACAGTAAAGGTTCTTATTTGGGAGAAAATAATATTTAACACATATTTACAAAACTTATCTAGAATGTTGATGTACAATGAAAAGCAGATTGTGTGTGTGTATGTGGTGTGTGTGTGTGTGTGTGTTTGAGACAGGCTCTCACTTTGGTTGCCCAGGCTGGAGTGGGTGCAGTGGTGCAATCTCAGGTCATTGCAGCCCTGACCTCCCAGATTCAAATGATCCTCCCGCCTTAGCCTCCTAAGTGGCTAGGACTACAGGCATGTGCCACCACACCTGGCTAATTTTTTGTATTTTTAATAGAGACAGGGTTTTACCATGTTGTCCAGGCTAATTTCAAACTCCTAGAATCAAACAATTCGTCCACCTTAGCCTCCCAAAGTGCTGGGATTACAGGTGTGAGTCACCGTGCCTGGCCTTGAAAAGCAGATTTAATTAGAGTAGGATAAAGAAATCCATGTATCCCTTCAACAAATATCACCTGGGCTCCCACTAGGAGACAGACTCTGATTAGATAGGATGGCACAATAATTGGATGCCATTCCTCTTAAAAGTTGATCGTCAGTAGGGGAGGTAGATATTCATCAAATAATTATGCTAAATGAATAATCACAAATCGAGGTAAGTGCTCTAAAGGAAAAGTATGACTTTTATCTAAACATGTATGACAGAGGAACCTGAGGTAGACCAGGGCTGGGGTGGGCAGTGAGAGAAAACTTTCCTGAAGAGGTGAAACTCAGAGGGAGACCTGAAGTGAGTTGTCTCAGTGATGCATATCTAAGGGTATTGCATGTACAAAGGTCTAAAGAGGCAAGGTGCTTCTTTTACTGGGAAATGGGAAGAGGTCAATGTGGCTGTGGCAAAGAAGTTTCAGGGGCAGGTAGAGAAAAGACTAGAAAGGGAGTCAGGACTCTCCCTACCACTGTGTACTGACGTTGTTCTTTAGCCTAAAAGCAGTGGAGTAACAATCGTTTGTGTGTGTGTGCGTGTGTGTGTGTGATCACTCTGGTAGCTATGTGGACAGATCTTGGCAGGGTGGCCAAAGTCGAGGCAGATAAACAGTTTGGAAGCTTTAGCAGTGGTGTGAATGAGTGTTGATGGCAGCTTGGGCTAGGATACAGTAGTAGAAATCGTGAAAAGAAAACAGATTCTAAAGATAATGTGGAGGTTGCTCATGGATTGGATGTAGGCAGTGCGTATCTCAGATGATTTTCTGAGTTTCTGGCATGTGCAGCTAGATGAATGGTTATGCCTGTAACTAAATAAGATACGGTGCAAAGGGTCATGTACTAACAGGAAGATTGTGAGTTTGTTCTTAGACATGTTGAATTTGAGATACTAAAATAGAGATGTGTAGTTAAGCAGTTGGAAAACACATCCAGAACTTACCAGGATAGTTAGAATAGAAGGTACAAATTAGAGTACTCAATGTCTGGAGTATTACTGAAACTTCAGGTGTGAATGATACCGAGGAATGAGAGTTTGGAGAGAGAAAAGAGGGGAGGAGACAAGGAGAGGGAAGGAGAGAAGGAGAGGAGAGGGAAGAAGGGGAGAAGGAGAGGAGAGGGAGGAAGGAGAGGAGAGGGAAGGAGAGGGGAGAAGAGGGGGAGAGGAGAGGGAAGATAGGAGAGAAGGAGATGGGGGGAGAAGAGAGATGAGTGGAGGGGAGGGGAGTAGAGGAGGGGAGTGGAGGGGGGAAAGAAGAGGAGAGAAGGGAGAAGGAGTGGAGAGAGGGGGAGAGAAGAGCAGAAAAGACAAGGAGAGGGGAGGAGAGAAATAGGAGAGGCAAGAAGGGGAGGAGTGGAGAGAAACAGAGGAGAGAAGGAGAAGAGAGGCAAGAAGGGGAGGAATGGAGAGAAGGAGAGAAGGGGAAGGGGAGAGGAAGAAAAAGGTTCTGAGACAAATCCTTGGGGAACTCTAAAATTTATGCCAAATAAAAGTAGGATGAGCTGAGTGAGTCTGAAAAAAAAGTAGCCAGAGGGGTTTTAAAAAATCAAAAATACGTAAATAACCCAGGAGATTGTGGTGTCATAGAAGTTGTGGGAAGGAGCAGTTCAAGAAAGTAGTCATTGCTGTTGAATACTATTGAAGGAATTGAGTAAGACAATGAATAAAAAAAGTCCTCTGATTTGTGGAAGCAGACATCACTGCTGAACCTTGCAAAAGCTGTTTCTGTGGGCTTGATGGGAATAGAAACCAGATTGGAGTGCAGGAAGTGAGTGAAGGTGAGAAATGGAATAATTCCCTAGTTGATTTCTGGGCTTACCAAAGGTTAATGGGACTGGTTTTGTTTGTTGTTTAATTTCTCTTTAAAGTGTGTTGCTTTCCTTTCCCTTGATGTCTCAGCAACAGTACTTCTATTCTTATTAGCTACTTGTATTAGTCCGTTTTCATGCTGCTGATAAAGACATACCTGAGACTAGGAAGTAAAAGAGGTTTAATTGGACTTACAGTTCCACGTGTCTGAAGAGGTCTCAGAATCATGACAGGAGACAAAAGGAACTTCTTACATGGTGGTGGCAAGATAAAATGAGGCAGAAGCAAAAGTGGAAACCCCTGATAAACTCATCAGATTTCATGAGACTTATTCACTATCACGAGAGGAGCACGGGAAATACCCACCCTCATGATTCAATTACCTCCTCTGGGTCCCTCCTGCAACATGTAGGAATTCTGAGAGATACAATTCCAGCTGAGATTTGGGTGGGGACATAGCCAAACCATAACACCACCATTAGTCTTACCTATTAACTTTCAAAGAAAATAAATAAAGGATAAAAAGAGCTAGAAAAGAATGTTCAAACAAACAACAACAACTGAAACAACTTCCCCAAAAGACTGGACAAGAGTTAGAAGTGTAATAACGAAGGGGATTCACAAAGATATGTCTACAGATAGCAATGATTAAAAAAATAACAGGGTACCATATTAAGGAAATATTGGGGCACTCCTATGTGCGAGGCATTTTGTAAAGGACATTAAATATCATAACTCGTTCAATCCCTTCAACAGCTCTAGGAGATGGTTATTACAATCCCTATTCTGTAGATTGAAGAAACTGGGACTTGGAGTGACAGGCTGAGTTGAATTGGCCAAGGTCATCTAGACAAATCATGGTGAAGCTGGTGGTTTGAATCTTTGATCTTTATTGCTAAGTGAGTATGAGCTTGGCAAGTTGGAGCAAGTGAGTTCAGAGTAGTGGAAAACAGAGAAAAAGCAGGTGACATGAGATGGGCCACATCTCACTGAGGTGGCACGAATGGTGTTATGGGAGAGATGAGCAAATGTCTGGTTGGAGAATGAGGAAGGAAATAATTCAGCTCTTCTGTTGTATGAACAACTTGGCTGTATCTGAGGGATTGTTTCTGGCTTCTCTGGCACTGCATTTTAAGAGGGGTAATCTTATGTTCAGATTAAGGTTAAAAAAATTAAAGTTTTATATGAAAAATGGTGGGGGGAATTAGGGATGAGTCACTTGGTAGAGAGACGATGAAGGAGACCCGATAGCCATTGCCAAATCTTTGAAGGAGTACCCTGTGAAAAAGGAAGAAATGGGACTAATGGGCAGAAACTTCAGGAAGATACATTTTGCCTCAGTATAAATAAATACTTCCTCACAAAGCCTTCTGAAGTTGTAACGGGCTGCCTGAAGGAGCCCCTGCCCCTACACCCCCTTTCAGATCTCCTCAGCCTTGGAGGTGTTCAAGTTGGATGAGCACTTGATAAGGGATAAATGGTAACTGAGTGATTGATATGTAAGTTTCAGAGAGTATTTAAGCATATGGATGAGGCCTCATAAAATGAACACTCAAAATAGGTCTATTAAACAGATGCATAAATCAGTGGAGCTGGAAGCAATATCCAAGGAGACCCTTATAAGCCTCCAATTCTTGGAAAATCAGAGTCATGTTTCAGTGAGTGGGAGGAGGGATGGTTTTGGATCCAAGTATGTCATTGGCAAGTGGGTAGGCCAGAGTCGGGACACTGGGCTTGGGATAGGGAAGCATGGTGACCAGAAGAGTGTGAGGTGTGAGGATGGGCGTGGAAGACAGCCCTACAAACTGTCAGCCTCTGTTTTATCTTGAATCGCCCCAAACTCTTGGTAGTGTAATTACTGTAAGAACATCAGGGAAATACTCGCATCTTAATCTCCAAAGAAAATTACTATCAAAGGATGGGAGACAGAAAACCTCAGGTAAACAGCCACTTGGGGACAGTCAAACATGCATTCTGGCAAGTGACATTCATATTGAAGAAAACTAAATTTTGTTAACTCTGATATTTGGAAGGATTTTGTTGTTTAGGTTTTAATGAAGAATCGGGGAATCAAAGTGTATCCTTAATGTCAGCCATCCCACCTATGATCTTTAGTTCAGTGTGTCTTTCAACTTTTCCCTCCAGCTCCCTTTCAAACTATTCCAGGGCTCTAGGGGAGTTTATAAATTCTGATATTGTTGATTAAGGGTAGTGTTATAAAAGCCTTCTTCAAAAAACGTGATGGCTACTGGATGAATAATTGTTCTGAATTGTCAAAATATGTCAGCACAACTTGCTATAATATGTTTTGGGCTGTGAAGCTGGTGGGTCAACTCTCACCACATTGGATGGGTTCCCTTTTCTTCCCATGTATTTTGTTCAACATTAAATTGTCATAGTGACAGAATACCAGCATTGCCAAATGTATTGTTCATAGCTGGAAAAAAAAAAGCATGAACTACGTGGCAATAAAGCAAACCATGGAAACAGTATACCGCCACATATTCAGAACAAACATTCAAACATAACAAATCAGTCTACTTACATGATATAAATTCTTGCAGAGTTGGCTATAATAAATGCAGAATTATTAGTAGCTGCTTTTTTGAAATTCAAGAGTTAAAAACAAAGAGATACTAAATTAAGCAAGAAGTCCTTTGGATTTTATCATTCTAAGAAGGAAAGAACAGCTCCCAAACCGGTGTGAAGATGAAACTAAATAGAAATAATTAGGTCTTCTTTATCAGAGTTTTCCCTGGGAGCTAAGGGAAATCTCCATGAATTTGAGTCCAATTGCCCAATTCTCATGCACTCTCCCGAAGCGGGAGTCAGCTGACAGGGAGGCTTTGCTGGCTCTCCTTCATCCCTCATTCCAGATGTTGCCAGGAGTTATTCCCAACTACAGTTACTTAATCAGAGAACAATGATCATAGAAGCTGAAAAGACCTTGTAAGATCACATAGTCCAACTTCTCCATCTTATCTATTAGGAAAAAATGGTGCTCAGAAAGATGCAGGAAAATGAAATCAGTATCTTGAAGAGATAGCTCTACCCCCTTGTTTATTGCAACATTTTTCACAACAGCCAAGATATGGAAACAATCTAAATGTACATTAGTGGATAAATGTATAAAGAAATTTTGGCATATGTATATATGATAGAATACTATTCGCCTTTAAAAAGAAGGAAATACTGTCATTTGTGACAATGTGGATGAACCTGGTGGACTCATGTTATGTGAAATAAGTCAGGGACAGAATGACACATACTACATGATTTCACTTGTATGTGGAATCTAAAAAACGTCAAGTTCATAGAAACAGAGTAGAAGGGTAGTTGTCAGGGGCTGAGGGATGGGGAAAATGGGGATTTGTTGATCAAAGAGTATAAACTTTCAGTTATACCATGTACAAATTCTGGGAATCTAATGTACAGCATGGGTAGTGATGGATGTGTTCATTAATTTGACTGTAACAATCATTACACAATGTGTACATAAATCATTATGTATACCTTTAATATATACAGTCTTTGTTAATTAAAATTTTTAAAACAATAAATAAAAATCAAAAGTAAAGATTTCCTGCCCACACAGGAAACTAGTGTCATCAACACAGGTAAGGACTAACCCTTGTCATGCTAGGGTCAAGGTAAGGTACTTTAAATACCTTAGGTAATTTAATCACCCCAACAATCTGAGGAAGTAGATATTAATATCTCTTCATGTTACAGATAAGGAGAGTTTGAATTGCTTGTTCCAGGTGAAAGCCAGGAAGTGCCTGAGCAAAGACTCAAACCCAAGCAGTCTGTGATGGAGAAAGTCATGGGTTTTTCGAAAAAGATACATTTATATTACAATTCATGACTAGAAAAAAAGCATACACTGCATGGCAATAAAGCAAACCATGCATCAGCATTTACCAGCTGTGAGACTTTGGACAGTTTCCTAAACCTCTCAAAGCCTCAGACTCCTCATGTATCAAAGAGAATAATAACCTCTATGTAGGATTGTTGTAAAGACTCATTGAGGTTATATATGTCTTAACATAGTGTCTGGTACTTAGTAAATGCTCAGTAAACAGTAGCTAATATTAGTATCCATTTTTATTCTTATTTTTATGTCTTAGGTCTCTAGAGTCTCATCTATAAAAGAGGATGATAATAACTTCTACCTATGATTGTTGTAAAGACTAATTGAGGTTATATATGTCTTAGCATAATGCCTGGTACTTAGCAAGTGCTCAGAAAACAATAGTAGCTAATATTAGTATCATTTATTATTATTATTTTATATCTCAGCTCTCCAGAGTCTGAGACTTTCCATTAAACTGTTTATCTTATCAAAAACCTTCCAAACACTTCTATAAATGAAATGCGTAGGAAGTCTTGAACTATATTTTTTAGTACTAGAGCTGTGTTGGGGTAAAAAAGCATAGCCTCTCCAACAAAAGTAACTTTTAAAAGTTTTAGGCTTCTCCTTTTTTGTTTTTTATTTTAAAATATTAAGGTATATATAGTTTCTATACTTCTTCAACTCACTTTATCCCTCTCTTACTCTCCACCCATTCCTGAAAGCAGCTCTTCTTGGTGACTCCCTCCTCAATATCTCCCCCTCATTTCCTTGATATACATATTATTTTGTATTATCTAAGGTCATCTTACATAAAAATTTAAATATATAATCATTAAATTTTAGAGTCTACAATTTTCTTAGAAATCATATTGTCCAATAATTGTTGGGGGAGGCTGTGAGTTGAGGAATTGTGAGTGAAGATTTATAATTTTAAATTCTACTCCAAATAACTGGCACCATTCCAGGATGACAGCACGATTTATCCTATATTCCATTTTTTTCAACCTTCTCTGAATAGCCAATATTTTGTCTCTATCAGTTCATCAAGGCCAACAGATGTCTAGATTTAGAAATGTTAGTCCAGTTATTGACCTATGGGAAATAACAGTAAGACTCATGTGGATGTAAAATTCTACATTATAAATGATTTCCAGGTAAGGTAAAATGGATTAAAAGTACCTACCTTTTTTTTCTACAGTCAATTGTTCTAACATTTAGATGACTTACTATTCCTATAAATTATGACTCTCATTAAGGTTGTAACCACATCCAAAGTTATTCCAAAATAGGTAAGTCTCTATCATGGGAGCTCTTTGCTGAGGTTATGATAGAAGCTGGTTTAAGAGCTTAGAAGTAGAGATAGAGGATATGTGTGTGTGTTGGGCCGGGGTATGATTGTTAAAATAATACCTAGAAAGTGACTTTAGATCTGACATCTCATAAGAATAGGGATAATTTATTATGCGTAATTACTCTAATACTCCTTTTAGCTCTATAATTAGATGATATTGATGATCAGTTGCTTTATACTTCTTACGCAGAAGAGTGTGCCAACCACTCTTTCTTTATCAGTGGTTTAAATAGAGAAAAGCCATCATAATGTGGAATTGACAGTAGATCATGTTTTTTTCTTCCAAGATGTAAAGCTCTAATTCATTCATTCACTCATTCATTCATTCATTCATCCATTCAACAAACATTTGTTGAACACACACTGTGATCCACCAAGAAAGATGACTGGGAAAGATCAGACTTGCAGGCATGGCCTAAAAAAGAAAGATTTTCCTCTGTGTCATGCTTTATGTGAACAGGAGCATTATGGTCTTGTTAACAAGCTACCCTTCTCAAAAGAGCTAGGTGGCTGAACATGAACATGTTCTGTGAGCAGAAGCTGAGACAGTCTGGGGAAGTGGGCAGGTGGCTGGAGGTGTGGGAAGAGGAAGATCACAGGCTGCATCAATGCGAGCCTGGACTTTCCTAAAAAGAGGGAAGTACTGGCCCATGGATGAAACACACAGGTCCTATTGACCTGGGCAAGTAAAAGCACAGATTGGTATGAAGGACTCAAGAGGGTGAGGATACAGAAAATGAAATTTAAGGTGGAAAAGTGTAAATGAATATGATCAGATTAGAATAAAATAGTCACTTTTAATATTCAATAGGAAAATATTATGTAATAAAAAGGATGTAAAATTATATTCATTGTCTTATTAATGTAGACACAAAATACAGGTCAGAAAAAAATAATTGCAAGTAGTATAAAGTATATGATTCCAAAAAATAAGAAAAAATGAATGTCTATATGTAAAGACCATAACATGTTATATTAGTGGTTTTCATTGGGGAATGAGATTATGGGTGAATTAATTTCTTCTTTGTGCGTATTTGTATTTCCTATAACACACATATATTGTTTGTATTTTTGGAAAAATGTTTCTCAATAGTGGAACCTGAAAAACAAAAATTTTGCCAGTGACTCTAAAAGTAGAAAGCTGTTTATAATTGTTAAAATTTGGCCACTAAAGATGAGTTATTTTGGTTTCACAAACATTTGTAAAACAGGGTGTTCAGCCTCTTGTAAGTCAGACCTGCTGACTTTGTGCTTACCACACTGGTGTCTGTTGTGGGGATGAAGAAAATGAAAGCTGAAAAAGAATTTAATTTCTCCAGTTTTGTCAGACCTAGGCAAGAGGCAGAGTGGGCAGGGGACTGGCATGGTTGTCAGCAGCTTCTCTGGGTTTTCTCCGGCTCCTACTCTGTGGCCCCGGATCTCTTGCAACATCCTTGGTACCCAGCTAGACCATGCTTCCTCTCTTCATGCTGTGCTGAGCACAGGCAACAAGGAAAGCTAATCCTATAGAGAAGGCAGAACGTGTGTTATTGAAGAAGACTCAAGACCTCCAATGGCGTGACCATCTCAAGCCATTGTAGCCTCCTGTTTACGGAGGGACTTCTCTGAGCCAGAAACTTTCTATACCTTAGCATAAGGCATCATTGTAGTGTAGACACATTTATCTTTGTAGTCATAATCCTAAGTGATCAAGAAAATTTAAAATGCTGTTAATAATATCAGCCAATTTACTGAAAACATCCCATTTGTCAGAATAATTATTAGTACTTCAAATATACATTTATATAAACTTTTATTAGTTAAGGTATGCATGCATTTACTGTTTAAGAAGGTAGGAAGCCTTGTAATGTTTTTACATAATTGCCACTCAAAACTTTTTTTTCACTTTGTGATTTAAGAGTGAACCCTCTCAGCCACTTGCAATAGCAATAAAAATGAAGGTCCTTTCCTCACTCTCCTTCCCTCATCATCATTTTGTGCTGATGAGGAGAGCCTTAGACTAAGGTTGGAGAAGTGAGATGAAAGGAGATGCTGTCTCATTTTTTTCCGAGCGGAGAGATACTACCCACCAACCTAAGCATCCAAGGACTATGATTGTGTCCACCCATTCCTTTTCCTTTCCTGTTCCTGGTTCCCCCTGGAAACAGCCATGGTCCCTGTGGCTGGAGCGAGGAGTTCCATGGGCTGAGGGAGGGCCGCTTTCCCGGCCTTCACCTGCACTTCGTGTCAGCTCACATTTATCCTGTTCTGACCCCACACTTTCATCTTCTCTTATCTCCTCACCCTCCTTGTCCTCATCCTCCAGAGTCCTTTCACTGCTCCCCAATCTCCTGTCCGCTCTGCCAAAGCAAGGCATTTTGATCGGGCTTCTTTTAATCTTGTGGTCAACAGGTAACACACTAACGTTTAATTACTCTTTTTTCCTTCAGGTGTCCTCACATTTACCCACCCCTGTTTCATCAACTCAGTTCTGACCACCTTGCATTCTGTCTTCCTTTTCCTACAAGGGCTCAATACCAGCCGTCGGCATTACCCTTGGAGGGTATGTTGAATGTATTTCCTCCCCTGTCGCTGCTTCGGTTTGAACCGTTCAAATCTGTTACGAAAACCATTACCTGGCTCTTCCATTGTCCTTTATTTCCTCCAACCCTACTTCCCTTCTATTCTCCCTTCTTCTGCCAAAGCTTTCTTGTAAAAACAACTGCTCGAGCTATTCATCCCCCAAGCACCTGATACTTCTTGGTACTCTATAGAATAGTCCCAATTTCTATGCATGAGCTCGAGTCATATTCCCAATCTCCGCCATCAACGCCAGCCCCTCTCCATAGACTAGGCGCTATGCACTCTGGGTTCAGCCAGAATAGATGTGCCTAGTCCAGGATGAACATACTCCGTGCCTCTGCACCTTTGCTTATGCTGTTCCCTATGCCTGGAATCATCTCTTGTCCTTTCTAGCTTGAAGAAACAAACCCTTTAGATATTTCAAGCGTCAGCTCAGTTGTTACTTCCTTGTGAAACCATAAACTTAATCGCAAAATTTGTCAAGTCTCTCTTTGCTCTCAGAGCACTTCATCCATATCTCTGGTGTAGCTTTTCTCATTATTGCATAGTACATTTGTGGTCCTCATCTGTGAAATGGGAATAAACGTAGTATTGACCTTATAGGGGTGTTGTGAGGATGAAATGAGTTATTGCCAGCAGGAGACCAGGGCCAAGTGCCTAGTTTGTTACGCCACGTGTTAGTCATTGTCATTAGCATTGTCCTTTATCCTCACTGAGGCTGTGAGAGCCACAAAAATAGAGGCAGGTCTTATTCACTGTGTATCCCCAGGTCCCAGCCCAGCAGCTGCAAATGAAATTGAACTGCAGTATTTAATTCCCTCACTGCACTACCTCATGCACAGAAATGTTTGAGGAAACAAAAACAGGTTGAATTTCAGGAGACTTTTTCCTGCTACAGAAAAGCATTTTTGCAGGTGGTTGGGTGGAAATAAAGCCAAGTAACTTGGAGAAACCCTAGAATGCTGTAACACCAACACCATTTAGCTGGACCCTTGCAGTTTGTTGTCAGATAAGACATCCCCGAAGAGGCACTGAGACCCTTGGGGACCTGTGCTTAGAAGGTGCCTCGTGTTTGTAGCTGTGTCCAATTTCAGTTTCTGGAAGAAGGCAGAGGAGCTTCCAGCCAGATTGAGTATCTGTTCCCTGGCTGGCGGGCAGCCTGTGTTCTTCACACAGATGGGAAAGCCAGGGAGAAGCAGAGATAGATGAGCCCTCAACCCAATGAGCTTACGCCATGGGGATTTGTCAGAGTGCTTTGTAGTGACTTTCCTAGGGGCAAAGAAGTAAAAATTAAGATAACTCTCGCTATTGGTTTCTATTCATTCTATCATTGCAAACCAAATAAAATTAAGATCCCTTAGCTGTGTGTTAAGTTCTCCATTCACATACCCTTGGTTGCAGCCACCCTGTTTCCTAGGCTGGTACTTCCCTGTCTCTATGTCTCAGCCCCCTTGAAATACCTTACTGCCCATCTGCATGTGTCTATAGCTTACTGATCTTTCAAGGCAATCCAAAATGTGATCTCCCTTTTCCAGATATGCCAGGTCTTAGGACTCTGGCCACATCTACAGTCCTTTCTACAGAGATTCCCACCTATAACTCTACTTCTGAGGGAAGTAGTGCAAATGGTCACATGTTGTAACTCCCCAGCCTTGTAATCTGTGCCCCCCTTCTTCCTCTGCCACTGCTAACTGGGCTGGCCCTGGAGCATGGACCAGCAGATTCTGAGGTGAGCAGAAGACAGCTTTGCCCACTAGGGATCTGACTACACTGGACCAATCATATTCCCTCTTGGGCAGCTTTAATGTGAGCTAAAGGAGGAACTGCAAGTTTGTAGAAGGCAGGAAAAGAGGCCATGAGGCCATAGGTCTTTGAGAAGTTTTCAGCAAGCAAAAGCCATAATTAAGCAACACACACAAGATATGTTCAGTGTAGGGTGAGTTAATTAGTTGGCAGTGGTAGGAGCGGTGGGTGTGCATGGTAGGAGCCAGGACTACAAGGATGATTATCTTGTGCTCATAGACCCTTCCTCTTCCCAACCTGCTTTCCTGAACC
Source organism: Homo sapiens (assembly GCF_000001405.40). Lineage (NCBI taxonomy): Eukaryota > Metazoa > Chordata > Mammalia > Primates > Hominidae > Homo > Homo sapiens. Next base: position 106,508,111 of record NC_000007.14, on the reverse strand, counting down.
CTGGGTTCCATTGAAGACCAGCTACATAATTTGCAGGGCCCAGTAAAAAATGAAAATGGGAGGTTCTTTGTTCAAAAATTAAGAATTTCAAAAATGGCAGCCTTACTTGAAGTGAACCAAGTGTGTTTCTGTTCCTTATAACTGTAATCATTTGACTAAAACAGTCCTCCATTAAGTCTTGATCCCTTTCCTTTGTAAATAGTTTGACTTTGAAGTAGGGACAACTTGTGGTTTCTTTTTAACTCCCATGGTAATTTACATTTAACTTTGAGAACTTAGCACTTTATTAGAGCCCAGGAGTTAGTGAGACTCATGTCTCACCTTCCCATCTGGAAGCTAAATTATTTAAAAAGCAGGTCTATGTCTGATTTATCTTTGTTAGCCCCACTATCTTCTTATCCAGCTCATGTTGTTATAACAACTAAGTAGCAAAGGGATCATCTCTCCTCTGTTGACTTGGTTTACCAATAGTAATTAGCTACGTGACTGAGGATAAGACCAAACTGCCCCATTCTTGGGATAATCCCTTGCATAAAATATGCCCCTGGTGTTCTTAGGATTATAACAGTAGGGCATGTTCCCCCTTCACCCTTGTAAGACAGAAATAACATACTAGTGATCACAGAATCACCACTCGTAGACATTGGCTTCAATAATTACAGAAAGAGGCTTTTTGAGCTCTCAAGTCAGTAATGTAGGCTTATAGTTTATATCACATTTATAAATATGTATCAGGAACTGTGCTAAATACTTTGCACCAGGAAATAATAAACTTTATGCAACAGAACTGTGCTAAATACTTTGTCCACATTATCTTCCTTAACTTGATTCTCACCACAAACACAATAGAGGAGTTTCTGTTTTGTCCACTGGGCAATAGGAAGAACTAAGGCTTACCTTACATTGACCAGGGGCACCACCACATTACTTGATACCAAAATCCATACTCAGCCTCTGCTTCCTGTTGTCTCATCACTGTGGGATTTCACCAAATCTAGACTGTGGCCCTAGGCAAAATTGTGTCTACTGCTCCCTCCCTCCCTTATCTGAGACCATTTATTCCAGCTTTTGGGGGATTGCTACCTCTCCCACAGGTAGGCATTGCCAGCATGCTTCCCCATCACTTCTGTTAATCAAAGAGAAAAATTATCTGCTAAACACAATAGGGAGTTTAGCATTTGCATTTTTAAAAAGAGTCCAGAATCTATATTTAATCTGAAGCATGATGCTTCTAATGTTTTCTATAGCAAAAACCCTAAAGGGAGTGGAAGATGTTTGATCAGCCACTCCAAAAGGAAATCTTCTTCGAGTCTTACATTCTAATTTGTATAATCCACAACAATTTTGTTTTATTCTCCATATTCTGTTTATGTTGATGTTAAAATAACATACTATTTTAGATTACTTTATTAAATTTGATCGATGTGTAAATCTTATTATTTAGCTCTACATCCCTACCCACTGCAAATCTTATAGGAAAAATGGAACTCTTGGAACATGTGCCAGATTTATCCTGTGGATGCTTATATTCACTGGTTCATGTCTGAATCCCTCAACCCAAGAGGTTTAAAAGTCATAAATTAGAAAATTGTTAGAGGCAGAATTTGAGGATCAGAGAATGAATGGGTATTAGAGGGCAATGGTGAATCCCCAGTGGGTTTCAGCTCATACCTTGCTGGCCCATCTTCCTGACCATGCACCCAGGTGTCAGGGTGTCAGTTTCTAGAGTAGCATATAGAAAAGCAAGAATGAAATAGATACTAGTCCTGCTGTCTGGGCTGTTCAGTAGATGCTTGACAAATAGGTTGAAGTTGGGGTGTCATGCGTAAAAGACCACAACAACTGAAACATGCCTTAAAAAGGGATTCAAAACCATGATAGAATAGTAATATTCAACATCACTGGAGCACTAAAAATATACTAGACAATTGGCAAGTTTTTTTAAATTAGAAAACATGTCTTATTAATACATATGGAAGACTTTTGAGGTATTATTATCATCTGAATTTTATTTTTTTATTTTTTATTTTATTTTATTATTATTATACTTTAAGTTCTAGGGTACATGTACACAACGTGCAGGTTTGTTACATATGTATACATGTGCCATGTTGGTGTGCTGCACCCATTAACTTGTCATTTAGCATTAGGTATATATCCTAATGCTGTCCCTCCCCACTCCCCCCACCCCACAACAGTCCTCAATGTGTGATGTTCCCCTTCCTGTGTCCATGTGTTCTCATTGTTCAATTCCCACCTATGAGTGAGAACACTGAATTTTATAGATGAGAAAAGTGTGACTCAGAGAGATAAAATAGCTTGCCCAAGGTCATATGCTGATAGCTGATAAATTACTTGGCAATATTTTTGATTGTCTACTCAATTGCCATTCCCTCCCTCCTTGCTAATAAAGCCATGATTGGGTTAATCCTCTTCTAAGAAGTCTTATCTTTTAAAAGAGCCTGGGTCCTTTTCCAGCTCCACTGGGGGTGAGAGGGATGTGAACCTTAATTGGTTGAAGCCACTTATGGTCATCTCATTACCCTTGTCAAATGACTGCACTAGACATGGGCAAAGAGAGGTGAGTAGAAGTCAGCTGGAAGGCTTAGGGATGGGAAAGTTTTCCTTGTTCTTCAAAAAGGGGCACAAAGGAAGAATGTTTATTTTTATGCTTCTGGGCATTGTCATCCAAATACGGAATTTAAGACCTGTGGCACCCATTGTAAAGGATCCAGATAAAAACTTCCCTCAGAGAAGATTTATCCTGTCTTCTGCTCAGGAGATACAGGGATAACTGATCCCATTAAACCAATCAGTGACTAGAAAGAGTTGAGCTTGTTGCCGTTCTTGAAAGGCTGTGCCTACCTCTGATTCTATTCTGTTCCTGAAGTATAGTTTTCAAGGTCTTTTGACTGTGAGACTGGTGTGTTTCACTGGAGCACCTTCCTCTGGAAGTCTTGAACTCTAATGTTCATCTGCATTACTGTGAGACTGCAGAAAACCCTGCCCAACTTTTCAGAGGTTTTCTTCTTAGATGTTTAGCCTAGTGTCCCAGCTTCAGAATTCTGTGAATGTCTTGGGGAGAAAACAGTCCATGTGTTAGGCCCATTTCTCTACCCTTCTGATGTGGTTTGGCTGTGTCCCCACCCAAATCTCATCTTAAACTGTAGCTCTCATAATCCCCGTGTGTCATGGGAGGAACTCAGTGGGAGGTAATTGAATCATGAGGGTGGGATTTTCCCATGCTGTTCTTAAGATAGTGCACAAGTCTCATGAGATGTGATGGTTTTATCAAGGAGAGTTCCCCTGCACATACTCTCTTGCCTGCTGCCATGTGAGACATGACTTTGCTCTTCTTTCACCATCTGCCATGACTGTGAGGCCTCCTCAGCCATGTGGAACTGTGAGTCAATTAAACCTCTTTCCATTATAAATTTCCCAGTCTTGGGTATCTCTTTATTAGCAGTGTAAGAATGAACTAATACACCTTCCCTTCCTACTTGGACATCAGGCTCCCCGGCTTTAGTTTTGTCTGTCAGCCCCATGAGACCACCCAAATTCTCTCTGGATCTCTGTCCCCATCAGTGGCCCTGTGCTCAAAGTCTAGGTGCTCAGCTTCTTGTCCTGAGCCCAGATTTGGCACATACCCCCAAGGACAAAAGCCTGCAGAGTCAGCACACTTTGCCACCGTTATCCTTGTTCTGGAGTCCTGTGCCCTCTCATCCCTATTGCATCAGCAATCTTTAAACAGAGGATTTTTGAATTTTACCCAGTTCATTTAGTTTTTCTCAGTGGGAACACAGGTCAGCTGCAAACTACACCAAGTCTTACTCGGAAGTTAAAGGGACTCTGTTGTGTTTAAATTAAAGTAGATGATGTAAAATGACAAATATCTCAAATATCTTTTCTAATTTTTATTATAAAAATCTTCATTTACACAGAAAAGTTGAAAGAATAGTGAATCAATGTTACATACCCACCACCCACATTTTTAAAATTATTACCATTTTGCTATATTTGCTCTGTCATCTAACATTTGCTGAACCATCTCAAAATAATTTGCAAATATCATGATCCTTTTATCATAAATAATTGAGCCTGTATCTTCTAAAAATAAGAAAATTCCCTTTTGCCATAATACCGTTACTGCACCTAAATTTAATAATTTTCTATCAAATACCTGATGCATAATTAAATTTTGTCTATTGTCCCAAAAATATCATCTCTACTAGTTTCTTCCAAGTAAGATAAAGTCATGCATTGATTTTTTTTCTGACCTAGCACTTTTTTTTAAATGACATAGCAATTTTAAAATGCTATACAACTGATTTAGGTTAAATACTTTGGGTAACGATACTACATAGATGATGCTACATAGCTCACATTGCATCATATTAGCAGGCACGTGTCTCATTGCTTCAATATTAGAGATGCTAATTTGATCACTAGGTGAAGGGGATAACAGTCAGATCTTTCCACTATAGAAATTATGTTTTCCCTTTGCCATTGCCAGGTCACCTGGCACAGAGCAAATGTCCTGTTTCCTACCAACGTTTTACTTACTGGTTTTAGTATTTATCGTTAATCCTTGCCTCAATAAATTAGCTTACTGGAGATTGCAATATGGGTAATTTTCTAATTCTCTCATTCCTCCTACACTCATTATCTAGCATTCTTCTCTGTTAGAAAAAAAAATTGTTTTAAAACTTCCACCTCATCAACTGAGGACAAACTGTAATGTCTCCTGAAAATGGAGGATAAATTTTAGTTACTCTTTAATAACTAACTTTCTGAATAAGGGGATGATATGTCACCTTTAATGGTAGCAAATTAGTTTCCCCACCCCCCTTTGGAGTATAACCATGGACTTTTATTTATTTAATGTGTTCGATGAATTACAGTCATTATTCTTTTGATCTTTAAATTATTCCAGATATTACCAGTGATACCTCCTCTCAGTTGGCATGCGTGTGACAATTGAGGACTTCTGTGCTTTCTGGAACAATACAATGTTCTGTACTTGTACTTACTCTAGCCATTTCTCTAAGAAGCCTTGGTTCCTGTAACTGGAGAATAGTATATGAAAATCAAGATAATTGGACTATCAGTGCTTATTACTACCAGAATGACATTGCTTGAAACCCTTTCAATGGACAGAGACACTATATATATAGTATATGTCGTTTTGAAAATCATGAATTTTCATCGATATTTCTAATTAAAATTTAATATCACATTTTTTCTAAACTTCTTTGTATCTCTTCATTCCCACTGAAAATCTTGGACCTTAATAATATGTTTCCTAGCTTTCTCTATCCTACAAATACATAAGTTAATTCAAAATTATAGTGCTAATACCATTAAATCTTGGAACATATTCCACTAAAATGAACAGTGAAAAGTCAACTGAACTGAAGTAATTCTTTACCTTACCAATTTGTTACACTCTCAGGTTCCTTTTTTTAGTTTGTTTTCAGTTTGATAGTTTGGCTATTTTAAAGTTTTATTTTGCTTTTAATATGTAAATGCTTTAATCATCTCCTATTCACCCCACTGGTGAGGGACAGACTCCCACCGTAGGGTTATGGGGGTGGCTGATCACACATGATCTGACCCTGGGCAAAGGAGATTGGCAGCAGTTTATTAGTGATGTATACTCATGGCCTGGGGGAGCAGTCCACAGCACACCATGCAGGGCCACACAGGGAGGGTCACACAGGGATAGTACTCAGGAATAGAGTGAACAGCCAGGAGCTGTGGGAGGCAGGCTTTGTAGTACCAAGGGGGCAAAGTGCCCCGGGTTCCCATAGGAAGATGTGTGTTTGAATAATTCTGTGGACTGGTGGGGAACCAAAACCCTCTGCTCAGGAATAAGCAGGAACTGTGTCTGTCTCTTTCATAAGAAGGGTTGCTTGGCTAGAGGAACTTATCTGCAGAAGCAGAGTCAGGAGGGGAACTTACGGTGCAAGGCCCTCCTGATCTTATCAGATGTCATGGCAGCACATCATGGAGCTTTAAGTGAGGTCTTCTAGCACATGGACACGTTTGTGTGGTTCAAAACCATATACAAAAGAATCCCCAGAGAAGTACTGTTTCCTTCCTTATTCCTCCCACTCTCTTTCTCACATAAGACAGCCTCTTTTGTTAGCTTCTGATTTATTTTTCTAGTGTTTCATTTGGAAAATAATAAGCAAATCAGCAAATCTTGCTCTCTACTATTTATCTGTTATCCACCTATCATTTTTTGCTTCCTTTGTAACACAGAAGAAGCATACTTACATACATCATTCTGCATCTTGCTGTTTTCAGCCAAATACTCCATATTAGTACATAGAGATTTTTTTCTTTTTTTTTTTCTACAGCTAGGGAGTACACCATTGTGTGGAAATAACTATATTCAACCAGTTCTATATTAGTAGACGTTTGAGTTGTTTAGAATCTTTTGATATTACAAAAAGTACCACAATGAATAACATTGTGCATATGTTATTTTGTCTTTCTGGAGTTATATCTACCGAATAGAGTCTAAAAGTGGAATTGCTGAGTTGAAGGTTAAATTCTCACATAATTTTATTAGATTTTGCCAAATTAATCTTCATATGGAGTTTTCCACTCCGAACCGCATGTATCCCTCTCTATTCCCTCAACAACAGAGTATATTGCCAAACTTTTGAATTCTTTGCCAATCTGAGAAATGTTTTATCAGTGAAGTTTTATTTATATTTCCCACCTGAATGAAGTTTGTGGATCTTTGGTTCATTTAATTGCTATTTACATTTATTTTTGTCAGAAGTATTCATTCAGGTCTTTTGCTCAACATTTTCATAGGCTTCCAGTCTTCCTCTAGATTTTTAAGAGCTCTTTATATTGTTGGGGAGAATAGTCATTTTTTTGTAGTGTAAATAGCAAGTATTTACTCCCAGTTGAACCTTTTTCTTTTCAATTTGATTATGATGTTTTTTGCTATGTAAAATATTTTTATTTTAATATATTTGATTTAATAATATTATTTTTATATTTTCCCCATTCCCAGTTAATAGATGAATTCATCTATGTTTTCTTCAAATACTGCATGGTTTCTATTTTTTTTTTTTTTTTTTTTTTTTTTTTTTTTTGCAGTTAGGTTGCTGATCTATTTGGAGTTTATCTTAGTGTATAGTGTAAAGTATGGATTCTATTTTAAGTTTTTCCAAATCGTTTATCAGTTGTTTCGGTACTTGTTCTGAACACGGCTATTTTCCTAAGTGGCTTGACATGTCATCTTTATCAAATATTAAATTTCCACATGTACTTTTTAAAGCAATATTTATTGAGTTTAGCTATTGATGCTTTATTCATTTGATTAAAAGTATTGGAAGTTATCCTTCTTTACCTCTGCTCCGGAAAAATTCAAACAGCATTGGGTGTATATGCTTTCTGGAGGTTGGGTAGAATCTCTGTGAAATCATATGAGCCTGGTGCTTTGGGGGAGTTGTAGCTCCTTCGTAATTTTCTCTATAATGTTTTCTCTTTGACCTTTACTCCATTCAATTTTGAGAAATTATATTTTCCTAGAAAATTATCCATTTCATCTAGGTTTTCTATTTATTGCCATAGAATTGTTTAAAATAATCTTTTAGGTGTTAAAGATTTCCTTTCTTTCAACAGAAATTTCCCTTTTGTCATTTCTTACTTCGTGTAATTGTGCTTTCTCCTTTTATTTCTTTTGAGTAGTTTGCCTGTTTTGTTGACTTTGCAAAGAACTTTAAAAACCTAATTGTACCTACTTTATGTATTTTAACTTATTAACTCTCATCAGTCTTTTTCAAAACAAATAAACCTGAAAATAAGCAACCATAGGGAGTCTAACCTTACGGTAACAAAGAAGACTGCATCCATTAGACAGATTCCTCACTCTTCCCCTAAGTTCAGCCTTTATGATTTTCTTCGTCTATGTGTTGGATTTCAAATGCCTGCTGACCCATATAGCTGAACTGTAGATAGACGGTCTCCTTTTTCGAGGCTCCTCTAGATTTTGCTGACTTCTCAGTAATGATAGGCATAATTCATTTCTATTGGCTCATCTCCTTGCTTTACAGGTAAATAAAGTTGCAATTCCAGGGACCAAGGCCTAAAGCAGAGGTGCTTGCAATGACAGGGGAAAATGCCACACACCAAGAATAGAAATTACTTTCCACACTAATGGGGAAACATTGTTCTTCCTAATCCCAAATTTGAGGCAGCTCACTGGGGATTCTAAGCAGTAAACTTCCTATGGGCCTTGGGGGAAATTGGCACAGGGCTGAGAGGATACATGATGGGCAGACAGGTGATGTGCTCTCACTGGTTTCCTACCTCCCTCCCCAGTTCTTCCCTCTGGGCAGGCCCCTTGTCTTTTTGTTTACTTTCAATGCACCAGATTGTCTGACACCCAAACCCAGTGAAACTCTGTTTTCAGATTTATTTTTAATTGTTTTTGTTACAGAAAAAATTTAATCATGCACAGAAGTCAAGCAAGTGATAGAATGACCTCCACATACTGATGTACCAATCACCAATATTCTGCCAATTTTTTTGATCTTCCACCTTACATCACATCATGTCATCTGTAAATTTTTCAGAGGTGACCCTTAAAACAAAAAACAAAACAAAAAAAACACTACAGGCCAGGCACAGTGGCTTACTCCTGTAATCCCAGCACTTTGGGAGGCTGAGGTGGGCGGATCACAAGTTCAGGAGATCGAGACCATCCTGGCTAACACGGTGAAACCCCATCTCTACTAAAAATACAAAAAATTAGCCAGGCATTGTGGCACGTGCCTTTAGTCCCAACTACTTGGGAGGCTGAGGCAGGAGAATCACTTGAACCTGGGAGACAGAGGTTGCAGTGAGCCAAGATCGCGCCACTGCACTCCCAGCCTGGGCGACAGAGCAAGACTCTGTCTCGAAAAAAAAAAAAAAAAAAAAAACACTACACAAAATGTCATTTTCACATTTAACAAAATAATAATTCCTTAACATCACATACTAGCCAGTACAGGACATATTCCATAATGGTCTCAACAATATCATTCTCTGGTTGTTTTAACTGAATCAGGATCCAAACAAGATCCACACAAACTTTTGATGATTCAGAAAATGCAGACAAGTTGGAATGTGGTCTAAAATGGTCCAAAGTGTGAATGATTAAATTATTTTATAAATTCTACAACTTTCAGATCCAGGCAGACATACAAATCAAGCCAACAAATTATGCCTTTTTTCACAAAAAATAAGAACTTTTTATTGTGTACTAGTAATACTTATGAAAGGCCGCCCTGAACATGCTGGAAGCACTTGAAAGCAATATTCTAAGCTCTAAAAAAAAAAAATACATACGGATTGTTTTTTCTGTTTTTTTAAGCAAGGCAATTTCATTCCTGAAATTTGGGAAATTAGAAACTTAGCAAGAACAAAAAATATTGCTTAATTCTATCACTTTAAATAATTGAAATGTTTTGTCATATTTTCTTGAGGTAACCTTCATGCATATATTTATTTTCTTTTAGAATGAAATGATTATATATATAATTTTATATCCTATTTAATAGCTTAACATAGATAATGATCATTATATCTTTACTTACTCTTCAAAAATATCTTTTTTTATTATACTTTAAGTTCTGGGGAACATATGCAGAACATGCAGGTTTATTACATAGGTATACACGGGCCATAGTGGTTTGCTGCACCCATCAATCTGTCATCTACATTAGGTAATTCTTCTAATGCTATCCCTCCTCTATCCCCACACATCCCAACAGGCCCCACTGAGTGATTTTCCCTTCCCTGTGTCCATGTGTTGTCATTGTTCAACTCCCACTTATGAGTGAGAAAGTGTGGTGTTTGGTTTTCTGTTCCTGTGTTACTTTGCTGAGAATGATGGTTTCCAGCTTCATCCATGTCCCTGCAAACGACATGAACTCATCCTTTTTTATGGCTGCATAGTATTCCATGGTGTATATGTGCCACATTTTCTTAATTCAGTCTATCATTGATGGGCATTTGGGTTGGTTCCAAGTCTTTGCTATTGTGAATAGTGCTACAGTAAACATACGTGTGCATGTGTCTTTATAGTATAATAATTTATAATCCTTTGGATATATACCCAGTAATGGGATTGCTGGGTCAAATGGGATTTCTAGTTTTGGATCCTTGAGGAATCACCACACTGTCTTCCACAATGGCTGAACTAATTTACACTCCCACCAACAGTGTAAAAGCTTTCCTATTTCTCCACATCCCCTCCAGCATCTGTTGTTTCCTGACTTTTTAATGATCACCATTCTAACAGACATGCGATGGTATCTCATTGTGGTTTTGATTTGCATTTCTCTAATGACCAGTGATGATGAGCTTTTTTTCGTATGTTTGTTGGCCACATAAATGTCTTCTTTGGAGAAGTGTCTGTAAATAGCCTTCACCCACTTTTTGATGGGGTTTTTTTTTTTTTCTTGTACATTTGTTTAACTTCTTTGTAGGTTCTGGATATTAGCCCTTTGTCAGATGGATAGATTGCAAAAATTTTCTCCCATTCTGTAGGATTCCTGTTTGATGATAGTTTCTTTTGCTGTGAAGAAGCTCTTTAGTTTAATCAGATCCCATTTGTCAATTTTGGCTTTTTTTGCCATTGCTTTTGGTGTTTTAGTCATAAAGTATTTGCCATGCCTGTGTCCTGAATGGTATTGCCTAGGTTTTCTTCTGGGGTTTTTATGGTTGTAGGTCTTAGGTTTAAGTCTTTAATCCATCTTGTGTTAATTTTTATATAAGGTGTAAGGAAGGGGTCTAGTTTCAGTTTTCTGCATATGGCTGGCCAGTTTTCCCAACACCATTTATTAAATAGGGAATCCTTTCCCGATTGCTTGCTTTTGTCAGGTTTGTCAAAGAGCAGATGGTTGCAGATGTGTAGTGTTATTTCTGAGGGCTCTGTTCTGTTCCATTGGTCTATATATCTGTTTTGGTACCAGTACCATGCTGTTTTGGTTACTGTAGACTTGTAGTACAGCTTGAAGTCAGGTAGTGTGATGCCTCCAGCTTTGTTCTTTTTGCTTAGGATTGTCTTGGCTATAGGGTCTCTTTTTTGGTTCCATATGAAATTTAAAGTAGTTTTTTCTAATTCTGTGAAGAAAGTCAGTGGTAGTTTGATGGGGATAGCATTGAATCTGTAAATTACTTTGGGGAGTATGGCTATTTTCATGATATTGATTCTTTCTATCTATGAGCATGGAATGTTTTTCCATTTGTTTGTGTCCTCTCTTATTTCCTTGAGCAGTGGTTTGTAGTTCTCCTTGAAGAGGTCCTTCACATCCCTTGTAAGTTGTATTTCTAGGTATTTTATTCTCTTTGTTGCAATTGTGAATGGGAGTTCACTCATGATTTGGCTCTCTGTTTGTCTGTTATTGGTGTATAGGAATGCTTGTGATTTTTGCACATTGATTTTGTGTCCTGAGACTTTGCTGAAATTGCTTATCAGCTTAAGGAGATTTGGGGCTGAGACCATAGGGTTTTCTAAATATTCAATCATGTCATCTGAAATCAAAGACAATTTGACTTCCTCTCTTCCTATATGAATACCCTTTATTTCTTTCTCTTACCTGATTACCCTGGCAAGAACTTCCAATGTGCCCTGTTCACAACTCCTGTGTTGAATAGGAGTGGTGAGAGAGGGCATCCTCGACTTGTGCTGGTTTTCAAAGGGAATGCTTCCAGTTTTTGCCCATTCAGTGTGATATTGGCTGTGGGTTTTCATAAATAGCTCTTCTTATTTTGAGATACATTCAATCAATACCTAGTTTATTGAGAGTTTTTAGCATGAAGGGGTGTTGAATGTTGTTGAAGGCCTTTTCTGCATCTATTGAGATAATCATGTGGTTTTTGTTGATGGTTCTGTTCATGTGATGGGTTATGTTTATTGATTTGCGTATGTTGAACCAGCCTTGCATCCCAGGGATGAAGCCAACTTGATCATGGTGGATAAGTTTTTGATGTGCTGCTGGATTTGGTTTGCCAGTATTTTATTGAGGATATTCGCATCGATGTTCATCAAGGATATTGGCCTGAAATGTTCTTTTTTTGTTGTGTCTCTGCCAGGTTTTGGTATCAGGGCGATGCTGGCCTCATAAAATGAGTTAGGGAGGATTCCCTCCTTTTCTATTGTTTGGAATAGTTTCAGAAGTAATGGTACCAGCTCCTCTTGGTACCTCTAGTAGAATTTGGCTGTGAATCTGCCTGGCCCAGGGCTTTTCTTGGTTGGTAGGCTATTAATTACTGCCTCAATTTCAGAACTTGATACTGGTCTCTTCAGGGATTCGACTTCTTCCTGGTTTAGTCTTGGGAGGGTGTATGTGTCCAGGAATTTATCCATTTCTTCTAAATTTTTTAGTTTATTTGCATAGAGGTGTTTATAGTATTCTCTGATGGTAGTTTGTATTTCTGTGTGATCATTGGTGATATCCCCTTTATCATATTTTATTGTGTCTATTTGATTCTTCTCTCTTTTCTTCTTTATTAGTCTGGCTAGCAGTCTATCTATTTTATTAATCTTTTCTAAAAACCAGCTCCTGGATTCATTGATTTCTTAAAGGATTTTTGTGTGTGTGTGTGTGTCTCTATCTCCGTCAGTTCTGTTCTAATCTTAGTTATTTATTGTCGTCTGCTAGGTTTTGAATTTGTTTGCTCTTGCTTCTCTAGTTCTTTTAATTGTGGTGTTAGGGTGTGGATTTTAGATCTTTCCTGCTTTCTCCTGTGGGCATTTCGTGCTATAAATTTCCCTCTAAACACTGCTTTAGCTGTGTCCCAGAGATTCTGGTATGCTGTGTCTTGGGTCTCATTGGTTTCAAAGAACTTGTTCATTTCTGCCTTAATTTCACTATTTACCCAGCAGTCATTCAGGAGTAGGTTGTTCAGTTTCCATGTGGTTGTGTGGTTTTGAGTGAATTTCTTAATCCTGAGTTCTAATTTGATTGCACTGTGGTTTGAGAGACTGTTTGTTATGATTTCTGCTGTTTTGCGTTTGCTAAGGAGTGTTTTACTTCCAATTATGTGGTCAATTTTAGAATAAGTGTGATGTGGTGCTGAGAAGCATGTATATTCTGTTGATTTGGGGTGGAGAGTTCTGTAGATGTCTATTAGGTTCGCTTGGTCCAGAGCTGAGTTCAAGTCCTGAATATTCTTGTTAATTTTCCGTCCCATTGATCTATCCAATATTGACAGTGGGGTGTTAAAGTCTCCCACTATTATTTTGTGGGAGTCTAAGTCTCTTTGTAGGTCTCTCAGAACTTGCTTTATGAATCTGGCTGCTCCTGTATTGGGTGCATATATATATACATATTGGGTGGGATAGTTAGCTCTTCTTGTTGCATTGGTCTCTTTACCATTATGTAATGGCCTTCTTTGTCTCTTTTGATCTTTGTTGTTAGTCTTATGGGCTTCCCTTTGTGGATAACCCAACCTTTCTCTCTGGCTGCCATTAACATTTTTTCTTCATTTCAACCTTGGTGAATCTGATGATTCTGTATCTTGGGGTTGCTCTTTTTGAGGAGTATCTTTGTGGTATTCTCTGTATTTCCTGAATTTAAATGTTGGCCTGTCTTTCTAGGTTGGGGAAGTTCTCCTGGATAATATCCCGAAGAGTGTTTTCCAACTTGGTTCCATTGTCCCCGTCACTTTCACATACACCAATCAAATGTAGGTTTGGTCTTTTCACATATTCGCGTATTTCTTGGAGGCTTTGTTCGTTCCTTTTCATTCTTTTTTCTCTAACCTTGCCTTCACACTTTATTTCATTAAGTTGATCTGCAGTGTCTGATGTCCTTTCTTTTGCTTGATTGATTCGGCTATCGATACTTGTGTATGCTTCACAACGTTCTCGTGCTGTGTTTTTCAGCTCCATCAGGTCATTTATGTCCTTCTCCAAACTGGTTATTCTAGTTAGCAATTCGTCTAACCTTTTTTCAAGGTTCTTAGCTTCCTTGTATTGGGTTAGAACAAGCTGCTTTAGCTTAGAGGAGTTTGTTATTACCCACCTTCTGAAGCCTGCTTCTGTCAATTTGTCAAACTCATTCTCTGTCCAGTTTTGTTCCCGTGCTGGTGAGGAGTTGTGACACTTTGGAGGAGAAGAGGTGTTCTGGTTTTTGGAATTTTCAGCCTTTTTGTGCTAGTTTTTCCTCATCTTCATTGATTTATCTACCTTTGATGTTGGTGACCTTCAGATGGGGTTTTTGTGTGGACATCCTTTTTGTTGATGTTGATGCTATTCCTTTCTGTTGGTTAGTTTTCCTTCTAACAGTAAGGCCTCTCTGCTGCAGGTCTGCTGGAGTTTGCTGGTGGTCCACTCCAGACCCTGTTTGCCTGGGTATCACCAGCGGAGGCTGCAGAACAGCAAAGATTGCTTCCTTTTCCTTCCTCTGGAAGCTTCGTCCCAGAGGGGCACCCAGCAAATGCCAGCCAGAGATCTCCTGTATGAGGTGTCTGTCAACCCCTGCTGAGAGGTATCTGCCTATCAGGATGCACGGGGGTCAGGGACCCACTTGGGGAGGCAGTGTGATCAGAGCCACTTGGGGAGGCTCTGATAAGAGCTTGAATGCTGTGCTGAAAGATTGGCTGCTCTCTTCAGAGCCAGCAGGCAGGAACATTTAGGTCTGCTGAAGCTGCACCCACAGCCACCCCTTCCCCCAGGTGCTCTGTCCCAGGGAGATGGAAGTTTGATCTATAAGCGCCTGACAGGGACTGCTGCCTTTCTTTCAGGGTTGCCCTGCCCAGAGAGGAGGAAACTTGAGAGGCAGTCTGGCTACAGCAGCTTTGCCAAGCTGCGCTGGGCTCTGCCCAGTTCGAACTTCCTGGTGGCTTTGTTTACACTGTGAGGGTAAAATCACCTACTCTAGCGTCAGTAATGGCAGATGCCCCTCCCTGTGCCAAGCTCAAGCATCCCAGGTTGACTTCAGACTGCTGGGCTGGCAGCGAGAATTTCAAGCCAGTGGATCTTAGCTTGCTGGGCTCCATGGGCGTGGGATCTGCTGAACTAGACCATTGGGCTCCCTAGCTTCAGCCCCCTTTCCAGGGGAGTGAATGGTTCTGTCTCACTGGCATTCCATGTTCCACTGGGGTATAAAAAAACCTCCCTAAAGGGGCTGACAGTTGAAGGCTATTGGCCCATGACATTCTCAGGAGCTGGGGCAATGGGGCTTCACTGATGTGGGAGCTGGGCAGTGCATCCTTGTGTCTAGCACATGGCTACTTCAAGTCATTTTTCCCAGCAGACTCTTCTATCACGCCTCAAACTTCTTCCCATTTCTGCCTGAGATAAACTTTCTCCATAGTTTTCAGACCAACATCATTTGCCCCAAACTCTCCACCCCGTCTCATGAGAGAGAGAGAGGGAGAGAGAGAGAGAGAGAGAGAGAGAGAGAGAGAGAGAGACACTAACATAATTACTGAGTTTCCTCTGTCTTCTCCCTCCCTCCCTCCTTCCCTCTGTTTTTCAGTCTCTTGCAGTCAAAAACATACTTGTTCAACACATCCAGCTAGGGTTTAAGGTGTAGTGTGGAATAGGACAGCAGTTTTTTTCTGGGATGCTACTTCATGCGTGGAGCACAAAACTGAGTGTGATCACTTCTAATAAGCTATTTGACTTAGCAAAAGCTAATAATGAGAGAAAAAGATTTTGTTATTTTTATTGTGGCTGTTATTCAGTCACTATAAGCTATCATATTATTATGTAGGGCCTTAAAATTTATTGAGAATCTACAGACAATGGAAAAGACACCAAAAATGTAAGTAGTTAAAACATGTTCCTGTCTTTGAGAAATATAACATGGGATTTGGAAGAAGTTGAGGTTGAAGGAAAATTTAACTGCTTTTTGGGGTTGGCAGGATCTTTAGAGATCTCTCACTTCAGTAGAGGAGAATGCAGCAGTGAGAGCAAAAGTGACTTGTGGTTTGTTTAGAATCACTGAGCAGAAATGGAACCAGAAGTTGGATCTTCATATTCCTAGCTCACTGTACTTTTTATTACTCAAATTGCCTTTATGGCCTCCAGTGTCCCCTCTGCAGAAAGCTACCTCCTCCAATGTCACACCCTTTCCCAGGGTGGCCTGCATCCAATGACTGATCACTATGGCGACTTCAGTTAGCAAATAAGCTGCCACATGTCTAGGACCTTAAAGATGTAAATGGCAACTTCTGTACTGCATTCTAGAAGTGTTGAGGTCCTCTGCACAGCAGCAAGTGCATAGAGCACTAAGTTGTCTGAGCTGAGGAGGGGCATGTGTACTGGAAGGCTACAGCTGGTGGCCTGGCCGTGGACTAGGTTTCTCAGCGACTCCCCATTTATAACGGTTCTGTCTCACTGGCATTCCAGGTTCCACTGGGGTATAAAAAAAACCTCCGGCACCTAGCTCAGTGTCTGCACTTCAGCTGCCCAGTTTTGTGCTTGAAACCCAGGGCCCTGGTGGTGTAGGCATCTGAGGGAATCTCCTGGTCTGCAGGTTGCGAAGACCATGGGAAAAGCATAGTATCTGGGCTGGAATGCACCATTCCTTATGGCACAGTCCCTCAAGGCTTCCCTTGGCTAGGGGAGGAAGTTTCCCAACCCCTTGCACTTCCTGGGTGAGGCAATGCCTCGCCCTGCTTCGGCTATGCCTCACCCCATTTTGGCTCGCCCTCCATGGGCTGCACCCACTGTCTAACCAGTCCCAGTGAGATGAGCCGGGTACCTCAGTTGGAAATGCAGAAATCGTCCACCTTCTGCATTGATCTCACTGGGAGCTGTTCCTATTTGGCCATATTGCCGGCCACCTCCAAAAATATCATTTTTAATGGCTATATAACTGTCCACAGTACAGACCTGTTTTGTTTATTATCTAGTCCTCTAAGGTTGAATATTAAATGTATTTTCATTTTATTATAAATAACCTTGAAATAATTCTTGCATACAAATCTGAGCTTCCGTTTTTATTTTTTCAAGAACAAGGGGGAGTCTCCCTGCACAAGCTCTCTCTCTTTGCCTGCTGTCATCCACCTAAGATGTAACTTGCTCCTCCTTGCCTTCCACCATGATTGTGAGGCTTCCCCAGCCACGTGGAACTGTAAGTCCAATTAAACCTCTTTCTTTTGTAAATTGCCTAGTCTCAAATATGTCTTTGTCAGCAGTGTGAAAATGGACTAATACACATACTAAGTTTATGGTACTATATCATGAAATACTAGCAAACTAATAAAGTAATTATTCTATAGTAATTAAAATGATAGTGGTTCAACAAAAGTTTATTTCTCACACTCTATGAAGCATTGGCTTTGGTTTTGGCTGCCTGGCCCCAAGCTTCGTTCTGCAGCTCCTGGGGTGATTCTCTGCACCTCACATTCCAGAGCTCTTTGCATTGTAGTCACTCAGATACCCAAACTGACAGATGCTCCATCTCAACAGGTACTTCCACCATCATCAGGGCAGAAAAAAGGCAATGTGACAAGTTGCACATTGGTACCTACAGTTTCTGTTTAGATGTAACAGATATCATGATTTGACAGATGTCGTGTCAAATCACACAGCCATACCTAATTTCAGAGTGAGTGATAAGTGTAATTGTGCAAAGAGTAAGATGGAAATGTTTGTGAACAGTGAGTACCAGACTATGCTCGAGTGGCCACTAGGCCCCAGTCAAGCCAGCTGAGTGAGCAGTTCTTCACAGTGCACTGATAGTTCTATATTTATGTTCTGTGCTACCTGAGATAGCTAGACTCACATTTTCATTCACTGGTGGCCCCAAAGGAATGTTTTCTTCGGTAGTTCTTTGACCAGTCCTCTGTGCTGGGAGATCTGCTGCTCTCTCCAGAGCTGGCAGGCAGGCACTTTTGTTCACCTATTCATTAAATCAAATATTATGTCTAAAATACTGTGCATGATATATTGTCTCTAAAGATGCCTTCCAGCAAGTCCTTCCTGTACATTTATATTACCTTCCCCATCAAGACATAGAATCTGCCTTTCCTCTCCTTAAAATCAGGCTGGTTTTGTGGTTTACTTTGGCCAACAGAATGAGGCAGAAGTTACACTGTGCCAGTTTGGGCCCAGCTCTTCACAGGCCTGGCAGCTTCCACTTTTGCTCTCTTAAAATCCAGCTTTCCTGCTGAAGAGGCTGCGTGGGGAAGAATCCTGGAAAATGACAGGACACCTTGAACATTCAAGCCCTAGGTGAGCAGTCAGCTGAGTGCAACCACATGAAGGATCATAGCTGACACAACCTAGTGCTGAGAAGAACTGGCCCTGCTGAGCCCTGACCAAATTGTAGAATTATGAGCAAACACATGGTAGCTTTAAGCCACAAAGTTTGAGGGTGTTTTCTTTTGTAATAATAAACATTTGCTCTACTATACATGGTTCCCTGATTTTGCACATTTAAAATAAAATTCAGTGTGTGTGATAATTGTTACTGAAAAGACATAAAATACTGAGGGAGATCAGAACAGGGAAAATACATGCAGGCAGAGGCATTGGGGAATCCTTCACAGAGAAGATGGTAATTGAAATGGGCTTTAAAGACTCAGCCCAGTTTATTGTCATCTGTAGCTATCCATTTCCCTCAGGAGATTTTACACATACCCCCCACTACCAACACCACCACTATTGCTTTCATATTAAGATTTAAATAAATAACACACTGATAATTTACTTGAACCCTCCTGTCCAGTTGTTTGCATTTTAGTGGAGGACTGCGTTAACGAATGGTGGTGTTTCAGAAACAACCACAGGGCAAGACTTTGTCAGGACCTTTGCAGCACCAACCAACTTGTATCACATGGTTGATCTTTACTACATTTCCTGGAAGGCTGCCTCTACTTGTATCCCCTACCATGTCCACAGGATGACACAAAGGGACAATCTCCCATTCAAAGCTACATGTTTTGATTCTCTCTTTGGAGCTCACTATAAGCCTCGAAATTAACCAGCTCAATACAAAGACTTCTGTCTCCTTGCATTTCCAACCAGTGATAACTGTAGGCAAACTAACCCTGCATCTTCAGTCTTCAAAAGGTAGCTACGTGTGTCAAGCTCTTCCATCATTAAAATCTCAAACTTGCACTTAGCTGAAAAGTCAGCAATATGGCAAGTGTGATGGTTAATATTAGGTGTCAGCTTGATTGGACTGAAGGAAACCTAGATAGCTGGTAAAGTATTGTTTCTAGGTGTGTCTGTGAGGGTGTTGCCAGAGGAGATTGATATTTGAGTCAGTGGACTGGGAGAGGAAGACCCATCCTCAATGCGGGTGGGCCTCATCCACCCAGCTGCCAGCTCGGCTAGAACAAAGCAGGTGGAAGAAGGTGGGATAAGCTGGCTTGCTGAGTCTTCTGGCTTTTATCTTTCTTCTGTGCTAGATGCTTCCCGCCCTTGGATATCAGACTCTTTGGCCTTTGGACTCTCGGACTTACATCAGTGGTTTGCCAGGGGCTCTTGGGCTTTCGGCCACAGACCCAAGGCTGCACTGTTGGCTTCCCTGCTTTTGAGGCTTTTGGACTTGGTCTGAGCCACTACTGGCTTCTTTCTTCCCCACCTTTCAGACAGCCTGTTGTGTGAGCCAATTCTCCCTGATAAACTCCCTTTCATGTATAGATATATTCTATTCTGTTCCCCTGGGAAACCCTGGCTAATACAGCAAGTAAGCAGATAGATTTAGAAGACCAAACCCAGTGAAGCTAGGTTTCTAGATCTGACATTGGAATCCAGTACATTTAAAGATGCTCATACTATGTGACCTAGTAACTTGGCTCCTAGTATATATCCTCAGTGTGTCCAAGGTGACAGTATGCAAATGTTCATGAAATGAGAAAAACTTGGAACCAATTTACATGTCAATGAACAAAAAATAGCAGAAAAATAAATACCTGTATATTCTTTCAATATATAGCAACAACACAGAACTAGAATACATATATTAATATCCATAAATCTCAAAAATAGGTTGAGTGGAAAAAGCAAGGCACAGAATACCATTTACAGTATGACATCATTTATAAAGCTTTGAAACATGCAAAGTAATACAATATATTATTTGTGAATATATACATATGTAGTGAAGTTTAAAATATTCATGGAAATGATAAACAGCAAATTCAGGATACTGATTACATCTTGGGGGGATATAGAGGAAAGGGATTAACAATGAATATAAAAAGGGCTTTAATTATGACTATAATATTTTATTTAAGTTGGGGAGTAGATACATGAGTCTCAGTATATTGTTCTTGGTACTTTTCTGTATGTCTGAAATATTTTTCTTGACATTTAAATGAAAATAGATGAAAAAAATTGTCTTAGGGTGAATGGACTCTCACTGGAGACCATGAAGGCAATTTGAGTAATAAAAAGTACAGTGAGCTAGGAATATGAAGATCCAACTTCTGGTTCCATTTCTGCTCAGTGATTCTAAACAAACCACAAGTCACTTTTGCTCTCAGTGCTGCATTCTCCTCTACTGAAGTGAGCGATCTCTAAAGATCCTGCCAACCCCAAAAAGCAGTTAAATTTTCTTTCAACCTCAAGTTCTTCCAAATCTATGTTTTATTTCTCAAGGGCAGGAACATGACTTAACTACTTTACATTTTTGGTGTCTTTTTCATTGTCCGTAGATTCTCAATAACTTTTAAGGCCCTACATAATAATATGATAACTTATAGTGACTGAATAACAGCCACAATAAAAACAACAAAATCTTTTTTTCTCATTATTAGCTTTTGCTAAGTCAAATAGCTTATTAGAAGTGACCACACTCCGTTTTGTGTTCCACGCATCAAGTAGCATCCCAGAGAAAAACAGCTGTCCTATTCCACACTACACCTTAAACCCTAGCTGGATGTGTTGATCAAGTATGTTTTTGATTGCAAGAGACTGAAAAAGAGAGGGAGGGAGGGAAGAAAGAGACAGAGAGAGAGAGAGAAAGAAACTGTATGTGTTATCATATTAACTAATCCTGGCAGCCAGAAAAAAATTTCAAAATGATGCCTCTTTGATGAAGAGTTAGTGGTAATTATCTTCTTACGAAAGAAAAGTTCCAAATGTCAATCTGATTCTCCCTCTTCTATTAATGTAACTTTTCAAATATGTCTTCCCCTTTTTCTCTTCCCCAAGCATTGCTTGCAAGTCACTTTGGATCTCACTTTGTTCTGGGGTCTCTGTTCATGTGTACTGTGCATTTTCTGTTCATGTGTACTGTGGAAGCCTTATGAACAAACAGCAGGGGGATTTTACCAGGAACTGGAGGTAACAAAACAACTTGTTCAAAGGTGAGAAAATCAAGGCTGAGTTTTTGTCTAGTGCCCTGGTGAGGAGTGGATGAACCTTTAAGGATGTAATTTTACTTGGAAAAGAAACTAGGTTAGGAAAAAAATCACAATTTCCATGCAGACCACTTATGCTAGATAACGTCAGAGATTACAGCTAAAAAAGTGGAGAAGTATTCAATTGAATGGAATAAATGCCAGAAAGTTTATTACCTAATTTGTCCTATTGTACATGGAGCACCAAAGGAATGCAGCCACAGAGTATTGAAATGATTAATCATTGAGTTTTTTCTTGATTAATCATTGAAATGAAGGCACTCAGAGTGCACTTAGGTGCTATTAGGTAAAAGCAGGCACTTCGAAGCTGTTTTGCCCAGTGAAGCATAATATTGCTGAGGCCACTATGTGGAATGTGGGGAATGAGTTTATCGACTCTTCTTCTCATTTATTTTCAGGAGGAGGAGATTTAAAAGGAGTCTTCTAACCCTGGCTGGCTTTGTTTCTCTTATCATTTTGGGAAATGATTCCTCTTCTCCCTTAGAAAGGCCAATCGATTTCTCATGTGACTGGAGTGAACTGACAGGAACACACTTTTTGTAGTAAATTAGATTGAGTTTGGTTCATGAAAAACACAAAGGAAGCCAACTCTGTGGGAGCAAACTATAGTTTGGAACCCTGTGTACTCTACATGTTCAGAAGTTGAAAAGTAGGACAAGTTCAGCCAACATTTCATTATTTGGAGCCTGATTCTTTGTACAGACAGAGCTGACTATTGTAAACAGTGGAGAAAAGCTACTAAGTGAACATAACCATAAATGTAGAAGTAAGCTTACCCATCTAGGGACAGATATCCATGAGACAGTGTGACAAATCAAATAAAGTGGAGAAAAAAATGAGACTGATCATGAGAAGGGGTGGAGAGTTTGGGGCAAGTGATGTTGGTCTGAAAACCATGGAGAAAGCTTATCTCAGGCAGAAACTTGAAGAAGTTTCAATTGTGATAGAAGAGTCTTCTGGGAAAAGTGACTTGAAGTAGCCGTGCGCTAGACACAAGGATGCACTGCCCAGCTCCCCCATCAGTGAAGCCTCATTGCCCCAGCTCCTGAGAATGTCATGGGCCAACAGCCTTCAACTGTCAGCCCCTTTATGGATTGTCCCCTCTGCAGAAACCTACCTCCTCCAATGTCACACCCTTTCCCAGGGTGGCCTGCATCCAATGACTGATCAGTGTGGCGACTTCAGTTAGCAAATAAGCTGCCACATGTCTAGGACCTTAAAGATGTAAATGGCAACTTCTGTACTGCATTCTAGAGGTGTTGAGGTCCCCTGCACAGCAGCAAGTGCATAGAGCACTAAGTTGTCTGAGCTGAGGAGGGGCGTGTGTACTGGAAGGCCACAGCTGGAGGCCTGGCAGTGGACTAGAAGCTTTCTCAGCAACTCTCCATTTATTAAGGTCAATGACACTAGGGTTGTCTGTGCTCAGGGCTCAAAAAGACTTGGAGTGACAAGGCTGAAACATTCACTTGCTGACCAATCTAGCTCCAACTTCTGGAACAAATCAATGTTGCATGACAAAGATTCTAATTTTAGCTTCATACATTTTTCTCTGTGAATATATGTGGTTGTTTATTACCATTACTAATTTAACATCCAGTGACATGAAGGAAAGAAACAATGAGTCAGACACCATCTGTGTGCATCCTGAGCAATTAGTTTCTTTGAAACCAGAGGCAGAGAAACAGGTTGGTTTTAAAATCTGCTCATGAACTTGTGGGGACACTTTTGTCTGGTTTGCAATCACATTTGTGCCTGGTAGCCCGAAACAGTAAAGCTTGGGATTTGTCCACTCTTCAAGGTGATATAAGTTTGAGAGGAGAATGTCTTCACATTCAAACTCTCCTCTATTGCTGAAGAATCTAAATTGCTTCTGTCAGGCAACCTGAATTCTACCATCACTTCCTGGGCACTTGAAGATAAACTGTTTGTAGTTCACAGCTCTAGGTCCTAAAAGACTTTGCTATTAGCAGAGCCTCTTGTGCAATCTTCACTCCCTTTTGTGTGTAGCTGCATAAAGTTAATAATAAATTACAAAATTGGTCACGTGGAGGCTGGCCACAGCCAGTTCCAAGTTACAATTCAGCTTACTGCCACCTTCATTTCCACCCTGGCTTTGCCTCATCAGTGGTGCTGTGATGAAATTAAGGATGACTTTAGGAAGACATAGGATGATGGAAAAATAGGAATTCAGTGGTTTTTTGTTGCTTTCTTACAACAATAAAAAGTTTAGCAGGCAGAGGAATCCTTTTGTTTTCATCTAATTTTTCTTAAGTTCTCCTTAAGTTAGTCAACATACTTCATCAGAAAAAATAATAGTAAAAGAAGCAATTTATCAATACTTCACCAAGTGGATGTTGAGTATCTGAATAATATCTGCTGAGGAGGAATGAGGACTGCAAGCTTATTTTTTTTTTTTTAAGATGGAGTTTCACTCTTGTTGCCCAGGCTGGAGTGCAGTGGCATGATCTCTGCTCACTGCAACCTCTGCCTCCTGGGTTCAAGCGATTCTCCTGCCTCAGCCTCCCTAGTAGCTGGGACTACAGGCACGCGCCACCATGCCCACCTAATTTTTGTATTTTTAGTAGTGACGGGGTTTCACCATGTTGGCCAGTATGGTCTCAATCTCTTGACCTCGTGATCCACCCGCCTCAGCCTCCCAAAATGCTGGGATTACAGGCATGCAAGCATACTATTTTTAAGAGAATGAATCAGTCATTGTGGTAAACATTGGTGCTGCTCTCCAGTATTTCTGGCTACCCTCTCCTTTTGGACACTTGGGAGGGCTGCACTTCCCCACTCTTTGAGGCTAGGTGTGGACCTACAATTTGCTTCAGTCAATTAAGTAAAAGTACAAGTCATGTATACTACTTCCAGGTGGACACATTCAACAGACAATATGCGAGTTTCCATGCTTGCTTTTTTTCCTGCTATGACAAATGAGGTATCTTGGTGAAACAGTGACATCATAAGATGGTTTGGAGTAATTCTGTGACTGGAGCAGAGCCCATCACCAATTATCACTGGACATATAGTGGGAATGATAAATATTTATTGTGTTAAGCCACAGAGTTGTTTTATTCTTTTTATTTTTTCTTTTCCTGTAGCTAACCTTGCCTATCCTAGCTAAACTAACTAGTGTAACACTAAGCAGACCCAGAGAAAAGATCAATTTTGACATCTGGGGATCACACAATAAAAAAGTCTTCTTGCTACTTGGTCAACAAGCCTCGTTCTCTCTAAGATTTTTTTTGTGCCTCACTTTTATATGACAAAGGATAGCCAAAGATCACCAAATATTTGAAAAAGCCTCCAATTTGAGAGGCCAAGTGCAAAGTAAATAGAAAAAAAAAAAGTCATTTAGTAAAAAATACAAGTAATTCATGTAGCAGGATTTAAAAAATCTATCATATTTTCAGAAAGATAAATATATTTATCAATGAAAAAACAGTGAAATAAAGGAAAATAATCAAAAAATTGAATAAGAGCTCTTAGAAATAAAAAACATGATGGCAAGAAATGTCGAAATGATTCAGTAAAAGTGGAACTCACCTAGAATAAAGAAAAAATTCAAAAAGAGGGAGAATAGAAGTGAAAAGGTTATTGGATTAGAAGATTGCTACAGGCTGAATTATATCCCTCCAAAATTCATGTTTAAGCTCTAATCCCCAATGTGACAGTATTTAGAGATAGTGCCTATAAGGAAGTAATAAAGGTTAAATCAGGTCATAAGATACAGTCCTGATCCAGTAGGTCTGGTATCCTCATAAGAAGAGTGTATGTCAAAGATCTCTCTCTCTATATATATACACACAAAGAAAAGGTCACGTGAGCACACGGTGAGGTCGCAGCTGCCTACTGGCTAAGAGAAGAGAACTCAGAATAAAACCTGCCTCACCAGCACCTTGATCTTGGACTTCTCAGCCTCCAGAACTATGAGAAATAAAGTTCTATTGTTTAAGCCACTCAGCCTGTAGCATTTTACTACGGCAGCTCCAGCAGACTAAGAAAAGGATCAATCCCCAAGATGTAATTTCTAATTAATATGGGTTCCAGGAAGTCTGAACAGAAAGAGAGAACAGAGGAGGAAATCATCAAAGAAATAACACAATAAAAATTCTTAGAGTAATGGATCAACAGAGTAGCCAGCACAATGAATAAAAGAAGAAATAGTTGAAGGCTCACTAGAATGGCATTTTAAAACACCAAAGGCTGGGTGTGGTGGCTCACACCTGTAATCTCAGCACTTTGGGAGGCTGAGGCAGGTGGATCACCTGAGGTCAGAAGTTTGAGACAAGCCTGGCCAACATGGTAAAACCCCGCCTCTATTAAAAATACAAAATTTGCCGGGTGTGGTGGCACGCCCCTGTAGTCACAGCTACTCGGGAGGCTGAGGCAAGAGAATTGCAAAACTCTGTCTCAGAAAAAAACTAACCAAACAAAAACACCCACCAAGGATAAGAGATTCAAAAAGCTTCCAAAACAAAACAAACAAATGAACAAAAAACACTTACAGAAAAAATGGCAACCAGAATGTCATCAGACTTATCAGCAGCACTGGAACTACAAGATAACAGCACAATGCCTTTAAAATTCTGAGGACACATAATTTTCAACCTAGAATTCTATGCCTGATCAGACAATCAAGTGTTAGTAGAATTATGACCTGTGCAAAGTCTCTAACACATTTCTCAAAAAACTGCATGTGTTCCACCAAACATATTTCAACACAATGAGAGTAGTAAATATTTATTATATTTTAGCTCATTTGATCTTCAGGACAACCAAAGAAGGCAAGTACTGTTCTTTTTACCAGTTTACAGACTGGAAAATTGAGGCATAGATAGGCAGTGTCTTCAATGTGGCACAAATAATGATATAGAGCTGGACTCTAAATTTATTCTAACTCCAGAGCCCATGTTTTTAGGCACTATTTTCCATGACCTCTACAACAATCACATTTAACTCACTAAACAATGCACCCAACACAGAAGAGAGTCAAAGGAGATTTTCAGAATAGCACCTATACTGCAGACCCAGAGAAAAATTAGTCAAGATTGGAATAAAGAAATGAGGAACTCTAAGAAAAATATCTCCAGGAGAGAATAAAAAAGGGATAGTTTGTCTGAAAGTTTTGACCAAAATAAAACTATATTGAGATGATGGCCTGGGAAAATTCAATTTTAAATGAAAATATGAAGCTGGGAGTGGTGGCACATGCCTATAGTCCCAGCTGCTTGGGAGGCTAAGTTGGGAAGAATGCTTGAGCCCAGGAGTGTGAGACTAGCCTGGGCAACTAAAGCAAGACCCTGTATCTACCTTTTAAAAGAGGAGGGAGAAGAAAATCTTTTTTAACGTTAAGAAAAACCAAAGTGAACAAATAATGCTAGTTTACTATTGACCTCAGATATAAAATCATTTATGTGTTTACAGTGTATGCTGAATATTGATTTAATGAAAAATTGTGGTTAAAATATATTTAGAGGCAGGACTTCCAACTATGGTGGAGTTAAGAGATTAGAAAATACTGTTGGCAAAAAGCAAATATAAAACTAGACAAAATTGTGAAAACAACAATTACTTAAGGGCCCTGGAAATTAACCAGACACAAACAACATTTAAAGAAGCATTTATTCATGCAAACTGCTTGCACTTACTTTGGGGAAGAACAGTGTGAGTTTGCCACCTTTTTGTCTGGGGCTACTCCCATCCCCTTCAGCTCAGTTGGTGAGAAAGATAGTTTTTCCAGGGAAGAGCTGGCTGTGGAAACCAGTAGCTTCACAGCCAGAAGGAAATGACTTGGTTGGGAGCAGAGAGCAAAAATCCACAGACAATATCATTGTCAGTATAAGTAGAAAACCCGTTAGGAAACAAACAGGAAAAACTCCCAACTCTGCTAGACTAAAGTGTGGTCTGGTTAGGGTGGCAACCAGCCAGAAATATGTAGGGAGGTACCTAAAATGAGAGCATTATGAAGGGACGAGACAAACTCTTTGTATCTCCCTGGCTAACGGGGAAACCATGTGCCCACTCAGAGGAGATTCAAATCAGTCTCTTAGAAGTAAAAGTTGAAATATACTTGAAAATGTCTGGCTTTTGGATGTACTCTCCAACTTATGCACAGTTGGGTATCCTCACAGAGGGTGGAAAACTTATGAAATTGAGACATTTAAACACAACCTTTCACCAACCATTGGCTGACCACTAAACTATGCACAGACAGGTGTGACCCCTGAGAAGCCAGGATGTTAAAAAACTAATGTAAAGATTTAAAAAGAAACTGGGCAGAGACATCAGCATCTGCATGTTGTAGGGGAGAGAGGTTCCTCAGGTTAAGCCTAGGCAAGTTACTAAAACAACCACAACTTTCACAAGAAAGTGAAATCCAGAGTTGCTGTAATGTATTATTTAGATTATCTCTGGTTTCCAACACAAAAGCCTGAGACATACAAAGAAACAAGAAATGTGACCCATAGTCATGATAAAAATCAGTCAGCAGAAATTGACTGTCATGTTGAACTTAGTAGCAAAAACTTCAAAGCTGCTATTATAAATATGTTCAAAGAATTAAGTGAAGTAACATTTAAAAAATTAAATGAGTCACGTGCAGTGGCTCACACCTGTAATCCCAGTGCTTTGGGAGGCTGAGGCAGGAGGACTGCTTGAGCCCAGGAGTTTGAGACCAGCCTGGGCAACATCTCTACAATAAACATATAAATATTAATAAATGAAAATATGATGACAATGACACACAAATAGGAAATCTCAACAAATATCCAGAAACTAGAAAAAGGAACAAAATGGAAATTCCAGAATCAAAATATAATAACCAATGTGAAACAGTCACTAGGTGGTCTTAACAATAAGATAATGGAAATAAAAAAGGTATAAACCTGGAGATAGATCAACAGAATATTCAATGTGGAGAAGAGAGGAAGGAAAAAGATTGAAGAAAAAAAACCCCAGAGCTTCAAAGACCTGTGGGACAATATCAGGTATGCCAACATACATCTGTATATGCATCCCAGAAGGAGAGGAAGAGACAGAGAACATATGTGAAGGAATAATGGCAAAAATCTTAACAAATCTGATGAAAAACATTAATATGTAGATCCAAGAACCTCAACATACCCCAAGGAAAATAAATACAAAGAGATCAATGCCTATAACACATCATACTCAAACTGCTTAAAGGCAGAGATAAAGAGAAAATCTTAAAAGCAGCAAGAGAAAATGACTTATCACACATAGGGAGAAGACAAAGAGTTTTGGCTGACTTCTCATAAACAATGGGGAACCAAAGGCAATGAAATGACAT
Source organism: Homo sapiens (assembly GCF_000001405.40). NCBI lineage: Eukaryota > Metazoa > Chordata > Mammalia > Primates > Hominidae > Homo > Homo sapiens. The sequence goes on along the minus strand of NC_000007.14, from coordinate 106,479,451 downwards.
TCAAAAAGCTAACAGACTGTCAGCAGACATTCTACATCAAGCAAAAATAGCCTTTAAAAAGGAATTCAAAATAAAGACATTCCTAGATAAGTCTCTTAATTTATTTTAAAAACATAGATTTCATAAAACAATACTTACAATACTGTATTATTGATTTACAGCAGACAGAGATATAACATATATGGCAATAATTACAAAGAATGAGGGAGGCAATGAATCTACATTGGGGCAAATTTTTATGAGAATCCTGTCAGTATTAACCCGACATATATGATGTTAGGATGCACATTATAATCCTGGCCACTGAGAAAATAACTGAAAACATAGAGTCAAAAAGTCAACAAATGAATCAAAATAGTACATTAAAAAATATTTGTTTAGCACAAAAGGAGGCAGAAAAGAAGACATGAGACAGAAAAAAATAGAAAATGACAGACATGTCAATAATTACACTAAATGTGAATGGACTTCAAAGGCAAAGATTGTTGGACTGGATTTTTTTTTTTAAAGCATGATCCAATATATTTTCTATAAGAGACACACTTTAGATTTAAAGACAGAAATAGGTTCAAAACATAAAGATGAACAAAGATACATCATGCAAATAGTAGCCAGAAAGCCAGAGTAACTATACAAATATCAGCCAGGTAGACTTTAAAACAAAAAAATAGTAGGAATAAAGGGGGTGTTTCATGATAATAAAAGGATTAATACATCAGGAATATATAACAATATAAATATTTTCATATTCAACAACAGAGCTCCAAAATACAGGAAACAAAAAGGCCAAAAAATACCCTTCTCAATAATTCATGGGTCTATAAAGAAATATAATGGAAATTAGGGGAAAATTAGAACTAAATGATATCAAAAGAACACAAATACTGAAAATAAATGAGCTAAGCATTTATTTATGACACTAGAATACCCTTGATATCAAGACCAAACAGGATAAATGTAAGGATAGCAGAACAATAAAATGTGATAAAGAAGGAAAAAGTACAGGTCAATCACACTTATGATTATGGATGCAAAAATCACAAATGAAATATGAATAAATCAACCCAAGTAATGGATAATCATAAGCAAGATGTGATTATTCAAGAATACAATGTTCCCTCAATGTGAGAGCACTTATTAATGCAATTTGGTACATTAACTGATTGAAGGAGAAACATTATATGATTATCTTGATAGATATTTATAAAAATCTAATATTCAACAGCTTTTCATGATTTAAAAAACTATCTAGTTTATTAAAACTAGAAATTGAAGAACATTCTCTTAATCTGATAAAGGATATCTACAAAAAGCCTACAGCAAACACCATGTGTAATGGAGGAAATGTTGAGATTTTCTTCTAAAATCAGAAACAAATAGAGGGTACTTACTCTCCCCATTTCTATTCAACATTATACTGGAATGCCTAGGTACCAAATAAGACAACAAAAAAGTGGAACGTATATGAGGATTAGAGATGAAGAAACAAAAGTTCCATTATTTTATTAACATGATTGTTTACAGAGAAAACCCTAATGAAACTATAGGAATATTAAGTAATTTGATCAGTCGTCATCTCTAACCTCCATCCACATAGCGCTCAGTATCCCTTCTGAGTAAATACATAAAGACCATAGATTTAAATATATATATATAAAGACTGTAGATTTAAATGTATTTAAAGAATATAGATTTTAAGAGACAACACTCTATTACCCTGTCCAGAGTGCCCATAAGTGTTTGTCCAGCCCAGAAGTTAATATACTGTCTGATCCCTTTACATAAACATTACGTCTGATAACATGTTGGATGCTGGAGGATACAACTGTTTCAGTTTGTCCTGAAGCCTAAACTGACACACATCAACTCTCTCCTCTACCACCCATTCTTAACTTTGGCAAGCACTTTTGCTAGTCTAGTTAGTATACCTGGTGGGCCTAGATCCTCATCCTTGAGGGGACTGGGTCCCTAGTTGCCATGTATTTGTCAAGTTGTGGTCCCTGTATTTGCTCATTTACCTTTTTTTTATTTTTATTTTTAGAGACAAGGTCTCACTCTGTCACCCAGGCTTCAGTGTTCAGTGTCACCTAGGTGCAGTCACAGCTCACTGCAGCTTCAACCTCCTGGGCGCAAGTGATCCTCCTGCCTCAGCCTCCTGAGTAGCTGGGACTACAGGCACAGGCCACCATGCCCAGATAGTTCATTTACAATTAGAACTAAGCATGGGAGTACCAAGAAATGATTCAATGGATTGTCTGAGCATCAAACATATTTTTCCCTTCTCTCATATGTATCCAGAGCCCCACTTTGCTGTAATGATCAGCGTCAATTATCCTTTTCAGTATGATAACTGCTGTTTATGAGTGCTGATATACTGGCATGAGAAACCTAAAGTGACCAGGTAGCTGCTATAACTAAATTTAGTGAAATAGTGCCTTTTGGTAGAAGCATCTGCCTCTGGAAACCAGGGTCTTCAAACCTACAGAGGCTAACATTGTGGAACAGGAAGTACCAGTTTCCCAAGTGAGTCACTGGGAGTGATAATAAATATGGCCACTTCTACTTCCATGCCTTGGTCTCAAATCCATGTATTCTACATTCTGGGGATATGGTACCATGTTATGGGTATTGGCTGAAGACATACCCAACGTCCTGAAAGATAGTGCCCCAGATAGTGGCATTTCCAAGCCAGTATTTCAATGTTCCTTCAGGAGACTGCCTCACTTCTTTATTAGGCTGGCTGGCAGCTTCTGGATAATGCAGAATGTGACAGGAAAAGTGCTCCCTGCATTACCTTCTTTGCTGAAAAAGGTTCTTGGTCCCAGATGATATTATGTGGGTTCCCTTGCCGGCAGTTTAGAAACTATGAGCCACTAGCTAGCAATACTGGTTGAGGCACTGGAGGAGAGAAAGGCAAATGTATGCCACGGATTGATTGACATGTCAATCCTAGTCAGGAAGTGTTGTTACCTTTTTCAGGCTAAAGGAGTTAGATGTAAAAAAAAAAAAAAATCTTGCCACCAGGTGGCTGGTTGAACTTCTCAAGGGGTGGTGCCATATTGGGAGTTCAGCACTGGACCCTGCCACTGTCTGGTCAATACTGAGAAACAGTAGTGGCTGCACCAATCTCAGTGAGCTAAAGCCAGTGCACTTGGGTGCACATATATTAATAGACACCAACTCTGCCACCATAGCTACTCCATTAATTAGCAAGCACGGAGATTGCCAAGGACCAAGGCTGGCTAACATCTACTGAATGAATCATCTTGTCCACTTGGTTGTTTAATTCTACTTCTGCAATAGATGCTCTCTGGTGGGCATTAATATCTAATACAAAGATTCTCATAGGTCCATCCATATGACTCTTCTCAATATCTCCTTATTTCAGTGTAGAATTTTAAATTGACAACTTTCTTCTGTGAGTACCTTACCAATAACCTCTGGCTTGTCTTAGGTTGTATTTCATAGCAGCAGAGCCCAAGATGAAGATTTTCAAGTGAAAGTGATTTAATGGCTTTTATTCTAAGTGATATGGTAGCTGGTCGTGAGTTTTGAGAAGGAAGTGGAATGAAATAACTTAGATTTTGAAAAGATTATTTTGCCTGCTGGTGTTGAAAAATGGAAGAGGGTCATGGGTGGACTCAGTGAGACAAATTGGAAGCTCTTGCAGTAATCTAAGTGAAAGATAATTGTGGCTTGAACTAGGTGGCAGTGGTGGAGAAGGTAAGATATGGTTGGCTTCTGGATATATTTTGGAAATGTAACTGATAGAATTTTCTTATAGCATAGGAACTAGGCTGTAGTACATAAGAGAAAGACAGGCTTAAAGGAGGACACCACAGTTTTTGGCAAATCATTACAAAAAGTGGAAGAGACATTACTAACACGGGGAAGCCTTGGGGCATGGTAGATATTTTGCCGGAAGGAATAAGAAGTTCAGTTTTTGACACGTTAAATTTGAGATCCCCATTAAACATCTAGTTAGAGATATTGGAATAGGCAAGTAGGTATATAAGTCTCTACCACAGGTAAGAGGTTTAGGCTGGAGACATAACTTTGAAAGTCATTAGCAAGCATATGTTTGGTATTTAAAGCTGTGAGACCCAGTGAGATCATCAAGGACGTGAGTGTAGATAGAGGGGAAAAAAGGGCCAAAGTCTGATCCCTAGAGCGCTGTATTAGTAAGAGGTCAGGAATAAATCAGGAAAGGAAAAGAAGGAAACAGGAAGAAAACCAAGAGAGTATGGAGTCTTGGAAGCCAAAAAAAGAAAGCTTATGAAGAAGTAGGGAGTGATGACTTCCATCAAATCCTATTGTTAGATCAAGGAAGTGAGGCCTGAGACTTGACTATTGGATTGAATTAGGTAAAAGTTATTGGTGAGCTTGACAAAAGCAGCTTTAGTACAGTTGTTAGGCAAAGGTCTTATGAGAATGGATTTAAGAGAGAATGAGAGGAAAGGATTTGGAAAAAGCAAGTATAAACAACACTTCCTAGAAATTTTATCTAAAGAAAAAAGAGTTGAATATTAGCTGAAGGATCTGTGGTCACAAAAGGGTTAATTTGTTTTTAAATAAATGACAGCTTCTTAATATGCTAATGCAAACGTTCTAGTAAACAGGAAAAAAAATGGTGCTACAGGAGACAGAATATTTGCTCAAGTGCTGTCCTTGAATAAGTTAATGGGAATGGGATCTAGTTGATAGGGATGAGGTTGACTTTGCAAGGATCATTACATCCTCTTGATGAATTCACCTTTTTATGGTGAATATGAAATATGAAATAGTCTAACAACTTTCCTTGTTCTGAAGTCTACTTTATGAGGATAATATAGCCACTCACTCCAGTTTTTTTTTAATTAATATTATGGTGGCATATCATTTTCTTTCCTTTTTACATTTAACTTCTAAATGTCATTATGTTTAAAGTAGTGTTCTTGTAGACAGTATAAAGTTAGATCTTGTGGTTTTTTTCAGTCTGACAGATCTCTGCCTTTTCATTGGAATGTGTAGATAATTTACATTTAATGTGACTTTCAATCTAGTTGAATTTAAATCTACCATTTTGCTATTTTTTCCAATTATCTTATCTGTTCTTTGTTTCTCCCTTTCCCTTTTTGGATTGAATTGTTTTTTGAAAATATTCCATTTGTAGGCTTATTAACTATATTTCATTAGTTTGTTTTGCATCATTTCTTTAAGCTTTCAAATATATATCATTATCTTATCAAAGTTTACCTTTAAATATTGTATTATTTCACATATGACTCTTAAAAAAGTGTGTTTTATTTTCTCTCCCATCCATTATGCAACTGTTATCATACATTTTACTTCCACGTATGAATGAACCTTTTACTATATTGTTATTGTTTTTACTTTAGACAGTCATTTTTTAAGACTTTTTTAACTTAGAAAAAAACCCTCATATTTGTTTATATACTTATCATTTTTTTTTTCTATTCCTTTGTGTAGGTTCAAATTTCCATCTGGTGTCATTTTTCTTCTACCTGAAGAATTTTCTTGAATATTCCTTATAGCATAGGTCTGCTGGCAATAAATTATCAGTTTTGGCTTGTCTGAAAATTTTTTGTTTTGCTTTAATTTTTTAAACCACTTTTTTGAGATATAATTGATATACAATAAACTGCACAAATTTAAAGTGTATAATTTAACAAGGTTTGATGTTTGTGTACACCTATGAAACAATTACCACAATCAAAATAATGAATATATCCATAACTCCCCAAAGTTTCTTCATTTCTCTTTGTAATCCCTCTTTCCACTTCTCCATGTTACCGCTTCCTTGGGCAAGAACTGATCTACTAATCTATGATCACAGATTAGTTTTCACTTTTCCTAGAATTTTATGTAAATAGAATCATATAGTGTGCACTCATTTTTGTCTGGCTTTTTTTTTTTTTTTTTTTTTTTGAGACCGGATCTTGCTCTTTTACCCAGGCTGTGCAGTGGCACCATCTTGGCTCATTGCAATCTCCACCTCCTAGCCTTAAGGGATCCTCCTGCCTCAGCCCCCTAAGTACCTGGGATTACAGGCACAAGCCACCACACCTGGCTAATTTTTGTATTTTTTTGTAGAGATGGGGTTTCACTATCTCTACACCATGTTGCCCAAGCTGGTCTTGTACTCCTCAGCTCAAGTGATCCACTCACCTTGGCCTTCTGAAGTATTAGGATGACAGACAAGCCACCATGCCCAGCTGTCTGGCTTCTTTCACTTAGAATAATTACTTTGAGTTTCATTTATTTTGCATGTATCAATATATCATATGACATAATTTGTATGTTTATTCATCTGTTAATGGACATATGGGTCATTTCCAGGTTTTGGCTATTACAAATAAAACTTCTGTGAACCTTTGTGTGCATGCTTTTATTTAGAAATATGCGTTAATTTCTCTTGGTTTTTGCCTAATTTTTTAAAGATATTTTTGACCAGTGTAGAATTCTAGAATTGCGAGCCTTTTTCTTTCCATATCTTTGTGATGTCATCTGGTTTGCAAGTCTGAGGCAAGTCTGGTTTGCAAGTCTGCTGTAATTCTTACTTTTATTCCTTTATGTATAATGCATCTTTTTTCCTCTGGCTGATTTAAATTTTTTTATCTTTTTCATTAAATTTCAGCAATTTGATTATGATGTGCCTTGTGTGGTTTTTCTTCATGTTTGGGATTTATTGAGCGTTTTGGATCTGTAGGTTTATCATTTTTATCACATTTGGAAATTTTTTGACTATTCTTCAAATATTTTTTCTGTCTCTCCTAACCCTCCTCTCCAAGATTCCAATTATATACATATTAGACTGCTTGATACTGTTACAAAGGTCACTGATTCTCTGCTTAGTTTTTTCAATTTATTTTCTTTGTATATTCAGTGTGGGTAGTTTCTAATGCCATGTCTTCAAGTCCACTTATTTTTTTCTGCAGCATTTAATCTGCCATTAATGCCATCCAGTGTATTTTCATTTCAGATATTGTATTATTTTTATTTCTACAAAGTTAATGTGGGACTTTTTAATCTCTCTTTTCTCTTCTCATCATGTTCATGCTCTTCTTTTGTTTTTGAGGATATGGAGTATATTTGTAATAGCTGTTTTTATTTCGTTGTTTCCTAATTCTATTATCTATGTAATTTCTGAGTCATTTCTATTGTATCTTTTTTCCCGGTTATAGGTCATGTTTTCCAGCTCCTTCGTATTCCCGCTATGTTTTTTTATTAGATACTAGACATTGTGAATTTTACATTATTGGATGTCAGATTTAATGTATTGCTTTAGATTTGTTCCGAGACATGTTGAGTGACTTGGAATTAGTTTGATCCTTTCAAGGCTTTAATTTAGGGCTAATTTAGTCCACTACTAAGGCAATACACTTCTGAGGACATTACCAAATGTCTCACATATTAGGAGACCTTTCTTCTGTGGCTGGTGCAAACACAAATTTTTCTAAATGCTGTGTGAGTCCCAGGGATTGTCCCACCTCCTCTTTTCCTGTGTTTTCTTTCCCAAACTTTGGCTGGTTTTCACATACAAATGTCTAAATTAGTGCTGAGTCCAAGCCTTAAGGGACTTTTCTACAGATTCCCAGAGCTCTTTCTCTTTGCATCTCCAAATTTCAGTGTATGTTGTTTCCTCAACCCAGCAAGACTGCTAGGCTCATTTGGTATTCTCCTCGTGGTACTGTGGCCTGGAAACTCCTCTGCACTAGAAGCGCAGACAATTGTAGGCTTCATCTTATTTAAACGTTTCCCTTCTTTCAGAGATCACTGTCCTGTGCTTCCTGTTATCAAATGCCTGTCTGAAACCTTTTAAAATATATTTTGTCTCATTTTCTAGTTGCTTAAGGTAAAAGTTTAAGTCCAGTCCTGTTAACCCATCATCTTGAATTAACCTGAGTAAGGAGGTAAATGAGGAAAAGAGAGGCACAGGGCATTGGCAACAATGTGGAGGAAACTTGTCCTATCTCTAATCTAACCCATGGTCAGAAGCCTAAAGTTGAGTCCTTGATCTTTTCTGGGAGGACAGTTCATCCATAGTAATAGAAAAGAAAGTGAAATATATGAGTACAGATGCAGATAGGTGGGTACACGTGGAGGTGGCAGTTTGTAGAATTTTTCTTCTGGCTTATATTCTTTCAGTGAAATAAGATGCAAAATCTCTGGCTTAGAGTAGAGATAGGAAAAGAAGTGGAGGAGGTTTGAGGGTAGAAAAAGTGTGACATAGTCATCTAGGAGAGTGGGAGGGCAAGTGGAATCAATGAATACATCATGGTTAATAAGGGTCTTCTTAAAACTGGTGATCATTTTGCATCCACTGAGGTACGGAAAAAACAAACCAAAAACTAGTGATCATGAATTTGAAGTGAGAACATTGGTTTTTCTCCAGGCATGTTTACTTGTGCAGTACAAGTGTAGCATAGTTTAGAACTTGAATTTAGCCAGGCTTGCGATTTTAAGGCTGTTATTTAAATAAGGCAAAAATATGAGTCCCGTATCCTTCTTTGTCATATGGTGATGAAGGCCACCCATGGATTATCCTGTGGAATGTACTTACTTGAACTCACTGTTAACTATTGATTAAAGGCCCCAGGTGATATGTGAAGTTGCATATTAAGTTGTAGGGTTTTTTTGTCCAGTAGAGATACAAATAATTTTTGCCTAATGGATCACATGGTTTATGGCCCTATTGGATGTTAACCAGTTTTATATCTAATCTAGCAATTTTTATCCTAGCACTGCCTGTATATACCTAATTACTTAAATGTTCTTTGAACCAGTTATAACTTCTAATTGCCTCATTAATTAATGAGTTGAATAAAATATTTAATCTACGCTTATTAATATTTGCATCAGAGTCAGGTTTAACTTTATTCAAATTATACTTTAACAGAAAGCAGCACAACAAAATGAGAGAGGGGCAAGAGAGCTGAGGTTGTAAGCAAGGGCAGAAATGTAATGATTGGCCATAGAATTAACCTGAGTAAGGAGGTAAATGAGGAGAAGAGAGGCACAGGGCATTGGCAACAATGTGGAGGAACCTTGTCCTATCTCTAATCTAACCCAAAGATTTTGCATCTTATTTCACTGAAAAAATATAAGCACTAAGAAGAAAACTTCTATGAAGCCACCACCATAGGTAGCCACCTATCTGCACGTGTACCATATATTTTATTTTGTCTTCTATTACTATAGGGAGATATTGGTTAAAGGGTACAAACTTTCAGTCATAAAATGAGTAAGTTTGGGAGATCTAGTATACAGCATGATGATTACAGTTAACAATCCTGAATTTATACTTGAAATTTGCTTAAATGTTCTCATAGGAAAACAAAACAAAACAAAAAAGAGTAATGAGGTGAAGTGATAGGTGTGTTAACTAACTGGATTTTGCAATAATCATTTCACAAAATATATGCATAACAAATTATCACATTGTACATCTTAAAATCATACAATTTTGTTAATTATATCTTAAAAAACGACATTTTAAAATGTAGGGCACAAGGGTCAGTAAAAAGTGATGAACACAATAAATTGTAGATTTTGGTGTCCAGGTACTACAGAAAGTAAAATAGCAAAATAGATAGTGATAATTGGAAGTGGATAATATTGCAGATTAAAGTTATTGCCCAGCACTTTGGGAGGCCAAGGCAGGCGGATCACCTGAGTTCAGGAGTTTGAGATCAGCCTGGCCAACATGGCAAAAACACGTCTCTCCTAAAAATACAAAAATTAGCCAAGCATGGTGGCATGCACCTGTAATCTCAGCTACTGGGGAGGCTGAGGCAGAAGCATCTCTTGAACCCGGGAGGTGGAGGTTGCAGTGAGCTGATATTGTGCCACTGCACTCCAGCTTGGCCAATAGAGTATGACTCTGTTCAGTAAGACTCCGTCTCAAAAAAAAAAAGTTATTGCTAAAAATGAGAACGATGGTATGACCTTTGGAGCAGATGAGGTCAAGGAACTGAGGAGTCACTATATTGGGAAGATTAATTATATTGACATAATCAAGAATCATAACAGGAAAAAGATGGGGAATGAGACAATGAGTCAGGAGATAAAATTTTCAAGGAATGATGGAATGTAACCAGTGGGTTGATAGGTGACTGTCACAAGGAACAGTAGCAGGTAGTACAATATAATGACATAATATCACATGTGGATACTTTTAAAGAGGAAGGAGAGAGAATGGTCTAGAAGCAGCAAAGAAGAACAAGAAGGACACTAACCAGTTGACTAGAGGAATGTGGACGAGAAAGAAGCCACAATGTGAGAAAGCTGCAAGGGCAGCTGTGTCCTCAGGGGAGAGTCAACTTTCAGGGAGAGAAAGAAGAGAAAGGAAACATTCAGAAGAGAAGCCAAGCATAAAGAAATTTTGCTGCTGATGAATAAAGAGTTCCTACAAGTACATTGAAGTTGTTTCAGGAAGTGAGGAAGTGGGAAATAGAATCAGAAAAGGGGGTGGGTAGGATACTATGGGTATTAGAATCTGGGAGATGAGGGATGATATGATTTGCCTGTGTTCCCAACCAAATCTCATCTTGAATTCCCATGTGTTGTGGGAGGGACCTGGTGGGAGATAATTGAATCATGAGGGCAAGTCTTTCCCATGCTATTCTTATGATAGTGAAGAATAAGTCTCATGAGATCTGATGGTTTTAAAATGAGGAGTTCTCCTGCACAAACTCTCTCTCTCTTTGCCTGCTGCCATCCATGTGAGACATGATTGTGAGGTTTCCTCAGCCACATGGAACTGTAAGTCCAATTAAACCTCTTTGTTTTGTAAATTGCCCAGTCTGGGGTATGTCTTTATCAGCAGTGTGAAAATGGACTAACATAAAGGATAAACAAGGAAACCTGGGATTTTTGAGGGAAAATCCACAAACAATGCTGAAAGAAAGGATAAAAATAGCCTTGATCATTGTGATGGTTAGTTTTAGGTACCAACTTAACAGGATCAAGGGATACCCAGATAGCTAATTGATATGGTTTGACTGTGTCCCCACCCAAGCCTCATATTGAATTTTAGCTTCCATAATTCCCATGTGTCATGAGAAAGACCCAGTGGGAGGTAATTGAATCATGGGGGTGGGTCTTTCCCATGCTGTTCTCGTGGTAGTGAATAAGTCTTACAAGATCTGATGGTTTTATAAATAAGAGTTCCCTTGCCCAAGCTCTCTCATTGCCTGCCTCCATGTAAGACGTGGCTTTGCTTCTCCTTGCCTTCCGCCATGATTGTGAGGCCGCCCCAGCCATGTGGAACTGTGAGTCAGTTAAATCTCTTTTCTTTATAAATTACCCATCTCAGATATGTCTTTATTAGCAGCATGAGAACAGACTAATAAGCTAATAAAGCATATTTCTGGGTGTGTCTGTGAAGGTATTTCTGGAAGAGATTGGCATTTAATCAATGGACTGATAAGGAAGATCCACCCTCACCCAATGTGGGCAGGCACCATCCAATTGGCTGAGGGCCTGGATAGAACAAAAAAGGCAAAGGAGAAGTGAATTGACTCTCTTCTGGAGCAGGGACACTCTTCTTCTCATGCCCTTGGACATCAGAACTCCAGGTTCTCCAGCCTTCAGACTTCAGGATTTGCACCTGTGACCCTTTGGGTCTCAGGCCTTCAGACTTGGACTGCGCTACACCACCAGCTCCCCTAGTTCTCCAGCTTGCAGACACATCATGGGATTTCTCAGCCTCAGTAATTACAGCAGCCAATTCCCATAATAAATCCCCTTTTGTTTACATATCTAGTTATCTCTCCCTATATGTATATCTATTGGGCTGTTTCTTTTTGAAATAATATAATGAATAATACAATGGTACTGGTGAGGTGAGAATGGGGGAATGTTCCTAGAAACACCCAGAACTTTAGGGGTCTCCCTTGACCCTCTGCTAGAGGCTAAGAGGAAAGCAAACCAAAAGGCCACTCAAGTACCTAACAAGGGACTCACTTTGGGTGAAAACATGATTTTTGGAGCCCATGTGTACTGTTAGGAAATAGTCAGTGGTAACCTAAAAGGAAGAAATGCAAAATTAATATAAGTAGAGAGTTTATTTGGGCCAGGCTCAAGGATTGCAGCCTGAAAGCACAGATTCAAATTGCCTTCAATGTAATCTCTGATTAGTAGCAGTTACAAGTGGATCATTGAAGGGAAAGAAGAAGCAGTTCCCGAGTTGTTTACCAAGAATTTATATTAAAATAACATAAGCAACTGATTAGCTTCACGCTGTTAAGGTATAGGGTGTGAGTTACAGTGTCTGGTGCAGCATTATGAGGTTAATTTAGAGCCACTTGTGGCAATAGTAAGCAGTTTCAAGAGATGAATACAGAGCTCAAAGGGCGCTGGGACAGCAGTAGGACACGATTGCTGTCTCATTTGAATGACTCTCTGGGCCTGATCATTTAAAAGGACTTGCATTCCTCAGATAAGAGTTCCTTCCTTTTCTCATTAGAAATAATGAAGATAGGAAATATAGTGGTCTATTATCGAGGGTTTGCATAACAGCCTAAGGAGTTTTAGGCTTTGTATGTCAGCTTGGGAATCCATGGGAGGTTATTGAGAGGGATATTAGAAAGGGGAAAGTTGAGTTTTAGGACTATTGGTCTAGCAATGGAGGGAGTTGAAGCTGGAGGCTGTCAGATCAAGTGGCTGCAGTAATCTAAGAATGAAGCAATAAAGAGAGTTGATCTACAGACATTTTGAGAGGAGAATCTGTTGGACATTGATGCAGTTAGATGCCACAGATTAAGAAGAAAAGAACATCAATGATGGCTCTGAGGTTTCAATTCGGGGTGACTAGGAGAATACTGATAACATGCATAGGTAACAATAGACTATCCAAGTGCCTCCAAGTGTTTTGCCAACAGTTGGAGATACGGGACGAGCTTTAATCAGGAATAGAAACCATGCTGTACTTGGGTCGATTTTAAAGGGAGGTAAGAACATTTAATCTGATTTAACCTTCCCAGAACTGCATGCACTGAAAGCAATCTTTTAGCTTCTAATATTTTTCTTTTCTGTTCCATAGGGTTGGGTGAAATGTCAACCTTCTGTTCTATTCTTGTGTTTTTGTTTGACATGCCAGGGAACATTTGGTGCCTGCAGAATCTAAAGTATTTGCAGGGGTTGGAAAACGATCACAAATTAGATTCAAATGGGGACAAATGGCTACTCAGCATGGAGAGGCACTCCTAAGTCACATGACTCCCCAGTTGCCTTTTCTGTCCTTGGTCTCAACTTGGCGGGTTGCCTGGGGTCAGGAGGGGTTTCCAGGCAGCCATTTTTATTTTCACCTCAATAGCACACTAGTCAATTTAAAAAAAAGAAAGAGGGGTTGGGAGGATTATGAGAGAGACCACACTTAAGGGAAATGGCACTGGGGAAAATGAGGAATTAGCAAAAAGGAGAGAATTGTGTGAATTGGGCATAATTTAATAAATAAAGTATTAAATTTTACTACAAAACCTTGAGAAATGAGTTTACTTCTCCATAACACAGGCTTCTTCTCTGGTTTCCTGTTCTGACCTCCTCTCAACCATGAATGCCTATACTGTGTTGGTGGCCCTGATGAAGAAATGTGCTTCTTCATTTAGACCCAGGATGGCTGACGGTTTTCTGATTGATTCGTAGCAAAACCTGGAAAGCTAGATTGAGCGATTTAAAGCCCAGGCCAAGTGCAGCAGGTGAGGATGTTGAAGTTGATGGGTGACATGTGCTGTGGGTATGGGAAGATGCAGCAGAGCCTCGACTGCCATGCTTTTGCCAATGTTGCTGTAAACAATTCTCTAAGCTGAGCACCCCTCTCCTTTCCAATTCTTCCAAATACCTTCATAACTCACATCTTGTTACCCCATCCCTTTCCTTCCTTCAGAAGCCTTCTTGATGATTCCAGGTGATGGGTTCATGGAGGAATACTGTGTGTTAAATAGATTCCCAACAGACTTCTCAATCTCCAAAACATCTGAATGCCCTGAGGAGTGAGATGTTATCCTCCTACCAGTGGGGTGGCACAATTTTGATCTGGCTGCTTGAGCTCTGACCATTTGTCTTCAGTGTTGAGGCAACAGTGGACAGTGGGAAAGGAGAGGTGGCCAACAACTGGGATGTTCAGTCTCCAGAAAGTAACCTAGCCATAAGACTGGCACCAGTGAGAGAGGGCCAGCAGTGCAAGTCCCATTGTCCCCAAGGACTCTGTGACCTCAACTCTTTCCATGCTAGAATTGATACCACAGTTGTTCAAGAAGGTAAGCTGATGGTGAGATCCACCAGGGTGCAGGCCGGCCTTTAGCCAGCAGCCATGATAAGGGGTCACAGTCCAGCTCTAGGGAGGAGGCAGGACCAGCACAGTTGGCTGGAAGGCTTAGCTTAGTTCTAGTTCCAGCAGGTAGAGGAATGAAACCCAAAATCTGAAAGTCAGGAGGCAGGAGGAAATGTTACAGCTCTCTGAGAATGGGGCTGCCCAGGGGTAGAATTGTGGGCAACAAAATTCATTCCAGCTTCCCCACCAGCTGATGAGAACTGAGCTCCTAATATAGTCCTGGGCCTGGTCAGAATTAGTCAAGTGCTACTGAAAGCTGAGCCTCCGAGTTAGAGTACTTTTTTTCTATGGAGCTGAGAAAGGCAGGCCAATAGCTAGGTCTCATCTCCTCTTCTGAGGTCACATAGCCTATCTGCTCAGGGCTAGAAATCTCACAAGTATGTTTTCTACACTAGTGATTCGCAACTGTCACTATACATTGAAATCACCTAAACAGCTCTAAAAGATAGGATGCCTGGGTCCCACTCTCAGAGTCAGATGAGGAATCTGTGCATTAGGATTTTTCAAAGCTCCCCAAGTAATTCTCATATGCAGCTAAGGTGGAGAACTGCTGTTCTACCACTTTTCAGGTCACCACCCAATTTTCACTTCATTTACATGGCTGAAAACAGAAGTTGTGTGACCTCCTCCCTCACCAGCACAATCCTTTCCCACAGCCCCCATCCTCCCTCTGAAAGAAGTGATTGGGTCATGTAATTATCTGGCGTCCTTCCCAAAGCTAAACCATGTGATCCTTGGTTCTCTCTCCTGGGTGTACACTGTTCTTTCCCTCTGTTTACTTGTGACAGCCCCACTTACCTTCATCCCTGCCTCCTGGGCCCAACTCTAGCATCTGCCATCTTTGTTGGCCCTGCAGCCATGCCTGCTGCATCAGCTTCTCTGTCTGGAAGTATCCAAGAGTGATCACTTTTGTTTCCGTATGATTTGTGTAACACTCACTCTCCACATGATCCTTCATAGATTAGTTGGTTTCCTTTACCTTTCCATCAATGTGGATCAAAATCAAACTAGGTATTCAGGACATGAGTTGACTCAAATAGCAGCTGGGTATACTCAATTACTTTTCAGTTTTCTTCTGGCTCTCACTTTCCTTGATACATTGCCAATAAAATAAATGATAACAATAACAATAATAATAAAATCTGGACTGGGATAAGCCAGTATTTTAAATTAGTTTTAAAAAGTCAGAAGCATACAATGTTTCAAAGACATTGCATTTCTTTCTTATGTGAAAGAGTCATTGAGACTTGTTGCTAACAAACTGTTACCAAGTAAATCCTATAAGAAATAGTTTTCTGTTCAGAAAGAAGTTTACCTGCCAATTACTTAAGATATATAACAAATTCTAAGTATTACTATTAGAAAGGAGGACACTAAATTAACACTATGTACGAACAATACGTTTGGATCTAGAAAACAAAATGATTGACTTTTTTAAAGAATTAATGACAGTTGTGTAGTCAGAATTACGGAAATGGAAACTTAGGAAAATCATTACAGAAAGATATGGAAATGGAAACTTAGGGAAATCTATTAGTACCTAGATGGTTTAAATATTCTTTTAAAGTTGTATTTATGCTTTTAATTTGCTTTGCACACAGCTGCTTCACAAAAGAGCAAAAATAAACTCTGACCACATCTTATGTTAACGATTTTATACTCTTAAGTATTGTACTAGGCGAATGTACCTATTAAAAGACATCTTCTTTAGACAGCCTTTCTGAGGGCCAGAGTAGATTGAACTAAGAGCAACAGGCATCTGCACTTGTCTGGCTTTCTAGTGCCCCTCCCCCATCCTCCTCTGGGACTCCCCACCTCCCTATTATCCAGCAACTGAAAGGTTAAAGGCCTGACCCAGCAGGTGACAGTCCAACCCAGTGCTGGTCTTCTTACCCTCCTTGCTGCACCGCACTTCTGACTTAGGGACACATTTCAGGATGGCTTATTTGATCTGTGTAGAATCCAAGAAGTGATCTGATTCAAAGATCACCCATCTCTCACAAAAGCAGCCCTCTCAGTTTCTCAAGAAGATCAATTATTACATACAGGTTTATGACTCAGCCACAGAAAAGCAGTCCCATCAATCTGCTTGTGTTCATTTTTCATTTTAGCTTAATGGGTGTTTGCTCAGTGTCCAGGTTTTATCTATATTTGCAAATTCACTTTATTATTTTAAGCAATATTTTAGAAGTTGAAATTAATCTTATAAAGTTGTATAGCTTTTAGGACATTTTCTTTTCCCATTAAAATACAAGAACCATATTCTAGTTTTCATTTTGTGGAGTCAAAAACATACACGTGTATGAAGTGTCTATGAGTCAAGCACTTCCTCGTTATTTTTTGAGTTTTTGGGAAATCACAAAACACCCTTTGAATAGCAGGTAAAAAGGGCATTATATAGTTAGAGGAAAGCACTCCTGTGCTGGCAGTCAGTAGTATGTCGATGTTTCTATTAAGTGAAAGAGTGTTGACTTCTGCTTCTTCAATCCTCCCTCTCCAAGCTATGGAAATTGAAATTTCTCATTAGGCCACGAGGTGGCAGATTAATTGCAGAAAAAAAAAATTCTAGTATGAAAGCAATACAGAAATTTCTTCAGCTAAAGGGAAATAAATATCCTTTCTCCAACTAATACCCCTGTGTGGTACACCTCTCTGACCAGAAGTTACACTTGCTAAGAGACCCAGTGGTTTAAGAGCATTTCTTACATGTTTTCCTGTTTCTTTGAAAGAAAGAAAAAAAATCTCTTTGACCACTTCCTAATGATCTTCCTGAACACGCAGCTTGCTTGAGTCCTGGTGGAAAAGGCCTTGTATGGAAGCCCCAGGGACAACTTCCACCACTGAGGAATTTTCAGTCTTCTGCATCTGTCAATCAACTGAACCATTTATAGCTGGTGTCTTCTTTTCTCGTGCCCATAAGCCCTGTCACTGTTGAGCTGGGCCCACCTTAAGACTGATGTCCTTTGCAATTTCTGGGACTACTGCAAGTGCTCCTAACTGTCCTCCCTGCCTCCAGCCTTCCAACCTGCAGCCACTCGAGTTGCCTTCCTACACGTCAGAGCCGACCATGCCATTCTCCTGCTTAAAAACCCATCTCACTGGCTATGGGACCAAATGAAACCTTCAATGCTTGACACACAAGCCTTTTCCAACGTGGCCGACAAACACACACTTGCACAAACACACCCACACACACATACTTATTAATTCAGTAACACAGACATTTAGCAGTTCACCAAACATGCCTGATTTTTCACAACTCTGCATACTCTGTTTCCTCTATCTAGAATGTTCTTCCCTGTCTGTATCTGGCAAACCCTAAATCCCGCACGATGCTTTGCCTAACCTCTCAGGTAGACCCGCAGTGTTGCTGCTGTGAAAGGAAAATAACTCTTGGGACCCCCAAATCACTACACTAAAGAAAAAAGTCAAGCTGGAAATTGCTTAAGGCAAAACTGCCTCCCATTCTATTCAGAGTCATCCCTCTGCTCACTGAAATAAATGCGTATCTGATTGCCTCCTTCTGAAAGGCTAATCAGAAACTCAATGCAAATGGTTATTGAGAAACCAATGGTTATTTGTCTCTCACCTACTTATGACCTGGAAGCACCACCCCCCCGCCCTCACCTTTCTGGACAGAACCAATGTACATCTTACATATATTGATTGATGTCTCATGTCTCCCTAAAATGTATGAAACCAAGCTGTGCCCTGACTACCTTGAGCATATATCGTCAGGACCTCCTGAGGCTGTGTTATGGGCATGCATCCTTAACTTTGGCAAAATAAACTTTCTAAATTGATGAAGACCTGTCTCACATATTTTGAGTTAATAATTTGGTGACCAACGTAAGTGACTCGGAATGGAGGTGGCTCTGGCCTTTGGAAAATCTTCTATGGCCACTTGGTACAAGCTTGAGCTATCTTTATGGCTCAAACTGTCACAGGCGTTTGAATCAGAGCAACTCCATTTTGAATATGGGCTGGGTGAGGTAAGGCTAAAACCTACCGGGCTGCATTCCCGGGATGTTAGACATTCTAAGTCACAGGATAAGATAGGAGGTCAACACAAGATACGGATCATAAAGACCTTGCTGATAAAACAGGATGTGGCAAAGAAGCTAGCCAAAACTCACCAAAACCAAGATGGCAATGAAAGTGACCTCTGGTCGTCCTCACTGCTTAGCATGCGTTAGCATGTTAAGAGACACTCCCACCAGCACCATGACAGTTTACAGATGCCATGGCAACATCAGGAAGTTACCCTATATGGTCTAAAAAGGAGACAAACCCTCAGTTGTGGGAATTACCTACCCCTTTCCTGGAAAACTCATGAATAATGTACCCCTTGTTTAGCATATAATCAAGAAGTAGCAATAAGCATCATCAGTACAGCAGCCCATGCTGCTGCTCTGCCTATGGAGTAGCCATTCATTCTTCCTTTACTTTCCTAATAAACTTGCTTTCACTTTACTCTATGGACTCGCTCCAAATTCTTTCTTGGGTGAGATCCAAACCCTTTCTTGGGGTCTAGATTGGGACCCCTTTCTGATAACATCTTCCTGGCAAACTTCAAAGGGGTGATACTGAGGAGACCCACCCCCCAACAACAAAGGAAACAGGTCGCAGCACCAATCAGCTGACTTTGGGTGAGTGGTGAGGTATCTGGGTAAAGGATGGGATTGGGTTAGAGGCCCAGCTTAGGGGAGTTAGAGTTTCTCCCAAGACAGAGTGGGGTTAAAGGCCCCTCTTAATAAGGGCAAGGACACCTGACCAAACTTGGGTTGGAAGCCCAACTTAGGAAGGTTAGAGTCCTTCCTAAGAGTTAAGGGGTTAGAAACCGCCCCCTCCCCGCAGTAAAATCCCTCTCTGCTAAGAATGGGTTCAGCACTACGGGGTGTTATACGCTATTCTCTTTGGATTAATCTGCCTTGCACTCTTTGCTGATGGCTGTGGGTGACAGGATTAAGCAGGTACAGGATCATGGGACATTGGGAGTCTTTTCCTCCCTGATGGAGGAAACTTGAGAGCCGATGGGACTGCTGGAAAAGATCCCTTTGTGACTGACAAGCAGCCGCCTGAACTTTTTGATTCAGTGCAATGGGTGGGTCTTTCTCTGGCCTCCCTGAGTGCCTTGCCTTCCCTACCCTGCCGCAGGCAGTGCTTTTCTCTCTCTTTCTCAACTTTCTCTTTGTTATCTTTTCTGTTACTCAGGGCAACCATCTTGCCCAGAGACCGCATGTTGAAACCCCTGGTAGAAGATCATTCCAACACACTTTGAATGGATCAAAGGTGACGAGTCCAACTGGGGAAAAATTTGAGTCTTGCCAGTTCAATATTGGGTCCTAAGTGGAGTGGCTAATGTCTGTGTTTTGTCACAGGTATTTTGCTCTGGCTGGAATAGAAAATGTTAATTCTGTTCCCCCAGGCAGCCGGTTGGGCAGCCACTTGCAAAATTGAGAGGATTTTGCCTATGGTTTCATGATTTTCCTTTGTGTTGTGGCTTAGCCCCCAGGGATATGGTGGGTGAGCCGGGTCACTAGGACTGCTTAGGGATAGGGAACCCAGGAGCCTGACATGCTGGCAAAAGGGTAAGGGTTTCTTACCGGTCACACTGCTGGCCTCTCTGTCTATGCAAACTAGTTGAATGAATGGTAAAAATGACTGTTTATCTCCTCTGCAAAGTTTTGATTCACAGGAAAAAGGATTTATAAGGCCAGTCTTAAGCTGTATCAAATCTGTGCCTTGTGCTATGAATTTGTCTTTCTGTGTTGTGTCATAAAAGAGGGGTACCTTAGGATAGAATGTGGGCCTAGGAACCCTATAAGCCTGCTGTTCAAGCCAGCCCAGCAAACTGGTCAGTTGCAAAGTTTGCTGCAGGTCTCTTAAAAAAAATTACTGAATGAGCTTTCCCTCTTGTCTTGTATGCCCTTGGGAGCTTGACCTTATTATCACCCGGGCCATGCTTTCTCTTAATATCTGCCTTCTGGAGGACAAGAATTTTGGGGTTCATGTCATGGTTAGCTCTAAAAATTATTTTGAGCACTTAAAAGACTTTGCAAGCTCAAAACTGGCTGCTCTAGGCTCCACACCTAGTTCATAATTAGAATCGCTTACTAACCAGGTTTTTCACCAAAAGTTACTAAGAGTTAACAGCGTAACATGTACTTGAGAATACTGAAAAAACAGTTTTACATGCAAGGTGGATAAGAAAGTGAAATGTGTTTTTGGTAAAGATTATGAAAAGGCATGGGAATGGGAATGTGGATTTTTTTCCCTAGATTAAAGGGTTAAAGGATTGTTTCAAATTAGATAGGGGAAAGCTGAAGGTTTGAGCAAGTTGTAGAAGGTTTCTGAAAAATTAATCTTGTAAAAGAAATTAAGTGTGTGAACATATTGGCTAAAGTTCAAGGAGTATTCAGTTTTTTTGTAAATTGAACATTGGAATAAAAGTACAACAGGGTTTTCTTAGAGCACTGATCTGCACTTTCACAAATAATGTAAAGGGTTATGGAAAGCTTATAATAATCTTACCTTACGGTTAAACTGATTAAGATTGAATAGATTTGTCTATAAGGTTTTATTTAAAATTGGGATTGACATTAATAGTATACTAATGCAATGGAGAAATTTGGCTTATTTGGTATAAAAATCATACAGGAAACATTATCAAATATGAAATGGTGTTTGGCTTTCTTTGGGCTGTATTTGTATAAATGTGTTATTGGTATGTGTTCCAAAATTATGAGATACTCCTATAATTCTATGATTTAGTGTACATTATCAGTAATAATTATGATTGTTATGTTAAATTATCGTATGCCACAGAGGTAACCAAATTTCTTTGTCATATTTTTGACTGTGGCTGCTCTAAGACATTTTGTCATCCATAGGCAATTGTTGTCTTGTTTTGATCCTCTTCAAAGGTGGTTTATAATCAGCTATAGAACTTTGACAGGTGTACTTGAATGCAGGTTTCTGATAACTTTGGTGATTGCAACATTAGAATACGGGAAAAAACTTTCAGGACTCTCATGGAGAGCTGGAATATTCATGAATATCAAGCAGAACAGGAGTTAACTGCCTGGACTGAACTAATAAAGGAATAAAGTAATTTTTTTTTTTACTTTTTGCCTAAAACATTGCTGATCCTTTGTTTTATTTTTCAAAGTCAAGAAAACATTTGAACTATTTACAACTTTTAACAATTGGGTAAAATAAATTCCTGTGAATAAAATTTGGACCATATTTGTTTCTTTCTACCTGATTTATCCAGAATTTGAAAACTATTTGTAAGTATTCTTTTTTTTTTTTTTTTTTTTTTGGGAGATGGAGTCTCACTCCGGCACCCAGGCTGGAGTGCAGTGGAACAATCTCGGCTCACTGCGACCTCCATCTCAGAGGTTCAAGCATTCTCCTGCCTCAGCCTCCCGAGTAGCTGAGATCACAGTCACCCACCACCACACTCAGCTAATTTTTGTATTTTTAATAGAGACAGGATTTCACCACATTGGCCAGACTGGTCTCAAACTCCTGACCTCAGGTGATCACCCGCCTCAGCCTCCCAAAATGCTGGGATTACAAGTATGAGCCACTGTGCCAACCCAAGTACTCTTAACTTATGGCAATATAGTTATTTGCTTAAGTGCAATAAGAAACTGTTTTATTTTCTTTCTTTTTTTTTTTTTGAGATGGAATATCACTCTGTTGCCCAGGCTGGAGTGCAGTGGCGTGATCTTGGCTCACTGCAACGTCTGCCTCCTGGATTCAAGTTATTTTCCTGCCTCAGCCTCCCAAGTAGCTGAGATTACAGGCGCACGCCACCACACCTGGCTAATTTTTGTATTTTTAGTAGGAACGGGGTTTTGCCATGTTAGCCAGGCTGGTCTCGAACTCCTGACCTCAGGTGATCCACCTGCCTTGGCCTCCCAAAGTGGTAGGATTACAGACGTGAGCCACCATGCCTAGCCAGAATCTGTTTTCTTTTGTAACAGGACACAACTGGAGAAACTGGTTATTTTACCAAGGCTTTGACTGGAATGGAGTGCTTTCCTTTAAGATATCAAACTTGACTTGTAGAGCCAATAAAAGCCCCTTGGGAAAACTGGCCTCCTACACATCTACACAGTCCCTGTACAGGGTTGCTGACCTGTTGTAAATAAAGAATATCACTTTCTGACAGGCCCAGAAACCCCAAGTTATCTTGGGACCTCAAAGGAGAGGAATTTACCCAACTCACAGGTATTTGATGGTAAAAAGCCATGGCTGGGCTTGGCTTTTAAAAAGTCTTATCTGAGATTCCTTCTGTGGAACAGAGTTCCATCAAAGCCAATTTAAAAAGCCTATGTAAAAAATAATTATTCTTGCTGCCCTTCATGCAAATAATCAGGCCAAGTATAATAAAGCAAACCAGTCTTACCATGATTTCTCTTTTGTAAAAATAGGAGACCAGAGAGAGAAAAATTACATTTCAAAAACTATGGTACACCTGTTATTAGATTCTAGACTCATCTGTTGTTTTTGAGATTTTTTTTCTGCAATCTAAACTAACCCTGCTTATTCCTGTGACCCAAGCAGTGATCTCTGGCTGCTGCCCAGAATAAACAAGAAGGATGAGTAATGTAAAAATCTGGATCAATATTCAAATTCTGGGCCCATATTGAAATATGTAACACATATAGCAACTTCATATCAGCTTGGTTCCAACAGCTGCCCAGTTCATGGAATACCTTCTTATTTAGTTTACTTGGGATAATTTTGCTTATTTTGCTTTACTGTTGTGGAATATATTTGCTGTTATACTCTTTGCAGGAATGCAAGATAAGCTTACTCAATGTTTTCTTAAATTGAACACATATTAATCTTCCAGATATCACTTATCAGAATTCAGAGTCATGAATGGCCCTCATCATATTGACGCTTTCTGACTGAGCCTCTCTGTACACCAAATATAAGAGACCCTAATAGTTAGGCAGGAATATCATTGCCCCTATTCAGCCTGAAGAAGTTATGGAGATGAATCTTCAGCTCTCAACAACCCTTAAGATTAAGGGTTCTCTTATTAAAGGGAGGGGGGAAATATGTCAGAGGCATTTGAACCAGAGTGATTCCATCTCGAATAAGGGCTGCATTCCCAGGAGATTAGGCATTCTAAATCACAGGATGAGATAGGAGGTTGGCACAAGATACATGTCATAAAGACCTTGCTAATAAAACAGGCTATGGTAAAGAAGCTGGCCAAAACCCACCAAAACTAAGATAGTGACAAGAGTGACCTGGTTGTCCTCACTGCTCATTATACAATAGTTATTATGTATTTGCATGCTGAAAGGCATTCCCCCCAGTGCCATGACAGTTTATAGATGCCATGGCAATATCAAGAAGTTACCCCATATGGTCTAAAATGGGGAGGAACCCTCAGTTTCAGGAATTGCCCACCCCTTTTCCAGAAAACTCATTAATAATCCACCCCTTGTTTAGCATATAATCAAGAAATAACCATAAAAATGATCAACCAGCAGCCCTTGGGGCTGCTCTGCCTATGGAGTCACCATTCATTATTCCTTTACTTTCCTAAGAAATTTGATTTCACTTAACTCTATGGACTCACTCCAAATTCTTTCTTGTGCAAGATCCAAGAACCCTCTCTTAGGATCTGGATGGGGACCCTTTTCCAGTAACAGATCTGTAAGATCTTTCTATGGGTCTAGTATGTCTATGTGTTCATCTGTCATGTACATGATGTTTCACCACTAAAAATGTATAAAATGCTCTAATTAATTGACTTTAGAAACACTTAAATACTTTATCAGAAAAATAGATGTTAAGCCAAATGCTTTTTCAAGTTCATGTCACTTAAGTAAATCTTTAATAAATATGTTGGTTTAAAAATTTTGGTGGAGTAGAATTAGCAATGGCTTAAGGATTGTCAACTTATTTATTTCTATTAAACGTCAAAATTTGCCATGAGGGTTATAAAGCTATGAATGCAGCTCAAAAGAGAATTATGTTTGTTTATGTAAAACTTAATAAATAAGGCAGGTTTTTTGTTCAGTTAATGAAAACAGCTAAGTCCTGAGGTATTGGCAAAAACAAATAAACAAACAAAAAAAAAACAATTATCTAATCTTAAGGTCCTTACTTAGGAAAACCTGAAATTCATAGGTTATAAAAATGGTTAACAGGTAAATAACTTTAAGTGATAACTATCACAGTTTTCTTAAGTAATCTGAGTAAACTATCTTTATAAATTAATGTATTAGGTAAATGTAATAGAATAAATGCTTGTAGATAATCTTGTCATATAATTTAAAATCTAAAGTTATATTAAGCTAAATAATAGATATCCCTTAAATCTTTGGGTCATTTCCATTTTTTTAATTATAGGAAAATATTTTTCCAAAAACAAGAAATGTGTTCTTATTTAAAGGAAAATAATTTTTATCTAATTCAAAGGTTATTTAAGAGTTATTCATGAAATTAGGTAATGGTAATCCATGAATAAGAACAATGTGAAGAAAGTTATAAATACGAAGAGGTATTTTTGACAGGAAATGTTAAAAGGACAATAATTTTAATGAGAAAGAATCTTGTAGGGAAATTTTGTCCTAGAATAAAATAATTATTTAGGAAAGAGAGATGTCTAGGATAAAACAGGAAGTCCAAGCATGTCACAATTGACTTCTATCAAGTTGTCTATAATTAAAGGGAAATTAGTTATAATAGTTTTTCTAGAGATTGGGTTTCGATGTTAACAAACACTTATACACTAAAGAATTGGTTAGAACAATGAAATTTTCTTAAGGGATTGATTAACTCTTAATAAATTATAAGATATTTTAATTTTGTAACCCAAATTTCAACTTTTATTGTGTCACCATTTTCAGTTTTCTCTCCCCTTTTTTAAAAGGCTCGAAATAATAATGATCTCCTTCAACTCATTTTCAGCTCATGTAAGTTTTTTCCCCCTCAGGTTCCAACTGTTTATTGTGACTTGATGCTAAAAATGTTTTCTTAAAGGTCTAAGGAAATGTTTTCTTCCAAAATAATATTCTATGCACTGCAGAAGATCTTTTCTATTGCCTTTTGGTAACTGGCCTAACAGATTTCATGTTTTATGGAAGTAATTCCTATGTCATTATTATTCTGTTTTGGTTTGCTTAAAAAAAACCTGAGATTTAAAAAAATGTTTTTTAAATTAATGTTATTACATCTATGTATCTTTCTGTATGTGCTTTTAAAAACCTTGTGCCATTGAGTTATAGGGCTCTGACTGCTGGGTCTAAAATGGACACCAAATCCTGCTAAGTCTTAAACACTGACAGCAATTAAAGCCTCATCTTTAGGCCAGGTAGAAGACAGCAGTCAAAATAAACTGCCTTCATGAGACACAGGGGCAGAAATTAAAACTATTCAATTCCTCAAGGCCCAGGCACCTTGCAGAAGAGGTGGGCACATGAGATTGTAAGGGCTGATTTTGAGAGATAAAATAAGTTCAGTTTCTCTATAAATTAACCATTAATGTCAAAGGCACACTGACGCAAGACCCTGTGTCAGATTAACAAGGTTTTCTTGGAGCATTAATCCACTCCTTAATGAAGATTATAAAGGTTATAAAAAGGTTTATGGAAATTATATCTTATGGTCAATGTGATTAAAATTTTATAGGTTGTTTATAAAATTTTGAAAAACAACTTTGTTTGGCCTCATGTTGTTTTTATTAGGGCTTATTATTTGGGAAATTAAGTCTCTTCTCTCTCAGTGAATCAAGGTTTTAATCTTTTCTGGGACATTTTTGAGTTATCACTTTGGTGAAATGAATGACTTATTTTATAATGACCTGTGATCCTATTTTGTGATATAAAGCATTTTAAACTTTATATATTTGACAAACTTTTCAAAGTCAAATTCTAACTTGGGTCCACATTAATTTTTTTTATATTAATGCCCTGAATTCCAAAAGAGACATATTTTGCTTATTTGGTATAAAAATCATATAGGAAGCATTGTTGAATAAGAAATGGTATTTGGCTTTCTTTGGGCTGAATTTGTATAAATGTGTTATTGGTATGTGTTCCAAAATTATGAGAAACTCCTATAATTCTGATAAGACTTACTGTGTGTTATTAATAATTATAATTGTTACGTAAAATTATTGTATGCCATAGAAGTAACTGAAATTCCTGGTCAATTGTGGTTTTAATAATGGCTGTTCTAAGAGTTTTTGTCATCCACAGACAATTATTGTCTTGTTTTGATCCTCTTCAAAAGGTGGCTTATAATCAGCTTTAGGACTTTAATAGATGCTCTTGAATGCAGGTTTCTAATAACTTTGGAAATTGTGACATTAGAATAGAGAAAAAAACTTTCAGGATTCTCATGGGGAGCTGAAACGTTCATGAATATCAAACAGAACGGGAGTTAACTGCACGGACTGAACTAATAGAAAACTGAAGTAATCTTTTTTACTTTTTGCTTAAAACGTTGCTGATCCTTTGTTTTGTTTTTCAGAGTCAAGAAAACTTTTCTTTTGAGCTATTTACAGCTTTTAACAATTGAGTAACCTATACTCCTGTGAACAAAATTTGGAGCATATTTGTTTCTCTCTACCTGATTTCTCCAGAATTTGGAAACTACTTCTGAGTATTCTTAACTTATGGCAATATAGTTATTTGCTTAAATGCAGTAAGAATCTGTTTTCTTTTGTAACAGGACACAATTGGAGAAACTGGTTATTTTACCAAGGCTTTGACTGGAATGGCGTGCATTCCTTTAAGAAATCAAACTTGACTTATAGAGCTAATAAAAGCCCCTTGGGAAAATTGACCTCACACCTTGTCTATACAGTCCCTGCATGGGGTTCCTGGTATGTGATAAGTAAAGAATGTCATGTTCTGACAGGCCCAGGAGCCCCAAGTTACCTTGGTGCCTCAAGAGGAAAGGAATTTACTCAACTCATAGGTATTTGAGGGTACAAACCCATGGCTGTGCTCAGCTTTAAAAAAAAGTCTTATCTGACATTTCTTATGGAACAGAGTTCCATCCAAACCAATTAAAAAGCCTATGTGAAAAATAATTATTCTTGCTGCCCTTTATGCAAATAATCAGGTCAAGTATAATAAGACTAAAGTTTATTTTGCATACAAATCAATCATGTCATGATTTGCTTTTAATAAAAATGGAGACCGGAGAGAGAAAAGTTATTCCTCCAAAAAACTTTAGTTGTTCCTCCAAAAAACTTTAGTTCCTCCAACAAAAACCTGTTGTTAGCTGTTCTTGAGTTTTATTCTGCAGTTTGGACTAAATCCTAAATTCTTGGTGGGCTACAAGACCCCAGACTAATGCTTTCAAATCTTTATTTTTAAAACTGGGAATTGCACCCGTTATCCTCGTATTCATTACTTACCTTATAGTACACTGTTCACTTAAATGTGGTACTAAAACTATACATGACAATACTAATGTCTTTGTCATACAGGTCTGGAAATCCCAGCCTGCATTAGTACACTCAGATAGTTGCAAAGCAGTTCTACCCCTCACCTTGGGTTCAACACCTACCCCCACTATGCTCCTGGTCAGCGGGAAGAAGTTAGAGTGGTCTTTGTCCTTTTTCCATCTTCATTAGCCAACACCTTAAGATTAAGGTATTATAAAACCCAAAGGGAATGATTGAAACCGCCATCGCAAAATTACAACTGAGACAGTAAAAGAGATCTGACCTAACCAACTCCATCTTGCTTCAACCTCCAAGCTGGCCTTGTTTATTCCCGGGTGTAGGCTAAATTAACTTTGGGAGGAACTTAGTTTATAGTTTAAAACAAAGATGATGAAAGACCTTTCCCAAAACAAACTCCCTTCTTTCCTGGGGACTAGACTGCCTTTGTAGGACTAACAAATTAGCCAAAAGATTAGAAATTATCCTCCCCAAATTGCTCCTGGGGATAACATCACCATTGTAAAGCCTAAGATCAGTGCTTGAGATATTTTTCAGACCCTGCACTTGATGGATCAGCTGGCACCACCCAGATGGATAAACTGGCTCGTCTGACCTTGTGGCCCCTACCCAGGAACTGACTTAGTGCAAGACAGCTTTCACTCCTTTTGATTTCATCTCCCACCCAAACATTCAGCACTCTTGACTCACTGTCTCCCCATATCCCAACTCACCACCAAATTATCCATAAAAATTATGAAACCCAAATGCCCAGGGAGACTTATTTGAGTTATAATAAACCTCCTGTTTCCTGCACAGTTGGCTCAGGGCGAATTACTCCTTCTCTACTGTAATTCTCCTGTCTTGATAAATTGACTCTGTCTAGACAGTGGACAAGGTGAACCCACGGAGCAGGTACATGTCTGTCTTTCCCATTAAATGTAATCTTTTTGAATGTTCAGGGAATGGAATGAATGGTTCGTAGGATATTATTTTCCAAATAAATGATTAGAAAACATCAAGAGAGGAGCTATAGTGTCTCACTGGTGCACAGGCCAGTCACCCACAAGGCTGTAAGGGAATGCATGGGAAACAATGGCTTTGGGTGTGGAAAGTCTTTGGTTGGACAAATACAAATGGTTACTTACCATTGTGATTTTAATAGAAGTAAACATCAAAAACTAAAAATGAACAAACTATTAACCTCTTTAGTGGGTTAATGATCTCACTGTGAATAATCCAGGCACTCAGTTTTTCATTTTTGTTGTTCATTTTAACAAAACATATCTGGAGCATGGAGTAAAACTATTTGATACCTAACTCTGCCACTTTCAACTTGTGTGACTTTGGCCAAGAGATGCAACATCTCTGAACCTTGGTGTCATCATCTGAAAAATGGAGGTAATGCTTGCCTTGCTTACCACAGTGGGGAAGTTGCAAGGCCCAACATGAGAAACACGTTTTTAAAAGTACTCTATTAAGTATTCAGTGTCATACCAATAGATGGTGGTTTTATTTTTATTATGTATTTTTAAGAGCATAATTTATTGGCTTGCTAGTACCACCACCAGGAGGAAATGGAAAATAAAATAAAATAAAGGAGATGGAATTAAAATATCTACTTGATAGTCCACCTTGATGAGAGAAGATTGAAATTATGGTCTCCAGTGAGATGCTAGGATTGTCAGTGGCTTTCATTGCTCTTCCAAATGTATTCTAAGTAAAGCAAAAACAGAAGATGAATTACTAAACTGTGGAAGCACAAAGACTTTGTGTTAAGTTATGTAAGATCAGCCACAGAGAGAGAAATGACATGTAAAACCAGGCCACTGTACTGTATCCTCAAGCTAACTTCACCTTCTCTAAATAAGTGTCACCACCTCTAGAAATTCATTTTTATTCTATGGAAAATGTAAGTAGGGTATCCATTTGTTCATTCGGTGTTGGGTAGTTACATGTTACCATGCCCGTCATTTTATGAGTAGGTTTGTAGATGTCAAATTGGTGATACAACTCATTTCCTCTAGATAAAGAGCTTGCCCCACCCTTTCTCCTGAGCAGTGCCTACAGTTAAGACAGAGATGAAAGATGGTTTGGATCAAGGTACTTTGGGATGGAGCCTTCATACTCAGCCCCTCCAGAAGGGAATCCACAGGCAAAGAGCTCCAAGGACCTTGAGAGTCGGCCAAGTGGGGAGATGAGTCCCTGGCTCCCCAGGCATAACACAGAAGTGGCATGGGCGGTTCCTTCCACTTCAGTCTTTGGCAAAATTCTGCCGATTCATCCTCACACAGCAGAATTCTTACCTGGTTCTGGGAACAGCCAGATTACTGAGGGAGAAGAAGCTGGGTAGAAGGCTGAGCAGAGCTCCTAGCCTCTGGGTGGCCAGTGGTCAGGGCTAGGACCTGAATACAGGCGTTGTTCACCCTGTATTCCTCCCCCACCTTATAACATGACAGGAGCATGGAGCCACTTGGCTGCAAAATAGTGTTAGATTAAGTTTAGCCTAAAGCTGCCTTCTTACATATTTTACGTTTGGCCTAAAGGTTTCTCTGTACACAGTGAACTGAACCCAACTGGATGTGCAAACAGACTGTAACCTGCTCTTGTGCCAGTCACTAAGTTTCTGCCAATCACAGGCAGCCAACTGTTCAAACAGGTTCAAATAAGGCAAATGCTGAGCTGTAACCAATCTGGCTGTTTTTTCTGTATTTCAGTTTCCTTTTTCTGTCCATAGATCTTCTTCCACCATGTGGCACCCCCAGAACCTCTCTGAACTATTCTCATCTGGGGATTGCCCAATTTGTGAATTGTTCTTTGCTCAATTAAATGATGTTAAATTTAATTTGCCTAAGGTTTTTATTTTAACAATAGTGGTAGGGGACTCGGGGGGGAGGTAATCCACTGGTCTTGTAACATTTTTCAGTGTTAGTTCATCCCCACTGAGAAATATGTTTTGTCCAATAGGTTCTTCAGAGAGAAAGGGGTCCCCAGGAGTTAAATATGAATGTAGTTTGCAGCTTCTTAGCAGGTTCCAGGAAAAAAATAACACCCAGCTATTCAAGGGAAAACTTGGATCTTGCCCCTCACCAAGGTGGCCAATTCCCTGGGGATTTCTGACATCAGAAGCTGCTTCCTGGGGGGACTCCAGCCTGGAGAGGGAGGTGCCTCTTACTATGGATGCAACATGACATCTATGCTAATGCTGTGTCATTTGTTTCTTGGTTTTATTTTTCTCCAGTAATAAAGCATGAATCTGAGCTATATAAAGAGAAGGGGGAGCTGCAGATTCCCAGCAGCTATGAGTTACTCAGCATCAACCTTACCCCTCCTGCAAGGCTTCTCATCCACATCACAGTTGATCCACCTTGAGCTCTCCTATCCGGTGTTTCCTCTTTCCTGGACTATGATCCATAAGGACTGGGTCCATCTTGAGTAGTTGTGACCCTCAATGGCCAACATAGTGGAAACTCAACATACATTTATGGTATGGGCAAATGAGTGAGTGAATATATGCATGGATGAATTTCTACTACTTATAATGGTCTATTGTAATTGCCCATTTTCTTTTCTGTTTTCCCCAACTCAACTGGGCATTCTGTTAGGCAGAAACTGTGTCTGCTTTCTTCACCAGTACTATGCATCCCAGTGCAAGGGGTAGTGCCAGATCAGTAAGTATTTAAAATATGGAAGGAAAGGAGGGACTGGGGGAATGTTGATCCTCTAAAAGCTTGTCATCTAGTTGGGGAGGCCAGATTAGCACATATGAAATAATCTGAGAATGAGAAGCAACTAAACTGATAGCTGTAACATTCTGAGATCTTAAGATACCCACAGAAGCTGAGTTGGTGTGAGCTGGAAATGGAGTGCCTGGGGACTGAAAGGCCACAAAGCTCTGTCTAGGAAAGGCTGGTAATGGGACCAACCATTCAGGCAGAATTTGGCTGGGACAGTATTGTGAATTTGAAGGTTTCTGAGGGAAGGGAAGTGTTGATAACTGATCTAAGGTGATTGGGCTTAGATTATACACACGGAGTGCTTAGAGGTGAATCGGAATTCTAGGTCCCTTCTTCCCCAAACTCACTATTGGGCTATGATGAAAGTGCAGGGGGGAGTTTGGCCTCACAGACAAGCCTGTCTTACAAGGCAGGACAACCATGGCCACACCTTTCCTGGTAAACACTTCCAGCTCTCTAATCTTTGGGTACTTGACAAGTGCATTGCATGAAAGGTTCACTCAAAATAGATGTAACAGCATTTTAGTGTCAGGAGAATATGTTAGACTTTTAGTTGAATCAGGAGACAGATCTCTCCGTTAAGTGATAAAATACAAACCCAAAGGGAGTCCTAGCCCAGGAATGTCCCTCACAAAGAGAGTTAGGCTACAGTGTTCACCAAATTCTTAAATTCTTAATTCATATAAGAGCAAGATTCTAGCCAAAGCTTAAGTACTAAAGTTTCACCAATGAAACAGTCTTCTTTTCTTTTCTTTTCTTTTCTTTTCTTTTCTTTTCTTTTCTTTTCTTTTCTTTTCTTTTCCTTTTGAGACAGTCTTGCTCTTGTTGCCCAGGCTGGAGTGCAATGGTGCAATCTTAGCTTACTGCAACCTCCACCTCCCAGGTTCAAGCAATTCTCCTGCCTCAGACTCCCAAGTAGCTGGGATTACAGTCACCTGCCTAATTTTTGTATTATTTTGGTAGAGGCAGGGTTTCACCATGTTGGCCAAGCTGGTCTTGAACTCCTGACCTCAGATGATCCGCCTGCCTCGGCCTCCCAAAGTGCTGGGATTACAGGCATGAGCCACCACACCCAGGTAATTAATTGCATATTTCTATACAAGCAGTGAACAATTGGAAATTGAATTAAAAATCGCATATAGTTTACTAAATTTATTGCTAAACGCTTTGTTTTTTTGATGCTTTTGTAAATGGTTGTGATTTTTAATTCAATTTCCAATTATATGCATCATAACTATAAAACCTTGCTGAGAGGAAAAAGAACTAAATAAATGGAGAGATATCCTGTGTTCATGGGATAGAGAACTGCTAAAATGCTGTCAAAAATGTTAATTTTTCCAAAATTGATTTATAGATACAATGCAATACTAATAAAAATCCAAGCAGGCTTTTTTGTATATATTCATAGATTGATTATAAAATTTATACAGAAAGCCAATAGTTCTAGAATAGACAAGCAATTTTGAAAAAGAAGTGCAAAGTTGGAGGGCTCACAAAACCTGATTTCAAGACTTAACTATGAAGCTACAGTAATGAAGACAGTGAGGCGTTTGCTTAACAATACACCGATAGTTCAATGGAGCAGAGTAGAAGGTCCAGAAACAGGCCCTTACATATATAGTCAATTAATTTTTGAGAAATGTGGCAAAGTAATTCAATGGAGACAAAAGTATTTTCAACAAATTGTGCTGGAACAATTGGGCATCTATATGTCTAACTATATCTCCATCATATTGATTTTATTCATAATTATCACAAACTGAAAACAATCTAAGTCTCAAATGGTAAATGGATAAACTATGAAATACTATTCTATAATAAAAAGGAATGAACTACTGATACAAGTAACAACATAATTGAATCCCAAATATATTATGGTTAAGTGAACAGAACCAGACTCAAAAGGCTACTTGCTTTGTGACATTTTAGAAAAGGAAGAAAACAAATAGGTCAATGGTTACCATGGGTTGGTGGGTGGGGAAGGGGTTCACTATAACAAGGCCCAAGGAAATTTTAGGGGAAGATAGACCCATTCTGTATCTTAATTGTGGTGATGGTTACACAACTGGATGCAAGTGTCCAAATTCAGAACTATACATACACATTTAAGTGTCCATCAACAGATGAATGGATAAGGAAAATGTGATATATATGCACAATGGAATATTATTCAGCCATAAAAAATAATGAGATCCTGTCATTTGCAACAAAATGGGTGAAACTGGAGGTCATTGTGTTAAGTGAAATAAGCCAGGCACAGAAAGACAAATGTCTCATGTTCTCACTCTTTTGTGGGAGCTAAAATTTAAAACAATTGAACTGGAGATAGATGGTAGAAGGATGGTTACCAGGGGCTGGGAAGGGGAATAGAGAAGTGGGAGGAAGTGAGGATGGTTAATGGGAAGGGAATGTTGGTTACCAGAGTTTGGGAAGGGGAGTAGGGAAGTGGGATGGAAGTGAGGATGGTTAATGGGAAGGGAATGTTGGTTACCAGAGTTTGGGAAGGGGAGTAGGGAAGTGGGATGGAAGTGAGGATGGTTAATACAAAAGGATAGTTAGAAAGAATGAATAAGAATTAGTATTTGACAGCACAACAGAAAGACTATAGCCAATACTTAATTGTACATTTTAAAATAACTAAAAGAGTATAATTGGATTGTTTTGTAACAAAAAGAATAAATGCTTGAGGTGATGTATTCCCCATTTGCCCTGATGTGATTACTATGCATTGCATGTGTGTATCAAAATATCTCATGTACCCCATTAATATATACACCTACTGTGTACCCACAGAAATTAAAAATTTAAAAAACAACTGTACATGAAAAGAATGAGTTGTACTGTAACTAAATTACATCTCAATACATTTAAAAAGAATTTAAGAAAGCGTTCTTTTAGTACTTTCATGATCTCAGCAACTACATGAGCACTGCACTTAAGCCCTTAATTAACTTTCACAATTCCTTTGAACTTGTTGGAGGTGTCCATTTGCTAATGATTAGTTTGTTCATACTCATTTGACTCTGATCTGCAAGGATAAAATATGAAAATTATTCTCTCCCTCTCATTCTTTTCTTTTCCTTCCCTCTGATTTCCTCTCTCCTTCTCATTGTCTCTCCCTCTTTCTTTACCAGTAAAAGTATACCTCTATATGTTGCTGGCAGTAAGGCATGGAGATGGATTTATGTCACCTTTGACAAAGGCGCTTTTTGTGAACTAGATTCTATGGAGCTGCAAGGCCATATTGGCATTGAAAACTCTAGGATGAGCTTTAATTAATCAAGTATCTGCTTCTGTTAGCCCCATAATGCATATGGAGATTTCCAGATCTTTCTTAGAATGCTGGCAAAGGCTGCCCTATTTCCTCTGGCAAGCCACTTCTTGAATTTCTATTATACAAAATGTGGAAATTGGAGGCAGCCCTGGGCATCAAGGGTGTGGCTATGCAACTGTGATCTTGGGGAGTAGCGTTTGAAATCAGAGAAACCTTATATTAGATGGATCAAGGAGGGAGCCAGGAGATTGATATCCTCAGAAGGTGTTACATGTTTCTCTTGGAATTGCAGTTGCTCAAATTTCTCTCTTTCTCAATTTTTTTTGGCAATGAACATTTTTAAACTTTTACAAAACTAGACAGAATAGTTTGGTTGACCCCTGTAACCATCATCCATATTCAAAAACTATCAGTTTATGACTAACCTTGTTTCAGCAATACCCTCAGTAACCCCTTGCCTTAGTCATTTTGAAGCAAATTCCAGACATATCATTTCTTCTGCAAATATCTCACTATTTATCTCAAAAATATAAATATTCTATTTTAAAAATAACCATAATTCTACCTTAGAAAGTAACAATAAATTTCTTGATATCATTAAATATTAGTATTCAAATTTCCAATTCTTTTATAAATGATTTTATTTTGTTATGTTTTGTTTGCATAAATGTGTTTAAAAACAGTTTGCTTGAATCAGGATCCAAACAAGGTCTACACATTTCAATTCAGTTGCTATCTCTTATGCCTTTTTAAATCTGTTTCCCCTCTATTTCTTTTTTAAAATAAACTTTATATTTTAGAATAGTTCTAGATCTATAGCAAAGAAAGTTAGTACAGCAATTTCTCATATACCCCATACCCAGTTTCCCCACTATTAACATCTACATTGGTATGGTGCATTTATTATAATGAATGAAGCAATATAAATACATTATTAACTGAAGTCCATACTTTATTCAGATTTCCTTAGTTTTTACTAACATCCTTTTTCTGTTCCCATCTAGGACACCACATTACATTTAGTCATCATGTCTCCTTCGGCTCCTCTTGCCTATGACAGTTTCTCAGAGTTTCTTTGTTTTTGATGAACTTGGAGGCTTTGAGAAGTACTGATCACGTATTTTGTAGAATGTCCCTAAATAGGGCTTTGTCTGATATTTTTCTCGTGATTATAGTAGGGATAGGGGTTTTGGAGAGGAATCTTGCAGAGGTGAAGTGCCGTTCCTATCACACTGTATCAAGAATACGTACTATTGACATGACTTATGGTTGACATTGGCCCTGTTTGTCTGAGGTAGTTTGTCAGGTTTCTCCACTGTAAAGTTACTCCTTTCTCACCTTCCTCATACTGTAGTCTCTGGAATGAAGTCGCTCTGTGAAGCCCACATTTAGAGTGAAGAGTTATGAGCCACCTCCTTGAGGGTGTAATATTTGCATAAGTTATTTGGAATTCTTTTGCACAGAAGATTTTTCTCTTCTCCCTCATTTATTTATTTATTCAATAGTCTATATATATGGGGACTCATGGGTATTTATTCTTTGGGTTATAATCCACTATTATTTTATTTTGTTGCTCAAATTATTCCTGATTATATGCTAACTCATGTATATATACATATCAATATTTTCATATGTAACATCTGTATCTACGTTAAGTTTAATATGAATTTATGCTACTATCTCCAACTCTAATAAATTACCACAAAGATAATTTTAGCCTCCACCCTTGCTTATCTCTAAATTTCCAATCTCAAATTTCTCAACAGTGAAAAACTTGGCTCCTACCATCCACCATCCAATTGCTTAATTGTCCAATTCCAGTATACATGCATGACAGTATCCGAATTGTTAACCCATGGCAATAACTTTATCAAGCAGAATACAGTGCTTATGTGCAATTCTTTTTGTTTTTAGTCTTACAGACTCCATTTATTTCCAAAATTACTTAAGTAAGTTGGCACTTAAGTTGAACATACACCTATCATATGACCCATCCATTCCATTCCTAGCTACTTACCCAAAGGAAATGAAATCATATTTCCATACAAAGACTTACAAACAAGTGCTTATAGAGCCTTTATTTGTAGCAGCCCAAACCAAAAACAACCCAAAATGTCTATCTACAGGTGAATGGATGAGCAAATTTGATTTTTCCAAACAAATACTAATTAGCAACAAAAAGAAATGAGGTGTTAATATGTGCAACAATATGGATGAATCTGAAAATTATTATGCTGAGTAAAAGAAGCCAGATACAAAAGAGCAAATACTGAAAAAAAAAGAGTACATACTGTATGAGTTCATTTATGTTAAATTTTAGGAAATGTAAATGATAATGACAGAAAGCTGATCAGTGATTGCCTGGGAATCAAGAGGTTTGGAAGAGTGGCAGGAGGGAGCAACTATAAAGACACAAACTTTGGAGGATGATGGATATGTTCACTCGCTTGATTGTGAGGATGTTTTCATGGATAAAATCATATGCAAAAGTTATCCAATTGCATGGTTTAAATATGTACAGCTTATGTCCATTTTACCCCAATAAAAAAGTCTGTGCTTCCTATCCTTTACTGATTCACTCTAGAGCAGCTTCTCAAACTTTAATGTACACATGAAGAAGGTACAATTCTCTCTCCCCTGAGAGCTGTGTTAAAATGCAGATTCTGATTGCTATGCCTAGGAAGTGACCTGAGATTCTGCATTTGTAACAAGCACCTAGATGGTGCCATTGCTGCTGGTCTGAGGGGTCACACTTTGGGTAGCAGGTGTGGTGGTTCATATACTCCATATATAAGAATCTCAGCTCCTCTACAAATAACATTCTAACTTTGGGAAATTTTCTTTCCCTCTTGAGTCTTTATTTGTTTATCTGCTAAATGGATACAATAAAGATATTTTTTTCCAGTTTGTTCTTAAATTAGGAAATAATGCAAAGGAAGATCAATAATCAACCCCCCTTCAATAATCAAAGTATAAGAATACATAGTTCTCCATTTGCTTGGTAGATCTTCCTCCATCCCTTTATTTTGAGCCTATGTGTGTCTGTGCATGTGAGATGCATTTCCTGAATACAGCACACTGATGGGTCTTGACTCTTTATCCAATTTGCCAGTCTGTGTCTTTTAATTGGAGCATTTAGCCCATTTACATTTAAGGTTAATATTGTTATATGTGAATTTGATCCTGTCATTATGATGTTAGCTGTTTATTTTGCTCCTTAGTTGATGCAGTTTCTTCCTAGCATCGATGGTCTTTACAATTTGGCATGTTTTTGCAGTGGCTTGTACCGGTTGTTCCTTTCCATGTTTAGTGCTTCCTTCAGGAGCTCTTGTAGGGCAGTCCTGGTGGTGACAAAATCTCTTAGCATTTGTTTGTCTGTAAAGTATTTTATTTCTCCTTCATTTATGAAGCTTAGTTTGGCTGGATATGAAATTCTGGGTTGAGAATTCTTTTCTTTTAGAATGTTGAATATTGGTCCCCACTCTCTTCTGGCTTGTAGAGTTTCTTCTGAGAGATCAGCTGTTAGTCCATTGGGCTTCCCTTTGTGGGTAACCTAACCTTTCTCTCTGGCTCCCCTTAACATTTTTTCCTTCATTTCAACTTTGGTGAATCTGACAATTATGTGTCTTGGAGTTGCTCTTCTCGAGGAGTATGTTTGTGGCATTCTCTGTATTTCCTGAATTTGAATGTTGGCCTGTCTTGCTAGGTTGGGGAAGTTCTCCTGGATAATATCCTGCAGAGTGTTTTCCACCTTGGTTCCATTCTCCCTGTCACTTTCAGGTACACCAATCAGATGTAGATTTGGTCTTTTCACATAGTCCCATATTTCTTGGAGGCTTTGTTCGTTTCTTTTTATTCTTCTTTCTCTAAACTTTTTGCTTCATTTCATTCATTTCATCTTCAGTCACTGATACCCTTTCTTCCAGCTGATCGAATCGGCTATGGAAGCTTGTGCATTCGTCACATTGTTCTCGTGCCATGGTTTTCACCTCCGTCAGGTCATTTAAGGCCTTCTCTACATTGGTTATTGTAGTTAACCATTTGTCTAATATTTTTTAAAGGTTTTTAACTTTTTTGCAATGGGTTCAAACTTCCTCCTTTAGCTCAGAGAAGTTTAATCATCTGAAGCCTTCTTCTATCAACACGTCAAAGTCATTCTCCATCCAGCTTTGTTCCATTGCTGGTGAGGAGCTGCGTTCCTTTGGAGGAGGATAGGCACTCTGATTTTTAGAATTTTCAGTTTTTCTGCTCTGTTTTTTCCCCATCTTTGTGGTTTTATCTACCTTTGGTCTTTGATGATGGTGATGTACAGATGGGGTTTCGCTGTGGATGTCCTTTCTGTTTGTTGGTGTTCTTTCTAACAGTCAGGACCCTCAGCTGCAGGTCTGTTGGAGTTTGCTGGAGGTCCACTGCTGGAGTTTGCCTGGGTATCAGCAGCGGAAGCTGCAGAACAGCAAGCATTGCCGAACAGCAAATGTTGCTGTCTGATCGTTCCTCTGGAAATTTCATATGCACCCAATACAGGAGCACCCAGATTCATAAAGAAAGTCCTTAGACACCTGCAAAGAGACTTAGACTCCCACACAATAATAATGGGAGACTTTAACACCCCACTGTCAACATTAGACAGATCAACGAGACAGAAAGTTAACAAGGAATCCAGGACTTGAACTCAGCTCTGCACCAAGCCAACCTAATAGACATCTACAGAACTCTCCACCCCAAATCAACAGAGTATACATTCTTCTAAGCACCACATCGCACTTATTCCAAAATTGACCACATAGTTGGAAGTAAAGCACTCCTCAGCAAATGTAAAAGAACAGAAATTATAACAAACTGTCTCTCAGACCACGGCGCAATCAAACTAGAACTCAGGATTAAGAAACTCACTCAAAACCGCTCAACTACATGGAAACCAAACAATCTGCTCCTGAATGACTACTGGGTACATAACAAAATGAAAGCAGAAATAAAGATGTTCTTTGAAACCAACGAGAACAAAGACACAACATACCAGAATCTCTGGGACACATTTAAAGCAGTGTGTAGAGGGAAATTTATAGCACTAAATGCCCACGAGAGAAAGCAGGAAAGATCTAAAACTGACACCCTAACATCACAATTAAAAGAACTAGAGAAGCAAGAGCAAACAAATTCAAAAGCTAGCAGAAGGCAAGAAATAACTAAGATCAGAGCAGAACTGAAGGAGATAGAGACACAGAAAACCCTTCAAAAAATCAATGAATCCAGGAGCTGGTTTTTTGAAAGGATCAACAAAATTGACAGACTGCTAGCAAGACTAATACAGAAGAAAAGAGAGAAGAATCAAATAGATGCAATAAAAAATGATAAAGGGGAGATCACCACCAATCCCACAGAAATATAAACTATCATCAGAGAATACTATAAACACCTCTACACAAATAAACTAGAAAATCTAGAAGAAATGGATAAATTCCTCAACACATACACCCTCCAAAGACTAAACGAGGAAGAAGTCGAATCCCTGAATAGACCAATAACAGGCTCTGAAATTGAGGCAATAATTAATAGCCTACCAACCAAAAAAAAAGTCCAGGACCAGAAGGATTCACAGCCAAATTCTACCAGAGGTATAAGGAGGAGCTGGTACCATTCCTTCTGAAACTATTCCAATCAATAGAAAAAGAGGGAATCCTCCCTAACTCATTTTATGAGGCCAGAATCATCCTGATACCAAAGCCTGGCAGAGACACAACAAACAAAGAGAATTTTAGACCAATATCCCTGATGAACATCGATGCAAAAATCCTCAATAAAATACTGGCAAACTGAATCCAGTAGCACGTCAAAAAGCTTATCCACCATGATCAAGGGGGCTTCATCCCTGGGATGCAAGGCTGGTTCACCATACAGAAATCAATAAACGTAATCCATCATATAAACAGAACCAAAGACAAAAACCACAGGATTATCTCAATAGATGCAGAAAAGGCCTTTGACGAAATTCAACAGCCCTTCATGTTAAAAACTCTCAATAAATTAGGTATTGATGGGACGTATCTCAAAATACTAAGAGCTATTTATGACAAACCCACAGCCAATATCATACTGAATGGGCAAAAACTGGAAGCATTCCCTTTGAAAACTGGCACAAGACAGGGATGCCCTCTCTCACTACTCCTATTCAACATAGTGTTGGAAGTTCTGGCCAGGGCAATCAGGCAGGAGAAAGAAATAAAGGTATTCAGTTAGGAAAAGAGGAAGTCAAATTGTGCCTATTTGCAGATGACATGATTGTATATCTAGAAAACCCCATTGTCTCAGCCCAAAATCTCCTTAAGCTGATAAGCAACTTCAGCAAAGTCTCAGGATACAAAATCAATGTGCAAAAATCACAAGCATTCTTATACACCAATAACAGACAAGCAGAGAGCCAAATCATGAGTGAACTCCCATTCACAATTGCTTCAAAGAGAATAAAATACCTAGGAATCCAACTTACAAGGGATGTGAAGGACCTCTTCAATGAGACCTACAAACCACTGCTCAATGAAATAAAACAGGATACAAACAAATGGAAGAACATTCCATGCTCATGGATAGGAAAGATCAATATCGTGAAAATGGCCACACTGCCCAAGGTAATTTATAGATTCAATGCCATCCCCATCAAGCTACCAATGACTTTCTTCACAGAATTGGAAAAAACTACTTTAAAGTTCATATGGAACCAAAAAAGAGCCCACATTGCCAAGTCAATCCTAAGCCAAAAGAAGAAAGCTGGAGGTATCACGCTACCTGACTTCAAACTATACTACAAGGCTATAGTAACCAAAACAGCATGGTACTGGTATCAAAACAGAGATACAGATGAATGGAACAGAACAGAGCCCTCAGAAATAATACCACACATCTACAACCATCTGAACTTTGATAAACCTGACAAAAACAAGAAATGGGGAAAGGATTCCCTATTTAATAAATGGTGCTGGGAAAACTGGCTAGCCATATGTAGAAAGCTGAAACTGGATCCCTTCCTTACACCTTATACAAAAATTAATTCAAGATGGATTAAAGACTTAAATATTAGACCTAAAACCATAAAAACCCTAGAGGAAAACCTAGGCAATACCATTCAGGACATAGGCATGGGCAAGGACTTCATGTCTAAAACACCAAAAGCAGTGGCAACAAAAGCCAAAATTGACAAATGGGATCTAATTAAACTAAAGAGCTTCTGCACAGCAAAAGGAACTACCGCCAGAGTGAACAGGCAACCTACAGAATGGGAGAAAATTTTTGCAATCTACTCATCTGACAAAGGGCTAATATCCAGAATCTACAAAGAAACCAAACAGATTTACAAGAAAAAAAAAACCCATCAACAAGTGGGCGAAGAATATGAACAGACACTTCTCAAAAGAAGACATTTATGCAGCCAACAGACACATGAAAAAATGCTCATCATCACTGGCCACCAGAGAAATGCAAATCAAAACCACAGTGAGATACCATCTCACACCAGTTAGAATGGTGATCATTAAAAAGTCAGGAAACAACAGGTGCTGGAGAGGATGTGGGGAAATAGGAACACTTTTACAGTGTTGATGGAACTGTAAACTAGTTCAACCATTGTGGAAGTCAGTGTGGCGATTCCTCAGGGATCTAGAACTAGAAATACCATTTGACCCAGCCATCCCATTGCTGGGTGTATACCCAAAGGATTATAAATCATTATACTATGAAGACACATGCACACTTATGTTTATTGCGGCACTATTCACAATAGCAAAGACTTGGAACCAACCCAAATGTCCAACGATGATAGACTGGATTAAGAAAATGTGGCACATATACACCATGGAATACTATGCAGCCATAAAAAAGAATGAGTTCATGTCCTTTGTAGGGACGTGGATGAAGCTGGAAACCATCATTCTCAGGAAACTATCGCAAGGACAGAAAACCAAACACCACATGTTCTCACTCATAGGTGGGAATTGAACAATGAGAACACTTGGATACAGGAAGAAGAACATCACACACCGGGGCCTGTTTTGGGATGGGGGTAGTGGGGAGGGATAGCATTAGGAGATATACCTAATGTAAATGATGAGTTAATGGGTGCAGCACACCAACATGGCACATGTATACGTAGGTAACAAACGTGCACATTGTGCACATGTACCCTAGAACTTAAAGTAAATAAATATATATATAAAAGAATACACAGTTCACAGAAAAGCAGCCACAAATGGAGTTTACATATGTGAAATAAGCCTTAACTTGATTCACAATA
The DNA here is from genome assembly GCF_000001405.40 of Homo sapiens. Lineage (NCBI taxonomy): Eukaryota > Metazoa > Chordata > Mammalia > Primates > Hominidae > Homo > Homo sapiens. The sequence goes on along the minus strand of NC_000007.14, from coordinate 106,436,389 downwards.
AGAGAAATGCGTATGAAAACTACAATATATGTTTTGCACCCATCATATTGGCAAAGATCATTTTATGCTCTGTGTTAATAACAGCATGAAGAAAGGCACTCTCCTACAGTGGCGGTAGGAATATGAATTGGTACATCACCCACGGAGACCAACTGGCCATGTCAACAAAAATTAAAATTTTTATACACTTTGAATCAGAAATTCCACTTCTGGAAGTTTGTACTACAACTGCAAGTACTAGTTCATATAGGAAATGAAGCATTCATTGCAGTATTTTTATAATACCAAAATATTAGAAACATCATAAGTATTGCTAATTAAATTAATATGTGTAATATAGAGAATCTATATAATACAGCCATTAAAAATGAGATACACTTTTATGGGAGGATCTCTAATATATACATGTATAAACACATATGATGAACATACATGTATTCATATAGAAAACCTTCAAAAGAATGTATGAGAAACTGTTGAGTAGCTGTTTGTTGGAAAGAAAACTCAATTCCTGGAGAATATGTTGGTGGGAACATTGTAAACCCTTTTTTTCCTTTAAAAAGGAATACTTTTTTTACTTTTTAACTTTGCAGTTTGAAACATTTTCAAACTTAGAAAAAAGTTGCAAAAAATGTCACAGAATTTTTTTTTTTAATTTTAGAGATGGGGTCTTGCTTTGTTGCCCAGGCTGGACTTGAACTCCTCAGCTCAAGCAGTCCTCCCACCTCAGTCTCTCAAGTAGCTGACACTACAGGCACACACCACTGCACCAGGCTCAAAGAATTCTTATAGCTTCCTTTTCTAATGTTAACACCTTTCATAACCACATTATAGGGAATTAACCTTAATAGTATTAACTATTTAGAGACCTTCTTCAGATTTCTCCACTTGAATCACTAATGTCCTTTTCTGTTCCAGAATCAAGTTTTCATATCACCTTAGTATCCTCCCATCTAGGATAATTCCTCAGTTTTTCTTTGTCTTTCATAACCTTGATGAATACTATTTAGTTATTGTATAGAATGTGTTCGATTTGGGTTTGTCTGATGTTTTCTTCTGATAAATTCAGGTTATATGTATTTGGCAAGAATACCACAAAAGCAGCATTGTATCTTCTCAGAGCATCATACCGGGAGATATGTGATGTCAATATGTATTGTTATTCGTGATCTTGTCTTTGATCACATAGTTAAGGTACGGTTTCTTCCCTACGAAGTTATTACTTTCTCTCTTTCATGGGGATATACTTTGAGGCTATGCAAATATTTTTTTTCTCAGAATATTAACCCCAGTAATTTTAGGATCTATTGATGATTCTTGCCTACAATTAATACTGTGGTGTTTGTCAACTGGTAATTTCTATTTTCATCTTTCCTTCTACACTTATAAATTAGAATTCAACTGTGAGTGCTGAGCATGGTGGCTCATGCCTGTAATCCTGGCACTTTGGGAGGCCAAGGCTGGTGGATCACTTGAGGTCAGGAGTTCAAGACCAGCCTGGCCAACATGATGAAACCCCATCTGTACCAAAAATACAAAAATTAGCTGGGCGTAGTATCCCCATTTGCTTTATCCACTCATTAGTTGATGGGCACTTGCCTGTAGTCCCAGCTACTCAGGAGGCTGAGGCAGGAGAATTACTTGAGCCCAGGAGGTAGAAGTTGTAATGAGCCAAGATCGTGCCACTGGACTGCACTCCAGCCTGCACTGCAGCCTGGCTGACAGAGTGAGACTCTGGCTCAAAAAAAAAAAAAAGAATTCAATTGTGAGAAAGAGATTTTCCTCCCCACTTTAATTACCTATTCAATTATTTATATCAGTATGGATTCAGGGATAGTTATTTTATTCTGTTCGTTACAATCTCTTACTACTGACATTTATTTTGTTACCCAAATTATCTCATATTTGACCATTGGGAGCCCCTTGAATTTGGCCAGTGTATCCTTTTGACATGTCCTTATTATATTTTGAGTACTTCCTTACCTTGTTTTCTGGCACTACAAGATATTCCAGGCTCATCTTCCCTACTCACACCTGGAATTAGCTATTTCTCCAAGGATTGTTGTTTCTTTTTATAGGAGAATGATGTTTAGAAACCAGTATATGGTTACTGAATGTGCTAGTTGGTACTGGAGTGTCATTACTCCTAGTCCTTAGAACATAGATAAAGCTAAGAATATAGATGCATACAAACACACACACACACACACACACACACACACACACACAGATTTGAGTTCATATTGATCCCAAGTTCAAATTGATATCTCTACTTCTCATCTCACAATAGTTTATTCTCTTATTCCCCCAGCCTTATTCCATTCTGTAACAGTGATAAAATTGGCTTTTGTTATTCATACTATTTTATTTATTTGCTCAATCTTAGAACACTCAAAATAACTTCAGAATTGCTAATCCAGAGTTCTGTGAAAAGCAAACTTACAAACAACTAGAATATATAATGTTTGTGTACAGTTCTTTTGTAATTTACCTTTTTAAAATACAGCCAAGTACCATTTTCCAGAGTTACTTAAGTTAGTTCTTTTCTTTCCCACCTCTTTGTTTGATTATTTTATTCATTTGTAATTCAATTAGGTTTATTTGTTGATATATTTCATTTGGGATTTCCCCTACAATATTTTTTACTGTATTTTCATTTTGATTTTTATTGTTTATTGATTTGTTTATTTTTAGTATGTGAAACATGATTATGATTCTGAAAGTCAGAACTTGACAGAAAATCATACTCAGATGTGGAACCCCTTTATCCCTTACACTGTGTTGCCATTTCTTGTTTTTATCCACTTTGTTCCCATCTACCCTATGTAGGTGACTAATCTTAGTTTCAAACGTATTCTTCCTGTATTGATTTGTGCATACCTGGGCAAATACATATATATGTTCTTATTTCTTCTGCTTTCTTACATAAACGGTAGCACACTAGTAAAACCAGTCTTTTCCACTAAGCAATGTATTCTGGCACTCTCTCCATATCAGATCATTGAGATCTCCTGTATTTACTTATACAGCTGCATGGTACTCCCTTGTGTGAATTTTTCTTAGTGTATTCCACTAATCTGCTATGTATGGGCATCTAGGTTGTTTTCAATATTTTACAATTTAAAATAATGCTGAGATGAATAAACTTGTGCAAGTGTGTTTTTCTTCTCTTAGAAATGTATCTTCAGCATAGATTCCTAGAAGTGAGATTTCTGGGTCAAAGGTAAGTGCATGTGTAGTTTTGTTCCATCTTGCCATCTTCTCCTTCATATGGGCTTTACCAATTTGCCATCCCAATGCATGAAAGTATCTGTTTCCCCACAGTCTCACCAAAAGCTCTTATTCATGCTTTTTAAATTTTCACAAATTTAATAGTTATGAAATGGTAACATTCAAAGGTAGCATTTTTTAAAGGTGGTATTATAAATTGCCTTTATCTAATAATGACAGAGTTTGAACATCTTGTAATGTTTAAAGATATATTTATATCTGTTGAATTGTTTATGTCTTTTGCCTATTTTTTTAAACCAAGTTTTCCTCCTTTGTTCTTCAATGTTAAAGAGTTGTTTTAAAATTTTTATTTCCACAGCTGTTGGAGTACAAGTGGTTTCTGTTACGTGAATGAATTATATAGTGGTGAATTCTGAGATTTCCTTGCACCCGACACCCGAGTAGTGTACATTGCACTGAACATGTAGTTTTTTTTTTATCCCTAGTCGCCTTTCCACCATCCCACTTCTGAACCTCTAAACTCCATTATATCACTCTGTACGCCTTTACATACTCATAGCTTAACTCCCACTAGAAAGTGAGAACATACAGTTTTTGGTTTTCCACTTCTGGGTAACTTCACTTAGAATAATGGCCTCCAGCTCCATCCAAGTTGCTGAAAAAGACATTATTTCATTTCTTTTTATGTCTGAGTAGTATTCCGTGGTATATGTATATACCACATTTGCCTTATCCACTCATTAGCTGATGGGCACTTAGGCTGGTCCCACATCTTTGCAATTGTAAATTGTGCTGCTATAAACATTAGTGTGCAGGTATTTTTTTCATATAATGATCTCTTTTCCTTTGGGTGGATACCCAGTGGTGGAATTGCTGAATCAATTGGTAGATCTACTTTTAGCTTTTGTTAAAGAGTTTTTAAACACAAGCCGAACACCCCTAATCTGAAAATCCAAAATCTGAAATGCCCCAAAATTTGGAAACTTTTTGAGTGCCAACATGACCGCACAAGTAGAAAATTCCACACCTGACTTTGTTGCTGGGTGCACAAAGTTACTAAAAATATTATATAAAATTACCTTCAGGCTATGCATAGAAAGAGTATATAAAGCATAAATAAATTTTGTATTTAGACTTGGGTTCCATTCCCAAGATATCTCCTTATATATATGCAAATATTCAAAAATCCAAAATATGAAACACTTCTGGTTCCAAGTATTTTGGATAAGATTTACTCAAACTGTAATCAAAATGTTAGCCTTTTGCCTATGTTATATGCTACAAATTCTTCCATCTGCATTTTTTTAAAGTTTTTGAGACAGAGTCTCACTCTGTCGCCCAGGCTGGAGTGCAATGGTGCAGTCTCTGCTCACTGCAACCTCTGCCTCCTGGGTTGAAGTGATTCTCCTGCCTTAGCCTCCCAAGTAGCTGGGATTACAGGCATGTGCCACCATACCCAGCTAAGTTTGTATTTTTAGTAGACATGAGGTTTCACCATGTTGGTCAGGCTGGTCTCATTCCTGCCCTCAGGTGACCCGCCCACCTCAGCCTCCCAAAGTGCTGGGATTACAGGCGTGAGCCGCCATGCCTAGCTTCCCTTTGCATTTTATACTACATGCATGTATTGCTTATTTTTAAAAATGTTAAGTGCATGTAGACACAAAATATTTATCTACATGTTTTGTAGAAACTGGAAAAAAATGTGTCAGGTTTTAGGGTGGGAGTAATTTTACTTCAGTTTTCAGTGAACATCTCTGTCCTTGCAATTTTCTACTTGCCCTTTCTCTCAGGAACCCTTAAATCAAGGAGCAGACATGTGCCAACTAGGAGGCCTTGGTGGATGGCCAGGTCTAAACAACTGAAGGCCAACCCTGACTCTCACTCTGTCCTTGTATCCTGTGGTACATGCACTTGTGCAGTGTCACCAGTTCCAGGAAATAAATAAGGAGTTACACACATGGCTCATTTTCCCACCTTGTGGCCCCCCCATGATCCAGCAAACATTGCAGGAATGATGCTCCTGCAGACATGGCAGTTCCTTCCTTCTAAATATAAACGCAGAGACACTAAAAATAAAGTGTTAAAGGTGAGTTTTGTTTGTTCCTGAAATGTCAGTACACCAACTGTATAAACTTATTTCTCAGGGAGCCAAGAAGGAACAGGTGGCTATGTACTTATAACTGGGCTTTTGCAAATGCAAAGAGAAACTGTCAGAAGCTTGCTGGAGAGCAGTCATGTCTTGATTTTTTTAAGTTGTGCTAAAAGCAGGACAGCAGGGAAATAGTTCTTCCATTGTCTAATAGATTTCTTTCAGGGTCCTTAAGCACATATAGTCCACAGGAGTGGAATTGAGGCTTCATGAGCCCACTTCAGCAAACCAGGGCTGACAGAATGCAATGACGAATTGGTCAATCATCAGCCAATGAGCAAAGCATGTGAACAGTGCAGAGTTCCTAGAATCACGAGTCAACCAAGAGAGATTTGTGCCTGGCATAGCACCTGGTCCATAATATACCATTAATATATGCATGATCAAATGAATAAAAAAGTATCCCATACTGGCTTGTATTGTTATGAAGGCTCCGAAGGGTGATGTTAAATGCCTAAGGGTTCAGATGAGAAAGGCAAGGCAGAAAGTGAAGGGCAGCAAGGCTCCTAAACTGATACTTGGATGTTGGCAGAATTAGAAGTATGGCCAGTGTAACAGGACAGGATCTGCCAATATTCAACCTCACAAGATGCAACAGGTGACAATAGCAGTTCATAATCCAAGCTTAGGTCACATCAAGACGAACCTGGAATTCAAGGTCCCACACTGTAAACAAGGTCAGGCCTTGCCAACACCCATCCCAACTCCCTAGTGGAGAAGAAAGCACACTTAATACAGGCACGGCAGACACTTGAGAACTCACGTTATATAACCAGTTACCACACAGAAGCCATGTTATCTCCCAATACAAAGAATGTGGCTAGGTTACTTCTACGACCTCAGTATTACTGTTAGATGCATTTTCTGCAGCCACTCCCTGTCTCTCACCCTTCTAAACAAATAACCAAAAGAAAACCAAAATAACCAACCACTGACATTCTCTGAAGGTTGCCATATTTTCATATTCTTTCATGACTTTGTTTAGGCTGTTTGTAATGCCTTTTGTTCATTTTTTCATTTATTCAGGAACAAATTTTCTTATTTGTTAATTGTGATTCATTTTTTGACTTGTCAATTTATTGATTGCCACTTATGTCCTTAGTGCTGCGCTAGGTGCTGTGGATATCGTGTTCACATGTCTGTGAACAAAACAGACATGCTCCCTGCCCTCACAGGAAAGACAGACAATAAACAAATAGAAATAAATATTTACTTACACATTGTCATAAGTGCTAAGAAGAAAATGACTCTGAGAGGAAATAACAGATGGCACTGACTGTAGAGACTATGATTCGGAGAGGCCTCCTAGTTACCTACTCTGTGGAATATTTTCTGACCAGCCCACACACCCACCCCAACTGAATCAATACTATTCTCTGTGCTCCAAAGTTATAGCTTCTAGTTTTGACTTGACACCTCTCTTTTGTAGTTGTTTATATATCTAAGCTGTGCACACAGACTATTAATTCTCACAATGCAAGGAGGATAAAGAGAAAAGCGTGTGGAATTTGGAATCAGAAAAATCTTAAAATGAATGCCAGTGTTCCACTTAAACTCTGGGATATTTGGCAGATATTTCAATCTGAGTTACCTGGAAGTAGAGCCTGAGGTGTTAAGGCTTGTAGGCAAGTAGTTTATTTGGGAAGAGATCCCAAGGAGTAGGAGTGAGGGATGGGAAGTGGAACAGGGAAGGGGGAGGAGGCAATGCAAGGATGTGCCGTGGAGTTGGCCACCGCTATAGACAGAGGGGCCACTGGCCTTGGAAGGAGCCATGTGAAATGGGCCTCAGATAACAGAGGGAAACATTTATATATTGGCCCATCCTCCACTGATTAGAAGAGCCCACATGGGCACGACTCCTATCCATTTCTAAGTTGTACAAGATATGAGTGTCCAGTGGATGCAACAAGTGCCTACATGAAGTATCAGGGGCACCTCAGGGCAAGAAGCAGGAGTATGGACCAGGTCCACACACTGTCCAGCTGCCCCCGTGTGAAGGTCGGCAATCCTGTGTGGAACAAGTTGATGAGGACATGACTGGAGTAAGAGGTGAGATGAGAGTGTTCAAAATTGAAGTGTCTAAAACCCACATCTACAAAACAGAGACAATAACAGTATCTGCCTCATAGGCATTTGAGAGTTAAGTGAGATGCTTTATGTGGAAGTGTTCTATAAACTGCAAATTCTAATTGTTATTGCTGTTAAAGTGACCTTCGGCTTATGTAACTAGAAAAGTGCCTAACACACTATTAAACAAAAAAGAAATGTGAGTTATGGGAGTTACTAAGTAAGAAGAGTGAAGGAGCAAATACAGAGGTATCCCAAGCTCTTTACTCGAGGTTCCTACCAATGTAAGATTTACCTAATACATTTCACATGTTCCTACTCTGTTCCATATTCAGATAGATTCAAATGAGGTAAATAGTGGTAGAAGAGATATTTTTAAAGTAGCTTACTTGAAGAATTTATTGAGGCCATCCCTTTGAAAGGAGAGAGCTAGGGGAAGATTTATTTGCCTATGCAATGTAACCCCATTCATGGACTTAACTGCCTTTGGCTTTTTCCATTGTTTGACAAAATATTTGAACAGAAGTTGGGTGGGAAATCTTTAGAAATCAGAAAATGGGGTTCTCTTGCCTTAAAAGCATGTAAACTGTGATGAAAATAGAGCAAGGCAAATCACATTCTGTCATAAAGAATCAAACAGGCATAGCGTACCACAGAATCAACAGCCACCCTGATCATAGATTAACTGGATAGAGGTCAGGCAGCACCAACCTAGGAAGCTTTCATTTCATTACAACTTACTTCACTTCAGTAAGCCCTTACAGATCCTGTGATAGGCAGAACCAGGCATGTGCTAGGCCATGGGGCTACAGGGATGGTGAGGGTGAAAGACAAGGAGATTAACAGTGAGAACACAGTGGCATCAAGAGAGGTGCACAAGAGTGTTCACAGAGTGTAGAGAATGGGTGCAAATGAAAGGTGCCTGAGTCCGCTTGCAGGGAAAGAGAAAGAGGGTCAATGCAGTTTTCAAAACAACAACAAACAACAACAACAACAGATGCATCACCAAAAGTCTGGTGGATAAGCAGGCATTAGTTGGATGGAGTGGAGGGGCGGGGGTATTTCAGGCTAGAGAGAACAGCCTGGGCATTTGTCTAGAGGTGGGAGGAGGCCTGATACTTTGGAGGAATTGCAAGAAGGTCAGTGTTAGGGAGCAAGGGGAGTGAAGGGGGCAGGGATATGGTGGGAGAGGGGGTTGCAGCTGCGAGACCTGATGGGGCAGGACGGTAAAGAGCCGTCCATTTGGATGCATGCATTTGAACTTGCCTATGGGAAAAGGCAAGCCACAGAAGGATGTTAAGCAGTGGAGTGATGAGATGATATTAATGTTCTCTGTCTAGAAGATACCTCTGGCCATGGGATGTGAGAGAGTGGAAGACCGAGTGGGGCTGGATACATGCAGAAGCTGGAGCTCAGCTTGGAAATGATCATAGTGTTGAGTCCGGGAAGATGGATAAGGGCCTGTGGCAATGCAGTAGGAATAAACAGGTGGTGATGGACTTCCAGCAGGGACCCAACATGCTGGTGACCATTCATTTGGATGTGGAAGATGAAGGAGGAGATGGTCAAAGCAATAGCAGGTTTCTGCCTCAGGTGACCAGGTGGAAGGTTGTGCCATTTGCTGAAGAGAAAAAAAGGCTGGTGGAGAAAGTGGAGCCAAATTGGAAGAATAGAAACATGGTTGCTGGAGATAGCTGCTTGCAATGTTTTGTTTTTCTCTATTTATTTTGGGACATGGGATCCTTTTGTAATATTTTTACACATGAAAAGGGGTATAGTCCTCAAAGGCTGTTAGGACTGTCACATATGATTATGCAAGTCTTGCCGTGCAAAAGGGCTTCTGGCCCGGGAGAGAGCGAGGCTGACCTGCAGCCTGTGCGAGGCTCCTTGGGAGTGTACGGACAGGGTTGCATCTGCCTGGGAAAGGGGTACCCATGAGGATGCTTCCCATCACCTCTCTGGACCCACTTCCCACCCTCCTCTGTGCCCTGGCTGGCTGGCCTGTGTGGATGACATGGCCCACCCCCCTCCCTCCAGCACCTGGCTGAGTTCCACCGTTGGGGGTGCTGGCAGGAGAGCAAAGGGAAGAGCGTTTCTCTTGGCTCCTCTCCTTACTGAGGGCCATTGATTGTCTCTCTCCCTTTCTGAAGGTCACAGCTTCCAAAGCTACAGTTCTTGCTTTGTCTCAGTACAGGGCTCTCTCTCTCCTTGTCTCTCAGGGCTCCCCACTGTTGCTAGCCCCAGGATACCATACCATTCCTTGCAGGTTTGCCTAAATCCCACCCACGTCTTTGTAAATGGTGCCTTCCCCTCACACTTTCCTTCATTATCCACTTTGACTGTGTCATCTGTTTCCCGCCAGGACCAGGACTGATATTGAATATTTTTCTAATTAACACAAGGCAACATCTTCATTCACTTCCCCATGCACCTGTGAAGCTGTGACTACCATCGGGACGCCTGTTTCTAGTTCTCAGGAAGGTGCTGTGTTAAGCGAAGGGCCCTCTGGGTTCTGAAACTCTGGGGGCCTTGATTCCTCTGCAAGTGGGAGCCAGATTGGCTTTTCAGTCTCACCCAAACTTTGAGCTAGAAGGGAAGAGGGAGGAGAGTGGGGAAGGGAAAGGTGTCAGAGTCAGCGGACCCTGAGGAGAGGCACTGTGGATTATCAGTGTGAGGTATTAACATCACCCCTCCAGCCTTCACTGGGAATTGGGAGTCGACACTTGGGAATGTTTGAGTGCAGGTAAGGCAGGTGTCCCTACTCCACCAGAATGATCTGCTCCCCTTCTTCAAGTTTCTCGGTTTCTTACCCAACCATCCCCTTCCCCTACCCTGGCTATATGTAGCTGTTTCTAATTTTCTTTAATTTAACAAGGACTCAGTAAAAGAGAATATTTTCGTTAAACTTTCAGGTTTAACAAGATATTGTGAAAGCCATTGATCTCCACTCTATCACGCTGGAGAAGTAGGGAAATACCTATTTGTAAAATGTGCGTGTCTGCCTGTTGACACCCAGTTGTTGGCTTATTTGTTCATTCATTTATTTATGCATCTATTATTTATTCATTCATCAAATAGCTGTCAAATGCTATCTAAGACTTGATTGTTGTATTTATCCTCAGCTGGACCCTTCTATCCCCTCCTAAAGGAAGAGGAAGGAGGCATGCAAGGCACACAGCAAGGTGGGCTGATGCCAAGCTAGAACAAGGAAAGTGCAGTTGGAGGACATGTGTGGTGGGACCTGTAGCTGACCTTTCCCCTCCCTGCAGCCAGACTTTGCCCTCCCTGCAGCCAGGCCTGGGCCACACGGGTAGGAATACCCTGGCAGTTCACATTCTCACTCAGTCTCACACTCACTTTGTACTCTGATGCTGACATGAAGTGGCTCTGCTGGCAGCCCACGTGTTTCCAGATACTTGACCCAGCTGCAGGTATGAAGGCCTTACCTCCTGGCAAATGTGAAACAAAAGTCGAAGGAGACAAAGAGCCTGTGAGCTTGTTCCCCACTCCTTTCCATACTCAGCTGATGACTCAATTCACCACCAAGGGTGAGCATGAGGGATCTGTCCGTTCATATTCATCTTCCACCCTTTCCAGGCTTTGGATGTGTGGAGCTGTGCTAATTTGGAGTTGCTGAGCTACAGGACAGTGTTAAGAGAGGCTCTGGCATCTCAGATTTATTGCTTGAATACTTGAAATCCTTATTACAGGAAGTTACACAGCTTGCTTCCAAGCAGCACATGTAAAATTGCAGTTTGACGTTCTGGGGAAATCCCAAGCGTCACGCTGTTTCACCAGAGTGATAAATTGACAAGGGGCCAGTGTTCTGATGAAATCTTGCTTCTGTTTGCCTGCCTTCCCCATGAGTTCTCTAGTTTCCTAAGAGCCAAGAGTGAGCAAATAGGCTCTTACTCATTTTAGAACATTAGTCTTCTAATTTGCATACTTTCTTTCTACATCTAGTTATTGGTACTTGAACGGAAGTGGAGGAGTCTGTCCTAACATATTCCTCTGCCCTCCCCATCCCATCATGATTGAGAAAGAGAGAGAGAGAGAGAGATTGGAACTTGGGTTAGGAACTACTTTCCAGAATCTTTTATTTTCTTCTTTTTACTTATCTACCTTCCTTCCCTTTTTCTTTTCATTCCATTTCTCTCTCCCTCTTTTATTCAGTAATTTATCCAATTACCCATTCATTACTTTGTACCTGGAACCTGAGCTTAAGATAGCTGTGTCCTCTTCCTCTCCCTGATTAGGATTTAGATGTAAGTCTGTGAATGCCAGGATGATGTGTGGCTCAACCTACCTGTGGGTCTGCATACCTGAGTGATGGAGTCTCCTAGGAAAGACTCTCTTCACAGGAGGGGGAAATAGAAGCACCTACTAGGTTCAGTTGCACTGGACCAGGACTAGAATGGAGACTGGGGTGGTCCTGGTGGGGTTTGAGGAACAGCACAGTGCCTGTCACTCTGATGTCTTCTGGCCCAGCGCCCAGGGCCAGAAGTCCTGGGAAGTCCTGCGCCTGGGTCCTGAGATGAGGGTATTGGAATAAAAAACAAGTGTAAACAAAAATAGTTCATCACAAAAGCATCCCTAGGTTACAGGAAGCAGGGGGCAAGAGCAGCACCAGCCAGCCCCAAAAGCCAGGCTGATGTCAGTGTCCTTGACCCTGTGCAGATGCAGCTGTGTCATGGGTGGTGGTGGTGGGCACCTCCACTGTGCTCCAGCATAGACGTGCTGCTCTCTAAGGCTGCCTTGGTTGTCAGCAGCAATGGAGACCCCAGTCCCGTAAGCAGAGGCAGGTGAGGAAGAAGGTAGCAGGTGCCACACATAGCAGTGGGCAGTCATGCTCAGTATCTGTAAGATAATCCCTGGAGAATCCCAGACTTTAGGGGATGAGTTTGATGTGAGGATGTGTGTGGTTGGAGCAGCTGCAGAATGGATTTGGGTAAATCCAGAGAATGCTGTTTTGTATCTCTCACTAAGATTCTGTTTCACTCTAGGCAGAGGAATTTGAGAGACACAGGCTTTTACACGTGCCTTAAATCCAACTTACTTCCAAAAAGCACTTGTAGAAGCTTTATAGAAAGCCTCAATATAAAAGAGATAATTTTTTTAAAAAGAAGATGAACCACAGTCAAGAAATAAAGACTGGAAGGAAGGAAGGAAGGAAGGAAAGATGAGTGGTGTTTTACTAGAAAGCCTAGTCAAACAAATGTTTTTGCGTGGTTTGGAACTGTTATCTCTTCTGGGCTTAATTCCTAAGAAGACAAACTCTATGCCTAATCAAGACCTGAAAAAAAAAATGAAATTCAGTTATTTAGATGGCGATTCTATTTTGTTTTCTAAATGTATTACTGTACCAGGAAAGTTCTATAATTCTTCATGGTTAGAGAGCTGCCGGAAGTCATCAGACTTTATTTGAATACATTGTTGGAAAATCCTGATTATTAGTTCTGTGTCCCCAAGGCCACAAATGACCCCAAAATGCAGCTGCCTACATGTCAAGCTGGGGATTACACCGATAGCTGAGGGAGCTGGAAGTGTCCTGTACTCATGATCAGCACCTGCACCTGTCCTTCTCATTTTACCCTCACAATGATGCAGGGAGATGGGAGGGCCCGTACCGTTATCTCCACTCCACAAGTGAAGAAACCACAAGTCAGAGAGTTGTCCAAGACCATACTTAGGTGCAGGGCTGGTGTCGGAATACAGGCTCCGATTCTCAAATCCCAACTGCATAGGCCCTTTCCTGAACATAGGTCTGGAATAGTAACTTACCTAACTTTCTTACAAGCACCAGGAAATTCTGATGCTCACCCAAATGTAGGACTCTTAACCCCAACACCATCTGTCCCCACTTCCACTGAAGACTCAATGGATCATGGGGGCAGTTTTCCCCATGCTGTTCTCGTGATAGTGAAGGAGTGCTCACGAGATCTGATGCTTTTAAAAGTGGCAGTTTTTCCTGTGCTTTCATTCTCTCTCCTGCCACCTTGTAAAGAAGGTGACTGCTTCCCTTTCCTCCATGATTGCAAGTTTCCTGAGGCCTCTCTAGCCGTGCAGAACTATGAGTCAATTAAACCTCTTTCCTTTATAAATTACCCAGTCTCAGGCATTTCTTTATAGCAGTACAAAAACGGGCTAATACATTGAGTAAATTGCCCAGGATGATACAGCAAGGAAACAGGTTAGATGAGGTTGATGAATATTGGGCATCTGATGGCTAAAGGTGATTGGAGGACAAGAAGAAGAAGAAGAGGACATGGTCTCTGAACAGGGAGCACACAGCCTGATGATGAATCGGGGCAAGTTTCACAGAACAGTAGTTCTTTCTGCTTCATCCCTTTAGTTGTTTTGTAAGTCCAAAGTAAAAGGGTTCCATCCGACTGTACTGAGAGAGGGACTGGCACTAGATGGATTCTATTGACAACTGCAGCCAGAATTCAGACATCCAGAGTGGACACAGCACATCACAGCCCATGCCTGTGTGAGAGAGCCACCCCCCCCAACACCTACCCATGCCCACATTCACACCCACCCACAGGCACAAATAAAGTGCTAACCTCCTCCAGTGGGGACAGTACTGGGAAAATGCCAGCTGACCTGTGGTCTCCTTTGGCTCCTTAGAAATTCAAAACTGCTGTAATTAAACATTTCCAAGAATTTGTAATACCCTCAGAGTATTAGAGAAAGCACTAGAAGTTTCCTGAGGTAACAAAGCAGAGAATAGTGAGGGGAAGAAGACAAAACAGAGCATTGTAGGCAAGACAGTAGCACCGATTTGAGGGAAGAAATTGGCTTATGCCTTTGCGAGACTACTGGGAAGAGGCCTACGAGGGAATAGAGAAGAAAAAACATTTGTTAAGTACCACATATGTGCCTGATTCTGTGCTTTCATATATACCTGCTTTCATTCTCAAATAACTCTAGGTAGGTATTTTGGTTCTATTTTACAGGTAAGGAAACAGGCTTGGACAGGGCAGGTAATTCATCCAAAGTGACCCAGACAGTAAAAGAGAACCTGGACTTGAAACCCAGGTCTTTGAAGGCACAAACGTCCATGCCATCCCTATTGCATCCGTATGCATGTGTATCAGTATGTATCTTAACAAATGCGGCATTTAATAAGTTCCAGGTTCTGTTCTAAGTGCTTTACAAATATTAACTCATTTAATACCCACAACCACCCTAGGAAGTAAGTGCTAGTATTATTTTCAGTTAGCATAAGAGGAAATTGAATAACAAAGAGATTGTGTCATCTGCCCAGATCACATGTCTGCTGGCAAGCTGGCTGCTTGGCTGAGGGCTCATTCTTCCCGCTTTTACTCTGTGGGGCCTCTATGTGAGTGGAAGTGCTTATTTCTTGGGTTAGAGCCAATCCATCTCTCCAGCTTACAGTAAACTAAAAAGGGGAAAGCAGTAACTTGGAGGCTAGAAGATGCCAGAGGAAACATGTCCACCCAAGATCAGAGCACTCATTCTTGATAAGTAGCTCAGACTCAGCCATCCTTGAAACAGCCTTGGCTGCCTGGCAATGCATCAACACTTCAAGGCTATCTGACATGGCAAGAAATAATAACTCTCGACACCAAGATGACTGGTCAGCCCCAGGGCCTGAGGACTATGTCTGAAGGATCATCCCGGGCCCCTGGAGGCTGGAGGCACGAGGCGGATAAGCACTGGGCTGATGGCCAGGCCTTCCACTCACTGCCCCACACTCTCTCCTCAGGGAGAGTGCTTAGCAGCCTGGGCCACCGCTTATGTCTGAGAAATGCTGAGGCCTGGTCCAGGGCAGGGGCTTCCCCGTGGCTTCCCAAGGGAGACAAACAGAACCAGGGATTTATAATAAAAACCCAGGGGTTCAGAACATGTGGGCCAGAGATGTTCCATGTGAGCTGGGTCCTCAGCCCCGGGAGGAATGGCTGCTCCGCTCCAAGTGTGTGCTGAGATGAGAAACCACATGGAGCTGAAGAAAGAGCCTGAAGAAGCCCCATTACCCCAATTAGCCACATCCTCAGTGTTCCTCTTTTCCCGTGCTGCTTCTGTCTCACAGACATGCTGAGCTTGGGCACACATTATCTCCTTTGCTGACAGGCATTATTATCCCCATCGTATAGGTGAAGGAGTTGTGGCCAGGGGATGTTGAGTGATATGGTTTGGCTGTGTCCCTACCCAAATCTCATCTTGAATTGTAATCCAAATTGTAATCCCCAGGTGTTGAGGGAGGAGCCAGGTGGGAGGTGATTGGATCACGGGGGCAGTTTCCCTCATGCTGTTCTCGTGATATTGAGGGAGTTCTCATGAGATCTGATGCCTTTAAAAGTGGCAGTTTTTCCTGAGCTTTCATTCTCTGTCCTGCCACCTTGTGAGGAAGGTGAGTGCTTCCCCTTCCACCGTGATTGTAAGTTTCCTGAGGCCTCTCCAGCCATACAGAACTGTAAGTCAATTAAACCACTAGATGAATCCCATTGACAACTGCAGCCAGAATTCAGATGTCCAGAGGGGACAGAGCACATCACAGCCCACGCCTGTGTGAGAGGCCACCCCCTCAACACCTATCCATGCCCACACTCACACCCACCCACAGGCACAAATAAAGTGCTAACCTCCTCCAGTGGGGACAGTACTGGGAAAATGCCAGCTGACCTGTGGTCTCCTTTGGCTCCTTAGAACTTCAAAACTGCTGTAATTAAACATTTCCAAGAATTTCTAAGATCCTCAGAGTATTAGAAAAAGCACTAGAAGTTTTCTGAGGTAACAGAACAGAGAATGGAGAGGTGGGGAGGGCCACAGCATGCAGGATTTGATCAGTTTTGTCTTTTTCATAGAGCAAATAAGAGCTGTTAAGGGATTTTAAGCATAGGCAGGGCAAAGTCAGACTTGCCTTTTAAAGAGGACACTCTAGCTGTTAAGTGGAGAATGAATTACATACAGGGAAATGAGTTTTGAGGCTAATGCTGTGGTCCAGGTGAGAGGACATGGTGACTCAGGTGGTGGTGATGGAATGAAGTGGGTGGATTCTAGAGATGTTTAAAAGGCAAGCATCTGTTTCCATTTAACGGGGTCTTGACAAATAAGTGCATCTCCTTTTCAACTTTTCGAGGAGACGTGGTGAAAAGTCACACTGCCAAGACAAAGGAAGAAGCCCCATGGCCTGCATTTGACCAAAGAACAAATTTTGGTCTTTGATTCTTGGGGAAACTCCCTAAGAAATATCGGAAAAGGCTTTGTGCTTTTGCAGACTTTTCAGAAATATCATCCAGGCAGTGAGCAATTGAAGACTATTGCACAACCTGAAACCCTTGGAATTAGACTGGAAGCTCTGAGAGCCTCAATGGCTTCCCGGCCTCTTTTGTGTCCGGCATCCTTATAGGAGAGCACTGGGGGCCTCGATCACAGAAGCCGTATGCCTCACGAAGGACAATACCAACCCCTGCCCCCTGAGTCAGGTCTGTGCTTTAATCCCTTCTATTCCCAGCATTTAACATAATCTATGTGAAAATTAACTGGCAGCAATCATAGATTTCTGAGGAAAGAGTGAGAAATTTAAATGCAGAGCTTAGTTGAGGGTATAGCAAGTGGAAAACCCAAAAACCAACTGGTGCCAGGTGTTGAAGTGCATATACACAGAGCCCTTCTTGGAAGGTAAGAGGGTTGCAGAGTTGTCATGCCAGACCCCTATTGACCCCAATAGGGATGGCATCCCCAATAGGATGTTTGAGAGGCTGAAGAAGAGACCCAGAGCCTGCAAATGAGACACAGAGCTTATTGAGGGGACTTACATACAGGACACTGTCCTGGTGGCAGTGGTCTGGACAGAAGAACCACTAACTTCTTGTAAAAAGCATGCAGTTTATATAGTATTTTTAGTTAGCACCCTCCCCCTGGTAACCTCCACCTGGCAACCTTCATTTAACCCAAAACAAAGGGTCTTGATCCCCTGTATGGTCTGCATTCCATGGGCTGGCCTGTAGGTTTAGATGTTTCTCATAGAATGAATCTTTGGACTGGCCATTTCTGGATTTCTTCACTTGGAAATCCAAACACACATTCTTTTTAGACCATAGGGTCATTCTCAGGGTATGCTTAAGTTATTACTCTCGGTGCATCTGTCACACAAGAGTAACTGAACAAAGGAAGCCCTAATTATGTAGAGATTTCTCCTTGAGGAGCTGGAAGAACCCAGTTGGAGAAGTGCGTGTGACCACAGGCATTTTGTGGCTGAAGGCTGTGGGGTTAGAAGAGAGTGATTCCCTAGATTTCTAAACAGAAGAGTCAGGCTCTAGGACAGGTGCTTAGTTCTCTTTGTTCTATTTGATTAAATGAATATGAATAAACAAATTAGGCCAGTAGACTTCCATTGGAGGCTTGGTTCAACCACATGCACTCCTGCCTCAAAAACATTACTTTCCCTTTTCACTCGTCTGGAATTCTTCTCCCACAGATCTTCACATGGCTCAATTCCTGAAAAGTTCACCAGGAACTCTCCACCTCATCACCTTCATTTTCCCTGAACCATTTATCATTATTCGAAATATTTATTTTTAATTTACTTATCATTGATCTTATGTTCCTGAGAGCACAGACTGTTCTGTTTGTGTGAAGCAATGTTGCAGAGCCTGTCAGTGTCTGACCTAGCAGTTTTGTTAAATGAATGGCATAAGTGAATAAACCAGGAAACTGAAGTTTTGTAACTATGATGCAAGTGTTACCACTTGGAACACAGGAAATTCAGCAAACAGTTTATTCATTGTTTGTGGTGTGAACTAACTAGTTACACTGCTTTTTGGGGTCACTTAATTATCTTAGAATTTCTCAGGGACTGAAGCATGTCTATATATTTATAAAACAAATGTAAGACATGATATATTAATGAATTAATGTGTGCACATAAGTTCACTGGAAAATAAGCCATATCAGAATAGTTTCTTAGTAATATGTTTACAAAAAACAGCTTAATATGAATGTTCAACCAAAAGTGTGAAATAAATCAACGAATTTGTTACTTCATTTTTAGAAATATAAATTTCTGCTTCTCCCTGGTTTTTCTAAGTTTCCAAATAACCACTTGGTTTGCAGCAACCTGAATAATTTAAATGGGGCCTTTTTGAGTACACATCATTGTGAGATGTCAGTCACAGCTGAGATTCAGATACAGCCTCCAAGAAAACAAACAAAAAACACATACATATACCCGGAGGAGTATTCCAATAAGTCACAACCGGGGGATAAGCCAAACAATGAGTGTCACAAAGAGATTAGGATCCAAGATATCCTAGGTCCTTTTTCCTTCTCTATTCATGAGCCTGTTATACAGACACAGCCCCAGAGATAGACACTCCAGAGACTTCAAGCTGTAGGTTATCAGGGCCAATGTGAGCTTAACCTCATCTCAACTGTCCTCAGCAGAAGCCCAAGGGCATGTGGTGTTTATTAAATGCTGTTTGATCAAGACGCTGAAGGGACGGGCAGGTGCTTTGTGTTGGCCAGGCTGTGATTCATCCAAATTCGACTCATCAGGAAGAGCTTGACAAATCTGATAGCAACATCCCATCCCCCACCCTTTGCAACTGTCCCAAAGTCTTTAAGTTATTTTGCACAAAGCAAGACCCAGTGAGGGGATCACGTTTGAAAAACAGAGTTGCACTGGGTAGGTCTGTGAGTTTGCTGCTTTTTTGATTGAGTGCCTTCCCCAACGCACTTCTAATGTTAGAGGATAGAGCGCTGGACTAACAGAACAGTAAGGAAACTGCAAAATCTGATTCAAACCTTGCCCAAATCCTTGGCTGACTGCTAAACTACACAAGTTGAGGGGTGACCCTGGGAAGCAGGCTAAAAATAAATGGCTTAAAGCTGAAAGAACTGAACAGAGATACCAGCTGTTGTACAGTATAAGGTGAGATAGTTTGAGTCCAAGCAACTCCAGGCAGCAAATACAACAATAAAAAAATTGGTCCTCAGAAGAACATAACAGTATAGAGTTGCTACAAAGTATCATCAAATTTTTCAGTTTTCATCCAAAACTCTTTAGGCCTGCCAATAACAGGAGGGTTTGACCCATACTCAGGAAAAAAGTAATACATAGAAACTCAGAGTGGACTCAGATATTGGATTTACTAGACAAAATTTCAAAGTAGCTATCATAAATATGTGCAGAGAATTAAAAGCATAATCTTAATGAGTGAACAGATAGGGAATCTCAACATAGAAATGGAAACTACATAAAAGGGGAAATCTAAAGTTGAAAAATGTAATAACTGTAATGAAAAATTTACTAGATAAGCTCATTAGCACAGTAACTGGAAAAAGAATTGGTGATCTTTGAGATAGAGCAATAAAAATTATCCAATCTAAATGACATAGTAAAAAGAATGAAGAAGAATAATAGAGACTTGGAGACTTACAGAATAATATCACATAGTCCAACATAGATGAAATTGGGATCTTAGATCAAGAAAAGGAAGAAAAAAATATTTAAAGAAATAGAGAAAACTCCCCAAATTTGGTGGAAAACATCAACTTTCAGATCCAAGAATGTTAGCAAAACCCAACCAGGATAAATATAAAGCCCACACCTAAGTCAAGTTTCGGAAAGCCAAAGATAGAGATAATCTTGGGGGGAAAAAATCCCATCCAACCCTTATATATACAGAGAAACAATATAATTAAAACCTGACATATCAGAAGTAGTAGAAGCCAGAAGTCACTGGAAAACATATTTAAAGTGCTGGGGGGAAAAAAGTGTCAACCCAGAATTTTATATTCAAAGAAGCTATGCTTTACAAATAAAGACAAAATTAGAAAAATATTTTGAACAAAATTAAAATACAACCTACCAAGGTTAGTAAAATGCAGTAAAAGCAGTGCTTAGAGGGAAATTCATAGCATTAAATGCTATTATAAAAGAGATCTAAAACCAATAATCTATATATCTACCTTAACATAAAAAAAGTCTAAGGCAGAAGAAAAGAAATAATAAAAATTAGAGCAGAAATCAATGAAACTAAAAACTAATTATAGAAAAAATCAGATTGACTGTATAGAAAGAGCAATAAAATTGATAAATATCTAAGTGAGATAACCAAAGACACTAATTACCAGTATCACAAATAAAATACATGAAGCTAAAATTAACACATCTAAAGAAAGAGATACAAAAATCCAAAAGCAGGAGTTGGAAGCTGCAGTTTTTTCCAAATTACAATTTCCTGAATGAGTCACATAAGGACAGCTAGCTCCTTATCTAAGAATACTTACTGGACACACCATCTCACAAGCCCAGTCCAAAACTGCAAGAACCCAACCACAAATCCAAGTGTATAAGTCCTATCTAATAGCTACTGACACTTGCCAATCAGAACCCACCAGCCCTTATAACATGCTGCCAGTGCCAATAAGCTTTCTTTCAAAACAGCTTGCATAACCTCCTCTTTCTCTGGTAAACTCTGACCTTTCCTCTGTTCTCTAGACATAACATCTGATCTGTATGTATGTCCTGGACTGCAATCCTACTTTTTGTATATTTCCAAAAAACTCTTTTTAGAGATTCATTTCTCTATATTTTTTATGTTGACAAAACCAGTAACAGTAAGATATCTACAAAAACCCCACATATTTGGAAATGAAACAACACTCTCATAAATAACTCATGAATCAGACAAAACTCACAATGAAAATTAGAAAAATTCTTGAATAATAAAAACGTATATAAAAATCTATGGTCTGTAGCTAAAGCAGTGATTTGGGGGAAATTTATAGCTCTAACTACATATATTAGGGAAGAAGTTATCAAAATGAATAAGCTTCCATCTTGAGAAGCTAAAAAGGAGAGCAAATTAAACCCAAAGTACAGTGAATGATAAAGATAAGAATGAAAATCAATACAACAGAAAAAAAAAACTATAGAAGAAAAAACAAACTAAAAGCTGGGTTTTTTTTAAAGATAGACACAATTTATAAACATCTTCCTAGACTTAATGAGAAAAAAAATGAGGGAAGATATAAATTACCAACATTAGGAATAAAAGAGGGAACATCTTTATAATTTCTATAGATATTAAAAGGAGGATGGGAGGTAATATAAAAATTGTATGCCAAAAAAGTCAACAAGTTTAATACAATAAAGCCTGGGAAAGAAATTTCCAAAACAGATTCAAGAAGAGACACAAAACCTGAACAGCCTTAAGGTCTAGAGCAGGGCTGGCAAACTTTGTAAAAGGCCAAATAAATATTTTAAGCTTTGCAACTAATGTAATCTATCAACTCTGCTATTACAGCATGAAAACAACCGTAGACAATACATGCAGAAATTGACATGACTGTATTCTAGTAACACTTTATTTACAAAAACAAGTGCAATTTGGATTTAGTCCATGGGCCATATTTTGCCAGCTTCTGGTCTAAAATAACCAATAGTTTTTCCTCAAACTGTTAACAGCTGATAGATAAGCCACTGTGCCAGACAGACCCCCAGGTGAACTTCAAGCCCTGTTACTAAGTATGGGGTGAGAAAATAATCTTTCCTATCACCTACTTAAGTGAATGAAGGCTTTTAAAATCTACCCTGCTAGAAGCATGTGAGTTTGGGCTGTGTTGGCCATTTACTGTTTGAATTGAAAGTGATTCTCTTGATCTCTGGCAAAATTCCTGCTCTCTCTGTTAGGCTGGAAATTTCTCTTTGCTTTACAAAACAAATAATTCTTTAGTTTATCTCTTATATTAATTTGTATTTTCATATGTTGGCTTTGTCCAATGTGGTATCCCCCTTTATTAGTAGTTAATCATCTTAATCTTGGAAAAAAAACATATAAAAATACTAGCTTTGTAATTAGCAACCAAGAGGTGGGAGCAAAGTTACATAAAGGCTAGTAAACATTTAAAATATGTTGTGTAACCAGAAAACAAAGAAATGTATGTCAAACAATCTGGTTTTTTCTATAAAACTGGTAAATATTTTTTAAAAATTATAATCACTGTGTTAAGGAAGACAGGCATGTACCTCTCCTTTTGGTGGGATGGAAAGTAGTACAATCTTTTCTGGAAATTATTTCACTGTATTTGTTAAGAACCTTGTCTAGGGTAGGTAACAAAATGATCCTAAAATGGATAATGTAGAGTTTATTTCTTGCACACATAATAAATACTAGATGGGAGACCAGCTGCTGCTGGCTCTGTCATCTTCAGTATGTGACTTCCAATTTTGCACAAGGCATATTTCCATTCTGACCAGCTGGAAAGGATAGGAACACGGGAGGCTTTCTAGGGCCAGTCTAGGAAGCAGCACACATCACTTCTGCTCAAATCCCATTAGCCAAAATTCAGTAACTGACCATGCCAGATTGTAAGGGAGACAGGGAACAGCGTGTAACTGTGTGCCCAGAAGGAAGAATGTCAGTTTTGATGAGTGGCTAGCCATTTCAGCTGTAAGCTCTTAAAATATATGCATTTTAACTCAGTAATCTAGGGATTTGTTTTAAGGAAATATTCAGTTCAGTCTGTGGCAGACCTAGTAGTTGCACCCCAAAATTCATTTTCCCTTCTTCCTTAGCAACGGAAAGTTACATTTTTGGTAGTGCATGGCCATTCAGGGGAAAAAAAAATCTTTCTCAGCACTTCTTACAATTAGGCATGGCATACGGCTAAGTTCTGGCTAGCAAAATTCATGTGACAGCTTCCAAGAGCTTTTCCATGTGTTATGTGTACTTTCCTTTTATTTTAGACTCTTCCTCCATCCTTCTGTCAAGGATATGGATTTGAAAGCTGGAGCTGTAGGTATCATTTTGGACCATGAGGATGAAGGTCACAGCCTAGAGCTGGGAGAGTAATGAGCTGTACGAAGTCACGGTCTCTGTAGAAATCAAAGAGCAGAGGCCCCATGCTAGCCCTGGAATGCTCACTCAAACTTGTAGGTAAGAGAAAAATAAGTTTCCTTCATGCTCAAGCCAGTTCTCTTAGGTCTCTGCTAAATCTAATCCTAATTCATATAGGCCAGATATTTTCCTTCCATGGCTTTAATCTTTTTTCTTCTTTCCTATATGTAGTATAATAATTTGTTAAAATATACTCATGGACAAATATTTTTATATAATGAAATGGGAGATTGGAAATGGGAGCTGTCTTCTAAAAGTTGCAAGCAATGTCTCTCTTTAAAGAGCATGATTTCAATTCACTTTTGTGAAAGATGACTACCTTGTTTTACAAAAAAAAAAAAAAAAAAAAAAAGATCACCCTTGGCCAGGCACAGTGGCTCACACCTGTAATCTCAGCATTTTGGGAGACCTAGATGGGCAGATCAGGAGTTCGATACCAGCCTGGCCAACATGGTGAAACCCCGTCTCTACTAAAAATACAAAAATTAGCCAGGTGTGGTGGCACACACCTGTAGTCCCAGCTACTCCAGAGGCTGAAGCAGGAGAATCGCTTGAACATGGGCTGTGGAGGTTGCAATGAGCCAAGATGGCAATACTGCACTCCAGCCTGGGCAACAGAGTAAGACTCTATTTCAAACAAAATAAAACATAAAAAAAAAATCACCATAAAGAATTCTTAAGGTGCACAAAAGTAAAAAATTAGAACCCTCCCATTGTTTGAAATGTTCTAGTTAGGAAATGGAATTTGTTGTATACAGTTGAACCAATGTCTCTGGACTTCTGTTTGTTGTTTGAGACTGTTATTGACATGGTTTTAAGTGATGGGGGGTTGGAAAAGGAAGGAGAGAGAAATGCTTTCATGGAGAAATGGATGAAGACAAGGTTATGTCTGTATCATGGCTTGTCTTGTGCAAGTCAGTGTTTGTAGGTGGCCCATTTTACTTGGTGTGCTAAAAGGAGATGAAATGAGAAAAGCGGAGAGTGATGATTTTGTGAGGATTTTGGAGATGCGCATGAGCTATGGATGCCTCTGAAGTGTTGGAAAAGAATATAATGTGATCATGAAGCATAAAGAAGAGTAGAGGAACATGTTATAGGGTGGGTTCCAGTGATGTGAGCTCAGGGAAAAGACTTCAGGCAAAGGGAATAAAATGAGCAATTTTCCATCGGATGGAAGATCTGGACCTTTGTAGTCCGCTGCCCATTAGTGCCTCCATGTGATGCCCTAGAGGTCTGCCACCCACGTGGCTGCCCAGATCACTTGTCTGTGTGTGCAACCCTCACTCCTCTCCTTTTTCCTCCCAAGCAATCATGTCCTGATGATCTTTCCACCTACATGTCTTCAAGTCACTCACTCCTTTACATTTCACTGATACTTGTTAATGCCTCCCGTTTCGACTACCATAATCTCTTCTACAAATTTAAACAACTTCCTACTTGATTTCCCCAGCTGTGTCCATTTTTTTCCGGCTTTGATCCATTCTCTACATTTCAGCCAGAATCATCATCATCTTTAAAAATCTGATTGACCAATGGGAGAAGATTCATGCATTTTATTTTCCGGGAAAAAAAAAACCTCAAATTATGAGAAAACATTGCCAGCATATGTTTAAATTCTTAGATTGATGGATGCACCATTAGTCCTAATTACCCTCGTATTGAGTTACAATTAATGCTCTACTCTCTACTGCACCAAATCAATATTATAAAAATGGTTTTTAGGCTTAATTTTTAGTCTCTTTGTGTTTTGTGCCAGCCCTTAAAGGTTACTGCCTTCTTCTCTTTCATCTTAATTTTTTCACTCACATTGAAATGCATTACTCAGATCAGCCCTTGAAAGTCTTTAAACTATATGGCATAAAGTGCACATATTTTAGACACATTTCATAGAATTGATTGTAGTTCCCACTGGCCGGGCTTTAATAAAACTGTCGCTGTGGCTACTGTTCATCACACCAACTATCCAAAGGGTGTTTATTTACACGAAATTAAGCACATCCTTCATCTTCCTAGAATTCATCTATAACATGGGGCCAGCTGGCTTACTCCTGTGCCGTAAAACCATCTTTAAAAAAACCCCAAACTTCTAAAACCTTTGCCTTATTCACCTGAATAAAGTAATTAGGAATAATGGTACCTCCATCAATCTAAGAATTTAAACATATTCTGGCAATATTTTCTGATAATTTGAATATTTTATGCACTGAATTGTTTTATTCCAGTCTACCTAGCACTTCCTTTCTCTTTATTTTCTGAACTACTGATTTCTTGACTCATTCTTATTTACAACTTCTTAGACTTGATGCATCAACCTTTTATTGATGTGGCTTTTCTCCACAAATGCCCTTCGCACTCACATTCTTAGAATTTGTCTGTCCCTGGCCCAGTGGCTCTTCCCAGCATGCACCCTATGAAGCCTGTGTTCCTGACAAGTTTTCTTTGGCTCTCACATCTATGATCCAGGATTAGTTTATACCTAATATCTTTTTCTGCTTTAAAATTCTTTAATGCCATTATTTTTAACAAGTTGTGTGAATATGTCTATTATGTTGATCACTGACTTCTAAGTTCTTAAAGAAGATCCTAATTTATTCAATACATATTTATCAATTGCCAAACCATGCCTTGCATCTTGGTGTGATGGCTGTCCCAGCTTTCCCTGGGTCTGTCTTCTTTCCTTTCATGCACGAGTTTCCCTGCATGAATCCCTGCAATAAAATCCTTGCCTCTCTACCATGTTCCATTGATCTTTATACCAGTAACATATTACCTTGGTTACTGGAGCTTTATAGTAAGGTTTAAAACCTGGTGGTGTAAGTCCTCCTACTTTATTCTTTTTCAAAATTATTTTGGCTAATCTAGGTTCTTTGCCTTTGCATACAATTTTTTAGTATCTGTGAGTTTATTCTTTAAAACTTATATTTTGATTCAGACTGCATAAAACCTATAGATCAATT
This sequence comes from Homo sapiens, assembly GCF_000001405.40. Taxonomy (NCBI): domain Eukaryota; kingdom Metazoa; phylum Chordata; class Mammalia; order Primates; family Hominidae; genus Homo; species Homo sapiens. Next base: position 106,410,113 of record NC_000007.14, on the reverse strand, counting down.
TAAAGGAAATTAGCTTAACAATATCAAATCTTCTAATCCATGAACATGATATATTCATTTAGGTTTCTTGATTACTCTTTGTAATTTTTTATGGTTTTCAATGTTCATGTCTTGCACATTTTTTATAACTTTATTCTCAAATACATTTTATGCTATTGTAGATAAAATTTTGAAATTTCATTTTCTAATTGTTAATTGCTGGTGTATACAAATACAATAGATTCCTAGATATTTGCCTTGTATTCTGTGATCTTGCTAAATTCACTTATTAGTTCTAGGAGTTTGTTAGTAAATTCCTTAGAATTTTCAGCATACATTATCATATTATCTGCAAATAGAAACTTACTTTTTCTAATCTTTATGTGTTTTATTTCCTTTTCTTGGTATATTACACCGCTAGGACGTCCAATACAATGCTGACTAGAAGCGGTCAGAGTGGACATCCTTGCCTTACTACTGACTTTAATTAGAAAATAATGAGATACTCAACGCTGAGTATGAATTCAGCTTTAGGTTTTTCATTTTTGTTTTTGTAGATATTCCTAATCAGGTTGAGGAAGTTGCCTACCATTCTAAGATAGGAGTTTTTCATAAATTAGTATATTAAGGCTTTATTACACAGCATATAGTCTATTTTGATAAAATTACCATGTAAACTTGAAAAATCATGTCTATTTTTCCTGTTTTGTACAGACAGGTCTCACTCTGCCACCTAGGCTGGAGTGCAGTGGCATGATCACAGCTCACTGCAGCCTTAACCTCCCAGTCTCAAGTGATCCTCCTGTCTCAGCCTCCCAAGCAGCTGGGACTATAGGTGCGTGCCACCATGCTTGGCTAATTTTTTATTTTTTTGTAGAGATGGGGGTCTCTCTATGTTGCCTAGGCAGGTCTCAAACTCCTGGGCTCAAACAATCCTCCCATCCTGCCCTCCCAAAGTGCTGGGATTACAGGCATGAGCCACACCCAGCCTGTTTTTCCATTGTTTTGTGTACTATTCAGTAAATATCAATTAAGCTAAAACATGAATAGCACTGTTCAGGCCTTTCCTGAGGGAGGAGTATTAAAATTTCCAACTGATTGTGGAGTTTGTCTGTTTCTCCTTTGAATTTTGTCAATTTTTCTTTCATGTATTTTGAAGTTCGTATATCAGGTGCACACATATTTATGATTGTGTTTTCTTCCTAACAAATGAACATTTTTATCATTAAAAAATATCTGGTAATTCTTTGTAACATAGAAATCTATTTTCTCTGCTTTTTATGTTTACTTTTCCGTCTTTCTATGTTTACTGTTCACATGGTTTGTCTTTTCCCAATCATTTAGCTTCAGCCTATCTGGGTCTTTGTATTTAAAGTACATCTCATATACTGCATATAACTGTAAGGTGGAAATTGTCAAAATGGATAAAAACACATATGTCATGTGTGGGTTTTTGTTTGGTTGGTTGGTTGGTTTTTTTGAGACGGAGTTTTGCTCTTGTTGCCCAGGCATGCAATGGCGTGATTTTGGCTCACTGCAACCTCCACCTCCCAGGTTCAAGTGATTCTCCTGCCTCAGCCTCCCAAGTAGCTGAGATTACAGGCACCCACCTCCATGCCCAGCTAATTTTTGCATTATTAGTAGAGACAGGGTTTCACCATGTTGGTCAGGCTAGTCTGAAACCCCTGACCTCAGGTGATCCACCCGCCTCAGCCTCCCAAAGTGCTGGAATTACGCCCGGCCTCATGTGTTTTTGTGTGACACATATGTATGTTTTTATCAATTTTGACAATTTCTACCTTATAGTTAAAGTGCTTAGTTCATTATCATTTAACACAATTATTATATGGTTAAAGTTGGGTCTGACATTTTATTTGTTTTTTACTCATCTCTGTTCTGTTCCCTCTTTCCTGTCTTTTTGGATTTTTAGAATGATGTTCTAATTCATTTTAATTTTCCTACTGGCTTTTTGCCATACTTCTCTACATTATATTTTTTAATGACTGCTCTAGAAATTACAATATATATCTTTATTTTTTTCATAGTCCACTAGTAGTTAATATACTATTTCATATAATACACATATATGAGTCTTGAAATCGTATAGGTCCACCTATTCCCCACCTCCACTCCTTTATGTCATAGCTATTATAGGTACTACATCTGTATACTTCAAACTCCACAGCATGCTTTTTTGCTTTAAACAGTTATGTGTGTAATAAAGAAATTAAGAAGAAGAAAGTAAAAACCAGCTAGTCTTTAGTATTTACCCAGATAGTTACTATTCTGATGTTCTTCATTCCTTTCTTAGAATCTGTTTTTATCTGACATTAGTTTCCTCCAGCCTGAAGTACTTCCTTTAGGATTTCATGTAATACAGACCTACTTACAATAAATTCTCTTATTTTTGTTTTATTTGAAAATATCTTTACACGATCTGCAGTCTTGGAGGCTGTTTTTGCTGGATGTAGAATTCTGGGTGTACAGGGCTTTTTGTTGGTTTTATTATTTTCTTTCAGACTTTAAAGATGTTCCACCTTCTTCTGGTCTCCATAATTTCTCATGAATATCAGCTTTGAAACACTCTCAACCACCTGATTTCTTCCACAAAAACTAATATTTATTGCACTCCTTTTACAGAAAAACTAATTGGCTTAACTTTCTTTTGCCAAAGAGTTGGTAGAGAAGTGAGAGGAATTTTTAGTTCTTTCCTCTTTCCCTCTACATAGCTCTGGTAAATAAAGGGTTATTGGGGGTGGTGAGGGAAGGTATCTATTAAACCCAAATGTCTTCAACTTGACCTTGAATTAATAATCAATGCCCCCCTCCTCCCGCCCCAGGAAAAAAGGAAAGAGCGAGCATCCTTTTCTAGCCTCAGGATGTATGTTCTCCAAATGACTCTTGGAACTGAGATGAGAGGGAATTGTTTACTTTGATGGCAAGCTTTTTCTCCCAGGTGTATGGGAAAGCTGGCATTGTGTATGGCTGACCTGGGGCTGGAATTAAGCCTTTAATTATTTGAAGAGTAAAACTTCAAGGGCCTGTGCACTCTTTCTGGAAGCAATCTCCTCTCTATGCCTGGATGAAAATGGAAAGAGGTAGCAAGCCCACAGGTCTAAGTGGTGTATGCATACAGGAGGAGACGAACTTCTGACAAAACAAAATTCAATTAAAATGAAGAAAACAAAACAGACTGTCATTCTGCTCTTTTAAACTTGTCCCTCCCAACCCCCTGTAAAAAACACACTGTTTTTCAACTAAATTTGTCTTTGGTCTTCTTTAATAGGCTTTTGAAAGGAAAATATCCTGTTCCAGCATGCAAAACATGCTCCAGGCTATTAAGTGTCTAAAAAGGCATACTACCCAGTTCCCCTCGGGTGCAACGCTGCTTGAGAAGCTAGTGGTACCATGCAGATGGGCTTTAGAACCAGGGGAACATGAGTTCAAATCCTTGTGCCACTTAACAGCTGTGTGACTTTGGGCATGTGCCTTAAATGCGCTGCCTGAGATCTTTTGGAAAGGAGGCAGAAAATCGATAATAAATCTTTAATCTCTTTCTTGTCAGTTGCTGTGGCAGAAACTTCAAATACTCACCAGCAGCCAACTTTCCTCTCCCTCTAGACACATAGTTAATATGCATTTCCAACACACTCTTGAATCTGCGTGGGTGCATGAAACTGCTCTATCCAGTTGATGGTGGGTACAAACAATAGACAGGCATTCCTTGTTTTATTTCGTTTCACTTTATTGTGCTTCATAGATAGTACCTTTTTTACAAATTGAAGTTTTGTGGCAGCCCTGCATTGAGCAAATTGCATGTCTCTTACATTTTGCTAATTCTCCATATTCCAAACTTGTTCATTATTAGTATATCTGTTATGGTAATTTACGATCAGTGACCTTTGGTTTTACTATTGAAATTATCTTGGGGCACCAAGAACCATGCCCATATGGAACGGTGAACTTAATAACTGCTGTGTGTGTTCTGTCTGCTCCACTGACAGACAGTTCCCTCATCTCTCTCCCACTCCTTGGGCCTTTACTGCCTGAGACACAACAGTATTGAAACTGGCCAAGTAATAATCCTATAACAGCCTCTAAGTGTTCAAGTGAAAGGAATAGTCACACATCTCCCACTTCAAATCAAAAACTAGAAATGATTCAGCTTAGTGAGGAAGGCATATCAAAAGCCAAAATAGGCCAAAAGCTAGGGCTTTTGTACCAAGCAGCCAAGTTGTGAATGCAAAGGAAAAGTTCTTGAAGGAAATGAAAAGTGCTTATTCCAGTGAACACACAAATGATATGAAAGTGAAACAGACTTATTGCTGATATGGCGAAAGTGTGAGTGGTCTGGATAGAAAATCAAACCAGCCACAATATTGAAATGACACTAAATAATTTAGAATATCATATAAGCTTAGTTGATAAAGCAGTGGCAGGGTTTGAGAGGATTGATTCTAACTTAGAAGCTCTACCGTGGGTAAAAGGCTATCAAACAGCATCACATGATATAGAGAAATCTTTTGTAAAAGGAATTAATGTGGCAAACTTTATTGTTGTCATATTTTCAGAAATTGTCACAACCATCCCAATCTTTAGCAACCACCACCCTGATTAGTCAGCAGCCATCAACATCAAGGCAAGACCCTCCAGCAGCAAAAATACTCCTTTCAAAATATTACTTCTCATTGACAATGTACCTTGTCACCCAAGAGTGCTGATGCAGGTGGAGGCTCCCTGAAGGCTCAGATGATTGTTAGCATTTTTTAAGCAATACAGTATTTTAAATTAAAAGTGGTATACACATTGTTTTTAGACATAATGCTATTGCATACTATATCAACTACAGTATAGTCCAAATATTTTTATATGCACTGGGAAACAAAATTGTGTGACTCCTTTTATTGCAATATTTACTTTATTGTGGTGGTCAGGAATGGAACCTGCAACATCTCTGAGGCATGCCTGTACCTCAGTTACAGGCCTGTTCATATCATGCCAATGATTCTCCTTGCTCCCTCTCTTCACTGTCCCTACACCTGCAGATGGTGCCTTGTGTTGGAAGCAGCTTGGATTCCTGAGTTACAGATTGGAGGAGAGCCCCCAAGATACCTACCCAATCAGAAACATCCACATTGGAATTTTTTCTGAGCAAGAAAAAAACCTATGCTGTATTAAACCTCTGAGATTTGGGGGGTGCTCGTTACAGCAGTTAGCCTTGCCAATTAATATTATTTCCTAGATAATCAATGGGAAAGATAATACTGCCTGGTTGGATTATGGTGAGGATTAAATGAAGTGAAGTGGGTAAAGTACCCAAGGGCTTGGAACCCATCTGAAGAAAATTATATTCTTTAGCACACTACTGACAATTTGGACTGCAGTTTTCCCTTCCTTGCAAGAAAAATACAAAATTGCATGGCATTGTTATAAATTATTAGGCAAATTAATGCTCACCTCTTTTCTGTCTGGTCTAGGTGACTGCATTCCAAACAATCTAAAGATTTCTAATAGCTCCAGAACTTTATATACCTTTTCCCAAATCCATGCCTACTCAGTCCTTCTTTTTCTGATTGTTTAAGAACTTCAGATTTTATAAATGAAGTAAAAACTTAAAATCCAAGGTGTTTCAAGCCCAATTCATACTCCTAAGCACACCAGTTTCTGCAGGCTCAAAGTTGGTAAAACCCATTTTCCATCTTCAGGCTGGATGGTAACATGCCATCCAGCCACATGACTCGGGCATTTTTCTGAGTCCCATCTGTCACTGGGATCACTACTCTGTCTCTGGTAAAAGAAGACCCCAGAGCTGCATGCCTCCTTATTTTCTCTGTTCTTCAAATCTGTGACCAGTTCAGAGATTCCTTGTGTTAAGCAACTGGTTCTTTCCTGAACATATCCCATCCCTCCTTCCAAAAGATCATGAAACAGGAAAAGTCAAAGCAAGTTGCAAAATTGGAAAATATTTTCAGTTTTTTGACAAAATATAAGAAACAATCACTTATAATGTACAACCCCAGATATTGTAAGGTAGCGAGAGATATAGTTCAGGTACTTGTTCCCATCCAAATCTCATGTTGAAATGTAAACTGCAATGTTGGAGGTGGGGACAGGTGGGAGGTGTTTGGATCATGGGGGTGGATCCCTCATGAATGGCTTGGGCCATCCCCTGTTAAGTGAGCTCTGAGTTCACAGGAGATCTGTTTAAAAGTATGTGGTACCTCCTTGCTCGCCCCCACCCTCTTGCTCTTCCTCTGGCCATGTGACATGCCTGTTCCTCCTTTACCTTCTGCCCATAATTGTAAGCTTCCTGAGGTCTCCCCAGGAGCTGAGCAGATGCCAGCACCATGCTTCCTGGAAAGCCTGTATAACTGAGCCAATTAAGCTTTCTTTTAAATAAATTACCCAGTCTCAGTTATTTCTCTATAGCAATGCAACAATGGCCAATACAGAGAGGCTTGGAGGAACATCCTCTCTTGTTTAAATCCTCACACTTTGACAGCTCACATTTTCCTTGATTCAGGTGTGCTGTGAATATGAATTGAAGTATAAAGGTTGTGTGCAGTTATTAACAAGTAGAAAGCAATTTGCATTGTTAATCCTTCCAAGTCATCCATTATTCTTTCAAGTTCTCTGGACACCATCTAATTTGATGGCAGATAAGGAGATACTTTTAAATGTTAAGTACAAGGTGGGGACTAAGAAAATACCCAGAATAAAATTCTATGATACCGAATGAAGACCGTCTATCAAAGAAGGGGAATACAGAGAAGATGGATAGGGTAGCCCCTTAGGTATATGGGACAGATAGAAATCACCTCCCACCATATCCTCCAGCCCAGCTGAGGATGTGAGACACTGCAAACTTACAGATATTCCAGTTATGTCGTGATTAGACCTAAGGAACTGGACAAAGCTGTCTAGCAAGCTATCCCAAGATGACACAGCCTAGTGGACAGCTTTCAATTTGAAAATCTGTGAGGAGTGCCCATGTTCCCAAGAACACTGACCTCTAATGGAAAGTCCTACCATATATGGAGATGTTGGAGTCTGTTTCCTTCCCTGAAGCTAAGTGGGCCCCTGGAAAGTGAAATGGTCAACCACACACATCCTATCCCTTGGCTTTTGTTGTCAAGTCTGGAAGGATGGTAGTAAAAGGGAATGTCAGTTAAGCCACTCCTTGGAAAAGCCCATGCATTTGCCATCATCTTTTGCTTCTCTCCAGCCTTGAGGTAAATTGTTCACTAAAGTTAATTGGTTTGACTAAGATTTTAGAATTCAAATCTGATGCTGAATTCCAATTGAAGCTGCCTTTTCTCGCTAACCCACCTCCACTGTTGTAGTGTTATTTTTTATTTGTTTCTACTTATTTTATTTCTAGCTTTCTACATATCTCAGGTCCACCCCCTTTTTTCCAGCACACACACTTTGTTGCAACGGTCAGAACAAAAAGAGGTCTCTTGATATATGAACCTCCAGCTATTATGACTTAGATGTTAACAGATCCCTTAAAAACTAACAGGTAATTTAAAAATTAAAGTTAAAAAACAGAGGCAAACTAGTAGAACATTTACCATGATGAATTACCTACTCTAATGAAAAAGCCAAAGTCATCCCCATTCTTTCTCTCTTCCCCTACACTTCTGTTTTTTAATTTTTTTCTTTTTTTTTTTATGGCTCAACTCTTTTTAATCTTAAACTATTCTGATTTTTAACTAAGATACTTGGGGTTGATATGGATACCAAGTGTTTTTTTTTCTACCCAGCTTCAAGAATTCTGCCGCTGGGCTTAGACCTTTAGGTGTCATTACACCCCGACCTATCCAAGCTTTAGGGACCTAAAAGGATCTCCCTTCTCTTGGTAAAAAAAATTGCCTCTTCTGCAAAGCTCAGCCCTTCAACTCTTATTCTAAGCTATGTGCTAAACCTTTGGAGTAGAATTTTAGCTCATTTTAGACTTTCTTATTGTTAAAAATTTTCAAATTATTGATTTAAGTTGTGTTGATTTGTTTTATGTAATAGATGCATATGGTGCAAAATTCACGGGGTACAAAGGGGCTTGTAGTCAAAAGTAAGTCTCCCTTTTACCCCTACCTCCTAGCCACTGAGTTTCCCTTCCCAGAATCAAAAACTCTTAACTTCTTGAACTTTCAGAGATATTCTATGTATGTATTAATATATGACTTATACATACACATGTGCATGTATATTATTGAAATTGATTATATAAGCAATGCATGGACATTATTTCTCCATACAAATTAAAGCAATACAAGGTAGGCTCAGGTCCCTTGATCGTCTCTCTAATCCCAGTTTCTTTCCAAATGTAACCAGTTGGCAATCTAGCATCAACTTAGAATAAATTCTTCCAAATGTTCCTTTGTATTTACAAAAATATATACACCTACAAAAACTGTGTAGTATTATTTTATGGGTTTATTTTTTAAGAGGTATACTGCAAAAATAATTCTGCAGCTTGTAAGTCTTTGGATCAAGACTTTAAAGCACCCCTAACTCTGATAATAAAACAGTTCTTCTCTATTGTACCTGGTTTTTCTAAAAGCCAGATGATGCCTTTATTTCCTCCTGATCCCAGGTTCCTGCTTCCCATTTGTCCACCCACAAAGTTCCTGTTTCTTCTCCAGGTGGGAGCTGAGATGAGGAAGCGAGGGTCTGGGTTCAATTATTCTATCACAGAACAAAACTTGACATAGACACTAACAAGATTATTGTCCTCTCACCTGGTCATTAGCTGGAGTGTTCAAAACCAGGAAAATCTGTCATGTGGGGCTGCCTTTTACCATGAACCAAAGGGGCAGGGGTCACAATCCCACCACTGTAATAGGAACTCTTGACACATTGTCTAAAGACAAAAGGCAAAATCTGATGCATTTAAATGATTAGAGCCTGTGCAGAGCCAGCTACTTGACAATAACAGCCATGTCGCTTTGACAACGTATCTTGCACTAATGATCACACAATCCTCTGGAGGAAAGATGCTACTTCTGAGAAATGATCAAAGCTTTACTACAGATTTGTATGACAAAAGACACACATTTTATATAGAGTTCCTGAAGATTTCAAGGAACAAGGAGCTCACTACATTTAAAAGCTACCTATTGCATTGTAAAGCCATTTAATCGGCTCTTTTGTTATTGAAAATTTGGATTCTATTCTGACCTCTGGGCTGACACTGAATACATTTAATCCCCCTTACATATGATCAGAGTCAATTTTAGATTTTAGAAAATCTATTTAATCTGAGAAAGCTTGTACCTATCTAAAATATGACCGGGTCTCCAGCACAGCTTATTTTTACCTAATACTGTCCATCCAAATTTAAAAGTGTCTCTAGATCATTAGCAAACTTCTTAACAATGCTAGTATTATTACTTATTATAAAGTTATCTGTTTGAAAGGACATTTTTAGAATAAATCTTCTTTTCTCTTGTTATACTTCCGCCAGAAATGAGGATCAAGGTTCTCCTTGGGTTATATATGTTTCCCAAAGCGAGAATCCAAGAAATGGCCAATCCTGACTTAGCCCTTTCTTCTCCGTGACATTTAATGTTATCATTGCTTATTCTCACTTCACTTACTTTAGTCCCATCAGATTTGTGGTTGATGAAATGGAGTTTTGAAATATTAGCCTATATTCTTTGTAAATGTAGCCCACCCATATAGCCAAAAAGGTTGGCTGTCTCACATTTCTGCCTGATTATATATGGGATGCTTATATTCGCCATGCCTAAAAATAGACTTATCACACTCTGTACTTATCATATAAGCTGAAGAACATGTTTTTCTAAGAAACCACAAATATTGGGTTCTATCCTTATAATGAAATGCACATTTTCCTTTAAGAGGAAAAATCTTCAATTTAGAATTTGAATAAAATAGTGCTGTACAAAAGTCTATCATCTGGTTAACTTTAGAGAGCTAAAAAACTCATTTAGGATTATTCTTTGACTTTCTTTCCATGTCATTTTTCACCTGATTGTGAATTAAGTGAATCTTCACTTATTTTGAGCTGCTTTTTGCTGATGATTTATTTCTCTTAGCTGTGCAAACAGTTCTAATAAGCTACTTGACTTCAGCAGGCTGACTTGCAAACTTGAGGCTTGATTATTGCCAGTGCAAAGATGGCTTAGGGCTCCTCAACATTTCTTCAGGGAAGAGATGAGCAAGAAAGGTTTCCTTTATTCTTTTGTGTCTTATAGCTAACGATGTGCTTTCCTTTCTCCTCTGCAGCCCATCCTAAAGTCCCACTAAGATCCAGGGGACTTCAGAGAGAGGGATGGAGGTACTCCTAGTCTGATTTAGTTTGAATCTTTTTTCTTTTTTAGAGCCATCAAAAGGCTGGTCCTTAGCATCTAGAATATCTGTCTCCTCCTGACACTCAGTTGAGATTTGTAAAGGTATTTATGAAGGCCTTTTGCAAAAGGTAGAGGGGACAGGAAAAGGAAGATACTTCTGCTGACATAGTCCTGCCTCACTCTTCCCTATTCCCTTGACCTTGTCTTCTCCTGCAATCTCCTTGCCAAAGTACCATGTGCAGGGAAAGTGTACAATAGATACATACTGAAAGCCTACACTGTCACTCGGTGTCCCCCAACCACCACCCCAGACCAGTCCCTCCCTCAAGGATGAGAGAAAGATCATTCTGGATTGATTTACTAGGTTATAGCAAGGTCTAAATGCATGCACTACAACCTAAATGTGAAAAATAATGTGTCTGTCTTTATTTCCTCAAACTGATCTTGGATTCTGAATGCTCCTAGTAGCCAATCAACACACACAAGTTAAAAGAATGAAGGAATCTCACCTTGCTCTGGAGCCCTGCTCAATGCTGGCAGACAGTAGTGGTGGGATGATTGAGTTTTGCCCATTCAAGGCAAGTTGATCTTTTCTAGCTTTAGAGTCCATTTCGGGTCAATGTAATCCCGTATCTTTGACTTGCAGGTATACCTGCCTCTGTCATCATGTAGTATTCTCCATAAATGTCTCTGTGTCTAAATTTCCCTCTTATAAAAACACCAGTAACTGGACTAGGGCTCACCCTGATCCAGTATGACCTCAGTTTAACTTCATTACATCTGCAAATACCCTATTTCCAAATATGACCACATTAACAAGCATCAGGGGATATTTTGTGGGGGAAACACAATTTCACCCATAACAAAGAGGAAGGAACTGGATCACAAGTCTATATATTCTAGGATGTTCTCTCAACCAGCCTGAAGTTGACATTGGAGTTTCTGTCATCTAGTGTCACCCACCTCCAGGAGATGGGGTACAAAGTTCCTTCTACCTCAGTCTTATCCCCCAGAATATCTTTAATTCCTTGTATCCTCTCTTTCATGATGGAAGAACTCTAGTCTCCTTCATGTCTGGTAGAAACTTCTCCATCATGTCTTCTTCACAGACACTCACCATAGAGCTCTGTGCTCAAACCTCCCAGCTTTGCTCTTGGTATGTCAACAATGAAGACAGTGAGATTTCCCAGTGCCCTTTGCTGGGGCTCAGCCATGGCTTCCCATTTATGAAAGTGCCACCTGCTGCTCAGGATCATAGGAATTCTTCAAAGGCTCCATGGGGGTCGCCACCACTATTTACTCCTAACACTCTTTCTCCTCTCCTCCTTTCCTTAAAGATCAGGGCACCTGGGTTTTTTTTTTCTCCCCCCACCCCCCATGTAGATGGTTTTACCAAACCTTTGAAAGACTTAGGAATAAAGAAGTTGTAGACTGGTAGAGTCAGAAGATCACAGATCCCATGGAAGTGGAGGAGGGATCTAGTACATCTTCCTTTCTTCAGAAGTAGGAGAGTTTAGAGATGAGATTAGCAGGTTCTGCGCGCACAAGATCCCCATTATGAAGGTGATTTGTGACCATTTGTCTACAAATACCTTTGAGACAAAAATCGCTCTGTCATGCTTCCTCTGCGGCATCACTCCACCTGCCACTGGCCTGCTCAGAGTGACTCAAAGCTGCCTTGGATGAAGTCGTGAGTACTCTTTCTGTGGCCCAAGTGCCTTGAGGAAATAATACTAGTTTTATCTAAGTCTCAGTCTTCTTATACATAAAATGGGATGGCAGTATCCTCTTTGTAAGGTGGTTGTCATTATTAGACAAAATATATGCAAAGCAACTAATCCAGTGACTGGCACTTAGGGGGTGCTTAATAAGAAGTAATTCCTGAATAGGTGCAGCACACCAACATGGCACATGTATACATATGTAACAAACCTGCACGTTGTGCACATGTACCCTAAACCTTAAAGTATAATTTTAAAAAAAAGAAGTAATTCCTTTATCATTCATCTACTCCCTCTTCTCTCTCTAGATCACAGCCCTTCTCTGAAATTACTCCTCCTTTCCCTCCTTGGAAAAAAAATAGAAAAAGGATTATGTTCTCTAGAGCTCCTCTTTTCCTAAGATTCCATTGGACATATCTCAGACCTCAGGCCAGAACTGACTGGATAGTTGCTCAGCCTGACTGTTGGCAATCCTAATTACAAAAATTTATTGTGGGTATGCCAATCTAGTGTTTTGCATAAGAATTATGCATAGCACAAAATATGTCTGAATTTTGGGAGAAGTGTCATTGGATCATTGGATTAATCTCAGCTCACATTATGGTCATTCTTCACCATTTGTTGCTTGCAATGTTTTGGTAAAAACGAAATCCTAGTCAGTCACTGCATTGGGTTATCTAGGAAGAGGAAGCGGAACAGGCCCACAGTCCCTCAGTCCTCCTACTCAGAGAGATGTCTTCTCTTTGCCCAGTTCTGGCCAGCTCAGTCACTTAACTCTCACTGCAGAAGAAGGTAAGGCGCTAGCATCTCATCTGGGCTGGAAGATGTGGGAAACTGCATTAGAAGGAAATAGTAAAGATTCACTAGTAGTGGCTAGGGAGCAGCACTTTGTTTTTGTCTTGTTTTATTTTTTCTCATCACAGATAAAGTGAGGGCTTCCAGTTGCAGTAATGTTAGGGAGTCCTATCTTAATTTTCAATGCCATCCTTTAACCTGTAGCTGAGGTCAAAATCTAGAAGCCGTATGTGATGTTCATCTTTTCATCATATCCCAAATCCAATATATAAGCAATTTCTGTCACCTCGACCTTGAAGATATCTCCCAAACCTATCTACTTCTCCCAACTCCACTGTCATCTCTCACCACAGCCTCTACTTGGCTTCCCCATCCCTGCTGTCATATCTCTAATGATCAAATTTTCACCCAGGTTCCAGAGCAGTCTTTAAAATGTGTATTGGATAACTTTGTTCCCCATTCAAAACCTTCTAATAGTTTTCCATCATACATGTAATAAAAATCAAATTCCTTATATCAGCTCACAGGGCCCTACAATGACATCTCTGAGAAAGTTTCTGCCACTCTCTGCTTCCTTCTCACTCTACCCCAGGCATGCAAAATTTGAATTTATCTCCTTACTAACAGTGTTAACTGTGGTCTGTTGGTTAAGGTGGTGTCTTCTAGCACGATTCTTCCCTTTGTGATTAAATACGTTGTGGCAAGATGTTTTGAGACTATAGATATCCTGCTTCTCGTTACATTTTCACCCACTAAGTCTAGCATCCATTGATGGTTCTTACCTGAAACAATTACTATTGTGGTGCTTAGTCAATGGTGATTTTCAATCTCCATCATTTCTTCTACATTTGTTTGTTGGAATTCTCCTACAAGGGAGAGCTTTCCCATCTCTGCCTCTTATTTTTTAAATTTTATTATGTAGGTATGGATTCGTGGATTCTTACTTTTATTTTATGCTATGGGTTATAATCAATTACTCCCTTTTTGTTTTGCTTTTTTGCCCAATTTACCCTCACTTTAGCCAATGGAAGCCCATTTGAACTGGCTTCTACATCATCTGACATATTCCCTTATTTTTCTTTTTTTAGCACTTTCTTACTATTTAGAACCACAAGATGTCCTAGACTCATCTTGCAGTTTCCCTGACCTAGCTCAGAATCAACCATCTTTCAAAAAAGTGCTGGTTCCTTTTATTGGAAAGTGGTATTTAGATATCAAGATTTGGCATGAGGTGTGCTCATCAGTATTGGGGCATCATTGATTCTAAACATATGAATTTATAAACACATATCTGTATCTACTTCTATATCTTAAATCTATATTAAAAGTCATGAGTTCATTTTGGTAATTTGTTTCTGTTTGTATTGCATCTTGGAATTTCCCTTCCTTTTTGATTATAATGTTCTCTCTCTCTCACCTGCTTGCCTGCCTGCCTTCCCCTTCTTCTCTCTCCTTCCTTCTTTCTATCCTCCTCCTCGGCCTCCTTTCCACCTCATTCCAGAAGTCCTTGCCTCTTCAGAGGTCATGGTTCACTATGTAGCCTTCTGGTATAATTTAGCTCTGGTGGCTAAAGGACCTCAGTTCAATTCCTGGCTCTACCACTTTCCAGCTGTGTGACTGTGGGCAAGCAGCCTCTCACAATAACAGACTCTCAAGACAACCAAATTCTTACCAGACTCAATCCTTGGAATCAGGCTGACCTGATTTCCTTTGATATTCTCGGACCTATAGGCTGGTTTATCTCTCTCAATGACTTCAGGTCTTTATCAAGACATCCAGGCAATTATTTTCCCTCAGATGTTCTTCCCAGCATTTCTAATTGAGCAATTTAACTATTGTTTCTCTCTTTAATTCTTCCCCATCACAGAAGTGTATAACCTTCAGTTAACTACTCGCTATGGTAATGAGTGATATCAATTTCTGCTCCATTTTTTTTAAGTAGAGATGGAAGTCTCACTTTGTTGCCCAGGCTGGTCTCAAACCCCTGGCCTCAAGCAATCCTCTTGCCTCAGCCTTCCAAAGTGCTGGGACTATAGGCATGAGCCACCGCGCTTGGCTCTCTGCTCCATTTTTATTTATCCCTGATAATATTCATGATGTAATTCTATCTATATCTATGTATCTATTTTTAAGAGGACAAAAGGATTGCAACTCCAAACCACCTATTTGAAAGGGGCACTTTCCACCAGGATCGGCACTATTTTTCTCTTGGAAACTATAATGACAGCATCATAGACAAAATCAGTTTGATTACATAAGCATTAAATGTTTTTATCGCAAGAGTATCTATAACTTCCAAAGGGCAATTATATTTAAGATCGCTTGAGAACAAAGACTTTGGGAAAACCTGCAGTGTCAGAAAGCTGTGTTCTTTTGGGGGGCTTTTGCATTTTAACAGCCTAAGAAATAAATCTGCTTTTTAAAGGGAGAGTATTTACCATCTGCAGTTCATGAGTGTTTGAGGCAGGGAAAATCTATCATTTACACACATTTGTGATGAAGTTGGCAGATTATCCTCTTCTGAAGGGTTTCATCAGCAATGACTAGGATGGAAACACCCTGGTTGATGTGATCTGGTGAGCCAGAAATCTGCTTGTTGTGATCTGGTGAGCCAGCTACTCTGCTTCTGCTGGTAACAATCACAGTATTTTGGGAGTGGCATCTTTTCTTTTTTTTTTTTCTTGTGGCAAAAATTTGAGTAGTATTGATGGAGGAGGTGGTATGGTCTTAGGTAAAATAGAGAGTAATGAACATATTCACCTGATTTCCAGGTATGGTTAAAGCAGGGCAAGTGGGATCAGGATCTATTTTCCAAGGTGCCTTGTACAGCAGGGAGGGACAGTTGTAGAGGGAGGAGGGGCAAGGCAGAGAAAGAATATGGAATTAAAAGGCCACCTCATAGAAAGTAGACTGTGTGGGCACAGAAAGAGAGAAAGAAGAAATATTGGCCATTGCCATGAGCGATGAAGCTTACATGGGGAAAAGATGCTGCCAGAGGACGTATAGAAAGGTTTGGGTAATACACTAGGCGAGACTTCTGAGCTGTGTTTTCCAGGAAACCTAGCATAAATACTGCCATTATTTTTCAGGATGTTTGGTTTAGACTGGAGTTGCTTTAAAAACAAAACACTAAGCAGCAGCACGATCTAGCAGTAATTTGTTGGACAGTCACACGTTGCTTAACAATGGGGATACATTCTGAGAAATGCATCATTAGCAATTTCATTGTTGTGTAAAAATCCTAGAGTGTATTGTGGTTGCACAAACCTAGACGATAGAGCCCACTACACACCTGGGCTCCATGGAATAGCCTATGGCTCCCAGGCTACAAACGTGTATAGCTCACCACCGTACTGAATACTGTAGGCAATTGTAAGAGAACCGTAAGTATTTGTGTATCTAAACATGTCTAAACACAGAAAAGGTACACTAAAAATATAATATACAAGATAAAAAATGGTACATTTGTATAGGGCACTTACCATGAATGGAGCTTGCAGGACTGGAAGTCACTCTGGGTGGGGTCAGTGAGTGAGCAGTGAGTGAATGTGAATGCTTAAGACATTGCTGTCCACTGCTGTTGACTTTATAAACACTGCACACTTAGGCTACATGACATTTATTTTAAAATATTTTTCTTTCTTCAATAAATTAACCTTAGTTTACTATAAATTTTTACTTTATAATTTTTAAAATTTTGGCTATTTGTAATAACACTTAGGTTAAAACACACATTGTACAGCCGTACAAAAGTATTATTTCTATCTTTATTCTATAAGCTTTTATTTTAAAAATTGTTTTTTATTTAAAAATTTTTTTGTTAAAAACTAAGACACAAACACACCAGCCTAGACCTGCTCAGGGTCAGGATCGTCAATGTCACTGTATTCCACCTCCACATCTCTTCTCACTGGAAGGTCTTCGGGGCAATAACAGGCATGGAGCTCTCATCTCCTATGATAACAATGCCTTTCTCTGGGATACTTCCTGAAGGACCTACCTGAAGCTGTTTTACAGTTAACTTTCTTTTTAATAAGTAGAAGAAGTATACTCTAAAATAATAAAAAACATAATACAGTAAATACACAAACCAGTAACAGTCATTTCTTATCAAGTATGTACTGTACATAATTGCATGTGCTAGACTTTTATATGACTGAAAGCACAGTAGGTTTGTTTCCCCCAGCATCTCCACAGACACGTGAGTAACACGCTGCACTGCAACGTTACAAGGACTACAGCGTCATTAGGTGACAGAGATTCTTTAGCTTCATTATAATCTTATGGGACCACCGTTGTATATGTGGTCTGTTGTTGACCAAAACATCACTATGTGGCACATGACTATATTTAAATTATAAGCAGAGGTGATAGTCAACACAATTGATCATCATTAGGCCTGGGCACTGATTCATTAGAATGGATATATGGCTATAAACAACAGTGCACCACAATGGAGTGTGCCAGCCTAATGTCACCTTTGGTTGTGGTGCTTTCCAGGTCTGAAAGTGATTAATAGTGATTCATAAACATGGAGGTGCTGTCTGAGCTCGAATATCCTCCTGTGTTGGTTCTGTCAGAGCCTCCCGGGCACCTGTGGGGGAAGGGAAGGGCAAGAGCCAGTGAGGAGTCTCTGGTAGCCTGACTCCCACCTGTGCATTACTAGACAATGCTGCCATCTGAAATGTATTTGCTACCTCTATTTCAAAAATACCAACAAGAGAAAATGCAATCTTGTTCCTTTTTGGCCATATATTGGAATGACAGACACAGGGTAACGGTGAGACTGTTCAAATGTCCATTTTTTCCCCTGCATTCCTAGCATCCTTGCATTTAGGTTGGGGCCATGTGAGTAGTTCTGGCCAATGGGCTGTGAGCAGAAGTAACGTGGCCACTTCTAAACTAAGGTGATTAAAAGTCAATGTACTTCTTCCATCCTTCTCTTGTCATTTTACCTGACACAGCAACTTTTGAGGCCATGTGTCCCAAATGGTGCAGCTATGGAGAAGAGGTACTCAAACTGCACCAAACTTTATGTACGACATAAACTTTCTTGGTCAATCCATTAAGATTTCCGTAGCATAGCAAAATTTATCCTGACCTCAAGATGGTCCCTTTTGGATACTGCATGACAAACATCTGAGGCATTTTCATGGCATTTTCTTCATTGGAAGGCAGTGAAGACACAGATATTGGAGACTGAAATGCTATGGATTCATGCTATGCAGTAGCAAAACATTTTCTAAAGTTTCCACCTGTGGGAGCTCAAGAAGGTAGAGTATAAGGATACTATCCCAGCAGTTCTGGAGGAAGATGTTAGAAACAAAATGGAAATGGTGTGCGTTATCTACCTTTTAGTAGATATTACAGAAAAAAAGATGAGCTCAGGAAAGAAATGGCAGGCAAAAGTAAAAAAGAAGTAGACTCTATTTAGAAATCCAGAGTCTTATAAACTTGGAAAAGCCAGTTTCTTCTAGATCCCAACTGTAAGAGACAGAATTAAAAGGATTTTGGTTCTGCTTGCTCATAGGATGTAGAAAGCTACAAGAGAATTGCTCTCACGCTAATGAGAAAAGGTCAGGCAATTTACAAAATCATAAATTTTCTTGAATTCATCATGAGATCACAAGACAACCAAGAAAATCAAATGCCAGAGTAACAATCTTTCCTAAGAGGGATGGGGCAAATGAACTGTTTCCCCTTTGGCAGAGCAAGATAGGAGGAGGTGGCCAGCATAGAAACAAGCAAGAAGAAATCAACTAAAAATGTAATAAGTGCTCAGAGCCCTGGTGTCAGCTAGTGCAACAGTTTAAAATAGCCCCGGGAGCCCCAGACACCAGTGGAGTTGGCACTCACTGGCAAGCTCTTTTCCAGGGGCCTCCACCAGAAAATCTACCTTGCTTTACAGAAAAGCAGACTTAAAAGAAGCTGGGATGAAACATGACTCGCTTGTGTTCACAGGGATGAAAAACCATGTTAAGAACAGCAAATCATATCTTCTAACTCGTAAGACGAGTGCTATAAAAAAATTCTGTCAGGTCACAACCATTTTCTCAGTTAATTAATAAAACAAATCATTAATCTGTTGCTACAAACATTTGTATATATTTATGGGGTACATATGTGGTAATCATGCATAGACTGTGTAATGATCAAGTCAGGGTGGGGTACCCATCACCTCAAGTATTTATCGTTTCTATCTGTTGGGAACATTTCAAGTCCTCTTTTCTAGCTATTTTGAAACATGCATGTTGTTAACTGTACCACTCCGCTACTGAACATTAGAACTTATTTTTTCTATCTAACTGTATGTTTGTACCCATTAACCAATCTCCCTTTATCCCCCCAATACACACTGTTCCCAGCCTCTGGTACCTATTACTCTAATCACTACTTCCATGAGATCAACTTCTTTAGCTCCCACATATGAGAAAGAACATGCACTGTTTGATTTTCTCTTTCTGAGTTGTTTCACTTAAGATAATGGCCTCCAGTTCCATGTTGCTGGAAATGACATAATTTCATTCATTTTTACAGTTGAATAATATTCTATTGTGTACATATGCTGTGATTTCTTTATCCATTTGTCCATTGATGGACACTTAGGTTGAGTTCATGACTTTGCTGTTGTGAATTATGCTGCAATAAACATGGCAGTGCAGGTATCCCTTGGACACACTGATCAAATCATTCATCTTTTAAGATTGCATCTTTGGCTTCAGTGTTTATTTTATCTACAGTGAATATCTACAAATATCTAATTATGCCTGAACATAAGTACCTCCACCTAGGTGTTGGCTCTGAGTTTTTGGTAAATTTTCAAACTTTTAAGTTTGGAAAGGTCTCATGCAAAGTTTGGGACTTGAGCTATTTAGTGACTTTAAGCTCTATATCTGTTTTTTTTTTTGTTTGTTTTTTGTTTTTTGTTTTTTGTTTTTTTTTGAGACGGAGTCTTGCTGTGTCACCCAGGCTGGAGTACAGTGGTGCAATCTGGGCTCACTGCAAGCTCCGCCTCTCGGGTTCACGCCATTCTCCTGCCTCAGCCTCCCGAGTAGCTGGGACTACAGGTGCCTGCCACAGGGGGCCACCGGGTTTCACTGTGGTCTCGATCTCCTGACCTCGTGATCTGCCCAGGTCAGCCTCCCAAAGTGCTGGGATTATAGGTATATCTGTTATTTTTGAAAAGTATTAAAGCTCCATGAATGAAATGCAAAGTGGGATTATTACATTGTTGATTTAAAATTCTTTGTTTTTTAAGCCTCTACTAGGCCTATTTAAATTCAATAACTCCTAAAAGCCAGAGAAGTTGCAAGGCCTCAAAAGTACTCCCTTCCCCACTTCAAATTTTTTCCTTTCTCTGTTTCAAAAGTATTGTTTTTACTTATAAACACGACTGTATTATCAAAATTTTGAAAAGAACAAAAAATAAAATCCATAATCTCATCACCAAGGTATAACCATTTGATAACTTAGTGTATCTCCTTCCAGACCTTTCTTTCTCATGCATTTAGATAAGCGTATTTTTTAAATTGGCTTCATATATTACATACTGTATTGTACCTTCTCAAATTTCTGATCTTTTACATAAATTCAGACTCTATCATCATCATTGGTAATGTTTCAAATGCGCCGTATACTATGAGAATACCTTAAGCTTTGAGGGGAAATCAGATCCAATAGGCACCAAATCCTTCCAAATACAATCTAACCCAAAAATCAAGTGGAGGCAATTATTAAATATTTAGATTTTTAAATTTTTGCTTTTGTGTCTTCAAAATTCAAATAAGATGTATCTCTATACGAAAGAGCTTTACTTTGATATCTCTAAACATTTAGTCACAAACTAGAGATTATAACCTCAAAATAAAAGCTATTTAAGAAAATATATTTAGGCCAGGTAAGGTGGCTCATGCCTGTAATCTCAGCACTTTGGGAGTCAGAGAAGGGAGGATCTCTTGAGACTAGGAGTTCGAGACCAGCCTGGTCAACATAGTGAGTCCCCATCTCTATTAAAAAAAAAAAAAGAAAAGAAAATATATTTAGAAATCTTTATTTCTAGAACCGTTTAAAAAAATAGGTCACTACAAGCTACTGAGCACAACGCTTTCAAAGACTCCACTGTGAAATATTTGAGAAAAGTAAAAACAGCTCTATTGGCAAAGAAATCTATGTTTGATCCACTTAGAAGATAAACTGAGCATTTTTTTTTTTTAAGTTTTGATGTTGTTTGAACCTGAGACTCCAGGGAAGGACAAGCCATCACGATGGGGGTAGGACCTCTCTCTATTGTTCCTGTAAAGATTAAACAACATACCCTAGATCTTTAGTTTCTTCAAAATAAAGTGGTCAGCTTACTTGAATCATAATAACAACATACCAAGCACATAGTCAGATCCATAACTATCAGTGGCTTGGGAGTGTTATTTGCTTGTCACCTGTTAAATGTCTCCAGGTAGCAGTCCCCAGCCTGAAAGCCAGGAATCAAGTCACTGACCTTGATGCTGAAGGGCACACTTCTGCTTCATGTATGTTTAGAAATGTACAAAAAAGACTCAACATTTGCATTGTAAAAAAGAACATCCTTTTTCAAAAGAACACCACAGCATTCTTAATGAGAGAGATAGATTGTCCCCCAATAATTCGTATATAAAGTCCCTTACATTTGTATATAATGAATTCCTGAAAACATATTTGAAAGTCTGAAAGTCAGTTGGCGTATAGAGGGTTCTGCTTCCAGAGGGCTCAGAATGTTATGAAATCCATAATTGTGATTAAACACATAATGTTTTGCTTGGGTATACAATGTGTACATGGTAAATGAATATGTTAAAAATAATAAGCATTAAGCATAGAAAATACAGATGCATGTTTTGAAATAATTTCTTACCTCAACTGCCGGTTGTCTCAGGAACTTATCTAAAGTTAGGGGGAGGATGAGCTGATAGAGATTCTATTTAGTGGTGTCAGATCAGCTTTCCTAAATTTGTTGTCAAGAGAAAGTTGAACACCAGCCACCTTCCTCTAAGAGAAGGGGTCTGTGAGAAGTTGTTTCCAAAGCCTTGTGCACGCCTCTGTGCATTAGACTGCTAATTCTCAATTTATACTTATGCAGGCTCCTTAATTCCTCCATCAGCACTCCTTGTCTTTGATGATATTTCCTAATGTCCTCTATAGTCTCTTGTGGTTCCTTTCCTCTGAAACCAAACTCATAGTCAAGCATTTGATATCCACTGAACATCTCACTAAAGGTAAACATGACCTGCCTTCAGCAGACCTAACTGCATTATCACTGGTATTGGCACTTTCATTTTGCTACCTTCCATTCATTTTTTTAACAAACTAAAATCTATTATTTATCCATATTTATTTAGTTTAATTTTTTTTAAATAGTAGGTGTGTTTATGGGGTACATGAGATATTTTGATACAAGCCTACAATGTGTGATACTCACATCAGGGTAAATGGGGTATCCATCACCTCAGGCATTTATCATTTCTTTGTTACAAACACTCCAATAACTCTTTTTATTATTTTACAATGTATGATAAGTTATTGTTGACTGTAATCACCCTGCTGTGCTATCAAATACTAGATCTTATTTATTCTATCTATATTCTACTCAGTTTTTACAAGATGATAAAAGCAAAATGCTGTAGTTATTCCAATAATTGGATAATAAATCACAAATGATGATTGCCAAAAATACAATGTTGTGAGGCAGACAGAAAGACCACCACAAAATAGCTTAACACTTGTTTGTCAGTGGGAGTGCAAATGTCCTGATCGGGAGACTTCAGGGGGACACAGTCTGGGAGTAGGGAGACTGTGTAAAGGTTGTGTGGAAGTCAAGGTCTGCTGAAGTCTCTTTGAGGAATAGCCACTGCTGATAGCAACATTAACTGAAAAATAAAATATTATGTTATGGGATCTTTGGGGTGTTGCTTTTCTGGCCTGAAACCTGTGGCCAGTGGTGCCTTTGCCTAAGTTTTGCCCAGGCCCTCTGGCCTCATTCTGCCCACTTGGCCTGGTAGGCTGCACTCAGCTCAAACTGTAGCCTGGATTCCACGCCTCCACGGGAGACTGTGAGTCAGGCATGGAGCTGCAAGTGGTGTGTGAGTGAGCGCGGGGTCCAGCCACTGCATAGTCAGACACACCAGCTGCTGCTGTGGGGCAGGCAGCTCCAGGTGCCAGCATGGGCACCAGCTCTCTGTGAGGCTACAGCTGGACCAGGTGCACTGCAAGTCCCTGGCTGGCACTGGGGAATGCGGTGGCTCCCAGAAGCTTGGAGATGCCAGGAACTACAGGGGCCCAAAGAGGGGGTCACAGCCCTGGCTCAGGGAGCTCCCAGGTCTGGGCTCCCTGAAGGGCTGCAGCTCTTCTTTCCTACTCTTCACCCACAATGTGGAGAAAAAGGGCCATGTCTCAGCCCTGTTTGTGTTACAACTCTTTTAGCTTCACCATTCGGCGGGTCCTGAGTTCTTGTCCTGTGACCAGGAAGAATGAGGTACACAGACAAATGAAGCACAGAGCAAGAAGAGGAGCTTTGTTGTAGCATTAGTTCATGCAGAAATATTTATATTTAAAAAATTAATTTTTCACAAAACTTTCCAGGTACACTTTCTTCCCCTGAAAGTATACACTTTGACTCTGCTCAGGCAGCAAGAACAACTGGAGTGGAGTAAAAGTGGGAGAGGAGCAAAATACAGGTGGTCCTGACTTACTATGGCTCAACTTAATTTTTCTACTTTACAATGGTGCAGAAGTGATATACACGTTCAGTATGAACTTTAAGCACACAGGCAACCATTCTGTTTTTCACTTTCAGTACAGTATTTAATAAAATACATGAGATATTCAATACTTCATTGTAAAATAGGCATTGTGTTAGGTGATTGTGCCTAACAGCAGGCTAATGTAAATGTTCTGAGCATATTTAAGGTAAGGTAGGGTAAGCTATGATTTTTTTGTAGGTTAGGGGTGTTAAATGCATTTTTGACTTAGGATATTTTCAAACTTATGATGGGTTTATTGGGTTGGAGCCCCATGGTAAGTCAAAGAGCATCTGTTCAAGCAAACAGGCCATGAAGTTGCCCCATATTTTCCAAAGCAGGGGAGTCGCTCACCAGTTGGTATAATTTGGATTTTTGTCCCCTCTTAATTTCTTGTGGAAATGGATTCCCACTGTGGAGGTGGGGCCTAATGAGAGGTGTTTGGATCGTGGGTGTGGATCCTTCATGAAGGGCTTGGTACTCTCTGCAGTAATGAGTGAGTTCTCACTCTGTTAGCTCACATGAGAGCTGGTTGTTAAAGCCCATTTGGCATCTCTCTTGCTCCATCTCTTGCCACGTGCCATGCCTGCTCCTTCTTTGCTTTCCACCATGAGTAAAAGCTTCCTGAGGCCTCACTGGAAGCCAAGCAGATGCTGGAGCCAGGCTTGCACAGCCTGCAGAACCATGAGCCAAATAAACCTTATAAATTACCCTACCTCAGGTGTTCCTTTATAACAACCCAAAATGGATTAATACACCAGTATAGAGGATAGTCAGGGAGAGCCTTCTGGTGTTTTGGGATTAATCACTTCAGAAATAAAACAATTTTCAGTGAATCACTGTGGTTTATCATTGATTTTTTATTTTTATTATATTATTAACTATATCCATGTATTATTATATTAAAAAGCTGGGCAACTCTTTCCTGCTCAGAGCTCATTCCTTTGGTGTTTTTTAATTTATTTTTTTGTTTGTTTGTTTTTAGAGATAGAGTCTTGCTCTGTCACCCAGGCTGGAGTGCAGTGGTGGTGATCATAGCTCATTCCTTTGCTGTATACAGTATAAAAACCATATGGCAAGTACTTCTAGTATATATATAGCTCTTTCTAACTGCTTGCTCCCTGCAACAGTTACTCACAATAAGCTTGAGCCCAATAAAATTGCTTTTCACAAGTCTCAAGTCTAAATACAATCAGGGTCTTGTTCCTTGGCAAGACTCAGCTCTCTAATTTATCCAACAACTATGACACTCAATCAGTCACTCGTCTCCCCTAAAGGGCTATCCTCTCTAATTTCCAGCTCTTTCACCTGTGCTACTTCCTCTTCTCACTCCCCTTACTGCTAGCCTGGCTTCTCCTCCTCACCCTTCAGCTTCTCCTTAAGGCAGCCCTGACACCCCACACCTGAGTTACGCTTCCCTTTCTGCAGCTCCAAGAATCGTATACTCCTCCCATCACAGGATTCTTCACATTGTATTGTTACTGCTTCTCCTCCTCCACTATGAGACTGTACTGTGAGGGCAGAAATCAGATTATGACTATTCACAGTTGAGAGCAGATAGTAGGTGAACAACAAAAATTTGTTAAATGAGAAAAATGAATAAGTGATTTTTCTCATCAGTGAAGACAGAGTTGGACTAAATCATGTCTAAATCAATCCACTTTTAAATGATATGATTTCATTTACTGTATCACTCCATAGGGTTGGGATGAGGATTTCATAGCTGAAAACAACGTGTGGATCTGTTGAGGGCCACCAGATGTAGCCTGTTCATTTGAGGACATCTGCCTATTTTTAAAGTCATCTGATTCATTTATTGTGTGTTTAATCTGAGGTGTGGGAGGTGGCAGGTTGTGGAATGAACAGGTTAGAGGCATGATGTTTTGCCTTTTGTTTGCTCTGAGTGTCTTTTGGAAAAACAGGAACTTCTTCATTGCAGTAAGCTCTTTTACTTCTCTCTGGCTCCAGTTCTTGCAGGCCTGGACATTCATCCTCTCTAATAACCCTCTGCCACTACTGGTGGTTGGACTGGCTCTGCATATGGTAGCCATGATCATGTGGTCACAGGTGCCCCCATGCTGCTCCTTTGAAGGCTCATATGCCTGTACTATGCTGCCTGATTTTTCTAGTAT
The DNA here is from genome assembly GCF_000001405.40 of Homo sapiens. Taxonomy (NCBI): domain Eukaryota; kingdom Metazoa; phylum Chordata; class Mammalia; order Primates; family Hominidae; genus Homo; species Homo sapiens. The sequence continues at coordinate 106,384,401 of NC_000007.14, read as the reverse complement.
GCTTTTTCCTTTTAACTTGATCTCAAGCATTTTGATATATCCAGCTTTGTTTAACCAAAGGCATACTTTTTTTTTTTTTTTTTTTTTTTTTTTTTTTTTTTTTTTTGAGACAGAGTCTCTCTCTGTCACCCAGGCTGGAGCGCAGTGGCACAATCTTGGCTCACTGCAAGCTCTGCCTCCCAGGTTCATGCCATTCTCCTGCCTCAGCCTCCTGAGTAGCTATACTCAGGAGTCCTGGCAGGACTATAGGCACCTGCCACCACACCTGACTAATTTTTTGTATTTTTAGTAGAGATGGGGTTTCACCGTGTTAGCTAGGATGGTCTCGACCTCCTGACATCGTGATCTGCCTGCCTCGGCATCCCAAAGTGCTGGGATTATAGGCGTGAGCCACCGCACCTGGCCAGCATTCTTGATAACTATTATTAGACAACTGATTTAATAATGCTCTTTCACATTAAAAATGAACCTAATACGAAATTTTGCCTTTTACTTTTGGCAATTCCTATTGCTGCTCTTTCCCTTGCCAAGATAATGGAATAAGCCTAAAACAAGATACTGACGTAGAACTGCTAAGTGAATGATCTAATCATTATTTGAAGGAAATTGCTTTTTAATCTCTACATATGTGAGACTAGAAAGAATTTCAGCTCAAGTTCTTGATAGCTCAGTTCCATCTGATGTCCAGCTTCTAAGAACGGAGTTATTTTCTGTGAACTTCAGGGGCTTTGGAGGGCATATGACATTAAAACAATTGGGTGTCTTTAGTAACTTTGTTCATTACCACCTCCCTAAGTTAGGAGAAGCATCCATCAAGCTGCACACACCGGCTCACCTGTTTAAGATCAGAGCACTGCAAAGGCTTGTAGGCTTTTTACTACAGCAAGAACCCCTGGGCCTGGAGTAATTTCTGTCTCCAATAATAATGGTAGCCACTCAAATATGGGACCCTCATGGGAATGGAGAATGTTGGATTAAGGGGTGACAATAGAGCCCATCAGGTACCAGTCTCCTTGGTCCTACCCTGTATCACCTTGGATGACACTTCTCTGGCTGAACTCCTTGATGAAGCACAAATGGTTTTAAGAACTAGAACTTAGGTGTCCAGAAAATAGCAATCAATTTCCTTGGCTCCCCATAAGCCTTAAGGCATTGACTGGGAACCACTGGGAGATTTTGTGTCGCAGGACCATGTGAATATCCTAGAAAAGCATAGACCCAAGGGTTGCCTAGGACAATAATAACAGTCACTTATATATCACACTCAAGAACTATTTTAAGTCTTTTCTGCTATAGTAACTCCTCAAAATAGCTCTATGAGGTAGTTATTTTACAGCTGAGGAAACCAAGGGTTAGGAAGGGTGAGTATCCTGAAGAGCACCCCACTTTTGTGTGCCTTTGCCAGAATTCACAACCAGGCTGTCAATTTCAAGTCCCCTGTCTTTACTAGGACCCCTGATCTGCCTCCCTAACTCTCATCCCACCAGGCCTGCTTACATTTACCCGAAAATCCTGCTGCAGAATGTCAACTAATCTATGTAAGGTTGTAATGGAAGGTGAGATGCATAATTTTTATCAGAGTGAAAAAAAAATTTAGGCCCTGTTTACCAGGGCCCAAACATTTGCCACAGCAGTGCTCCAGCCCCCAAACCCATGAATACTCTTTTAAAGCCCATGTTACTAGATACTGGTAACAAGATACATGTTTTAAAGCCCATGTTACTAGATACTGGTTACTAGATACATGGTACTAGATACTGTAAACAAACATTTGTCTTCAGCAGATTCTCTGGGCTTCCCTAGAAAGATGCATACATCCCATAAAATACTGAAGACAGAGACAAAATAAGCTTGGACTCAATGCTAGGTCAGAGCACATGGTTAGGTTTCTGGCTGCAATAGAATATTTCACTGTTGAAGGTCCCCAAAGAACATTTGTAGGACTCCAGATTGGAGTGATGGGACATAGGAAACCTCTCCCTCCGCCTCCTCTTTCTCCTCCTCCTCCTCTTCCTCCTCCTCCTCTTCTTCTTCCTCCTTCTCCTCCTCTTCCTCCTTCTCCTCCTCTTCCTCCTCTTCCTCCTCCCTCTCTTCCTTCTCTTCTTCCTCCTCCTCCTCCTCTTCCTCCTCCTCCTCCCAGGCCTGGGCCAGTGCCAGGAAAGTAGAGTGACCAGCAGACAGGTCCTGCATGGCCCAAGGGAGAACAGTCACCAATATCTAGGGACAGGATTCAAGAGGACAACAGAGAATGTAAAGGATAATTTTTACTTGTTAAGGCTTTTTCAGGCTTGCAGTCTGGCTTTGAAGATGGCAGTTAAGATGCTATGGGCAGGAAGAACATTAAAGTACTATGTGATGATTACACATCTCTTTTAAACGATGCTCTTGATTTGTAAAATTCTGCAGAACTTCAGAAATCTCCAAATGTCTCCAAATTCCAATTTTTCAGCATCTAAATGATATCTCCCACACTGCCTCTCACATCTGGAAAAAGCACAAAACCCTTTGTGGACAATATGACTGGCTGATTGTCTTTGAAAATGATTCCTGTAGCTATTCATAGATGTCATGAACTCATTTGTCCAACATGTGTATAAGCACCTATGTGTGCCAGTCTAATACTGTCACTGAAAACACAAGGAAAACGGCCCAGGAGTTATAGACGAGTAGTTACAGATATGTCTGTAGGATCTGAGTTCCTAATACACAAAATTGGAAAAGATATATGCAGCGGAGGAGCCCACCATTCCCACTGCTGTACCTGTTGAGATACATCATTGTAGTGAAGTTCCCTGAGCACATTTTCCCCACGCCATCAAATCTAGATTTGAGTCATTAGACCAAAGAACACAGCTCCACAGAAGCACTTGCCTATTTTGACCATCAGATGCTGTGATCACAGTTGCTGAAAGTAGAGTCCCTGGAGAGATCTGATAAGAAAGCAAAGACTGGAGAGAAGGGATGTCAAACTGCTGCATCGTGGTGGCAGATGTGCACATGGAGGGAACACAGAGGGGCACACCAGAAACATCCTCAAAAAACAAACTGCTCACTGTGGGAACTTAAAGTCTATGGAAAGCTAAGTGACTGCACCCCATGTGTGGTAAGTTAGGACAAGTTGCTTGTCTCTGATGCTCTGTCTCCTACATATTGCTGTTTGCTACCCCACCCCCCAAAAAAAGCATTTTTATTACCCCTCTCCATACACTCATTCTTTCTTTCCCACAGTGTACTTAGCCCTCTGAGTCCCTTTCTTCCTTCAAAGAACAGGGCCCCGCAAGCCTTTGCCCTTTCTCGTTCTATGCAAAGGATAAACCTTACTAAATGTAACCTATGTTTGCAAACTTGGTGTCCCCCACTAACTTATATATAGTAGGTCCTGGCTTCCCTCTTTGAAGACCCTATCCGCTCTAGTATATCTGGGGACAAGGGTTATCTCACGAAGCTACGCCATTAATCTGCAGCCACAGTTGTGCCTGCAACATTCCTTCCATCCATATCTTTAGCTTCTGCTCCTCCTCAGATCTCATTTATTTTGCTGCCAGTCCCTCCCAGAGTTGTCCTGTGAGCTGTTCTTGTGATCACTGAGGCCTCTAATTCCCTCAATAGCATGGCTAAACCTAAGCTTGAATGAGTAACAGGACTTTAGTAAAGATTTGGAAATGGCACACAGGAATGATCACTTTGAGAAAGTCAAAACTGATACTAGAAATGTGGAATCATAAAGTTTACAGGCCGAGCCTCTCCACGTACAACCTTTATTGGGCACCTCTCAGCCCAGCTCCCAGCAAGCTTCACTAGTCCTAGACTCTGCATTTCCTCCCACCAGAGAGAGGGGAAGAGGCCTCCAGTTTTTCTCTTGCCCATAGGGTTCTTGTCTGCAATCCTGGTCTCAATATTCCCCAGGTTCTCTCTGTTTTCTCCCCTTTGTGCATGATTAACAGCTGAAATGTCCTTCCCATTCAGGGAGAGTTGGTCTTACCTTGGACAATGAACTAGGAGGCAGTAAATTACACATCAGTCCTTTTCCAAAGTCTGAGTTAGTATAGAATGTCGCAAATAGTGCTGCTTCAAACAAGCCCCACTTTAAATCTGGGCCCCCTGGTGATCTCTTCACCAGCCTGAGTAAGGATAGGACTCCAGTGCCCCACACTCACCCCCGAGAGCTTCCAGCCTCCACTCCAAAAAGGACATCCACATATTTTTCAAGAAAGCAAAACAATTTTCATAGGCTCTGCAGAATAAATCTTTAAACATTTTCCTGTAGAAAACAATTTGCAGAACTGCAACACCATCCACGATGAAAACAGCCTTTTATGTTTTTGTGCATGACACCGGAACCCCTCGGAAAGGCAGGGTCTAAATTTCTGTATTTGAGAATATTTACTTTTCCTTTTAATAACTAAATATCCATTGTAGTGTCTTTCCAGAACAAAGGAATATTTACCCCAGAGGACAATATTTGTCCCCCTGTTTTATAATACATCACACAAGAAAAGCTTTGAAAGTACAGGGTTTTTGTTTTTGTTTTTTTTCCAAGATTTCAAAGATCCCAAGATAAATTCTTTGTTAGGGATCAAGATCAAAGAGTTATGCCTTTCCTTTCCCCCAGGAGTCTCTGCCAGAAGGATGTTTTTCCCAAGCATATGGCCTAAAGTGGGGAGCCTGCATCATGTTTTGTCAGCAGGGTTACACAGATCCGTGATGGGGGAGGCATGGGGAGCTCCCGGAAAGGTCTTTAACATCTGCGCCCGGGCAGCAGGGCCTTGGTGTAAAGGCAGATGCTAATGACCATAAGCCAGGTGCCCTGATTATAGTTTCACATCCACCAGGGCTTGGAAAGCTATTAACTCCTAATCCCCAGCCCCTTTTCGGTCATCCCTTGTAGAGGCTAGCTCCAGAGCTGGTGGAACCCATGGCAGTGTGTCCATATCCGTGTATTCACTTTTAGGTTTGTAAATTCAGATATGGCAGGAATCAAATTCCTATAACCCCCTCTCTACACAGAGCATCTCACATGCACAGTCCTAGAATGCTAAACTTAGATGGAACCTTAGAGTTTCTCTAATCCAACCTCATCATTCATTCAGATAAATTAATTGAGGTCCAGAAGTAAACTTGTATTGGCAAAGTTGCAGAGTTGGTTCACCCCAGAGCGGAGACATACCCACAAGCCTCCTGTGTTCTTCCAGGTATTCTTCCCTTATAGCAAGGCTTTTTTGACGATGGCAATATGATGAAATACCGAGCGAAAGCCCTACAGGTTTTATCATTCACAAACAGTTCCTAAGAGACTTCTACGTTCCAGGCCCTGTAGTAGGAGCTGGTTCTGCCGTTAAAGAGCTCACAGTCTAGCCTTCGAGAAAGTTAATGACTCCCTAAGAAAGGTTCTATGACGGGACATCTAGTAGTTTAGGGGCACCAAGTAGAGGCACCTTCCCAAGCTGAAAACTATACTCTCATTCTGAATTTGACTACATCTAGATAGCTGAGGACTTTCTGAAGGTAGTAGTTTTGCTTTAGGGGCATTTAAACATGGCTTGCTAGATCTCTCATGGTTGCAGTGAAAAAAATTTAAAAATAGGCCGGGCATGGTGGCTCATGCCTGTAATCCTAGCACTCTGGGAGGCCGAGGCGGGTGGATTGCCTGAGCTCAGGAGTTCGAGACCAGCCTAGGCAACACAGTGAAACCCCATCTCTACTAAAATACAAAAAAATTAGCCAGGCATGGTGGCATGTATCTGTAATCCCAGCCACTCTGAAGACTGAGACAGGAGAATCACTTGAACCTGGGAGGCGGAGGTTGCAGTGAGCCGAGATCACACCACTGCACTCCAGCCTGGGCAACAGAGGGAGACTCCATCTCAAAAAATAAAAATGTAGAAAAGAAAACGTTGCCTACTTGTGCAGGTAAGACCTCGGTGCTGCAGGAGGGCAATGGGTCCCTCTGCTCCGACTCCCTGCGGTGCTAAGTTAGCAAGTTATGTCCCAGCAGCTCCAAAGAGGACTAGGTATGACCAAGCCTGGCAACCCACCCCCAGGCACCATACCCAGCCTCTGGATGAGGCTGCAGATTTCCCCTTATGCAAAGAATGTTTGTACAGCTCTGGTGGGGCAGTGTCTCATGCTAGCAGAAGCCAGTCAGTGCTTAGTAAGGTGACATTGCATTTTTGATGCCCAACCTTGGCACCAGGAATTGGGCAAGTGAGGACAGTCTGAGTGCCTCCCGAGGGAGGGTCTCTGGGAACTGTTAATCCTGGCTTCCCAGGAGGTGCGGGAGTCTGAGCAGAGGAGTTCCAGAGAGCAGTGTAGGCCAAACCACAAGCCAGGAGCACCCTGAGGAAGGGACTACATCCCACACAGTCAGCCAACCTCCAAGCCATTCCACCTCCCAAGGAGCTCTTGATCTCTGAAACCACCAACTTAGATGGGTACTGAGAATGGGAGGAAAGGATACAAGAAGTGTGTCAAAGTGAAAGTAAAAAACATGATGGTTAAGACAGGTTCTGGGGAGAGGGGGAGCAGAGCAAGATAGCGGGATAGAAGGCTCCACCAATCATGCTGCCTGCAAGGACACCCATTTAACAACTACACCAAAAAAATCACCTTCATAAGAACCAAAAATTAGACGGAGTTCTGTGATTGCCCTAAGCACATCTGCAATAGGATGGAAATGAAACTGTGGATTTGTACTTAAAAGAAACTAAAGAACTAGTTTTAAACTACTGGAAAAAAACAGAGCATACACTCATATGGTATTTTTAAAAAAATAGAGCACAAGTTCTGGGGCCAAATCATCTTGGTTCAAACCATGGCTCCACTTACTGCCCCTGTAACTTTGTGCAAGTTGATCAGTATCTGGGCTGTAGTAAAACAGGGATAACAAAGTACCTACCTTATAGTATTATTGTAAGGCTTCCATGGATAAAGGTATGTAAAATGCGTGGTCCATTATAAGTATTTAATAATACTAGCTATTATTAAAGCATAAGACATAGTCCTTGTTTCTAAATTTCTTACAATCTAATGAGAGGGATGAGAAAAATCATATAGGAAACAATAGCAGAAACATAAAATAATATGTAACTCAGTTTCAAACTGTATAGTTCAAACTCTAAGATCTGTGAAAATTAGCATAGAATTCTTCTTAGATTGTCTCTGGATAATGCCCAAATGAGGGAGATATAGGGGGGTTAAGTGGGGAGCACTGTGGCAGAGTGGTCAAGAGCTTGGGCTTCAGAGTTAGACAGCACAGTGTTTGAATTCTGGCTCCACCAATTACTAGCTATGGAATCTTGGGAAAAATGCTGTAATGGTTAATTTCATGTGTCACCTTGACTGGGGCCCGGGCTGCGCAGATATCTGGTTTATCATCATTCTAGATGTGTCTATGAGGGCATTTTTGGATAAGATTGACATTTAAGGCCAGGCACGGTGATTCATGCCTGTAATCCCAACACTTTGGGAGGCCGAGGCACACAGATCACTTGAGGCCAGGAGTTCCAGACTAGCCTGGGCAACATGGTGAAACCCTGTCTCTACTAAAAATACAAAAATTAGCCAGGCATGGTAGCACATGCCTGTAATCCCAGCTACTCAGGAGGCTGAGGCAGGAGAATCACTTGAACCTGGGATGCAGAGGTTGCAGTGAGCCAAGATCTTGCCACTGCAAAGTGGAATCTCACTTCATCCAGTGTGGGTGACAAAGCAAGACTCTGTCTCAAAAAGAAAAAAGATTAGCATTTAAATTGGTGAACTGAGTAAAGCACATTGCCCTCCCTGGTGAAGGTGGGCCTCATCTAATCAGTCAAAGGCCTGAGTAGAATAAAAGAGCTAATTAAGGGAGAATTTGCTATCTGCCTGATTGTCTTCTAGCTGGGATGTTGGCTTTCTTCCTGCCTTCAGACTCAAACTGAAATATCAGAATTCCCTGAGTCCCAAGCCTGTCAGACTTCAGAGACAAGAACTGCACCATCAGCTCTCGTGGTTCTCAGGCCTTCAGATTCAGACGAGAACTAAACCCATTGGCTTTCCTGGGTCTCCAGCTGGCCAACTCACCCTGCAGATCTTGGGACTTGCCAGATTCCATAATCACATTAACTACATTTTATCTGTGTTCAGATGTGATTATGATGTGGTTGTTTCTCTCTTGATCCATTTTGCAGTCACAGAGTGTCCTTGTCTGATGTTGATGTTATGTTATATAAGATTGTTTACATTCCATGAAAGAACACCAGGCCCAGCGGGGAGGGTCAGGCCAGCTCCTGGATGTCAAGGGTTACCTTGTTCTTTTTCAGGAGCTTCTAAGAGAAATCAACTGAAGGCCACTAACAGACCCAAATTGCCTTCTGAGGGGCTAGAAGTGGAAAACTTTCCATTTCAGTCTTTTTTTTTTTTTTTTTTTTTTTGCTGCTTATTGAGAAGTTGCTATTATTTATCAGATTAGAAAATTTGTTTCCTTCATTCCAAGAAATACATCAGGATTTGGTTCAGAGCACACAAGCAACACATATAGCCTGTAACAAATGAATTAGAATGTGTGCAGTTCCAAGTGTCAAGAGGATTTTCATCACTCTGGGAATTGTCAAAGGAGCTGATGGCAGTGCATGTTTCAGTCACAAGCCAGACTTTTGGTGTGTGCCCAGGAGGCCTGTGGCATGTGACAAGTCTCTGGGGCAGCCAGTTGGACACACAGCTCTCTCTGCCATCCAGAGCTGTTTTGCAAAGAGTTTCCTTTACTGTCTCATAGGTGAACTGCCGTAAAGGTACATTCACTTTGTGTCATGACTATGCACTACAGAAATTACAACCCTACTTTCCTCATTTATTGCACCCTTGTCTAGGCTCACACATGTGTCTTCTTCATAGGTGCTATGACAACCTCACGTAGGGTTTCAGATCTTTCAGACTCTCTGCATTTTCCTTGTGGAGGACTAATGAAGCCTTGGAGAAATGCTGTATAACAGTGTCTTTTTGCTCTTGACCCCCTTATTTTGAGTTTTGTTTTTTTTTTTTTTTTTTTTTTTTTGAGATGGAGTCTTGCTCTGTCACCCAGGCTGGAGTGCAGTGGCACGATCTCTGCTCACCACCAGCTCCACCTCCCTCCCAGGTTCATGCCATCCTCCTGCCTCAGCCTCCTGAGCAGCTGGGACTACAGGCGCCTGCCACCACACCCGGCTAATTTTTTGTATTTTTAGTAGAGATGGGGATTCATCATATTAGCCAGGATGGCCTCGATCTCCTGACCTTGTGATCCGCCAGCCTCAGTCTCCCAAAGTGCTGGGATTACAGGCGTGAGCCACAGCGCCCGACCAAGCTTTTCAAAACTGAGATCAGTTCAGGTGTTCCCAGGGGTCTTCGTTTGCTTTCCAATCAATGTGGACCTCCCCAAAGGTAATTCATAACCCGATATGTGTTCCTGTAGCCTCACCTATCCAAAAACATGAGATACCTTGTCTCCCCAATGCTGAAGGTAGTTTTTCCTTCTACTATACACATTATCATTGATTTCTTATTTATAATTACTGACTCAGGATGCTATCAGCTAAAAAATTGAAAACCCAACCAAGTGTGGCTTAAACAAGGAGAAAAATGTATTCCTTCACGTAACAAGAAGTCCTAAGTTAGGACAGTTTCAAATAGGTCAATTCAGCAGCTCTATAACACAATTAAGAACACAGGTTTTTTTTTCCCCTCTTTCTGTCTCTCCACTCTAGTCAGCACACTGACCTATCCTCTTGGGCTGGCTTCCCTCATGGTGACCAAGATAGTGGCTCCAGACCTCATACTCTCACATAGTAACCACATGACAGAAGATGGGAGCCAACACTATCCTTTACTTAGGCACCTACTTAAAAGATAGGAGAACTTTACCTAAAGTCCCACAGCTGACTGTGCATCATGTTTCATGGGCTGGAATTGTGTCCCATGTCCATTCCTCAACCAAACACTGACAAAAGGGATGGAACTTAGATCACTGACTTAATCAATTCACTTCCTTGGGCTAAGGAATGACCTGGCCTCCCCATAAAGGAGATAACTACCAGATGTATTTTAAAAATCAGCGTCTGTTAACAGAGAAGTAAATTGGAGAATGACTCCTGAGTAGAAAACAGACAGAACCTACCATTCGCTATCTCCAAAAGAAAACTCAGGTCCAATAGTGCCTGTACATGCCACAGAGCAGTGCAACACAGACCCCTTTGCAGATCATCCACTTCCAGGTTAACTCAGAGGCAGTCATATTTCACCTGGAAGCTGCTACCAAAGCCAACACAAAGGAGGCCAGAGATGAGACAAAATAAAATAATCTTTTGTTTTAAGTACAGGCTACAGAATGTGTCTCTGAGAGAAATGGAAGTAGGACATAAAGGACGTAAGATTATTTGAATTGTGAATTGTGCTTTCCTAAGGATCTAACATATAATGCTGTAGTATTTTAACCTTCTTGTATCACATGCATCATAATGCATGGGCTTATTATAAGCGATGTTTGATTGTAGTCTGACTTTCCCAAGTTTGCAATAAATGCAATTTTGGATTGGAATAAAAATTTAGGGCAAAATCTCCTTGGTTACCACAGAGCCAAGAAGTAGAAGGATTCTGAGAATTGATTCCATTAGGTATAGCTGTGCCTGTCAAGATGAGGAAGGGCTTTTGTTTTGTTAATGATCCTGGATCTTGTTTCTCCATGCCAGACCTCCCCTACTGATGCTAGAAATCACTAACATCTGACTGTGAGATTATTTTCAATTTTGAATAACTACAAGTTTCCTTTTATTTGACAGCTGCTTCTCCAAAGGGTACTGAGTACACTCAGGTGACTGGAGTATCTACTCTGATGTTCTTATCACCCAAAACTGTTTCCACACTTACATAAAGCACGCTACATGATCTCAGCCAGGTGCCTAGAAGCATTCTGTATAGATGAGTCCTTGTCCTTTGATCCAGTTAATCCAATGCCTCATAACAATAACCATCCCACAATGCAGTGGCTTAAAACAACCATTTTATTTTGCTCACAATTGTGTGGGTCAGGAATTTAGGAAGGGTTCAGCTAGGTGCTTGGTCTGTGGTCCACATGGCATCAGCTAGGGAAGGCAGGGCTGGGAGACCACCTTATATATGGCTTCCTTACTCATGAGTCTGGCACCTTGACCTCTCTCTCTACACAGTACCTCCTCCTCCAGGGCCTCTCCACATGGGGATTGGGCTTCTCACAGCACATTGTTCTCAATGTGCCCTATTTCTTACACGGTGACTGGCTTCCAAGATGCAGGAAGCAGACGTTATCAAACCAATTAAGGGCTGTGCCTGGAGCTGCTGCAGCATTATTTACATTCTATTGGTCTAAGTAGTCACAGGGCTTTCCCAGGTTCAAGAAAGTGCAGAGAAAGAGTCTCAGCCTTGATGGGATTTGGCAAGGTAACTATATTACTCTATCTTGCTATAAAGGCATACTTGAGGCTGGGTAATGTATAAAGAAAAGAGGCTTATTTGGCTCACAGTTCTGCAGGCTGTACAAGCATGACTCCAGCACCTGCTTCTGGCTAGGACTTTAGGATGTTATTTCTCATGGTGGAATGTGAAGGGGAAGCAGGCATGTCACGTGGCAAGAGAGGGAGCAGGAGAGAGGTGTGAAGTGCCATACTTTTCTACAACCAGCTCTCATGTGAACTAATAGGGCAAGAACTCACTCATTACTTTTGGGAGGGCACCAAGCTATTCATGAAAGATCCACCCCCAACCCATGACCCAAACATCTCCCATCAGGCCCCCCATCCAACACTGAGGGTCAAATTTAACATGAGATTTGTAGAAGACAAACATCCAAACTCTATTAGTGACATTTCAGAAAGGCATATAGAAGGTATTATTGTGGCCATCTTTGGGAAGCACAATCTACCATATCCTTTTACTTATTTTAATTGTGTAACAATTCTCTCTTCCTTTCTATTAGACAGGCTTCTTGAGGATAAACCATGTGTGATGCTCTTATAAGAAGCCACAAATACCCTGTATGGGATGTCACAAATATTCATCAGTAAGTGCTGACCAACTCAAAGGCTTAAAATTCAACTCATTGATGAATCACAGAAGATCCAATGACTGACTCAGATCCACCCACTGTTCTTCAGTCCGTCTTACCCTTACTGGTAGAGCAAAACTATACCAGAGAGACCCTCGTTCCTTTTAAACCAAGCCTGACTGCCAAGACTCATGGGAGCCACTGATGAGTATCACATCTAGGGAGAAGGACATAAAGATGACTTCAAGGACTTGGAAAGTTCAAAGGGAGTGATAAGATAAAAGATGAGAAAGGCAAGAGAAGGGAAAAGACAAGAGAATTTCCAGCACCAGAAACTGCTATGAGTTAAGCAACAGGACTTTATAAAAAGGCTATCTGAAAGCTCGCAGAGTCACTGAGAGGCTGGGGACTGGACTCAGAAGAGGGCAGGAGTGTGGGAAATCTGGTACAACCAGAACAAAGCCAAAGCCATACCACAGAATCAGTCCAGGGAGGACACTGTGCCACTGCCTCTGTTCACCGGATGCCATGGCTTGCATGGTTGCTGCCTGGATCACTGCTATTGCTACCCTGGAAACCGGAAGTGCTATTGCAGCTGCCTCCACCCATGACAGTGATCATGTGCTGTGCCTGCTCCCTAGTGCTGTTCCCAGAAAGGTGCATCTGACTGGCTGAGTGGGTCACATGTCCACACATACCGCAAAGGGAAGCTAAGAGAGTGAGTACCATTGTCAGCTTCTTTCCCCCACCAAGGCTCATAAAATGGTGTTCCCTAAAATAGACAGGAAGTTCAGATGATGGACAGCCAAATCATGGACAAATGTCCACTTTATAACCATTATGGATAGTTTATTCCCTAACCATTTGTGGAGACCCTGCCATATGCCAGGCACTATTCTAGGCACTAAGAATACAAAAATAAATAGGAAAGACATGGGGCTTATCTTTTTGTGGGGTGGGGGAGGGAAGACAATAAATAAGGTATTTCAGATAGTGATAAATGCAATGAAGAAAATAAAGTTGTGTACTAGGATACAGGGTCACTGGGGAATGTATGGATATGTGTGGAGCATGGGGAAGTGGGCAGGGATTACTTTAATGGGATGGTCAAGGAAGGCCTCTCTGAGGAGGTAGGGGGAATTGGTCAGAGATCTGAAAGATGGGATGGAGTCAGACAACGAAAAGGCCTGGGGAAGAACCTTCCAGGAAGAGGGAGAACAGAAGCAAATGTCTTGAGGTGGGCATACATGAGCACCTCTGAAGGAAGAAACAGGAGCCGCTGTGCCTAGAGCAAAAGGAGCAGCAGGGAGTTCTGAGACAGTGTTGGAATGGCAGCCTAGCAGTATCAAGGTCTCCCTAGTTGGTGTGAGAGCAGGTGTAACAAAGGACACTTTACACCTGGAGGCATGGTCCCCTTTTTTATGATGGTGGCAGTGCTGGCTTAGAAGTAGAATTCAGAATGGTTTTGTGGATTTTCAGAAGTTTTCAATCTTCTTGGCCACGATATGCTATAAGAATATATTTTATTCCACTACCCAGCACACACACACGCACATATGCGTGGCTGCTGCCCGGATCACTGCTATTGCTACCCTGGAAACCAGGAGTGCTTCTGCAGCCGCCTCCACCCGTGACAGTGATCATCTGCCGTGCCTGCTCCCTAGTGCTGTTCCCAGAAAGGTGCATCTGACTGGCTGAGCGTCAGTCATCTTCTATCTTATCACTCCCTTTGAACATATGTGCGTGTGTATGCTGGGTACTCTCACATGTGCGTGTGTGTGTGCTGGGTACTCTTATATGTAAGATGGTTTATTTCATGTGTCAACTTGGCTAGGCTACAGTACCGATATTTGGTCAAACATCAGTCTGGATGTTGCTGTAAAGGCATTTTTTAGATGAGATTAGCACTTAAATCAGTGGACTTTGAGTAAAGCAGATTACCCTCCATAATGTGAGTGGGCCTTATCCAATTAGTTGAAGGCTTTAAGAAAAAACAGACTGAGATCCCCCAAGTAAGAGAGAATTCTGCCTCCAGACTGTCATCAAACAGAAGCTGCAACACCAAGTCTTCCCTGAGTCTTCAGTCTGCCAACCTAAATATACACATAGGTTCTATTTCCATGGAGAACTCCAACAAATACAATATGCATATATCATATATCTACATATTTATCTGTATCTATACCTAAATCTATATGTACAACAAAAGCTTCACAAAACACAATACTTACTCTTATGGCATATAACATAATCGGGCATTCCCTATTCTCTTCTATTACAGAAAATAAATACTAATAACTTATTTCAGGCCGTGAGGCCTTCTCCTCCCTTTCCCCTGAGTTTCCAGTGCCTTCATGCTGTTTCAATTCTGGGAGTGATAATGAGTCATAAAGTGGGAACATAACTTAGAACTTTCTTATTTCATCCCTTATTTTACAAACAAAGAAACTGAGGAATAAGATAAAATGATTTGTCTTTTGTTCCTTTTATCCCAAAATGTTGCCACTTGATAACAGCCATGAGAAGACTATAGCATTAAAATTACATCCTCCCCCCCTTAAGTATTTGCTTTTAAAAAAGATGACTTTCAGAGAAAAACTGCTTGAGAAAATAAAAAATGCCTGCCTGAGGGTGGATTTCAGGCCCAGTTGCAACTGAGTGAGGGCCAAGCAGGGGAAGAGCTGGGGCAGCATCTTCTGAGCTCTCTCAGGTTGCACTAAACTGCCTGCCTGCATACAAAAACCACTTTTCTTGGTAATTCACGAGCTGGTGACTCATTGCCAGTTTTTGGTTCCTTCTGGATGCTTGTGCCTGGAGCCAAGGCAGCTGTCTTTTGTTTTCTTGTATTGTTCATCATTAGAAGCTGGAGGCATGTTCTGAAAGGATGAGTCCTTTAGCCAGGAAAGGAAAGGCTCTGTCCAAAAGGCAGACAAGAGGCTGACAGGTGGATGGTGCCACAGATCCCGCATCACTTCTCCACAAAGCCCTAACACTTGCCGAAAACAAGATTTTGGTTGGGTGAGTCCACCCAGCCCTTTATTTCCTGCCTGCTGATGCTGTCCACCGAGACCCCTGGAAACTCCGTGAGGAGATGTTGCGATGAGCACGGGTCGGTGAACAAGATGGCAGGTCGTGGGCAGTGTTGTACAGACTGATGTTCTGCCAAGAAACCTGATCTACAAGACTTTTTCACTCTTGAAGCCAACTTGGCACCTCAGTGAAATGTGGAAAGTAAACAGCTTTCATTTAAAAAAATTATTTTCTGTTTTGGTTCTCTAATTTGATTCACCTTTTGTAAATAGTAGAAATATTAAGGGAGCCTTTCTTTCTTTGAAGTCTCCAGAACTAGTTATTTCTGTGCATGTCTGTCTTACTTTCCATACCAGACTGTAAATCTAAAAGCTACCATGTCTTAAACACTTAGTATCCCCCATCAGACCTATCACACTGCCAGGCACGTAATGGAGAGTTAGTAAGTATCTGTGGATGAATGAACATAGATAGGACTGATTATGTCAACTGGCCCACAAAGAAGCAGCAACCTCAGGCAAGGAGAAGGTATTTAGAAAAACTGTAAGGCAGCATTTCCCCAATTCTGAGGAAGATGGTTTTCTGAAACACTCTTCCCCAAAAGAACTTCATGGTCAAATCCATTTAGGAAACAATGCAATCGATTGTCCCATAAAGTGTAATTAAATACATATTGATATAATAAAGGCACTGAAAAGAGCTGCTGTAAAGACACCTCTATTTCTCAAAGCTCCTTGAACATGGGCCCCTGCTGCTGTTGAACTCTAACCTTGTGTAGAACTCTATAGATAAACTCATGTTTTGCAGAACACACTGCAGGAAAGTGCTGCTTTCAAGTGCAGCATAAAAGGAGTCTGGGAGTCATCACTCTGGTACTCAGAACAACAAAAAGGCTGAACAGACTGAAACTCAACAAGTTTTCTTAGATCCAACAGAGAACTGAGGTCACAGGGCAAACCAATGCTCCCAAAATTAGGGAGAGGCAGACAGGTGAATACAGAAAGTCACAGTTTACCAGAGAAGAAACCTCTGTGGGAGCCAGGTACCAATACTAAACCATATTGATGTATTGCTGAAGGCTCAGTGTGGACAAGTTTGGGAGGTGAAAACTCCAGTAGGAGCCAATCTTAAGGGGGTGCCCCACAACTCTGCGAGTGCTACCTCCAGGAATGCCACCAGATTATCAGTGAAGATCTGAGCAAAACTCCCTGTACATCAGGAGAAAGTCACCATTTTGAAATATGCCAGAGCATTCTGTTCTTCTAATGGGGTCTCCCTCAAGGGAAGCTACTTTCCAGAACCTAACCAGCTGGGGTTCTGGTAGAGCCTAACTGACCTAGGGGAATGGAAATACGCAACTCCAGCACCCTGTAGCTATCCTGTCTAACCTAACGGGGAAAAACAGAAGCACCTGGGAAGGCCACAGCCCTGACTCACAGTGTCACTAGCAGACTGAGACCTAGTCACGGGACTACAGACTGCTTCCCCTCCACATCATCAGGGCTCCTGTACAAAGACAGGGAAATACAATGGAAACTTGTGGAGAGGCCCAACATGAATGGTTATGACTAAAGAGGGCTAGTAGAAAGAAAGCACCAGTAATGCTGAGAGAGATGCTATTTCCTCCACCTACCATAATTTCCTCTGCCCTCTACTTCCTGTGTTTGCTCCCCTCATCCACCATGCCTCCCACCTACCCCAATCCTATCCATTCTCCAAGTTTCTCCTCTTGCATGAGGCGTCCTGAGGACTCTGGCACACATACAAGTTAACACTTATATCCCCAGATTCAAACATTAGCTGTTTTTTTTTCCTGATGGTTTTATATTACCTCTTTAGAGTATCAGTTTCTTGAGAACAGGGATGTATGAATTACTTGGTGAACTTCACCTCCTGGTGTGTAGCATCACTTGTTGGAGCAAAAGAGCCCCAGAAGCCAGCAGAGCTCAGGCAAGTGTTGCATGGGAGAAGCAAAGATAAATCAAATCTAGATCCTGCCCTCCAGGAGTTTACCCGTTGATAGACTGAGCAGGAAGAGAATGGCTGCTGGTTAGCCCATGAGTTGGCTCTTTTTGCACAAAAGGAAAGACTGTGTAAATACAGGAACTATCCCTGAAGAGGGCAGTAGACTCTCTGTGGAGCTTCTCTGGACTAGATCCTTCAGTGCAAAGCCTGGGTGGGCTGGGCACTGCTCTCAACAGCATGCGTCTAAGACCTGCTCACAAATTGCAGGTAATTTTACGCCTGAACTGCTGTGATTTATTGCACTGAAGCAAGAGGGGAAAAAAAAACCAAAAATGTATAAAACATGACACTTTGACCCTTAAAGGTAGTGTGATTTCATCTCCAAACTACCTACCATTTGGCAAGGGGTTGGGTTAAGTTTCTAAGGAAGGATTGGGTCTAATCTGAATTACCTAAACCAGAAGATGCTTTCAGTCTAGACTTATTTCTTTCCTTTAGGGAAAAACATCATGGTGTAATGAAAAGAGTTAAAGAGTTGGTGCTTTGAGGTAGCAGGCCTGTCCCCAGTCCACCTCTCCCTTCCTAGCCAAAGTTACCTTTCTGAACCCAGGTTTCTTCATCCCTGCAATGGACAATAATGACTAACTTGCAGATTTGTTGTGAAAGTTAGAGATAATGTGTTCAAAATGCCAAGGATAATATTGGATATGAGTTCTCATTATTGAGATAGAAATCCACCTGTTCAGTAACGCTCCTTCCACTAAAACTGCAAAAGCAAACTCTTGTAAAATGGAGTTATTTGCCTTCTTGATATGTCTTAAATTCTGTCTCTTTCAATGCGATGTCAAAAATAACATCCTGATTAATTTTCCCAACATAAAAACACTCATCATTTTAGATCATATATCAGAAGTGATCCGTCCGGACTAAGAGCCAGTTTCATTTGAATAAGAAGACTCAGGAAAGTAGAGAGATCATGTATATATTTCACCCAGGCTGGTGCAATCATGGCTTATTGCAGCCTCAACCTCCCAAGGCTCAGGTGATCTTCCCACTTCTCCCAAGTAGCTAGAACTACAGGTGCATGCCACCACAGCTAATTTTTTTTTTTTTTTCAGAGGTAGGGTTTCACTATGTTGCCCAGGCTGGTTTTGAACTCCTGGGCTCAAGTGATCCACCTGCCTTGGCCTCCCAAATTGTTGGGATTACAGGCATGAGCCACTGTACCTGGAGAGAGATCATATATTTTATAGAACTGATTAGCTCTTTTCACCCAGACCTCACATGTAATATGAGTGCCCTATGATTATCCTAGCAGTTCAGAATGAAAAATGAGTGAAATGTTTGTGTGGAAAGGTTTGGGTAAATTTTTAGTTTGTTTTTGCCTTAGTCTGGCATAGAAGGATATTTCTTTTCCAGCTGGAAAACTTATCTGTATCTTTCTTGGCCCTTGGTTCTTCCTTCCTTCAGGAAATTTAGACCTGCCCTGTTATGCAAGTTGTTTATTGTGGGTGAAAGCTCTACATGCAGCTTCTCTTAGTTCTGGGCATTGGGAAAGTCCTTAGGGAGAAGCTCCAACCCTTATGACCTGATAGAGAGCTGAAGACAGTTCAGAAAATTCCAGGAGATTAGTGAGTTCTGCAGTTCCACAGGATCGAGATAGGTCTAGACCCAGAACTTCCCCAAGTACACTCTGATGGAGTTGGAACCAGGGGTCTCTAAGCATTTCCTCTCCTTTGTATCCGACATATTCCAGGGCCTCTAAGCCATGGTAAAGTTGGCCTCCCACTTCCTTGACCTGAACATTGCCCCATGCCCCAAGCTTGGGTCACACCCAGCTGTCCAAATATCTCAGTGTTTTTTTCTGGGGGTGGAGGGGCTGACAAGGAGTCAAGCCCTGGGTGAGATGGCAAAGCTTTTATTATGTAAGAAACCTGTTTGACTTGCTCATGCTATGGTGGAGGTTTCATAATGTTGTGTCATTCCCTTAGTAGACGTGGCTTGTGACTTGGCAGTTTCTGAAAGTGAAATTGGAATATGCAGAAGACATGGTCTCAGGTCTGCAGAAATCATGCTTTTGATATCTGATTGACTTGCCCTGGAACACTGTCTTCAACTTAGGAGTGCGCCATCTCACCTGATGTGAGAGGCTGTAAATAATTGAACTCAGGCTGGTTTACATTTCTTTTTTTTTTACAATTTAAAATTTTAATTATTACCAAACAAAAATATCCACTCAAAATACAATTCAACAATGCAACAGTCATCTTACAGCAGAGAAATGCAGAGAAAAGCAAAACTGTAAGCGACTATGAATAAAGGGTAAATGTAGTCTCAAATCCTCAAAGAGCTGTGTTTATTTCATTGACGAAAAGATTATTCGTATTCAATTCTGATTTGCTTTAAGGATTAAGATGCTCATTTTACAGTTAGCACACGTGTATATTGTCACCTGTTCCCCTTACAGAAATGTTCTTCCAAATGGTTAATGTTTCCCTTTGGTACCAGTTTTGCCGGTTCACATAAAGTATTTCATTTTCAAAACTCAGCATAAAATATAGACTGAGTCTGAAAAGATAATAAATAAACAAAGCAGAATACACAAGTTCCACATTTCAAAAGCCTCGATAACAAAAAAGAAAGATCAAATCCCTTATTAGTCTCTGTAAAGTCACTTACAAAGCTGCTGCTGATCCTGTTAAACATGATATAACTGACCTTCTTTATTAATTTTTTATTATACTTTAAGTTCTGGGGTACATGTGCAGAACATACAGTTTTGTTACATAGGTATACATGTGCCATGGTGGTTTGCTGCACTCAACAACCCGTCACCTACATTAGGTATTTCTCCTAATGCTATCCTTCCTCTAGCCCCTCACCCCCTGACAGGCCCCCGGTGTGTGATGGTCCCCTCCCTGTGTCCACGTGTTCTCATTATTCAACTCCCACTTATGAGTGAGAACGTGCAATGTTTGGTTTTCTGTTCGTGTGTTAGTTTGCTGAGAACGATGGTTTCCAGCTTCATCCATGTCCCTGCAAAGGACATGAACTCATCCTCCCTTATGGCTGCATAGTATTCCATGGTATATATGTGCCACATTTTCTTTATCCAGTCTATCACTGATGGACATTTGGGTTGGTTCCAAGTCTTTGCTATTGTGAATAGTGCCACAATAAACATACGTGTTCATGTGTTTTTATAGTAGAATGATTTATAACCCTTTGGGAAATGGGATTGCTGGGTCAAATGGTATTTCTAGTTCTAGATCCTTGAGGAATCACCACACTGTCTTCCACAATGGTTGAACTAATTTATGCTCCCACCAACAGAGTAAAGCATTCCTAATTCTCCACATCCTCTCCAGCATCTGTTGTTTCCCGACTTTTTAATGATCGCCATTGTAAGTGGCGTGAGATGGTATCTCATTGTGGTTTTGATTTGCATTTCTCTAATGACCAGTGATGATGAGCTTTTTTTCATATGTTTCTTGGCTGCATAAATGTCTTCTTTTGAGAAGTGTCTGTTCATATCCTTTGCTCACTTTTTCATGGGGTTGTTTGTTTTTTTTCTTGTAAATTTCTTTAAGTTCTTTATAGATTCTGGATATTAGCCCTTTGTCAGATGGATAGATTGCAAAACATTTCTCCCATTTTGTAGGTTGCCTGTTCACTCTGATGATAGTTTCTTTTTCTGTGCAGAAGCTCTTTAGTTTAATTAAATCCCATTTTGGCTTTTGTTGCCATTGCTATTGGTGTTTTAGACATGAAGTCTTTGCCCATGCCAATGTCCTGAATGGTATTGCCTAGGTTTTGTTCTAGGGTTTTTATGGTTTTAGGTCTTAGGTTTAAGTCTTTAATCTATCTTGAGTTAATTTTCGTGTAATGTGTAAGGAAGGGCTCCAGTTTCAGTTTTCTGCATATGGCTGGCCAGTTTTCCCAACACCATTTATTGAATAGGGAATCCTTTCCCCATTGCTTGTATGTGTCAGCTTTGTCAAAGATAAGATGGTTGTAGATGTGCGGTGGTATTATTTCTGAGGGCTCTGTTCTGTTCCATTGGTCTATATCTCTGTTTTGGTACCAGTATCATGCTGTTTTGGTTACTGTAGCCTTGCAGTATAGTTTGAAGTCAGGTAGCGTGATGCCTCCAGCTTTGTTCTTTTGGCATAGGATTGTCTTGGCAATGCGGGCTCTTTTTTGGTTCCATATGAACTTTAAAGTAGTTTTTTCCAGTTCCGTGAAGAAAGTCATTGGTAGCTTGATGGGGATGGCATTGAATCTATAAATTACCTTTTCATGATATTGATTCTTCCTATCCATGAGCATGGAATGTTCTTCCATTTGCTTGTGTCCTCTTTTATTTCGTTGAGCAGTGGTTTGTAGTTCTCCTTGAAGAGGTCCTTCACATCCCTTGTAAGTTGTTTTCCTAGGTATCTTATTCTCTCAGTAGCAATTGTGAATGGGAATTCACTCATGATTTGGCTCTCTGTCTGTTATTGGTGTATAGGAATGCTTGTGATTTTTGCACATTGATTTTGTATCCTGAGACTTTGCTGAAGTTGCTTATCACCTTAAGGAGATTTTGGGCTGAGACGATGGGGTTTTCTAAATATAAAATCAAGTCATCTGCAAACAGAGACAATTTGACTTCCTCTTTTCCAAATTGAATAACCTTTATTTCTTTCACTTGCCTAACTGCACTGGCCAGAACTTACAATACTATGTTGAATAGGAGTGGTGAGAGAGGGCATCCTTGCTTTGTGCCAGTTTTCAAAGGGCATGCTTCCAGTTTTTGCCCAGTCAGTATAATATTGGCTGTGGGTTTGTCCTAAATAGCTCTTATTATTTTGAGATACATTCCATCGATACCCAGTTTATGGAGAGTTTTTAGCATGAAAGCCTGTTGAATTTTGTTGAATGCCTTTTCTGCATCTATTGAGATAATCACGTGGTTTTTGTCATTGGTTCAGTTTATGTGATTGATTACATTTATTGATTTGTGTATGTTGAACCAGCCTTGCATCCAAAGATGAAGCTGATTTGATCATGGTGGATAAGCTTTTTGATGTGCTGCTGGATTCAGTTTGCCAGTATTTTATTGAGGATTTTTGCATTGATATTCATCAGGGATTGGCCAGAAATTTTCTTTATTTGTTGTGTCTCTGCCAGGTTTTGGTGTCAGGATGATGCTGGCCTCATAAAATGAGTTAGGGAGGATTCCCTCTTTTTCTATTGTTTGGAATAGTTTCAGAAGGAATGGTACCAGCTCCTCCTTGTACCTCTGGTAGAATTCGGCTGTGAATCCATCTGGTCCCGGGCTTTTTTTGGTGGGTAGGCTATTAATTACTGCCTCAATTTCAGGACTTGTTATTGGTCTATTCAGGGATTCAACTTCTTCCTAGTTTAGAATTAGGAGGGTGTATGTGTCCAGGAATTTATCCATTTCTTCTAGATTTTGTAGTTCATTTGTGTAGAGGTGTTTATAGTATTCTCTGATGGTAGTTTGTATTTCAGTGGGATCAGTAGTGATATTTCCTATAACAATTTTGATTGCCTCTATTTGATTCTTCTCTCTTTTCTTCTTTATTAGTCTGGCTAGTGGTCTATTTTGTTGATCTTTCCTAAAAACCGGCTCCTGGATTCATTGATTTTTTGAAGGGTTTTTCGCATCTCTATCTCCTTCAGTTCTGCTCTGATTTTAGTTTTTTCTTATCTTCTGCTAACTTTTGAATTTGTTTGCTCTTGCTTCTGTAGTTCTTTTAACTGTGATGTTAGGGTGTCAATTTTAGACCTTTCCTGCTTCTCCTGTGGGCATTTAGTGCTATAAATTTCCCTCTACACACTGCTTTAAATGTGTCTCAGAGATTCTGGTATATTTTGTCTTTGTTCTCCCTGGTTTTAAAGAACATCATTATTTCCGCCTTCATTTTGTCATTTACCCAGTAGTCACTCAGGAACAGGTTGTTCACTTTCCATGTAGTTGTGCAGTTTTCAGTGATTTTCTTAATCCTGAGTTCTTTTTCTCTGTGGTCTGTTTGTTATGATTTCCATTCTTTTGCATTTGCTGAGGAGTGTTTTTTAATTCCAATTATGTGGTCAATTTTAGAATAAGTGTGATGAGGTGCTGAGAAGAATGTATATTCTGTTGATTTGGGGTAGAGAGTTCTGTAGATGTCTATTATGTCTGCTTGGTCCAGAGCTGAGTTCAAGTCCTGAATATCCTTGTTAATTTTCTGTCTCATTGACCTATCTAATATTGACAGTGGGGTGTTAAAGTCACCTACTATTATTGTGTGGGAATCGAAGTCTCTATGGAGGTCCCTAAGAACTTGCTTTATTAATCTGGGTGCTCCCGTATTGGGTGCATATATATTTAGGATAG
The DNA here is from genome assembly GCF_000001405.40 of Homo sapiens. Lineage (NCBI taxonomy): Eukaryota > Metazoa > Chordata > Mammalia > Primates > Hominidae > Homo > Homo sapiens. The sequence continues at coordinate 106,360,993 of NC_000007.14, read as the reverse complement.
TTAGCTCTTGTTGTTGCATTGATCCCTTTACCATTATGTAATGCCCTTCTTTGTCTCTTCTGATCTTGTTGGTTTAAAGTCTGTTTTATCAGAGATTAGGATTCCAACTCCTGCTTTTTTTTTTTTTTTGGCTTTCCATTTTATTGGTAAATATTTCTCCATCCCTTTATTTTGAGCCTATGTGTGTCTTTGCACATGAGATAGGTCTCCTGAATACAGCACACTGATGGGTCTCCTGAATGCAGCACACTGATGGGTCTTGACTCTTAATCCAATTTGCCAGTCTGTGTCTTTTAATTGGGGAATTTAGCCTGTTTAACTTTAAAGTTAATATTGTTATTGTTAATTTGTTCCTGTCCTTATAATGCTAGCTAGTTATTTTGCCCATTAGTTGATGCTGTTTCTTCATAGTGTCGATGTTCTTTACAATCTGGTATGTTTTTGCAGTGGCTGGTACCAGTTGTTCCTTTCGCTATTTAGTGCTTCCTTCAGGAGCTCTTGTAAGGCAGACCTGGTGGTGATAAAATCTCTCAGCATTTGCTTGTCTCGAAAGGATTTTATTTCTCCTTCACTTATGAAGCTTAGTTTGGCTGGATATGAAATTCTGGGTTGAAAATTCTTTAAGCAAGTTGAATATTGGCCTCCACTCTCTTCTGGCTCGTAGGGTTTCTGCAGAGAGATCCGATGTTAGTCTGATGGGCTTCCCTTGGTGGGTAACCCAACCTTTCTCTCTGGCTGCCATTAACGTTTTTTCCTTCATTTCAACCTTCATGAATCTGATATTATGTGTCTTGGGGTTACTCTTCTTGAGGAGTAACTTTGAGGTGTTCTCTGTGTTTCCTGAATTTGAATGTTGGCCTGTCTTGCTAGTTTGGGGAAGTTCTCCTGGATAATATCCTGAAGAATGTTTTCCAACTTGATTCCATTCTCCCTGTCACTTTCAGGTATGCCAATCAAACGTAGATTTGGTCTTTTCACATAGTCCCATATTTCTTGGAGGATTTGTTCATTCCTTTTTATTCTTTTTTCTCTAGTCTTGTCTTCTGACTTTATTTCATTAAGTTGATCTTCAGTCTCTGATATCCTTTCTTCCACTTGATCGATTCAGCTATTGATACTTGTATATTCTTCATGAAATTCTCATGGCTGATTTACATTTCTAAATGCTAAAGACCACTCCAGTGTTTCAGATCCACCTTTTTTATAGAAGCCTGCCAAACTCACTGTACTAATTGGAATGGTAATAGCTAACAGTTGTAACAGTTTTTGAGAACTTAATAGTATCAGGCATCTTTCTAAGTGCTTTACATATATATGCTCAGTCAACATGATAACCACCTTTTGTGACAGATATTATTACTACTCCCATTTTACAAATGGGGGAAACTGAAACATGGAGTGGTTAAATCACACATCCAAAGTCATACAGCTGGAAAGCAGTCAGCTAGGAGCTGAACCCAAGAAGACTGTATCTGGAGTATCTTACACCATACTGCTGGTCCTAGAGTTGGAAGACCTAGGCTCCTGCCTTACTCCTTCACTGACTTGCAGAACAAGGTAAGAGAGATGTTACCAGGCTTCACCCACTGAATGGTATTTTTGTGAGGATCAACAGCAGAGCCAATCACCTAGTCACTCTAGCCAGAAATCTGAGAGTGGTCCAAGATTCTACCCCCATCTCTCTCATATGCACACCTCACATCCAATACAGCATCAAGTTTCACCCTTCTGGGTCCAAAAGAGACTTCCAATCAGTTCCCACCTAGTCTCACATCGTTAGAATTCATCAACCAAGCTGCTTTCTAAGATCATGTTACTTCTGGCCTTAACTTTAAAGGACATTTCTCAGGAGGCTGAGGCAGGAGGACTGCTTGAGCCAGGTAGTTTGAGATCAGCCTGGGCAACATAGCAAAACTCCATCTAAAAATTATTTTAATTTATTACATTTTTAAAATATAGAGGATATCTGTCATTTTTTGGCTGTATCTGAGCACCCTTCTATTTTGAGTGTGTGAAGTTTCCATTGTGTAAATCCGGGTGAGGGTCCATTCATTTGTTTTCTTGGCCCCCTGGAAGCTAGAGCACTTGGTCTGAATTTAACCAATCAGCTGCCCTTCTCTGAGATTTTGAGTATGAATGATATGAAGAAGCAAGAAAGGTTTAGGATTTGTACCGGTGGTGTCAATGGTAGCCAGGAACCAAGAGGGGTGATGGTTGTTGGTTGTACCTATGTGAGCACTGTGAACAGATTCCGCTTCTCTAAGCTGCCCAGCCTTCATTCCTATCCATTTTCTAAACCTAGTTCTCTAGTCTTCTCAGGAGCTCTAGGAGCTACCAAATATCTAAGACTGGTTATCTATCTTAGTTACTGAAGACAACAGCAAATTCCATCACTAATCAGAGATGGGCAACTGACAGCCTATGGCATATAGGACAGGAGCCACTAGTTGAATTATTATCTGTGGACACAAGGCATAAAAGGTCCATTGAAGATACGGCTTCGGGGAAACTGAATTGCTGCCACCATAAAATGGTTTGAAGGATATGAGAAATTTGAGGATAATACAATACTTTCTTTAAGGACTGAACAGCTAAAAGAAAGGGAATGATTAACTTAAATGACTAAACTGTGGGCTCATGACTTGGACTGAAACTAGGGACTTTCTATAACTGTCCAAAAGGAAATTCTTATCTCTTACAACCACAGCACAGAGGGAGCTGAAAACTAAAAGCACAGCTTAATCCTGTGGATTGCCAAATCACCCTGCCAGTTGAATTCACAGGCTTGCCATATCTTTTGGGTGAAATTTTTAGGGCACCAAGTCTCATTTCTGTACTTGCAACCCTTAGCCAAGAGCCTGGGCCTCACTCAATAAATCTGTGTGAAATGAACAATAAATCATCATATTAAAAGTAAAATAACTTATGTTAACATTGCTCTTTCTTCTAAATTAGCAAAGCAGCAATAAGGCAATGACTGTTATGATCACACACTATGCGATTTTACCTTCAGTGGCATTAAAAATTAGTGACACTTCTAATCCTATCACAGGCATCTCCAAGACAGACAAAAATTAGGAAGCATGCATTTCACCGTAGCTTGAAAACAGCTCCATTTTGCTGCAATTATTTCCTCTTTGGAAATTGTCTTTGGGGATTGTTTCCTCTTTGAGACTTGTAAGTGTTTAGTAAAATATCTCAATTATTTGGCGTAGCCGTGGCTTTTAAGAAATGAACAATGGGGGCTGCAACATTTCAAGAGGCAATGCTGTCTTCTTTTGGCTACACACAGAGGGATTGCCCAAGAATCCCCAGAGAGAGTGGTGGTCTAGGGATGAGCCCTTCAGAGTGTATGCCCTCCATGACCTAGGTGGGCAGGGCTGCAGAGGGAAAGTCAACCAAGGGCCAAACCCTCTTTTTTCATTGATAGTAGAATCAGCCCAATATCTTCACTGGATCCTCAGTTCCTGGCTGCTGACATGTGATGTACAGTTTATGTGGTACCTTTTCAGACTTCAAGTATCTGGACAGGTGTGACACAGACACCTGTTCTTGCTCTGTGAATACTGAGTAAGGATCTCAGACTTCCTGCCCCTACCAAGTTGCTGTTGTGTATCCAAACCCCTCACTGTATCATAGTCATTGCTCTTTCCTAATCCAAAAGTCTCAGCATCTCATTTCAGAATGAACTTATTAGCTGCCTTCTAAGTGCCAGGTCTGAATGCAAGTCCCAGTTTTCCCATTTCCTATCTATGTGACTGTGGGCAAGCTACTTCACTTTTCTGTTCCGCTGGTTCTTCATCTATAAAATAAGCATAATACCTCCTGCCAGAGGTATGATGAGAGTTAAGTATTACAGAAAGTATATATCACACTATGTGGCCATGGTCAGACCTCATTATTATTTTTGCAACCAGTCCATCAGGTTCCATGCCTCCTGTGACCACCTTTGACGCAGTGGTTGGACTAACTTCCATGTTTGTTCTCCTACCTCTACACTTTCAGACCTTCTATATTAAAAAGGGTCTGTGTAATTCTAAAGTCTTTCAACAGAATGCAGGCTATTAGGCTGGCACAAAACAGAAATCTCCTGTACTTCAGCACTTGGCTCAGGATCTTTTCAGAAAACTGCAACTGATATTCCCAAAAGATAGGAAAGGAGTCAGGTCTCTTCTCACAGGTTGACTCTCACCTGAACTGACTAAGCGCTGCTTCTCTTTGGTGCTTATTCCACTGGTTCTGCTCAAAGGTAGCTTTTGCTTTCATCGTCTCTCCTTCAGGACACAGTGAATCATGTAAACAATCATGGTTTCTTCTTTGCTGTGGCTGCTAAGAAAAACAGGGTCCTCTCTGGAAAATAGTCAGAACACAGGGATTCTCTGCCTCGTGTTTAAGGATCTTACCCTTAAGATCTCTGTAACTGAACCAGCAATTTCACTTCTAAAATTTATTCTACATAAATACCCACAAAACTATAAAAATATGTATGTGTAAGAATGTTTCATTGGAGCACAGTTAATAATAGAAAAAAAATAAGAAAACTACTCACGTGCACACCAACAGGGATAGTTTAAGTAAATTATGGACCATTTATACAATGGATTAGTAACCAGCCATTAAAATAAAGCATTCGATCTACATAAACTGCCATGGAGAGGCTAGGATACATTCCAAGCCAGTAACAGTGATTTCTCAAGGGAGCCGACTTAAACAGGGAAAAGGGAGCTTTTCACAGATTACTTCATATAGTTCTGTGACATTTGAATTCTTACAAGTATTACTTTTGCAATAATTTCAAAAAAATCTTAAGACATCACAACCTTTCACCTTTTACTTGGTGTAGTTTTATTATTATGTTTGAACTCTTAGAATAAATATGTATTGCTTTTGGAATAATTTTCAAAGATAATCTTCAGCCCTCCCAATTGTATTTCAACAAAATTTCCTGTTCCCCACTTCCACCGTGTCTACCTCCAGATCAGAGGTGAGCTGTGAAAATCCTTCTTGTAGCAGTAGGATTTATCCTGTGAGACTCATGTGGAACAATAAAAAGACAAGTTTTGGATGAATGGCTGAAGGTCAACAAATCTTCATCTTATCAACTTAGAGGGCAATCCCTCATTTATTCACTCAAAAAACAATTTCTGGAGGCCCTACTGTAGGTGCTGTTCTAGGAACCAGAAATACATATACAAGACTGGCAATGCCATGCTTCAGTGGAGCATTCTTTCCAGTGAAAATCTCTCTAATTAAAGAAAATTATTTCTTTTGTTCTGCATTTCTTAAGTCGTACACCAGGCATGTTTTGAACCTGATCTTCTTCGATCAGCCTTCTGGAGGTGATCAGATATTGGAGATGCCCTTGGCCATAATATCTTGTCAGTAACTTTCAATGACAGAGGTAATGAAAGTATTTTGTAATATCCCCGATACAGGAACATGAAAATCATCCCAATTTAAAGTGTTCTAAAATAAGGTCACTGATCTTTTTAAAGAATTTTAATAATATTTCTGTGGAGAGTCCATGTTGTTATATTTATATATTCATTCATTCATTCATTCAACAAATATTTAATGGGTGTTTGCTGTGTTCAAGGCATTAGGCTTGCTTTGGTGAAAGAAATTAAGACAAAGACAAGCTCCCTGATCATGAAGAATTTATCCCATGTAAGAGCAATAAGCTGAGACATACAAATGTTACCTAGATGTGTTCAAGTTCTTCTTCAGGTCCGACTTACACTTTTCTTTAACACTCCGTTAACGACAGCCGGAATCCCTATCCTCTTGACCACATGAAGTCCTGGTAGTTAACAATTTCCTCTCCCAAATCTAATTTTCTCTGGGAAACTTAGAGGAGAGATCACATGTTCCTCAATTCCACTCCCACTGTGGTTGTAGCCTCCGCCCACAATATGGTGTTCGTTTCTCTCCAGCTACTGTTGCGACCTTGTGGCCTGATCTAGAACTTCCAGTACAATGCTGAATAGCAGTGGTGACAGTAGATATCCTTGACTTGTCCCTGATTTTAGGGAGAAGATACCCAGTCTTTCACCATTAAGTATCATGCTAGCTGTGATTTTTCCTATGCCCTTTATCAGGTTGGAAAGCCCCTTATAATGCTTTTCTGAGAGTTTATGAGGAATAGATTTTTAATTTAATTTTGTCAAATACTTATTCTCTATTCTGATAATCATGAGTTTTGCTTTTTAGTCTGTTACTATTGTGAATTACATTCACTGACTTTTAAAAGTTAAACCAACTTTGCATTCCTAGGATAAACTCCACCATTCATGATATATTACCCTGTTTAATAGATTATTCGATGTATAAAATTTAGTTTAGATTTTTTGCACATATTCTCATTAGAGATGTTGGTCTATAGTTTTTTTTTTCCTTTGTGATGTCTTTATCTGACTTTATTATAAGGTAATTCTAGTCTCATAGAATGAGTTGGGAATAAGTCCCTTCATTTTTTGGAAGTTTTTGTATAATTGATTTCTTTCTTTCTTAAATGTTTAGTAAAATTCACTAGTGATGGTATATGGCCCTGGAATTTTCTTTGTTGGAATATTCTGGTTACAAATTCTATTTAATAGATACAGGGACAGTCAAGTATGTTTCTTCTTAAGTGAGTTTTGGTAATTTGCATCTATTAAAGAATTTATTTCATCTCAGTTGTCAAATATATTGACATAATGGATAATATTTCCTTGCGTTCTTTTTAATAATTCAAAAATCTATAGTTACATCACCACTTCCACTCCTGATATTGGTAATTTGTGTGTCCTTTATTTTTTTTCTGATTGATCTAGCTAGAGATGTATCAATTTTATTGATCTTCTCTAAGAACACACTTTTGGTTTTATTGATTATCTTTATTGGTTTTCTGTTTTATCAGTCACTGATTTACACTCTAATCTTTATTATTTCCTTTCTTCTGCTTACTTTAGGTTTAATTTGCTCCTCTTTTTCTAGTTGTTTTATAGGGTAAACTGAGATTATTAATTTGATCCCTTTTTTCTTTTCTAAGGTAGGTATTTAAGCCTATAACTTTCACTTTAAGTCCTGCTCTAAATGCAACACATTTTTATATGTTGCATTTTCATATTTATTCGGTTCAAAATACTTTGTAATTTCCCTTTTTGTTTCTCCTTTGTCTCATGAGTTATTTAGAAGTGTGTTGTTTTGTTTTCAAATATTTTGGGATTTTCCTGAGAGATTTCTATTAATTTCTAATTTAATTCCAGTAGGATAGGAATATATATTTAGTAAAATTTTAATCATTTTAAATATATGAAGACCTTTTATGGTCTAGAATATGTTCTGTCTTGGTAGGTCTCCTATGTGCACTCAAAAATAATGTGTAATCTGTGCAGGTGGGAATGTAAATTAGTACAAACTCTATGGAAAACAGTATGAAGATTTCTCAAAGAACTCAAAGTAGATCTACTATACAATCCAGCAATCCCACTACTGAGCACTCAAAGGAAAATAAGTCATTATATAAAAAAGACACCTGTACCCATACGTTTATCTCAGCATAATTCACAATTACAAAGATATGGAACCAGCCTAAGTGCCCATCAACCACTGAGTGAATAAAGAAAATGTAGTGTATATGCACCATAGAATACTACTCAGCCATAAATAAAGAATGAAATAATATTTTTTTGCAGCAACTTGGATGGAGCTGGAGGTCATTATTCTAAGTAAAGTAACTCAGGGATAGAAAATCAAATACTGTATGTTCTCACTTATAAGTGGAAGCTAAGCTATGGGTACACAAAGGCATAGGGTGGTATAATGGATACTGGAGACTCAGAAGTGGGGAGGTTGGGAGGGATGAGGGATAAAAAGTCCATATTGGGTACAGTGTACACTACTCAGGTGACAGCTGCACTAAAATCTCAGACTTCATCACTAGACAATTCTTCTGTGTAACCAAAAACCACCTGTACCCCAAAAGCTATATATATATTTGTGCGTATATATAAATTAATGTGTAATATGTTGTTGCTGTTAGGTGACTTGTTGTGTAAAGTCAACTAGGTCACTGGCTGTTAGTGTTTTATCAATATCTCGGGCAGGGATTTTCAAATCACTTACCATGTTTGTAAGTCTGTCTACTGCACTTGCAATTCTATCAGTTTTTACATTTTGCATTTTCAAGCTTAATATTTGGATACATAAGCATTTGCGATTGTTAGGCTTTCGTGATGAATTGACACCTTTATCATTATGAAATGACCCTCTTTATCCCTAGTACTATTTTTCTTTAGAAATCTACTTTTTCTGATATTAATACAGCCATTCCAGCTCAAATTTAATTAATGTTAGCATTAATTAATGGCATTTCTAATCCAGTCCTATGCTTATAACCTATTTTTGTTTCATACTTAAAGTGGATTTCCTCTAGGCAACATATAAAGAGATCTTTTTAAAAATAAATCCAATTTGACCATCTCAGGCTTTTAATTAGAATGTTTAGACCATTTACATTCATTTGAATGTTAATATGATTGATTTTAAATCTATCATCTTGGTATTTTCTAATTCAACTAAAAATTTTACTTCTAAAATTAATACTACAGAAATACACACAAAACTAGAAATTTTTACCATCTGTCATTTGTTACGTTTTCCCAATTTTTCTATATTCTGTTGGACTGAGAATTTTATGAATCCATTTGTTTTCTTCTTTGGGTGACTATGATTACTTGCTGCATTAATTTTTGTTGTTGTTTAAGAGAATCAGGGCCAGGCGCAGTGGGTCACACCTGTAATCCCAGCATTTTGGGAGGCCGAGGCAGGCGCATCACAAGGTCAGGAGATCGAGACCATCCTGGCTAACACGGTGAAACCCCATCTCTACTAAAAATATAAAAAATTAGCCGGTTGTGGTGGCGGATGCCTGTAGTCCCAGCTACTCGGGAGGCTGAGGCAGGAGAATGGCATCAACCTGGGAGGCAGAACTTGCAGTGAGCTGAGATGGCGCCACTGCACTCCAGCCTGGGTGACAGAGCGAGACTCTGTCTCAAAAACAAAAACAAAAACAAAAGAAAAAAAAAAAGAAAATCAGGTAACATATTCAGAAAATGTTTGACTCAGTAGTCAGGGAAAAATCCATCCTTATAGTATTGGTATGGTTTTCCAGTGCTTAAGATTTCTTGGTGTAAATGCAGATTTCCAGTTGGTATTATTTTCTTTCTGCCTAAAGGACTTCCTTTAAAATATCTTTTGTGAAACAGTGCTAAAGATAAATTCTTTATTTTTTGCCTGCATTTGTGAAAGATTTTTGCTGAATATAGAAGTCTAGCTTGTCAGATGTTTTTCTTTCAGTACTTTAAAAATACTGCTTCACTGTCTTCTCCCATGCATTATTTCCCACAAGAAGCCTGATGTCTTTCTTATCCTCTTTCCCCTACACATGTCATTGTTCTGGATGCTTTTAAGATTTTCTTTTTATCACCGGGTTTAACAGTTTGATTTTGAAGTGACTTGGTGTAATTTTCTTCATGTTTCTTATGCTTGAGGGTCATGGTGGTTTGGGGACTCATGGGTTTATAGTTTTTATCAAATTTTGAAAATGTTTGGCCTTATTTTCTTGAATATTTTTTCTATTCTATCCACCTCCAAATTTGAGACTTCAGTTATCCAGAGTTTAAGCCTCCTACAGGTTCCCATTTCTCTGTTTAATATTTTTTCTCTGTATGTTTTATTTTGGATCATATATATATATATGTATATATATATACATATATATACACATATAAATACATATATATATATATATAAAATCTTCAAGTTTACTAGTCTTTCCTTCTGCAGTGTCTAACCAGTGCACTTTTACTCTCAAACATTGTTAATTTCCATCCCTAAAAGCTACATTTGTGTCTTTTTATGTCTTCCCTGTTGCTGCTTAGCATCCTCAATCTTCCCTCTAGCTTCTTAAAGTTAGAACATAGCTATAATGATGGTTTAATGTCCCTGTCTATCAATTCTGTCATCTGTGTCATTTCTAGGCTGATTTCTACCCATTGATTTTTCTCATCATGACCCCAAAATGTGGGTCATATTTTTCTGCCTCTTTACTTGTCTAGTGTGGCTGGCAAAACTCTAACATGACCTCAGTGACAGATGCTTTTTTGTAACCCCCTAGCCTTGATGAAGTAATATGACTTTTATAATTATATTACATGTCCAAAGACAAGATAACATTTCAAAGATGAAAGTACCAAATCAACTGGATTAATCAAGAGAGAAATTGACTTTGGTAGACCTGACACAATCAGATGATCTCTTAACAAGGAAGCTAGAGAGAAGAAACAGAGAAAGCCAGAGAAATGTGTCCCTCATGGTCTTGAGGATGATGCCAACTCTATGAGTTCTACAGCTGTAAGGAAATGAATTCTGCCCATAATCACATGACCTCAGAAGAGGACACTGTGGCTCAGATGAAACTATAGCCCCAACTGTCATCTTGATCACAGCCTTGTGAGACCTTGAGCAGAGAAGTTAATTGAGCCTTGTCTGGACTAAGGTAATAAATGCGTATGTTATCTTAAGCCATTTCATTTGTGGTTCCCTTAGTCAGTTTGGGCACTTATAACAAAGTACTTCAAACTAGGTGGCAGAAATTTATTTGTCACAGTTCTGGAAGCTGCAAGTCCAAGATCAGGATGCCAACGTGATTGGGTTTTAGTGAGGGTATTCTTCCGAGTTACAGACTGTCAGCTTTTTGTTGTATCCTTACATGGTGGAAAGAGGGCAAGAGAGCTTTCTGGTTCCTTTATAAGGGCACTAATCCTATTTGTAAGAGCTCCACCCTCATGACCTAATTACTGCCCAAATTTTCACCTTCTAATACCATCACATTGAGGTTAGAATTTCAACATATGAATTTGGGGGGGAAACACACCTTTAGTCCCTAACAGTGGTAATTTGTTAGGCAGCAACAGAAAATGAACACACCTGGTAACAGTCGATTGTATGCCAGGTATTGTCAATTTTAACTTGTTCAATTTGTATTCCTAAAAATACTCTTGATCTTTGTCCTTAACACAGTTAGATTACTTGGCAACAGTTAAATCCTCTCAGGAATTGCTGTTAGGCTTTCTTCTAGAAAGTGTTTCATCTAGAATGACTTTTCCCTGACTACTGAGTCAAACATCTTCTGTATATGTTACCTGATTCTCCATAAATCATGAGCTTTTCCACTCTGGCTGTTGGGAACAGAAACTTCTCCAGGCCCTGGGTGAGCTCTGAGTATTATTCTCTCTAATCCTTTGAGTAGTTCTTTCCCCAGCCTTGGCTAATTTGCTCAGATACAGGCTTTGATCAGTACCCAGCTGAAGAATCAGGGGACCCTTTGCTGATCTCCAGAGTTCTCTTCTCTCTGCTGCTCTGCCCTGAAAACCCTAGCTGCCTTGGCCTCTCCTCTCTCCCAGCTCTGAGTCCTCCACGCAGGGAGGCATCCAGGTTCTGCCTGGCTTCTCCTCCCTACACCATGCCTGAAAACTCTTGTCAAGGCAGTAAGCTGGGGCAATGATAGGCTATTTCATTTGTTTACCATCTCACTGTATTTTATTGTCTGATACCCAATGCCTTAATATTCATATTTTTTTCTTATTTTTTAGTTGTTTCAGGCAAGAGGATATATTCAGTCCTTGTTGCTCCATCTTGAAATAATTGGCTATCCTTATTTGTATTATTATTTTAGTAATTAATTTATGAGTGCAATATAATCCTTAACTTTACCATTTACATTTAATAATGTACTACTCAAGTAAATTAGAAAAACCTGGAAGCCATTGGTTCCATAAGCCCTTCATGATTCATGTTATAATTATTATATCTGTTACATCTATGTTTGTTATAAATCATAGAAGATACTGTTATAGTTTCTCTTTGAAGAGTTATGTGAGTCACATAAAGAAGTTAAGAGGAAAAATCAAAGACAAAAATTATTTTGTATTTATAATTTTTTATGTTATTTCTTCTTTTTATGGAGATACTAATATCATCTGGTATCATTTACCTTTAGCCTGAGGAACTTCCTTGGCCATTTCTTTTAGTGCAGGTCTGCTTGTAATGAATACTTCTAGGCTTCTTTCATCAGAAAATATCTTTATTTTGCCTTTGTTCTTGAAGAATATTTTATCTGGATATAGAATCTGGGTTGATGTTTTTTTTTTTTCTTTCAGCACCTTAAAGATATTTTACCACTCAGTTCTCCGTGGTTTATGATGAAAACTCAGCTGTTAATTAAATAATCGTTCTATTATATATGGTGTTTTCTGTTGATAGTCTGAAGACTTTTCTCAATCTTTGGCTTTAAACAGTTGGACCATGATGTACCTTGATGTGGGATTGCTTATGTTTCTTTTACCTGATGTCCTTTGAGCATATTTATTTGTAAATTTCTGTCTTATCAAATTTGGGAGATTTGGGGGGCCATTTTTAATCATCTTTTTTCTATTTTTTTAATCTCTTCTCCTAGGACTCCAATTACACATATATTGGAACATTTAATATTTTTGTACCAAGTCCCTGCACTCTGTAGGTTTTTTTCCAATTTTTTTTCTCCCTGTTTGTCACATGGAACAATTACTATTTATCTATTTTTCACTTCACTTACTCCTGCCTCTGTCACTTCCACTCAGCTGTTCTCTTCAGTGATTGTTTTAGATCAGATATTACATTTTTTAGTCCTGGAATTTCAATTTAGTTTTGTCTGCTTTTCTCTGTTGAATTTTCAATTTTTCTTTATTTATTGAGCTCATATTTTGTTTTGTTTCATTGAATATCATTATAATAGCTGTTTAAAAATCCTTGTCTGTTGTATCTAACATCTTATCTGAGGGTCTCAATTGATCTTCTTTTCTTGATACATTCCATTTTTCTTGGTTCTTTTTTGTTGGGAAATTTTGGATTTACCCTGGACTTTATGAATATCAAGCTGTGCAGATTATTGATTTTATTGCTTCTCTAACAAGTGGTTTTCTTTGGCTTATGCAACTTTGTTTCTTGCATCTTAACTCTAGTCTCAGTTCAGATCATTTGTCTTTAGTTGAACTGCCTTTGGTCTGTTTCATGCATATGTCATTCAGGAATCAGTCAGAGAAATCATTAGACAAAATTTTGGGGATTTGCTCTCTGTTTCTTTCTCTTTGGGAATTCTCCAACTCTCTCCATCAGCCATGGATTCCCCTACCAGAGAGATGGTGGGTTTTCTACTGATGCTTCTACCACACTGCCACTGTGCACACTCAGTGGGTTGCACTGAGACCAAGGCTAGAAGCCACAGACACAGGGCACTTACTTCATACTGCTTCCTCTTCCAAATATTTATTCTTTGCCAATGTCTTTCTGCTTCTGTTCTCTCTCTAGTGCCTTCAAGTAGTTGCTTTTTGCTTTATGTTTAGGTTTTATAGTTGTTTTACTGCAAGGGAATTTTTCACAAGGGTCTTATTCCATCATCACTTGAATCGGAAGTCCCTCTCAGTTACCTTTTAAATTCAAGAATCTTGTCACTCAAAGTCAAAACATTTTCTCCAGGGCCTTGCAGAGACTTGTTCACATAATGAAAAATGTCCGCTGAGAAGGCAACTTTTTGTAGCCATTGTTCATCAAAACACTTAACGAAACTTGCCCAGTATGATATTGAAAGTACTTTTGAATTTCATCTTTTAGCTCAAACACCCTGTTGAAAATGCTTCCTCTGCTGAGCCACCAAATTTCTGTGTATAGCAGGATATTTCTGTGGCCTTTATCGACACCTTTTCAGTTTTAAAAGTATTCTCAAGTTAGCCTTTATATAACAAAGATAGCCATTTTGTAATATTATCTAAAACTTTCATTTCATCTCCAAGAATGTTTGACATTCTCTTTGAAGAAGCCAATGTGTTGTGAAAATGTGAGAAACTTTTTTCATTTAATAAGATGCAAAAGCTCTCATAGAACCAAATTTGACAGAGCACTATCAGTGTTCATGTCAATGTAGTTCTTAGACCTTTTGTTTATAGATATGAAGGCCAAACATTAATTATATCTTGGCCTTTCCTTGTTATGGGCCACTCTTTGTTTTCTTGAATTTCACAATTACTTGCAAATCTTACAAATGCTAAGTATGACATTTATTGGTGAAATCCCCTGACTCATCAACCTAGAAAAGGAAGCTGCGGTTTTTCAGGGTATGTCACAAAACCTCTTCAAAGTTGTGTGACGTGTCATCAATACTTCACCATATGACACTGTTTGAGGCTGTGGAACCTTTTCAGTTTCTTGTAGTGCATCTTTTCCTAGCCTTTGATTCACAGTAATTTTACATGATCACATTGTTAGCCTTACCAACTGTGTGACTTTTCCTGTTTAAGACAGTAAGTTCTGCTACTAAATAACTTGCTCCCTGGTCCTTTTCACTGAATGTACCTGTTTCTTGTTTGTTTGTGTGTTTGTGTGTTTTTAACAAGAGTTACTGTTTGTTTTAAGATTCTAATAGCTGCTTAAAGTAATCAGCATCTTTACTTCTCGAATACCTATGACTTATATTTAAGGGTTTTTGTTTTGTTTGGGTTTTCTTTTTTTTTTTTTATTGGAGCCATTCCCACATCTCTAAGTTGTTTGACATAGCAGGGATTGGCAAATGACAGCCCATGGGCCGAACCTCACCAGAGGCCTGCTTTGGTACAGCCCTCAGGGCTAAGATTGGCTTTTACATTTTTAAAGCATTTAAACAAGCAGACAAAGACAAAGAAGAATATGTGACAGAGACTACATGTGATCTGAAAAACCTAAAATATTTGCCACCTGCCTCTTTACAGAAAAATCTTGCTGGCCTCCTCACATGGATGATTCTCAATAAAATAAGAAAATTTGGATAATCAGCCTATAGAAGCTCCTTGGTAAGGGTCTTTCATCATAAAGATGGACTTTTTCTGTGTCCTTTGTTCCAATCACACAGGAAAATGACTCAGAAGGTTATAATTCATCATCACTACCCTTATCAGGGTTATCCCCAGGCCTAAAATTTTCCTCTTCCATCTCACATCTCACCTTCAAAAATTACCACATTGGGTTATCAAACATGTTTATAAAATACAAACATGAGTTAAGTGTAAAACATAAGAGCATAGTAAAATTTAAAAATCCCCCCAAACTCATCAATCACTGGAGAAATCACTTTTAGTCTTTTTCAACCTATGTTTTGCCATGTTTGTAACCACAACAAAACTGGGGGCAGGAGGTGGGGCAGGGTGCAGCTGAGCCTTTAGAATGAAAATTAAATTTCCCCTCATTTTTAGTTATACTAGCAAAGCTTGTTTGGTCCTGTGAGTCATCCTGTAGTGCATAAGGGGAGTTTAGGGGAAATAGTTAGAGAAGGAAAAACTCATGTCATCCATTTACCACCCCTCTCGTCTGTGCAATATAGCACTCATCAGTTACCAGTAACCTCCCATAGCTTGCATCATAAACCAAACTGGGCACAAACAAATACAATCCTATTGCACACTGCCACAATGGGGCTGAAAGACCCCGAATGAAATTGCTGACATGTCTGCTTAGCCACTATCTATCCTCAAAGTATGCAAACTTCGAAAGTTGATGTCTAGGTTTTAAATCAAAATCTCTTACAAACCCCTAGTGATGACATATTGAACTTTAAGGTTTTGTGGAAACCAAATTGAGAAACATTGGACCAGAGTCTCTGTATTCCAAAAGATTATCTTTCATTTGTATAATCTAAAACTCCCTTAAGTCTTATTCTTCTCCAAAACTCAAAGATCTACCCTTCTTCAAAGATAAATTTAATAATCACTGGCAGAATTAAAACAGATTGTTCTCACTCTCAGCCATCAATATTTTGGAAAACATCAAGTGCGGAAGTAAGCATCGTGACTCTGTTACAGTAACAGCTCAAATATCCGGAAGAATGTGGTAAGTCTATAAACACGTTACCACTAAAGTGCTCTCAGAGTCCATGGGGAAGTGAGATCACTAGATAGAGGAAATCAGGAAGGGTGTCATAAGTGAGGTAGCACTTACCACAGATCTCAGGGAAGGGAAGCACTTCTATGGTCAACATGACAGGAAAACATTTAGAATGCAGAGAATACAATTTCTAAAAGCATGGAGGCAGAAATTTATGGAGCAGGTTAGAACAATAGTATGTGGTCCCATTTGGCTAAAGTATAGGTGACATGTAGCGGGGAAGGGAAAGGAATATTGTATTAATAAAGTGCCATGAAGCCTGAATGACAGCCGGAAGGCCTACAATGCTAAGATAAGGAGTTTGATTAAGTCGTGAGAGCTATTGGAGGTTTCTGAGCAGTAAGATGACATAACCTCATGAAAAGTATGAGATATGATTAATATAAACCCATCCCATATTGTGCCCCTTTGTAAGCTACCTGTACGGAAGAATGTGAATTGTTTCTGGCAGGATTTTTGTTGAATATATACCTTTTCTTTCATTTTCTCCAGTGAGCAGCAACACACCCTTGTAAGACAGCTGGTAGGGTTAGGAGTATTGCCTATGTCAGTGGAACGAGTTCCTCTGTCTCAGAACAGATGGAAAGCATCACAGAAGTAGGAACAGAATGAGGCCCACAGATGGCAGAGTGGTCAGGATTTGTCAAATTCTCATTAATGTATCAAACCCCCACATGGAAAAGCATAGATCCTTGTATAATCTTTGTGTGGTACTTCTGTCTGAAGAAACCCTATAAAAGCAAAAAATTACTCTCCCATGACATTACAGAAGGGAGCTGTTTGTAAAAGCGTTGGTTTCTTCAGAGGTTGGGGTCCACTGATGCCTGGCTCTAGCTTTCTCCTGCCAAGCTGCCTAATTTTGCAATTCCAGCTCAGGCTCAAATAAAACCATGCTCCAGGGTTGCCATCTTGAAGGAAGGAGACTTCATTCTGGAATCTTTGTGATGACATAGGTAAAGCACTAGAAAGGGTAGTAGATCCATGAAGAGACCAGAAGGATAAGTACAAGAAGACAGATATGCTTTACAAATAAGGACTCTCCAGGATGAGATACAGACTGTGAGCAGGCAGATAGAACATTACATAAACGTGAAGGAGATCATGGGATGGCCACCAACTCCTAAAGTGTTAGGATGAAGTGGACAGCTCTGAAAGCTTAAAAACTGCTAAAATTGATTAATTTTAAAAACTGTTGGTTTTACATTCTGTATGACTCAATATATGTAGGAATCTTGAGAAATATCAAGAAAACACAATGAAGAGATTAAGAGTAGAGAGGTTAGGAGCCACTGTGTCCTTGCCAAACAGGCAGAGTAGGAAAACAGGAAAATATTGAGGGAGGAATATAGGCATATACTACCCTGTCACAGTCAGGCTCTAGGATGCCTGCATGATCTTCACCTCTTACTATTCGTGATCATCTGAAGTCTCCTCCTACATTGAATCAGAGGTGGTCTGTGCAACCACTTGATGGAGAAGACCATGTTTAACTTCTGAGGATAGGTCATAAAAGTCACCACAGCTGTTGCTTTGTTCTGCTGGACCACTCTTTCTGGGAAGCCAGCTACCATACTGGAGGGAAGCTCAAGCAGCCCATTGGAGAAGAACCCATGAGAAATAGTGAAAGCCTCCCACCAATAGCAAGCACCAACTTGCCAGCCATGTGACTAAGCCAATTTTGAAGCCACTCCACCTCCAATCGAGCTTGCAAATTGTTACCACTGGAGGGTGTCCAGATTCTTAGTGTCTTGAACAAAGAATTGGACAAAATACACAAACAAAGCAAGGAAACAATGAAGCAACAAAAGCAGAGATTTTTTTAAAATGAAAGTACACTCCACAGGGTGGGAGCAGGAGCAAGCATAGGGTCTCAACAGTGCGATTACAGAATTTTCTGGGGCTTAAATACCCTCTAGAGATTTTCACTGGTTACTTGGTGTAAACCCTATGTAAATGAAGAGGATGAATTCAAGTTACAAAGTCATTTACTAGGTGTATGCCCTATGTAAATGAAGAGGATATTTCCTGTCATCACTGAAGTGTTTTCCTTTGATTTAGTTCTAATAAGTCCTTAGGTTCCCTGCCTCCAGGCCCTATTCTCCTGTCTTATTTCCCCCCAAAAGATGTGATCCCCATAAATCTTTATGGGAGGCAGAGGGACTGACGGTCTTTCTTCTGTAACTGCTTCATGCTGGCTCAGGGTGTAGTCCCTACCCATTGTGGATCACAGAACTCTTGTCCTGCTCTGTCTAATGGAGACAGGGTAGCTCCTTAATGACCAGGGGTGGTGTCTTCACCTGGAACTGACTGGAACCTTTGTCACATGATCATCTGAAGCTTGATGGTCTCTAGGAGAGAGGAAATGAATTTGGTTAAAAGATTTAATGGGAACTTCAGGAGGTAGATACTTATGCTCTCAGGAATGTTTGTTATAGAGATTTACAGGAGAAAAACAAAACCTCTTCTCTTCTAGGATCCATGTGTAATATGGTTTGACTGTGTCCCCACCCAAATCACATCTTGAATTCCCATGTGTTGTGGGAAGGACCCAGTGGGAGGTAATTGAATCATGGGGGCAGGTCTTTGTTGTGCTCTTCTTGTGATAGTAAGTCTCATGAAATCTGATAGTTTTATAAGGGGGAGTTTCCCTGCACAAGCTCTCACTTTGCCTGCTGCCATCCATGTAAGACATGACTTGCTCCTCCTTGCCTTCCACTATGACTGTGAGCCCTCCCCAGCCACGTGGAACTGTAAGTCCATTAAACCTCTCCGTCTTTTGTAAATTGCCCAATCTTGAGTATGTCTTTATCAGCAGTGTAAGAACAGACTAATATAGTAAATTGGTACCAGGAGTGGGGCACTGCTGAAAAGATACGTGAAGATGTGGAAGCAACTTTGGAACTGTGTAACAGGCAGAGGTTGAAACAGTTTGGAGGGCTCAGGAAAAGACAGGAAAATGTGGGAAAGTTTGGAACTTCCTAGAGACTTGTTGAATGACCTTGCCCATAATGCTGATAGTGATATGGACAAAAAAGCTCAGGTTGAGGTGGTTTCAGATGGAAATTAGGAACTTGTTGGGAACTGGAGGAAAGGTGACTCTAGCTATGTTTTAGCAAATAGACTGGTGGCATTTTGCCCCTGCTGTAGAGATTGGTGGAACTTTGAACTTCAGAGAGATGATTTAGAGTATCTGGCAGAAGAAATTTCTAAGCAACAAAGCATTCAAGAGGTCACTTGGGTGCTGTTAAATGCATTAAGTTTTATAAGGGAAGCAGAGCATAAGAGTTAAGAAAATTTGCAGCCTGAAAATGCAATAGACAAGAAAATCCAATTTCTCTGAGAAATTCAAGCCGGCTGCAGAAATTTGCATAAGTAACAAGGAGCCGAATGTTAATCCTCAAGACCCTGGGGAAAATGTCTCCAGGGCATGTCAGAGGTCTTCACAGCAGCCCCTCCCATCACAGGCATGGAGACCTAGGAGTAAAAAATCATTTCATGGGCCAAGCCCAGTGTCCCTGTGCTGTGTGCATCCTGGGGACTTGGTGCCCTGCATCCCAGCCACTCCAGCCATGGCTGAAAGGGGCCAACATAGAGCTCAGGCCATGGCTGCAGAAGGCATGCTTGCATGCAGCCATCTTGCTTGTTGAGCCTATAAGTTGGTGGTGTTGAGCCTATGAGTGCCCAGAAGTCAAGAACTGGGGTTTGGGGACCTCCGCCTAGATTTCAGAGGATGTATGGAAATGTCTTGATGCTCAGAAATTTGCTGCAGGGGTGGGGCCCTCATGGAGAATCTCTGCTAGGGCAGTGCAGAAGGGAAATGTGGGGTCAGATCCCCCACACAGAGTCCCTACTGGGGCACCACCTAGTGGAGCTATGAGAAGAGAGTCACCATCCTCCAGACCCCAGAATGGTAGATCCACCAATAGTTTGCACCATGAGCCTGGAAAAGCTGCAGACACTCAATGCCATCCTGTGAAAGCATCTGGGAGGGAGGCTGTACCCTGCAAAACCACAAGGGGTGCAGCTGTCAAGACCATGGAAACCCACCTCTTGCATCAGCATGACCTGGATGTGAGACACGGGGTCAAAGGAGATCATTTTGGAGCTTTAAGATTTGATTACCCTGCTGGATTTTGGACTTGCATGGGACCTGTAGCCCATTTGTTTGGGCCAATTTCTCCCATTTGGAATGGTTGTATTTACCCAATGCTTATCCCCCATTGTATCTAGGAAGTAACTAACTTGCTTTTGATTTTAAAGTCTCACAGGCAGGAGGGACTTGCCTTGTCTCAGATGAAACTTTGGACTGTGGATTTTTGAGTTAATGTTGAAATGAGTTAACACTTTGGGGGACTGTTAGGAAGGCATAATTGGTTTTGAAATGTGAGGACATGAGATTTGGGAGGGGCTGGGGCGGAATGATATGGTTTGGCTGTGTCCTCACACAAATCTCATCTTGAATACCCACGTATTATGGGAGAGATCTGGTGGGAGGTAATTGAATCATGGGGGCAGGTCTTTCCCATGTTGTTCTCATGATAGTGAATAAGTCTCAAGAGCTCTTACAGTTTCATAAGGTGGAGTTTCCCTGCACAAGCTCTTGCTTTGCCTACTGCCATCCATATAAGATGTGACTTGCTCCTCCTTGCCTTCCACCATACTTGTGAGGCCTCCCCAGACACGTGGAACTGTAAATCCATTAAACCTCTCTTTCTTTTGTAAATTGCCCAGTCTCAGGTATATCTTTATCAGCAGTGTGAGAATGGACTAATACAATGTATCGCCTTAAAGTCTTAGCCCAAGCAACTCCATTTTGTTTGGTTTGATCTGATGAGGTCTAATGCATGAGCTCAGTCCAAAACAATGGCCTACCACAATTTTGTTTTTAAAAATTCCCCCCTTTTGGTCAGGTTCTCACTTAGGTGAGAGTATGATCAAAACTTAGAGCCTTAGTACCACTCTCAGTTACCATCATTTTGGGTTTCTGGTCTCAGCATGCCATTCATAGGTTACAGTGTCCTTGTGGTCACATATTTCATTCAGCTTTTGTCATTCCACTTGAAGAGAGACCATTTGACATTCTAGAGATGGCTGCATGCAAGCATGTAAAACCTTTGAGAGAATACAATGCACCAGGGAGACTATTATTATGACTATCAAAAGGATAATACCAAGAGTTTGAAGTATGTTCCTTATCCAGGGTCCCCATAAACCAAACCACCTAAAATCAAATAGATCAAAGAATGAGCTAGATAAGCAGTCTACTCACTTAACTAAACAGTCTCTTTGTTAATCCACTACAACTGAAACTCTATAATACCTGATGTTTTCCACCATAGGCCATGACTGCCAGCAGCTGCATAGATACTTTTCTCTTTGGCCAATTCTATTCTTTAGCATAACTTTCACAAGATAATTTAAAGTCTGTTGTGTAACTATAGACTTTACAGTAGAATCTGCTATAGAACCTATTGTGAGGGATACATTTTTAATCATTACCTCTTTTATTCCAAATCCTTCCAAATGGAAAATAGACCTAATAAATGATGCCCTTCTCTTATAGAAGAGTGAAGGCCTCCTGGGAATGTTCTTTTTAACCCATGAGTGGGTTAATAGGAGTGAACCAATCTTCTGTTTCTGACTGATTATGAGGCAACGTATGTAGCATTAAAGTTTCTCACCTACACTGGGTCTTCATCTTTTATCTATCAGAGTATAAGATTATCCATGTATAAGGCTGGCTGCAAAATCCTTCACAAATAAAAGTATACCCCATAAGTGCACAAAACAGATCCCTTTTTCATTTCTATTGTTCATAGAGGCATAAACAAAAAATATTCAAGGATAAGAGTCTCATGATAGTAGAAGTCTTAATCTGTGATCTTGGAAAAAGATGTTTACATCAAAGATGAATCTTCGTCCAGGGCAATCTTGGCTCACTGCAACCTCCACCTCCTGGGTTCAAGTGATTCTTCTGCCTCAGCCTCCCAAGTAGCTGGGACTAAAGGTGCATGCCACCACACCCAGCTAATTTTTTTGTATTTTTGGTAGAGATGGGGTTTCACCATATTGGCCAGACTGGGCTTGAACTCCTGACCTCATGATCTGCCCACCTCAGCCTCCCAAAGTGCTGGGATTACAGGTGTGAGCCACCACACCTGGCTGAACTTTTAATAATAAAAGCTTTAAGGACTTGAGAAGGACAAGGTGGCCATCCTCATTTTCCATGAATCCATGCTTAATGAACATTAGACTTATATGCTCTTGAATACCAGTTGTTTCACCAAATTAGGTGAATAACACTGGTAACTGATGGGTTATCATAGGTAATTTGACTTAGACCATGGAATTCATTCAAATTGTATATCTAAACAATTTCAGTAACAGCCGATTTAGCATAAAAATCTGGCAAAGTATTTTCTTGGTATTTAATTAATTTTTGTTCTACCTAGGTTAGCAGTTTTATAACCCAGTCAGTCTTTTCATTAAAGTTCCAGGAATTCTTACCCAGTTCAAATGATATGATTCTAAAGTTCTCAGAAACCTGTATTCAAGAGTGCTTTTTAGAGTCCTTTCCATCCTTTAATCAACTTCCTAAAAGACACCATATTCTAGGATTTTGTGTGCTTGTGACGTTTTCAGAAACTGCATCAGCATTAAACAATTAACTGTGGAAATAACTTTAAATAGTTACAGTTAAAAACACAATTGACAAGGAAATTTGGTTATTTCTGTGGTTTACAATCATTTAACATAATAACCATAATTATGATTGATGGCATATACTCAGACATCTTAGAATTTTAGAAATCCCATACAATTTTGGAAAATATATAATATCATTCACTAAACTATAACCTGAAGAAGACTAAATTTTTTAAGTTTTTGTCAATACTTCCCATGTAACTAAACGTGTCAAATGATTCTTCTCACCTCTCTTTTGGATGATTCAGGGGCCCTTCGCAGCATCTCAAAGTTAGAGGTCAGAAAAGACAATTTTGAAGCTGCAATTTGATTTTGGGAAGCCTATCAAATATGTTAGAGGCTTAAAACACTTGATATTATGAAATAGAACTCCAGGTTACCATAAGTCATTCATTTAGCCAAAATGATTATCAAAAAAACCTCTTTTTTAGGCAAAAACCTTCACTCATTGAAAGAGGGAAGACTTAGCTTTCCAAACAATCTGTCTCTTGTCTTTCCCTTCTTTTTTTGTTGGTAGTTTATTCAAAAGGCAAATAAAAATCTTTCAGTGTCTTTTAATATTACATGAAAATCTTGTTCAGGAGAGAAAGCCACATTTCACCCTTGCATTAGTGTACTATTAATGTCAACCCCAATTTTTAATAAAACCTTATAGACAAATCTTTCCGATCTTAATCAGTTTGACCATACAATGAGAATCTCATAAATCTTTTATAACCCTCTATAAATTTTTAGTAAAGAGCAGATCAGTGCTTTAAGAAAACCATGTTTGTGTTTTTATTTCAATGTTCAATTTACAGACAAACCAGAAAATAACCCTTTAAATTTAGTCAATATGTTCACACACATAATTTTTTACAAGATTAATTGTTTGCAAACCTTCCACAACCTGTTCAAACCTTTAGCTTTATTCTAACTTAAAACAATCTTTTAGCCCTTTAGGCACAACAAAAAAACCCACATTCCCATGCTTTCTTATAATCTTTTACCAAAAACATATTTCACTTTTCTTACATACCTTTCATGTAAAACTGTTTCTTCAGTAGGCTCAATTACATGTTACAATGCTAACTCTTGGCGACATTTACTTTTGGTGAAAACCTTGATAAGTTTGGGATTTTAATTATGTACTAGGGGTGGAGCCTAGGACCCACCCAGAAGTCCAGATAAGGTCTGACCCTTTCCAGCATCTAACTCCATGTGTCCCAGGCTTTACCTAGCTGTAAAGCAGGCAAGTTGTACAGTTAAGAGTCACAGTGGCATTTTATGAAGCATTTAGGAGGCCTAATCACCTTTAAACTGTACAACATTTCTTGCATAAATTCTCTTTCATAAATTATTTCATGATTTACACAGACCATCTATAATATGCTTGGACTTTCTGACTTGTCCTAAACATCTCTCCTTTTAAACAACCTGTTATTTTACTTTAGGACAAGAATTTACCATATAAGATCCTTTCTTATGTAAGATTTCTTTTCTTTATAAACTTCTTTGCATAGCTAGGTGACATGACTAATTTCACATGTCTCCAGGTCTTACCTAGAATCTAATACTCCAAAATAAATTGAATAATTTTTAAAAGTCAAACAAGCAGTTTATGACCTTAAACATTTAGCAAACCTGGTATCTGACCTGTATAATTTAGACCAAATTTTTACATTTTTGAAGATATTTTTATTTTACCAATAATCTTTAAAACTGTCTTTATTTCCCAAAGATTACTTAAGCCACATGAACTAAATAAAAGGCATTAAACTTTTTACTTTTCTGACAAAATATTTGATTTAAGCTCTTATTATTAAACCAATTAATTAAAGTTCTTTTATATTACACAACACACATAAATACATAGATAGAAGATAAAGGACTCATTCCCTAAGCCAGGAATTGAACCCTAAACCCAGCTGCCATTGTGAAAAGAGAAAGAAAGCATGGCCACATGGTTACGAGGTCAAGCTCCCAAGGACATGACTGTCCAGTTTGCTGGGCCATCTTGAACAGCAAGCCTATGGAGTCCTAGGCACGCATTTTATCCTAATGTACCCCTTTTTGTGACAGAACAATACAGAAAGACACATAAAGCACACCAGATTCACTACAGCTTAAGACCAGCCTCAGAATTCTTTTTTATATTAATCAAAACTTTACAGAGGAGATAAACAGTGACTTTTACTATTCATTTAACCAGTTTGCACAGAGAGAAAGAAAGAGAGAGAGAGGCCAGAGTCTGAATGGTAAGAAATTCTTACCCTTTTGCCAGCATGCCAGGTTTCTGGGTTCTCTCTCCCTGAGCAGCCCTAGCAACCCTGCTCAACTGTGTATGCAAACAATCACATTGCAATGAATTAAGAATAGTCACACATAGTTTACAAATTTTGGAGAAATTAGGCAGAGAGAGAAATATTGACTCAAATTCTATTTAAGAAAGTACACTCAACACCCTTAAAGTATCAGGAAGCCTAAATTCCAAAAAGTTAGTTTAAGGATAGAAAGTTTTTGTGCTCCATCAATTCCTGCGGGCCTGACAAAGGTAGCCTAGGAATTCCAGATAAACAAAACAAATGATGACTTGCTAGGAATGCATAGGAAACAAAATAACTATCCACAGAACCAAATAAAAGCCTTCCACTAGAAACTAAAAAACAAAACAAAAAAATAAATGGTTTTATATATGCACACACAAGGAAAGCCAGAGGAGAATAAACAGCAAACAAATGAAAATTGGAAGCAAAGACAAGTAAACAGGACACCAACCCTAAATGTTCCTACTCAATCTACCTTGGAGACTATAGTGTTACCCAGGGTCCCAAAAAAACTCACATAATGAATATTTTATTCCTGATACACAATTAAGTATCCTCAAGTCCACCAATATCACCATACATCCTGTACAACCAAGAAATTCACTCTAGGCACATGACCAATAAGTACTCCAGTGCCAGCACTATCCACACAAAACAGTAAACATAGGGGGAAGCAATGCAATTATGTATACGAAATTTGGCTCCACACTAAATCCAGCTTCATGCTTAACTGTATTTAAAAAAAAGAATTGCCAAACTGCCAATGCGTTTCTTTACAATACTTCTTATTTTATCAGTCAAGACTAACAGCTTTAACTATGAAAATGTTAATTAGTGAAATGTCTCCAATTCCCTATCAGGTTTTAAAGAATATTATCTAAACTTTTTCCACATTTTTCTCCCCTACCTACTAGTTACGTAGTACATTATTTCATAAATAACCTTTTGAAGTCTGTAACTGGAACTTTTATATAACTTCTGAATTAGATGAAATTATTCTTTTTCTCATTAATAACACAACCCTTTCTGGTACATTTTGTATACAAAATTATGTGTTAACTAGAATTCTTATCCTTAGTAACCTAAAACTTTAGTGAAATCCTAAAAAGCAAGAAATCTTGAGCTACGAGATATGGACATTTATAGATAAGAATAATTCCACAGTATTTAGAAACATATTTCCCCATATCACAACCCTTTCTTAATTGGAAATGACCCAGATATTCAATGAGCATCAAACATAATTTTAAGATTTTAATTTACACAAAAAGTTCACCTAAAACATTTATCCCATTTACATGTACTTATTTCATTTTTAAACAGTTTATCTAGATTACTTCTGTAAACTGAGATATTAGACACTATTATTTAAAGTGAGTTATTTCCTTGTTAACCACATTTTTAATAGCCAGTGAACATCAGGTGCTCACCCAAACCTAAGTAAGAGCCTCAAAGTTAAGTACATAGATATTTTGGCCAACAGCTCAGAAGATTTAGCTAATGTTAAATTACTATCATTTGTCAAAAAAAAAAAAGGGCAGGCAAACCAAGATCATTTTGTTTTGGCTGGGTTTATAGTTTTATAACTTTCTATGCCAAACCCTGATACCTCAGAATATCTAGCAGAGACAAATATAAAACCCAGATAACGACAAGATGTGGTGGCTCATGCCTGTAATCCCAGCACTTTGGAAGACCAAGGCAGGTGGATCACGAGGTGAGGAGATGGAGACCATCTGGCTAACAGGGTGAAACCCCGTCTCTACTAAAAATACAAAAAATTAGCAGGGCGTGGTGGCGGGCGCCTATAGTCCCAGCTACTTGGGAGGCTGAGGCAAGAGAATGGCGTGAACCTGGGAGGCAGAGCTTGCGGTGAGCCGAGATCGCGCCACTGCACTCCAGCCTGGGAGACAGAGCAAGACTTTGTCTCAAATAAAAATAAAAATAAAATCCAGATAAAAATGTATGCTAACAATTCTGAAGGCATTTCTATTTTTATTTTATCAATAATTTAAAAACCAGCTTGTTTAGTAAAGTTATACTTAAGTCATGTGAACTTGAAAATTGCTCAGACTTATTTACTTGATTTATGAGTGCTCTTTTATAGGCCAATTTGGTAGACACAACGTATAACAAGTGTACATACAAATAAACACATCTAGACATATATATATACACACACACAAATGAAGATTCAATAGCTTTTACCTTGGAACCCTAGCCATGAGATAGCAATACAAGCTCACTGGTTTTACTTTGTTTGCCCCAATAGGTAATCCAATGAAGGCTGTGAACCAAAATTTCGGGTATAGCAGTTTCCATGGCAGTTTGATTTTTAGAGGCCAAACTTCCCCAGACTCCAAAGAACACTGGGGCCAAACGGTACCAAAGGAAAGCATAACACGTTCACCAGGCCCCCTGCTTAGAAAAGCAGCACAAAAGCCTAGACACATAAAACTCCGTCCCACTTTCCCATTCAACAGCAAACTTCAGATTCCAAACAATATGGGGTCCACACAGTATTGCAACTGCAAGAGAAAATTCTAAGGGGGGCTTAGCACTAGACCTCAGGACCTCTGCCAAGGGCGTCCGCTTTGGAGAGGTTGGGGTCTGGAGGATCCCCCAGGGAATCCCCCTTTAGGGTCCAATCTTAGAGTGTCAGATGTCTCTGACCTTAGGTGGGCACCAGTGCCACTTTGCATGCTTTCCCTCCAGAGGGGATAGCCTACTATGAGCTTTCCTTTTGTCCCTGGATGAAGGCCTCAACTTCTAGCATCCTTATAATTTGATAACGCCATGCTTTCCCGTGCTTCCCATTCCATTAGTGATAGCCATGAACTTTAATGATAGGAACTGGAGGCTGGGTGGGTTTCTTCTGCCCTTAGCCAGTTGAGTAGCGTAAGGGAAGAATTTAACATAAGAAAAGAAGGTTTCAGTCACATGAAACGCTTGTCAGTTCACCCTGAGCTGTACCACATGTAGGGATTAGGGACCACAACCGGAAAAAATAGAAAATATTCCTTCAGAGCGGCCCCGGCCAGAAATCTGCAGTTGCCTCTGTGTTTAGGCACTGCCCACCAAGGGGCCCGAGTTGGAAAGGAAAAGAGAGAGAGAGATTCCCCTGTATGGAGCAGAAAAGAAAAGGAGAAAAATAAATCCCAAACTTTGGGATTACCTCCTGTCTGGCTTGCCAAAATATGTTACCGGTGGAGTGTGTCCAGGTTCTTGGCATCCTGAACAAAGAACTGGACAAAACACACAAAGCAAGGAAAGAAAGAAGCAAAAAGGCAGAGATTTATGGAAAAATGAAAGTACACCCACAGAGTGGGAGTGAGCATGAGTATAGGGTCTCAACAGCACAGTTACAGAATTTTCTGGTGTTTAAATACCCTCTAGAGGTTTCTGTTGGTTACTTGGTGTACACCTATGTAAGTGAAGAGGATGAAGTAAAATTACGAAGTCATTTACTAGTCGTATGCCCAATGTAAATGAAGAGGATATTTCCTATCATAGCTGAAGTGTTTCCATTTGATTCAGTTCTAAGAAGACCTTAGGTTCCCTGCCTCCAGGCCCTATTCTCCTGCCTCAAAATGATTGCCGCCCCAGCCAACATCTGAAAAACAGATGTTATGTTTGTCAAAAGAAAAATCAAAAAAACACCCTGAGCTAGAAGAACAACCCAGCCAAGCCCAACTATAAGAAAATAAACGTTTATCATTGTTTTAAAACACTCTGTTTGGAGGTAATTTCTTACATTGCAATAAATAATTAATGCACTGCCCTACCAAAACCGAATCTGGGTGGTGAGCAGAAACTCTTGTCAATGGAGTAAATGGTTAATAAACAGAGAGGAGATGAGGGAGTTCAAGGCTTAAAGATGTGAGGGTAAATTTGGGGATTTAAAATTAGGAGCTCCAGTTAGTGTTTAGGTTATGTGGGTTATGGTGAAGGAGGGAGCTGAATGCCAAGAGCTGGGTCTGTTTTCTGGGCTGAGGGAGTGCAGTATATGTTATCTTTATGCTAATGTATGCTAAAGTCAGAAGAATAAACAGGGAAGTGGGGATTCAGAATAAGTCTGCCTAGTTATAGCTGTTCTTGGTGACCTACCCAGGTACCTTTTACTGAACCAATGCACCAATCCCCCAGCTGCCATATCCTCCACGAACTGCTGTGGTAGCTCCCTCAACCAGAACTGATAAGAAGTTACCCCTTCCCCCCAGGGCAACCTGCAGCCATTAACTGACTGATATAGGGATACACAAAGCCCATCTAGCCTCAATGTTTGACAATTCCATGGTACTAGTCTTGCTCCAAAGCTTCCCATTAATTCAGACTGCGCCTAAATTCCAGCTGAAATCATCCAGCTGAAACCACATCTTGCTTAGCTTCTTCCCCTGTGCTATGCCACTTCTCTCATTCCCTTACTGAATTCACCTGATATCATGCTGTTAATAAATTATTTGTGCTAGAATTCCTGCTGCAGGCTCTGCTGCTAGGGAACCGAAGCTAAGACCCCAGGTTTAAAGAAAGTGCATATGCTGAAAGTGTCCATTTTGCTGCATCTTTCAGAATCCATGATTGACCCAGAGAGGGTGCAGTGGTGAGAACCCCAACAAGAGCTGCTTTATGTCATGGATATTAAATATGTAGATGCTCTTAGCTCTAAGAGGAAAATGTAAGGGGAAATAAGATGATTTGAGGATTGGGTCTTTAACAATTAGAAAAAGGGGGTGCACGGGTGATTATCTCCTAATTTTCAAGGCTAGTTTGTGAAGAACCACCACAGGCCATTGTCAGACAAAATATGAATATCTTTACAATACTGGTCTCATCCCCTAGGATGACTTTATGGTTTTAGTTTATGTCCCAGTCTCCTCCACACTTGCTTGAGAACACTGGGAAAACCAGTAATAATAAATTAGATACTGGCACCTATATTTGATGCTTCTATCACAGAAGAAAATATGAACGAGGTTATATGAAGTTATATGACCTGGGATCACCGAAGAGTTCCCAGAAAGATTTAAAGTAAAGATGTAAATGAATCTAAGAAATTCACACATACTGGGGGATGTCTATTCCTGAAAGAGAATATAACAAAATAAATTTAGCATAATAGCTTTTAAATCATCTGCCCTAGCCAATAGCCAAGGAAAAAGAATTAATCTAATAAGGCTTTTTGACTCTCCTGGAAAGGAGCTTCTGAAGATATTCCCCTATTAATTGTAATGCTAAATAGCTTCCTTGACTGATATGCCCTCATATATTAATAACCTTTCTTCTGATGATATGTTTCAACTAGGTGGAAATTGCTACCATTGTCATCTTCAAGGTATAGCAAATGGAGGCAATTGTCTCAAACCCCAAGACTGGTTCACTCAACCCCTTCTCCCACCACCACCTGCTGACAAATGGGCTGTTACTCAGAGAAATTTGACTCAGGGAGAAAAGGAGATGGCTCTATCTTCTGATAGTCTACAGACATGACCATCATCAAAACAGAGCCAGTGGGGCTTCCATTTCTACCATGTACCCATCTCCCATCTCTGCATGAATCAGGCCTAACTTCAGCTATTCAGAAATGCTGGAGAGGTACAAAACCCACCAGAGCTGCCTGCCTTGGGTCAAACACCTCCCTAGGAATGGCTCCAATCCTCTCCATTTATTCTCAACTTTTTACATTTTGCATTTGGAAAGAACACTGAAGTCAGTAAACTTTGGTCTGTGACTGCCACCAACTCTCTGTGAGCCAGAGCCCTTCCCCTCTCTTGGCCTTGGTTTTGTCAGCTACAAAATAGAGAGATTTATTTTAATCAGTGTGTCTGCTTCCAAAAATGCTTGTTCAGAGAGATGACTCACACAAAAAAGATTGAGTATAAAAACCAGGGATCACTGCAAACCATAACCCCCACATGGGGAATTCCCAGCATTTTGAGCATAATAAAGGCTTTCTCTAATAAATAAAAGTGTTTGACATTGTTTAAGCCAAAAAACATTGATCACAGAAACTTTTTGGGTGGAATGCTTACTAAAATTCCATGCAACCTGTCTTTGGTGAAACCCTAAACTAGAGAAGCCTTTCAAGCTTCTTGGGTCAATGATTGCTGTGAAGGTATTTTTTTTGATGAGATTCACATTTAAACCAGTAAACTTAGAATAAAGCAGATTAGCCTCCAATCAGTTAGAGGTCTTAAGAGTAAAGTCTGAGGATTTCCCAAAAAAGGGACTGCAATGTAGGAGACCAGCCTGAGTTTCCAGCCTTTGAGACACATAGTTCTCTATTATATGAGAAAGAGAGAGAGATGAATAGATATAGATACCTACAGATTAGATACAGATGAGATATCCTATTGGTTCTCTGGAAAACTCTGACTAATACACTGGTATTGTGTTGTGGCTGAACCAAATGCCAGTATGGAGTAGTATGGTTCTTCATTCTTTGCTTTTTGTCATCTCATAGAATCTAAATTCTCTCAAGAATTTTCCATAAAAGAAAGAATTCTCTTCTGCAGGAAATGAGGGACAACGTGGTTGCCATGGAAAAAGTATTTATTAAATGGCAAGACAATTAGTTTCCACACCCCTTGATCACTCAGGGCCTTAATTGCACCCACCAATAATGTAGGATTGTGGTGACCTGTTTATCTAAGGCAATCACTTGCTGAACTGAATTTTGGTGGTCCTTTCAAGTTCTAAAATCTGTAGTTTTCTGACTTAATGGCTAGTGTGCTTGAGAAATTAGATCATCTCTTGACAACAAACCTCTTAACAACTCCACCGTGGCTGGGTTTCTTTGAAGGAGAAGTTGCCCTTGTTAACCCAAGTTCCTGGCAGTTTCTGGTCCAAATTTTCCCTCAGTAAAGGTCTTTTCATGCTAATGAACAATTTTTAAAAGACACTTAATGATATCTTGGCTTTGTATACTGTGTAGTTAATTTGGAATCCCAAGGGAACTCTTATTCTGGCATAGACATCCCATCTAAATAGTCCCTTGAAGGAAGCGATCATCACAAATAAAATGGAAATCTTTATAATGTCTGTTATGGGAAAATTTTTTATCATCTCAATGACTTGTATTTCTCATCCACAAAATACTGATAATTAGAATTTCTACCGTTTTGTGTTGTTTTAAATACTCAACATGATAATAAGTATGAAGTCCTTAGCACAATGCTTGGCATGATAGAAGTGCTCAAAAGTTTTTAGTTATTATGACCAGAATAAACAAAAGCTTCTTAGATTGTCATTATAGACTGTAACCAAATATTGTTGTGTTTGGGAACACATTGTTTGCCCTAACTACACAATAAAGCAATGTATGAATCTTCGTCCAGAAATGCAAGTGAGCACAAAATATGGCTTTATTTTTTATCATTCCACTTAATTTCTCTTTCTTTCCTACAGTCTGCTAGGGTAATAGAAACTTACTCTCAGTCAATTTAGGGTCTCTTTTTCCAAAGTTTTGTCTTAGTTTCCAGGAGACTCCAATGGAGCTAGGACATTGAATGGTGGGTTTGGAGGTTGTGGCGTCTTGTCCTTCAGTTCTCTGTCTCCATGAGTGTTCACTGGGATATCTATAGTTACAGTCCTTGAACACAACCCTTGCAGGTCAGGGCTGAGATTTCCTGTCTTCACAGCCCCTTTAAGTCCAGCCTTCCTCTGTCCTACTTCGCTGACATGCATGCGGGCATGGGCATCTTTCTGCTGCTTCCTTGCCTCTCTAGAGTATACACATCTCATCAAAACTGTCTACAACAGCCTGTCTCCCCAGATATTTCCACATTTTTTCCTGGGGTCTTGCCTCCCCAGGGCTATGCTTGGTAAATAAAGTTTTTTTCTGCTCCTAGATCCCTCGGGCAGGAGTAGGATTTCTGTTTTAATTTTGCTATGCTTTCCTCAGAAGCACTTCGCATAATCTCTTTTCTGGGTTTAGGTGTTTGCACATATAAGAGTCCAAAGACTCAGTAACTGTTCTCTGAATACTGCTGAGGGTTTGTTTGAATAGGAGAAAGGGGACGTGCTTAGAGAAAACAAACACAAACTGAAAATTACAAACATTTTTCTGGCCACGAGAGAAGTATCAGTGACATTCTACTGTAATTCAACGTTTATGAGAAAAAAAATTTCAGAAACATTTAATTTCAGTTAGATATTTTCAATTACAAACATGATCTGAGTCCAAACTCTAACTGGCAGAAGGGAGAAAATGTTGCAGGGAATCTTGCGAGTGAAATTTCAAAACCTCACCCAGGAGAGCTCAGGGCTGCTGTTGCTGGCATGCCCCTGTGTTTGGTACACTCTGGCTTGCAAGTAACAGAAAACCAATCTGAACTAGCTGACTCCGAAGACTGAGATGTCTCATGGAAGGCAAGGGCAGTGACGGCCAAATCCAGGGCCTGGAACACCATCAGCAGCCTTCAATCTCTTCTTACATCATTTTTTCTGTCTCTATTTCTTCCACCCTTGTAACAGCAAACCTAGGAGCATTCAGGAGCCCAAAGCTCCTGAATTTTACCTTAATGGTAGGTTCAGCCATTTGGAAAGAGACTGACTTGAGTCTTATACCAAAGTCCAAATTCCCTGGGAAGAGAACAATTGATCCATTTTAGATCCGGCGTTCACTCCTGCACCAACAAATTGTGGCCAGGGTCTAACCTACATTTGAACTCACCTAGCAGCTCCCAATTAAGCATGTGGAGAAGAAGAAAGGACAGTTCCTAGAAGGAGGAGGGAATACACAGGAAAGGAAATGGGTGAATTCTGGGCACACAAAATAATGGAATCCAGTCAACAAGTCCATGTTAAAGTGTTTTTCCAAGTCCAGCCTGCCCTCACACCCACTCACGGACAAAGTATGGGAGAAATGACAAATAGAAAATTTTCTTTATTAAAACAGTTTAGGAGCCCTGAATCATTGTTTGGTAATGGACTTTTGAAAAAACAACATTCTTTCAGATTACAGAGAAGCGAGGAAAACAGTAAAGAGACAGATCCCACTAATTTGAATGAGGGACAAGCTTAGATTTTCATCTCTGGATATGAAGCCAGAGAAACCTTTTGCCAGAGTGACTCTGAAGATTAATAAAAGTTGAGAGTGGGATGGAAAATAACTCGAAAGGCCCTGCCCCAGTACAGTAATATTTGCTTTACTGTGACTTCATGAAAAGACGTAGTGACATTGCTCACTCTGCCCTTGAGGACAGAGGGACAGAGAGCACATGGGAATGGACCACTGGCTGCTCAGAGCTTGTTTTACAAATCTGAAATATGGGAGATCAAAACAGAAAACCATAAAAGGAAAGACAAGGCCAAATCCTTACACTGTTAACCCCACACGAAACAAACAAATGACCTTAGTAACAGCCCCAT
Organism: Homo sapiens; assembly: GCF_000001405.40. Classification (NCBI taxonomy): domain Eukaryota; kingdom Metazoa; phylum Chordata; class Mammalia; order Primates; family Hominidae; genus Homo; species Homo sapiens. Next base: position 106,326,623 of record NC_000007.14, on the reverse strand, counting down.
TCTTAGTTAAGAAGAGATTTGAGATTTAATTGTTCATATTTACTCAAAAGACTAAGAAAGGATAGACAAGAAGCTAATAATGCTGGTTGCCTGTAAGGAAATGGAATAGCCAGGCTCCAATGGTAACAGAGAAACTTCTTTAGATTAGATTCTTTACATTTTGACCCATATGATAGCTAATTTAAACAATAATTAACACAGTTTAAAAGTATAGGATCATTAATAGATAGTTGGAGAAAAGAATAAATGGAGACCAAGTTACTGGCCAGGCTTTATGTATAAATTTTCTAATAGAAAGAAGGAGCTATTTGGGGGTGCTAAGGCAAGGGGATTCCTCTAGCCCAGGAGTTTTAGAGGCTGCAATGAATTTTGATGGTGCCACTGCACTACAGCCTGGGTGATAGTGTAAGACCCAGTCTCAACAACACCAAAAAAAAAAAAAAAAAGAAGGTTCTTTTGAAAATGCAGCATCTGGATATAAGGATAGTGCAATTTAAAATGCTAGTCCAAATTTATATTCTCAGAAACACTTTCAATGGGTACACTAACAGCAGGTTGTACCTTTCTCTTTGTGATGAGAACATACAAAAAGGAAAAAGTCATCCTTAAAGCTGTCCCATGATCTCCTCCCAGCTTCCCCACCCTGCTTGGCCTCCCACCTTGTCAGCACTGATGTCCAGTGAAGGGATTAGGTGTGTGGTGGCTGGGACTGGTCCCTCTACTCCAACCTGAACATGGGGAACCATCTTTGCACACCTGTACCTATAGGAGGGCCACTCCCTCTGGACACAGAAACACTACAAAATCAAACATTTATTGACAGCTTTCTGTGTGCTAGCCATTACACTATAGACCAGAGTATATAGGTGAATAAAATATAAGTCCCTCTCTAAAAGGTCATGTTCTCTCAGGGCACATAATAAATATGCATAATTTGGCATGGTGATGTTAAAGCCTACTTATTTATGCTATCTTCTTGTTTCAGACACTTAAAAATGAAAGCCTTGGAAGTAATAAAAAAAAAGTCAGCCATTCTCTTACAATAAAAGAGAACTATTCCTCAACACCACTAATTTCTTTTTTATTTATTTATTTATTTATTATTATTATACTTTAAGTTTTAGGGTACTTGTGCACAATGTGCAGGTTAGTTACATATGTATACATGTGCCATGCTGGTGTGCTGCACCCACTAACTCGTCATCTAGCATTAGGTATGTCTCCCAATTCTATCCCTCACCCCTCCCCCCACCCCACAACAGTCCCCAGAGTGTGATGTTCCCCTTCCTGTGTCCATGTGTTCTCATTGTTCAATTCCCGCCTATGAGTGAGAATATGCAGTGTTTGGTTTTTTGTTCTTGCAATAGTTTACTGAGAATGCTGATTTCCAATTTCATCCATGTTCCTACAAAGGACATGAACTCATCATTTTTTATGGCTGCATAGTATTCCATGGTGTATATGTGCCACATTTTCTTAATCCAGTCTATCATTGTTGGACATTTGGGTTGGTTCCAAGTCTTTGCTATTGAGAATAATGCCGCAATAAACATACGTATGCATGTGTCTTTAAAGCAGCATGATTTATAGTCCTTTGGATATATACCCAGTAATGGGATGGCTGGGTCAAATGGTATTTCTAGTTCTAGATCCCTGAGGAATCGCCACACTGACTTCCACAATGGTTGAACTAGTTGACAGTCCCACCAACAGTGTAAAAGTGTTCCTATTTCTCCACATCCTCTCCAGCACTTGTTGTTTCCTGACTTTTTAATGATCGCCATTCTAACTGGCATGAGATGGTATCTCATTGTGGTTTTGATTTGCATTTCTCTGATAGCCAGTGATGGTGAGCATTTTTCATGTGTTTTTGGCTGCATAAATGTCTTCTTTTGAGAAGTGTCTGTTCATGTCCTTCGCCCACTTTTTGATGGGGTTGTTTGTTTTTTTCTTGTAAATTTGTTTGAGTTCATTGTAGATTCTGGATATTAGCCCTTTGTCAGGTGAGTAGGTTGTGAAAATTTTCTCCCATTTTGTGGGTTGCCTGTTCACTCTGATGGTAGTTTCTTTTGCTGTGCAGAAGCTCTTTAGTTTAATTAGATCCCATTTGTCAGTTTTGGCTTTTGTTGCCATTGCTTTTGGTGTTTTAGACATGAAGTCCTTGCCCATGCCTATGTCCTGAATGGTAATGCCTAGGTTTTCTTCTAGGGTTTTTATGGTTTTAGGTCGAACATTTAAGTCTTTAATCCATCTTGAATTGATTTGTATAAGGTGTAAGGAAGGGATCCAGTTTCAGCTTTCTACATATGGCTAGCCAGTTTTCCCAGCACCATTTATTAAATAGGGAATCCTTTCCCCATTGCTTGTTTTTCTCAGGTTTGTCAAAGATCAGATAGTTGTAGATATGCAGCATTATTTCTGAGGGCTCTGTTCTGTACCATTGATCTATATCTCTGTTTTGGTACCACTACCATGCTGTTTTGGTTACTGTAGCCTTGTAGTATAGTTTGAAGTCAGGTAGTGTGATGCCTCCGGCTTTGTTCTTTTGGCTTAAGATTGACTTGGCGATGCGGGCTCTTTTTTGGTTCCATATGAACTTTAAAGTAGTTTTTTCCAATTCTGTGAAGGAAGTCATTGGTAGCTTGATGGGGATGGCATTGAATCTGTAAATTACCTTGGGCAGTATGGCCATTTTCATGATATTGATTCTTCCTACCGATGAGCATGGAAGATTCTTCCATTTGTTTGTATCCTCTTTTATTTCCTTGAGCAGTGGTTTGTAGTTCTCCTTGAAGAGGTCCTTCACATCCCTTGTAAGTTGGATTCCTAGGTATTTTATTCTCTTTGAAGCAATTGTGAATAGGAGTTCACTCATGATTTGGCTCTCTGTTTGTCTGTTGTTGGTGTATAAGAATGCTTGTGATTTTTGTACATTGATTTTGTATCCTGAGACTTTGCTGAAGTTGCTTATCAGCTTAAGGAGATTTTGGGCTGAGACAATGGGGTTTTCTAGATATACAATCATGTCGTCTGCAAACAGGGACAATTTGACTTCCTCTTTTCCTATTTGAATACCCTTTATTTCCTTCTCCTGCCTGATTGCCCTGGCCAGAACTTCCAACACTATGTTGAATAGGAGTGGTGAGAGAGGGCATCCCTGTCTTGTGCCAGTTTTCAAAGGGAATGCTTCCAGTGTTTGCCCATTCAGTATGATATCGGCTGTGGGTTTGTCATAGATAGTTCTTATTATTTTGAAATACGTCCCATCAATACCTGATTGATTGAGAGTTTTTAGCATGAAGGGTTGTTGAATTTTGTCAAAGGCCTTTTCTGCATCTACTGAGATAATCATGTGGTTTTTGTCTTTGGTTCTGTTTATATGCTGGATTACATTTATTGATTTGCGTATATTGAACCAGCCTCGCATCCCAGGGATGAAGTCCCCTTGATCATGGTGGATAAGCTTTTTGATGTGCTGCTGGACTCAGTTTGCTAGTATTTTACTGAGGATTTTTGCATCAATGTTCATCAAGGATATTGGTCTAAAATTGTCTTCTTTGGTTGTGTCTCTGCCCGGCTTTGGTATCAGGATGATGCTGGCCTCATAAAATGAGTTAGGGAGGATTCCCTCTTTTTCTATTGATTGGAATAGTTTCAGAAGGAATGGTACCAGTTCCTCCTTGTACCTCTGGTAGAATTCAGCTGTGAATCCATCTGGTCCTGGATTCTTTTTGGTTGGTAAGCTATTGATTATTGCCACAATTTCAGCTCCTGTTATTGGTCTATTCAGAGATTCAACTTCTTCCTGATTTAGTCTTGGGAGAGTGTATGTGTCGAGGAATTTATCCATTTCTTCTAGATTTTCTAGTTTATTTGTGTAGAGGTGTTTGTAGTATTCTCTGATGGTAGTTTGTATTTCTGTGGGATCGGTGGTGATATCCCCTTTATCACCTTTTACTACTTGTATTTGATTCTTCTCTCTTCTCTTGTGTATTAGTCTTGCTAATGGTCTATCAATTTTGTTGATCTTTTCAAAAAGCCAGCTCCTGGATTCATTGATTTTTTGAAGGGTTTTTTGTGTCTCTATCTCCTTCAGTTCTGCTCTGATCTTAGTTATTTCTTGCCTTCTGCTAGCTTTTGAATGTGTTTGCTCTTGCTTCTCTAGTTCTTTTAATTGTGATGTTAGGGTGTCAATTTTAGATCTTTCCTGCTTTCTCTTGCGGGCATTAAGTGCTATAAATTTCCCTCTACACAATGATTTAAATGTGTCCCAGAGATTCTGGTATGTTGTGTCTTTGTTCTCATTGGTGTCAAAGAACATCTTTATTTCTGCCTTCATTTTGTTATGTACCCAGTAGTCATTCAGGAGCAGGTTGTTCAGTTTCCATGTAGTTGAGCAGTTTTGAGTGAGTTTCTTAATCCTGAGTTCTAGTTTGATTGCACTGTGGTCTGAGAGACAGTTTGTTATAATATCTGTTATTTTACATTTGCTGAGGAGTGCTTTTCTTCCAACTATATGGTCAATTTTGGAATAAGTGCGATGTGGTGCTGAGAAGAAAATATATTCTGTTGATTTGGGGTAGAGAGTTCTGTAGATGTCTGTTAGGTCCGCATGGTGCAGAGCTGAGTTCAATTCCGGGATATCCTTGTTAACTTTCTGTCTCATTGATCTGTTTCATTGATCATTGTTTCTGCCAAGAGATCCGCTGTTAGTCTGATGGGCTTCCCTTTGTGGGTAACCTGACTTTTCTCTCTGGCTGCCCTTAACATTTTTTCCTTCATTTCAACTTTGGTGAATCTGACAATTATGTGTCTTGGAGTTGCTCTTCTCGAGGAGTATCTTTGTGGCGTTCTCTGTATTTCCTGAATTTGAATGTTGGCCTGCCTTGCTAGGTTGGGGAAGTTCTCCTGGATAATATCCTGAAGAGTGTTTTCCAACTTGGTTCCATTCTCCCTGTCACTTTCGGTACACTGATCAGATGTAGATTTGGTCTTTCCACATAGTCCCATATTTCTTGGAGGCTTTGTTCATTTCTTTTTACTCTTTTTTCTTTAAACGTCTCTTCTCACTTCATTTCATTCATTTGTTCTTCAATCACTGATACCCTTGCTTCCACTTGATCAAATCGGCTGCTGAAGCTTGTGCATGTGTCACGTAGTTCTCATGCCATGGTTTTCAGCTCCATCAGGTCCTTTAAGGACTTCTCTGCACTGGTTATCTAGTTAGCCATTCATCTAATCTTTTTTCAAGGTTTTTAGCTTCTTTGCGATGGGTTCAAACGTCCTCCTTTAGCTCAGAGAAGTTTGTTAATACCAATCGTCTGAAGCCTTCTCTCAACTCATCAAAGTCATTCTCTGTCCAGCTTTGTTCCATTGCTGGCGAGGAGCTGCATTCCTTTGGAGGAGAAAAGGTGCTCTGATTTTTAGAATTTTTAGCTTTTCTGCTCTGCTTTTTCCCCATCTTTGTGGTTTTATCTACCTTTGGTCTTTGATGATGGTGACGTACAGATGGGGTTTTGGTGTGGATGTCCTTTCTGTTTGTTAGCTTTCCTTCTAACAGTCAGGACCCTCAGCTGCAGGTCTGTTGTAGTTTGCTGGAGGTCCACTCCAGACCCCTTTTGCAGCGGAGGCTGCAGAATGGCAAATGTTGCTGCCTGATCCTTCCTCTGGAAGCTTCATCTCAGAGGGTCACCCGGCCACCTGGCCATATGAGGTGTCAGTCAGCCCCTACTCGGAGGTGCCTCCCAATTAGGCTACGTGGGGGTCAGGGACCCACTTGAGGAGGCAGTCTGTCCTTTCTCAGATCTCAAATTCCGTGCTGGGAGAACCACTACTCTCTTCAAAGCTGTCAGACAGGGACGTTTAAGTCTGCAGAAGTTTCTGCTGCCTTTTGTTCAGCTATGCCCTGCCCCAAGAAGTGGAGTTTAGAGAGGCAGGCAGCCCTGCTTAAGCTGCAGTGGGCTCCACCCAGTTCGAGCTTCCTAGCCTCCTTGTTTACCTACTCAAGCCTCAGCAATGGTGGAGGCCCCTCTCCCAGCCTCGCGCCACCTTGCAGTTTGCTCTCAGACTGCTGTGCTAGCAGTGAGCGAGGTTCTGTGGGCGTGGGACCCTCTGAGCCATGCATGGGATATAATCTCCTGGTGTGCCATTTGCTAAGGCTGTTGGAAAAGTGCAGTGTCATGGTGGGAGTGTCCCGATTTTCCAGGTACCATCTGTCACAGCTTCCCTTGGCTAGGAAAGGGACTTCCCCAACCCCTTGCACTTCCCAGGTGAGGTGATGCCCCTCCCTGCTTTGGCTCATGCTCCGTGGGCTGCACCCACTGTCTGACAAGCCCCAGTGAGATGAACCCGGTACCTCAGTTGGAAATGCAGAAATCACCCATCTTCTGTGTTGCTCACACCTGGAGCTATAGACTGGAGCTGTTCCTATTTGGCCATCTTGGAAGCAAGATGCTGTTGTGTTTGTTTGCTTGTTTGTTTTAGCTCATTGGCTATCGTTAGTGTTAGTGTATTTTATTTGTGGCCCAAGGCAATTCTTCTTTTTCCAATCCTACTGGAAAAAGAAGAATTAGCAATTCTTTTTCCAATCCTATTGGAAAAAGAAGAATTAGCAATTCTTTTTCCAATCCTATTGGAAAAAGAAGAATTAGCAATTCTTTTTCCAATCCTATTGGAAAAAGAGAATTGGTTTCTTCTTCGTCTTGGGTCAAGGCAAGCCAAAAGATTGGAAACCCCTGCTCTAATCAGACACTTTCATTTTGTCCATGAGGAAATTGAAGTTTAGAGGGGGCAGAATGACTTTACAAAGTTGGAGAGCTAGTTCCTTTGCATTGTTTTAGACGTTGAATCTAAAGGGTTTTTTATTACTGTAACTCAATTTAATTGCAATGGCCTCATCAGTAAATTTTGTGTTAGTCTTGGCTTTACTCACTTTGTCATTCTGTCTTAACCCCCAAGCAATATTCTGATTCATATTTAATATAAGTATCCAACATTTGCTGTCACTTTGTAACTTTATTTGTAATTTTATGGCATTAGCTTCCAAAATCCTTATATTGATTTCTCAAAAAAATATTGAAGATACATTTTAGGAATATTAATGTTGGCATTCTGCTTCAGTCACAGGATTAACAGAGTAAAACTTCTATCATAGGAAGTTTTGAACCAAGAGAAGAGGCTGGCACCATGTTCATTTATCCTCTGCTGTTATGCAAGCATGACTGCAAAAATAAACAGCTTTAATCAGAAATGCTAGCATATGTAGAAACAACAGATTTATAAATAAATGTTATTTGTACATTTCCTTTATCAAGCCTCTGTGGTTTTTGCTTTTAGAGCTAGACATGATAAAACTTGGGTATTGCTTTTCTCCACTCAACTCCCTCTTTGATCTCTCCTCACTAGCATTTCCCTGGCTTGGCCAGATAATTTTTTCCAGTTCACACAGTCTCCTTAGAGTCTCTCAGCCCATTTGGGTCTCCAGCTCTATATCATATTTTTGCAGGATAGTCTCATGACAAAATTTTTATTTAATCTTTACAAATACCTCATAGTGTGTGGCCAATTGTATTTTCAAAAATGGCTATGCCAGTATATCCCAATCCATAAATTCCTGTAGTATGATGTTGACACTCTTCCATCAAAACGTGGGGTCCACGTTTGCTCCTCTCCAATCTGGGTGGGCCTGGGACTATGGTGTATGTGATTCTCCATGACTTCTGAGGGCAAGACAAAAAAGATGATAGAGCTTCTCCCCTGCTCTCCTCCCTTGGGACACGTGCCCTGGGGGCCCTCAGCTGACATGTAGGAAATCCAGCCACTCTGAAGCTGCCATACTGGAGAGAGCACATGGGCAGACTATGTAGAGAGAGACCCATGGAGCCCCAACTTCTCCAGTCCCAGCTGTTTGAGCTGTCCCAGCCCAGGCACCAGATGTAAGGGAGTAAACCTCCAGATGAGTCCAGCCCCAGCTTCCAGCCACAACTAACGCTGAATAGAGCAGAAATGAGCCACTCCAATCCCCACCCAGATTGCTGATTTGTGAGCAAAATAGATGTGTTCTTGTGTTAAACCATGAAGTTTTGGGTCCATTTGCTACAAGCCATAGTAACTGGAACAGCAAGTAATGTTACCTTTGGATTCATTTGGGTACAGGTAATTTCCAATACTTATTTAAGCTTGAAAGCAAAAGTCTCGGCTTATAACTGAAAGTCCAGGGCTCATGCTGTTGTGCCTTTAACAAGGGCCATAATGATGTCCCTAGGACCCAGGACCTTTGCATGTTTCCGCTCTCTCACAACAGCACTGGCCACACGCTCAGACTTCATGAGTTGGGCAGGAAGTCCGAGAACTCCAGACATTTGTCCTGTCAGATTCGAGCTCACCCACAGCAGCAGAGGGAAGTCCACTTTCACAATCAAACAAAGGCCATAAGATTAATCCTACTGGCTACATTTGATTTGGCCCCATCCCTAAACCTCGGAATGTGCTGATCATCCAGGCTACAGGCACCTACATGGAAAAGCAGGAAGGAATTCAAGTTCACCAAAGTACAGGAACTGACAGAAGGAGAAAGATGTTTCTCCCAAGGATATTTCTAGATTCTGGTACAAAAGAAGGATAAAAGGACACTAGCCAGACAAAAAACATACAAACAAAATACCCACATATCCCCAGACTATGTATGGGAAACAGTTCAACAGTTTTCCTCAACCATTGCCCTACCATTAGGTAAATAACTTTGTCATTTATTGCCCCACAATAAACTGAGTTAGTATTTGAACACGTGTTTGATGCAAAAGTTTATTTTCTTCACCCCAAACCACATGGAATAGCATTTCTACTCTTTACTTCTGATTTCTTATAATTCATACAGCATGCTGAGGATAGAAACTTTATGTGAAACCAGAGAGAAGAGGTAGTTTTCAATTCTACTCTGTTTAATGTACCTTTTTCCTTAAGCTTTCTCCAGCATTCTAGTTTAATATATATGAATATTTTGGCATCAGCCTGCTGTCACTAGTATTGGCTTAATATTCTACACAGAAAAATGTCTTCAGAACATTTTTATGGGACTTATTCTATATAAACATAACAGCAATTTAAAAAATTTTTGTAGCAGCTTTATTAAGATACGATTCAAATATGATATAATTTATCCATTTAAAGTATTCAATTCCGTGGGGTTCTTAGTGTATAAGCAGGGCTGTGTAACCATCAACATAATCAATTTTGAACATTTTCATCACCACAAAAAAGAAACCTTAGCATTGATTCCCCATTTCCTCTCTGCCTGCTCCCCACCACCAGCTCTATGTCTCTATGGCTTGCCTTATTCTGGGCATTTCATATAAATGGAATCATACAATAAGTTGTCCTTTGTGAGTGGCTTCTTTCACTTAGCATATGGTTTTCATGTTGTAGTATGTATCAGTACTTCATTTGTTTTTATTGCCAAATAATATTCCATTACATGGATATACCACATTTTAATTATCCATTCATCAGTTGGTATACATTGGAGTTCTTTCCACTTTCACAATGCTGCTAAGAATATTCATGTACAAGTTTTTGTTTAGACACATATTTTCATTTCTCTTGGGTATATACCTATGATAAGAGGTGCTGGATAACTATGTTTAGCCTTCTGAGGAACTGCCAGACTGTTTTCCATTTTACATTCCCACCACCAGGTTATGAGTGTTTCAATTTCTTTCCATCCTTGCCAAAACTTGTTAGTATCTGTCATTTTGATTATAGCTATGCCAGCCAGTGCTAGGTAGTGTGGTATCTCATTGTGGTTTCTATTTGTACTCCCCTGGTGGCTAATGATGCCAAACATCTTTTCATGTGCTATTGTTCACTTGTAAATCTCCTTTTGAGAAATATCTATTCAGATTATTTGCCCATTTTTAAATTGAGTTATTTGTCTTTTTATTATTGAGTTGTAAAAGTTGTTTATGCATTTAATTCCCTTATCAGACATGACTTGCAAATATTTTCTCGCATTCTTGGGTTGCCTTTTCACTTTCTTGATGGTGTCTTTTGAAGTACGAAAGTTTTTAATTTGTATTTTCTTTGAGACAGGGTCTCTCTCTGTCACCCAGGCTGGAGCGCAGCAGCATGATAATAGCTCACTGCAGCCTTGACCACGTGGGCTCAATTGATCCTCCCACCTCAGCCTCCTGAGTACCTGGGACTACAGGTACACACCACTACACCCAGCTAATTTTTAAATTTTTTTGTAGAGATGAGGTTTCTCCATGTTGCCCAGGCTTGTCTTGAACTCCTGGGCTCAAGTGATCCCCCTGCCTCGGAAAGTGTTGGAATTACAGGCATGAGCCACCACCTGGCTGAAAATTTTAAATTTTTATGAAATCTAATCCATTTTTTTCTTTTGTCATTTGTGCTTTTGGTGTCATAAATGTTTTAACCAAGTTCAAAAAGACTTATGCCTATGTTTTCTTCTAAGAGTATTATAGTTTTAGGCTCTTTGAGTTAGGTGTTTCATCCACTTTGAATTAATTTTTGTATATTGTGTGTGGTAAGAATCCAATTTCATTCTTTTGTTTGTGGCTATCCAGTTGTCCCAGCACCATTTGTTGAAAAGACTACAGTCTTCTGTCCCATTAAATAGTCTTAGCATCCTTGTAAAAAATCAGTTGACCACATGGTTTGTTTCTGGACTCTTAATTCTGTTCCACTGACCTATATGTCTGTTTTTATGCCAGTACCACACTGTCTTGATAACTTTAACTTTATAGTAAGTTTTAAAATCAGGAGGTACGAGTCTTTCAACTTCATTCATTTTTTTCAAGATTATTTTGGCTATTCTGGTTCCCTTGGATTTCCATGTGAATTTTAGATCAGCGTGTCGATTTCTTTATGGCTGTATGTTTGTTTTCATCCTCTTCCATCCACAAGTCTTATTCATAATGACATAGGCCATTTTTGCCTGAAACCTGTGGTTGCCTGTTTGATCTTATCCAGGATGTTTTCTCAGGTAAAATGATAGCTGAGTTCAAATCAACATCTTGTTGAAATTCAGCTCATCAATTTCATAATCTGAATCATTACGAGACCAATCAGTAAATGTGTTTCTTTTTCTTCTATTTGTTGCGTCTGTTCATCAAATAAAAAATCAAGTTCTTCCTGTTCTTCTGGAGGATATAGTTGACTTGATACATCATCAGATACTGGTGTTGAGTCCTTCAATTTCACTGGAAATGGACAATGTCTCTTTTTTACTTTTATCCAAGGCTCTAGTCCAAGTCAGAGAAACTGGTAGACACATCTCTAGGCATTGCCTGAAGATTATTTGTTTCAGTATATTTCTTTGGACGCAGTGGACTTCCAATTCTTGGAGAATTTAGGGCAGACTCTGTATGCAAACCAAAGGCTATGTGAACTCAGAACAACATTTTGTGTGTGTGTTTTTCACTTGAAATTTAAGTAAGTATGCAGAAATGCAGTATGAAGAATTACTATTGATTGTATTCAGTTAATGCAAAGTAATTGTAATTTTTGCCATTTTTTTAATAACAAAAACCGCAATTACATTTGCACCAACTTAATAATAGAATGAATCTTGGCTCAACCCTACATGAATTTCCTGGTAGCAAATGGAAAAGAGGCATATGATCCCTTTCATGCACCACTCACATCTTGCCCCCTAAAGCACTCCGCTCACTGCTTGCTAAACTGATGGCTCATTCATCAACTGGCAGAATCCTGCCTTAAACACATGTATCTATGTCTTACCCAGGAAGTAGGAGCTTCTGGAGTAGAGGATCCCAATCAGTGGTAGGCTGGAAGAGAGAAGGTCTCAGCAGGAAAATCACATGGAGCTTTGTCAAAAAAACCTTGTGTCTGCTGTTCACCCCCTATACCACCCTATTCCCAGGATATCAGAGTAGATGTAAAAGAAATGGGAAGATCAGACATATGGGAAAATTCTCCAGGTCAATCTGATGCCCATTATTCTATAATCACCCAGGAAGAAACAAGGGTACCATAAGCCAATAGAAGCCAAGCCTCCATTCTTGGGAGAAGAGGAGATTGACAGAAAGGGGATCAGGTTTAAAATTAACACTTTCTTTAATTTGAAGCATACAGAAAACGAGAAGCAGAAATGGGCTATTCAGTCTTGCCAACCAAATGGGCAGAAGCAATTAAAGGACAAGGAGAGTGGAATAAAAATGTTTTTTAAAAAGACAAACTTCTATCAAAGACAATTGATAACAACAAAAAAAAAATAAGAAAAGGAGAGAGAGAAAGGAGAAAGTTAAGAGCTTGTTCAGGGAAGTTAGAGTCAGGATACGGAAACTTACATAAGAGACTACTGACTCTAAGGTGGAAGTACAGACACAGGACCAGAAAGAACCCTTGGAGAATGACTTCAGTTTTATTTTTGAGGAAGTGAACAAAGATTTGAGAAAAACCAGAAAGAAGAATGGAGAAGTAAGTTTAAGGAACTGTATAAGAGAAAAGCTGGAGAAAGAGAAATTGAAAGAAAAGAACAGCATAAAATGTACATAATAAAGGCACTTTCAATGTAAGACATCCTATTTCCGTGTATACTAGGCCAACCTATCTTTATTGGGGGTTGAACAAAGTTAGGTTTATAAACATTAGAGCTGTGCCTCACAGAGAGAATAAGAATCGAATATAAAAAGCATTCAATTAATTAATCACTAAAGACCCTGTTCAGAATTTCAAGAATCTACTGGTTAAACTGTTTTAAATGGGGGGCTGTAAGGGATTTGTCAATATTTCCCTAAAGGAAGTGACTAAACAGGAAGAAAATACAACGTGGACTAAAGGTACTTCTGAATTTTTGTGTGCACTTTGTGTACTTTCAACTCTGATAAAATCATGCTTACTGTGTTTTCAATTGTTTTATTAGGCACTATTTGTAAAACCTGAAATTTTTCTTTTCCAGCTCCACAGATGTTGTATAATTTAATTAACCAACATTAAATGGTTTTCATGACATACTTTGTTATTTACATCATTATTTTTCTTTCTTATTGACATTCCTGTGAACCAGCTCATCACAGTATTGAGTGGACCACATGGAAACCACAGAGACACTAGTGTAGAGCGGCTGGAGTCAATGGTTCCAGTTTCAAACCCCACTCCACTGCTTGCTAGACATGTAATTCAGCACAAGGTATCTAATCTCTCTGTTCTTGTGAAGTAATCCCCACCTCAAAGGATTGGTATAAAGAGTAAATTATGAAATTTTTGTAAAATGTTTGTCACAATGCCTAGTACATAGAAAATGCCCAATAAACAGCGGTTGTTGCTCTTTTTATTATTTAGAATAACTTGTCCTAAAAACATAAAATGCCCGTGTTCAAGAGAAAAGAAAGGAAATAAACAGTAGCATTAGGAAGAAGGAACAGACTTAGTCTCTAAATTTTTAAGTGGGGATGGTATAAACACCAGGCAAAGTGACTGTGCATGTTAAATGGAACAGCATATGTAAACTACCCAGCACAATGCTTGGAACATGACTGGTCGACATACTTAATGAATGTCTGTTTCCTTCTCCCACCCTATCTTTTTTCAAATCTTCTTAAAACTTGAATTGCATAGCACTGCAAGGCTGTGGCAACTATTCATCTATTTGGGCTTTTTCAAGAATATTTCCATGTAAACCACTTAGAAGATGCACAGAGGGGACCTTACACTACCAATTAAGAACTTTTTTAAAAATCTAATTTAAATTTATGTTGTTTATATAAACACAAACTCTATCTTGGTATGAACAGCAAATTAGGTAATTTTTGTAAAATGAAAACTTTCTAGCAATAATTTTTAAAATGGCTTTATCCTTAAAATTTCTAACCCTTGGCTGGTGTTCCCAAGAAGGAAGTATAGTAATTCAGTATTTATTATGAAATCAAGTTCTTCATCCTTACCATATTCGGAACCATGTTTTTACTTTAATGCTTACACATAGCCTTGTAAATATTTAATTTTGCACATACCTAACTCTGTAAATACATTTCTTTCCAAGTAGTTTCAGATGACACTTTTACCACTAACATTTTATACAATTTCCTAGAAACTCCTGCATTAATTCCACCTATTTTTATCAGCTTCTCAAAATATATTTATTTACTTCTATAATTTCCTACAAATACAGAATTTTGAGCTGAAGAGGAACACTGACATCATTTGGTTCAAATCTCTCATTTTACGAAAAGGAAATAAATTCACTAACTTCCAGTTATTGTAACCAAGTTATGCCCTAAGAATGGACAGAACGAATAGCCAGTTACAAGGTAAGATTTTAGCCTCAGGCTCATACCAGCTGATGACGAATCTCTCCCCTGCCATTGTATCACAGTGCCTAAACCTCCCACCCTTAGCTATTATATCCTATTAAGGCATTAAAGTTCCCCATCAAAACTTGAACTCTAATCAGCCATTGATACTGATGCATTGATTTAAAGAAAAAATGTACAAATCATACAGCAACCTATTAGAAAGAGATATAGAATAGGAGTTTTGAAGGATGCGGAAGGAACCAGGAAAAGTTTGATTTATTCAGCCAACATTTGTAGAATTTATATAGCCTGCCATGCACTGTACTGAGATACCAAAAGGAAGCATGGTCTCACCTTCAAGGCACATCTAACTAGAAAGCATTCTTGTAAAATAACCCTGTGCAATGAGATGAGGACTACTATAGAGGCATGTACAGGTTAATGAGGGTGCAGAGGGTAGAGATTTGTCCCATCGTATAAGGCAGAAAAAGAACCGAAAGGGCGATATTTAAGCTTGGCCCAGAGGATATGTGGCATTTATCGAGTGCCAGTATATGGACTGTGAAGCCAGATTGAGTGGGTTTGAAACCTACCACCTCTTACTGACTTTAAACAAGTATGTAGCCTTTCTGTACCTCAATTTTATCACCTGTAAAATTAGGATAATAGAATCTACCTTGTATAACTACCAAGTGTAAGTTACATATAACTTGTATAAGTAATATATAAATTAATAAATGTAAAGCACTGAGAAAATGCTAGCTATTATTGTGGTTTCACCTATTGGTAAAATAGGATTAAGGGTCATAGACTGGGCCACAACACCAGAGTGGTGCTGGGTAGAAATGGGCTCTTTAATTGCTTTAAATTGAGAAAGAGAATGGTGCTCTATCAGCAACCAGTAGTGGAGTCTGGGCACACCCACACTGGGCTAAGAAGGGAGAATGTATGACAGCCATAACCATACCAAAGTCCCACAGGCAAATTGTATGCATTTAATGTGAGGACTTATCCTTACTAGAATGGACCTTCAGATCAAATATAAATAATTGAAAAAAACATCCTTTGGGTAGCATTGGTATGTTTCCAAACAAAAAGACCTTGGAAGCTTGATATGGGGGAGAAGCCAGAAAGAAAGGGGAAAATGACGCAGAATGGGGAGCCTGGAAATCTGTGTTGCCTACTTCACAACTGAGCCACTAATTTAAATGTGCACTTGAAAGCAGGGTTAGAAGAAGCTGATGTGTGCAGCGTGGCTACCCCTGGGCTAGGGGTGAGGCAGACGTAGAAAGGCCTTGATGCTGACCAAGTGAGGGAAGGGATACCAACGTGGAAGTGGGATCTGAGAGGGCAAGAGGCAAGGGTGGTCTTCAGCACCAAGAGAGGTGTTGATGTAGTTTTGGATATTTATCCCCTCCAAATCTCATGTTGAAATGTGATCTCCAGTATTGGAGGTAGGGCCTAGTTGGAGGTGTTTGGGTCATGAGAGTGGGTCCCTCATTAATGGCTTGGGGCCGCCACATGGTAATGAGTGTGTTCTCACTCTTACTAGTTACCGTGAGATCTGATTGTCTAAAAGCCTGGAATTGCCCTTGCTCCCTGTCTCACTATGTGCCAAGCCTGCCCTCCCTTTGCCTTCCACCATGAGTAAAAGCTTCTCTGAGGTCTTCCCAGAAGCCAAGCAGATGCTGGAGCCATGTTCGTACAGCTTACAGAACCATGAACCAAATAAACCCCTTTTCTTTATAAATTACCCAACCTCAAGTATTCCTTTTTAGCAATGCAAAATGGACAAACACAGGTGTTTTCATAAAAACTGGAAAGTTCAATCATCAGTCAGTGAGCCTGGTGTCTGGATTGGGCTTTTGCTGAGATGTGTTGGTATCGCACAGAAACATCTAACAAGTCCCTTCTCATAACCCAACATGAGAAGATTGATTTGGAAGGTTTGGCTGTGGTTCAACATTTTATTTTCTCAGTCTATAAAGTTCAAGACTGAATAGTTGCTCAGTAAGTCCAACATAACCAATTTTTCCTCTGGCACAGAGAGACGCAGGACCATTGCATGTGATGGGGGAGCCTGTGCACAGCCTGCAGAAGGGCTCCAAGCTGGGGATGAACAGGGATGGATGTAGCCTTCTCTGTTTGCCAAGATGTAGAAAAGGAGCCTTCTAGTAGCTTGTATCACAGTACTAAATGCTTTAATTGTGATTATAAGGTTTGGCTCTGTGTCTTCACCTAAATCTCATCTTGAATTGTAATACAGGAGGGACCTGGTAGGAGGTGATTAGATCATGGGGGCAGTTTTCTCCATGCTGTTTTTCTAATAGTGAGTGAGGGCTCACAAGAACTGATGGTTGAAAAGTGTGGCACTTCCCTTCACTCTCCTTCTCCTGCCACCATGTAAGACATGCCTTGCTTCCCCTTCACTTTGTACCATGATTGTAAGTTTCCTGAGGCCTTCCCAGCCACACAGAACTGTAAGTTGATTAAAACTCTTTTCTTTATAAATTATCCAATCTCAGGTAGTTCTTTATAGCAATGTAAAAATGGACTAATACATCTGACTATGAGAACTGCTTTCTGTTTATTCACTTAAGTCTAAGGTAGTAATAGTATGTTTGTGTTTAGGAATCATTTGTACCTATAAACACACACATTGGAATCATATGTGCCACAACAAGATGAGCACACTATGAGAGGCCTAAGGACATGGGGCCTGATGCATGTTTCTCATCTCCCATGACCTCATGGCCTGCAGTCATCACTGGGTGGAATTTAAAGCACTGTCTCACTTTCTTCCTCATGGTGTCAGTGTACTGACAGATACTCTCAAGAGAGGTGATTGAAGAGAGTTTCATGAAGGATGTTTTACAAAAGTGTGAGCAGGGTTAAGGGAAACCAGCAAGGTATGGTGATTCAGCCATGGTTGGCAATCTCTAGGCCAGAAGTAACTACAGAAGGAGTAGTTGCCAGAATTTCCAGGGTAAGCTTTGTGGAAGGGATGAGCTGCTCTTCAGGAGCAATGACCTTCTATAGAGAAGAAGCACAGTCATGGTGAAGTGTGCCGTTTCTTTTGTATAGTGCCAACATCACAACCCCTGTGCCACTCAAAGAAGAATGTTTTGGAGTTGAGGTCAAATGGATTCTTCTTTCTTCTTCTCTCTCAATTTTTGAAAGTCATTATGCATATTTAAATTGCATATTTAGATTCTGACTTTTTTGTGTAGGTCTTTGTTTTTCTGGTAGTTCTGATTGCATCTAGTTTTTTGTTTGTTTGTTTTGAGAAGAAATATCTTCCACTGCGTATGGTGGCTCATGCCTATAATTCTAGCACTTTGGGAGGTCAAGGTGGGAGGATCACTTGAGCCCAGGAGGTCCATACACCTGTGGTCCCAGCCACTCAGGAGTCTGAGGTCAGAGAATAGCTTGAGGCCAGGAGGTCAAGGTTGCAGTGAGCCATGATTGTGCCACTACACTCCAGCCTGGGCAACAGAGTGAGACCCGGTTACAAATGGAGTCAAGCCTCTTACTCATGCTAGATATTACATGAAATTCATTCCATTTTTCTTCTTCTTGAAGAACACTGACTTTTAATTTGGATGTATTGCTTTCTAGGCCTGAGGTACAAATGTCATTCTGAGATTTCCTTTGTTAAAAAAAAAAAAAAACAGATTATAAGAATCATAAGTACTTTGTTACTGGGTTAGTCCAGTCTTTTATCTCACATTGTCTTTTTCTTAGATTTTTCACCTTTGCTTAGCAGAATAATATTATTAAGCAACATGCAAAAAAAGATACAGCAGGGACCTTTTTTTTGAAATGGTACATTTTTCTACTTAATTGTAAAATGTCTTACCTGGTTAATGTTCAGTGGGTCCTTGTATTTCTTGCTGGCTGATAAAAGATGGGATACCAATCTTCAGTTACAGATTAGCTCATCTTTAGATGTAATGTATTCTGAAAACCATGTTTTCAGTCACCTAGAAGTAGGATAAATTCTTGACAGCATGAGTATTATTTCAGTTGCTCAGATGCTGTTGTTTTTCACCATTTCAGTCTATGCAGAAACCACTGCCTTCAGGGTAACAGAGAAGCACTGGTAGTGCCAAATAAGGCAGCAGCAACGATGAAAAGGGAGAACTGCCTGTACCTCATCTTCCCCAATTGGCTGTGATCAAGACTTTAGCCAAAACATTGAATCCCACAAAGACAGCTAGGGGAGATATAAAACAACATTGGCAAAGAGTCCTTGACTTAAAGGACTCCATCCCCTAAAAAGCACATGCCACAAATGTATTTTAAAAAGAAAATGGCCTTGTACATAATGTTAGAATAATGATAGCAGGAGCAAATGACCTAAATGGTCCTGCTCCATTTTATTTTCATTCACTGAGCCAAAAACAATAAACAAAAAAACAGTCATCAACATGCATCTACTGAACAAGGTTCCAGAACACCTAACTTTTCTGAGCATGGACAGGATGCTGAGAATATGGGAGGCCAAGTGGCTCTCCGAGGAGGAATGGAGAAGAAATGGTGGGTAGAGCTGACCAGGTCTTTTTCAAAAGCATTTGGGAAGAACTGGTTAACAAATATTTACTAGTAGCTACTCTAGGCCTAGCATTGTGCTAGGAGCTTTGAGGCACATATTAAATTAAAGGGGCTCCCTGACCAGTCAGCCAATTTTTCCTATCCAAACAGCTTACACTCAGCCAGAAGAGGTCTACTAAAGGAAATCATGCTGCCCTGGTGAGTGGTGTGAAAGAACAACACAAGAGGTGCAATCACGTCTAAAAGGTGGTCCTGACCTAAAGTTGATTGTCATACATTTGTAGCAATTGCTACAAATCTAGGCCGCTCAAAATTCAACACGTGCCTCTGGTCAACTTCCTCTCCCATGCCCCACAAAATCGACTTCAATTCTCCATTCGCCTCACATCTGTTCCCTCCTTGCTCTCAGCAGACGACATTGATTCACAGATCATCAAGCAAAAGGAAGCCATTAAGTCTGGACCATTTCCCATTTCCTACCATAACTCCTAACATAATTGTACCCACACCCACTCTCTTTTCTCCTCTGGCATTTACAATACTGACTTTTAATTATTATTTAAATATCATCAACCATTTCCCAGCTTAAAAGCTTTTGATGAATTTCAATTGCTCTAAAAAATAGGGCCAAAATTTACATCATGTATATGATGTGGCCACTGACCACTTTTCTAGCCTTTTTTTGTCCATACTCTTTCCTCATGGAAGTGACTGTCAGCCCTCTGGTCACTTTATCTTTCTTCTGGTCACTTTATCTTTCTGTCATTTCTGTCCTGCCTCAGGACACTTGCATAAAGTGCTCATTCTCCCCAAATACTCTTTTTTCTTCTCCTTAAGTGTATCTAGTTGATTTCTCCTCTTGCAGATTTCAGCTCCCACATCACTTTCTCAGGGAAGCAGTCTCAGACTAGGTCAGGATCACCCTTTAGACATTATTGCACCTCTTGTATCATTCTTTCATACCACTCACCACAGCTTATAACTAATACTTAATCGCTGCCTCACACACTAGACTGTAAGCTCAGTGAGAGCGGGAACAGGGTCAGTTTTCTCATCACCAGCCCTAGCCCCTTGCACGGCACTTGTACTTGGCACAAAGTAGATGCTAAATACATAAACAAGTCAGTAATGACATTTTACTGTGCAAGGCAGGCAGCCAATACGAGGGTAAGAATGATATTAATTCTATGCCTTGGCAATAAATACAAAAGGACTCAAGGAAAAAAATCAATATGAATACAATTTCTAGTGACATATTTATGAACCTTTTAGGAACTTGACAGGCGGGTGGTTGGGAAAGAATATATAACTCCATGCCATGTCTGCTGCAAAACTGTCAGATTTGCTCTGAAAAGGTAAAACTTCCAATAATAGATTCTACAGGAAAAGTTGTGGGGGTGAGGGGGTTGTTGAATGGAACAAGAAAAGAATAGCAGTTTATATTAAAATGCTATCTTTTAGACTAAATTGTCATTAGATCTCTTTGTAAAATAGATCTACCATCCTCCTACCCAAAACACGTAGAAAAAAATGTTTTTAAAAAATAATGGATCACAAATAAAAAGCATGTGAGAGAGAAAGCTGAAGGTAGGAAACTATGGTCTATACTTTGTACAAGAGAAAACCATCCCAGGAATGCAAACAATTGTGGTAATACTTTAAACCAGGTGTTGGGGAACAATTTCTGTTAAGGATCACATTGAAAGTATTTTGGGCAGAGTAGGGACTAAGTGTGAGGAAGCTGGTGAGTACAATTCAAGGCAGTGTTAATGCTCGGGGTCATGCAAGTGCAGGGCCAGCCTTAAAAAGGAGTGCATCCATATTGCACCCTGGGCACCTCTCTTTCCTCACCTAGTCTCAGCCCTGTGAGTCAGGCAGTCTCTGTAGCAATTAACTCTTCCAGGGCAGGAGAAGGCAGCACAGATGCATACGTGAACAAACATTGATGTGTTTCAACCAAACATCCTTTACAAAAACCTTTACAAAAATAGGCAGCAGAGTAGGTTTTGCCCAAAGGCCATAGTGGCTGACCCCTGCTCCACGCTCAAGATCCACAAATGCAAGGACATGCTTGGGCAAGAATATGAAAGACTGCAGTAAAAAGAACGGGACCTCAGATGAGACTTCTGCCCTTTTAGCATGGCTTGCTCGACTCTATACTAAGCAGTAGACAGTATTGGCATGTTCAAAAATGTCATTTCCACCTCTTATATTTGAATTCAATTGTGACTGACTAAAAATTCTAATTTAAAATTAATTCTCCTTCAGAACTAGAGATACTGCTTGTTGTCCTCCAGTATTTCGCATTGCTGATGCAAAGTCCATTAGCATTCTGCTTCTTATTCTTCAGTAAGCAACTTACCCTCTTTCCTCTGGCAACTTTTAGGATTTTCTCTTGATCTCCAGAGGAAAGGAAAAAAATTAACAAGGGGGAATATTAACTGGGGAGCATAAGAGAAAATGTCAGGATGTGCCCCAATAATATGAATGAATTAAGTTCTTCTATTGACAGGAAAAAAAACTCAGTATTTTTTTTAAAAAATCCAGTCATATGCTTTTTATTAGAGACGTATCTAAAATAAAATGACCCAGAACAATTGAAATAAAGTTTTGGAAAGAAAATAGCTAAAGTAAATGCCAATAAAAAGAAAATACCGTGATGTTAATTTGCATGCAATAAAATTCAAGATGAAAAATCATTACATAAAAAAAGGGGAATATTTTATATTAATGGAAGAAAAATCTATGAAAAAAGTAGAACAGTAAAAATGCTTAATCTGACAATATGACAGGGAAAGCATAAAATTGAAAATGTTAACTAATACAGAAAGAAATTGATGGGGTTGCGGGCAAGATGGCTGAACAGGAACAGCTCTGGTCTGCAGCTCCCAGCAAGATCAACACAGAAGGTGGGTGATTCCTGCATTTCCAACCGAGGTATCTGGCTCATCTCATTGGGACTGGTTAGACAGTGGATGCAGCTCACAGAGGGTGAGCCCCAAAACAGGGTGGGGCATCACCATATCCAGGAAGTTCAAGGGGTTGGGGAACTCCCTCCCCTAGCCAAGGGAAGCTGTGAGGGACTGTGCCATGAGGAATAGTGCACTCCAGCCCAGATATTGTGCTTTTCCCAGGGTCTTCTCAGCCTGCAGACTAAGAGATTCCCTCCAGTGCCTATGCCACCAGGGACCTGGGTTTCAAGCACAAAACTGGATGGCCATTTGGGCAGACACAGAGCTAGCTACAGGAGTTGTTGTTGTTTTTTTTTTTTTTTTTTTCATACCCCGGTGGCACCTGGAATGCCAGTGAGACAGAACTGTTCACTCCCCTGGAAAGGGGGCTGAAGCCAGGGAGCCAAGTGGTCTAGCTCAGCAGATCCCACCCCCACAGAGCCCAGCAAGCTAAGATCCACTGGCTTGAAATTCTCGCTGCCAGCACAGCAGTCTGAAGTCGATCTGGGACGCTTGAGCTTGGTTAGGGGAGGCTACAATAGGCGGTTTTCCCCTCACAGTGTAAACAAAGCCACCAGGAAGTTTGAACTGGGCAGAGCCCACCACAGCTCGGCAAAGCCACTGTAGCCAGACTGCCTCTCTAGATTCCACCTCTCTGGGCAGGGCATCTCTGAAAGAAAGGCAGCAGCCCCAGACAGGGACTTATAGATAAAACTCCCATCTCCCTGGGACAGAGCACCTGGGGGAAGGGGCAGCTGTGGGTACAGCTTCAGCAGACTTAAATGTTCCTGCCTGCCAGCTCTGAAGAGAGCAGCGGATCTCCCAGAACAGTGCTCAAGCTCTGCCAAGGGACAGACTGCTTCCTCAAGGGGGTCCCTGACCCGTGTGCCTCCTGACTGGAAGACACCTCCCAGTAGGAGCCAACAGACACTTCATAAAGGAGAGCTCTGGCTGGCATCTGGCGGGTGCCCCTCTGGGACGAAGCTTTAGGAGGAAGGAACAGGCAGCAATCTTTGCTGTTCTACAGTCTCCACTGGTGATACCCAGGCAAACAGGGTCTGGAGTAGACCACCAGCAAACTCCAGCAGACCTGCAGCAGAGAGGCCTGACTATTAGAAGGAAAACTACCCAACAGAAAGGAACAGCATCAACATCAATGAAAAGGATGTCCACAAAGAAACCCCATCTGAAGGTCACCAACATCAAAGACCAAAGGTAGATAAATCCACGAAGATGAGGAAAAAATCAGCACAAAAAGGCTGAAAATTCCAAAAACCAGAACTCTTCTTCCCCTCCAAAGGATCACAACTCCTCACCAGCAAGGGAATAAAACTGGACGGAGAATGAGTTTGATTAATTGACAGAAGTAGGCTTCATAAGGTGGGTAACGACAAACTCCTCCGAGCTAAAGGAGCATGTTCTAACCCAATGCAAGGAAGCTAAGACCTTGAAAAAAAGTTAGAGGAAGTGCTAACTAGAATAACCAGTTTAGAGAAGAACATAAATAACCTGATGGAGCTGAAAAACACAGCACAAGTACTTCATGAAGTATGCACAAGTATCAATAGCCGAATCGATCAAGTGGAAGAAAGGATATCAGAGATTGAAGATCAACTTAATGAAATAAAGCATGAAGACAAGATTAGAGAAAAAAGAATGAAAAAGAATGAACAAAACCTTCAAGAAATATGAGACTATGTGAAAAGACCAAACCTACATTTGATTCCTGCCTCAAAGTGACAGGGAGAATGGAACCAAGTTGGAAAACACTCTTCAGGATATTATTCAGGAGAACTTCCCCAACCTAGCAAGACAGGCCAACATTCAAATTCAGGAAATACAGAGAATACCACTAAGATACTCCTCAAGAAAAGCAACCCCAAGACACATAATTGTCAGATTCACCAAGGTTGAAATAAAGGAAAAAATGTTAAGGGCAGCCACAGAGAAAGGTTGGGTTACCCACCAAGGGAAGCCCCTCAGACTAACAGCGGATCTCTCTGCAGAAACCACACAAGCCAGAAGAGGGTGGGGGTCAATATTCACCTTTCTTAAAGAAAAGAATTTGCAACCCAGAACTTCATATCCAGCCAAACTAAGCATCATAAGTGAAGGAGAAATAAAATCCTTTACAGACAAACAAATGCTGAGACATTTTGGCACCACCAGGCCGGCCTTATGAGAGCTCCTGAAGGAAGTACTAAATATGGAAAGAAAAAACTGGTACCAGTCACTGCAAAAACATACCAAATTGTAAAGACCATCAACACTATGAAGAAACGGCATCAATTAACGGGCAAAATAACCAGCTAACATCATAATGACAGGATCAAAATCACACATAACAATATTAACCTTAAATGTAAGTGGGCTAAATGCCCCAATTAAAAGACAAAGACTGGCAAATTGGATAAAGAGTCAAGACCCATGAGTGTGCTGTATTCAGGAGACCCATCTCACATGCAAAGACATACATAGGCTCAAAATAAAGAGATGGAGGAATATTTACCAAGCAAACGGACAGCAAAGAAATGCAGGGGTTGCAATCCTAGTCTCTGATAAAACAGACTTTAAACCAACAAAGATCAAAAAAGACAAAGAAGGACATTACATAGTGGTAAAGGGATCAATGCAACAAGAAGAGCTAACTATCCTAAAAATATATGCACCCAATACAGGAGGACCCAGATTCATAATGCAAGTTCTTTTTTTTCTTTTTTTTTTGATACAGAGTTTTGCTCTTGTTGCCCAGGCTGGAGGGCATTGGCTTGATCTCAGTTGACTGCAACCTCCCCCTCCTGTTTCAAGCGATTCTCCTGCCTCTGCCTCCCATGTAGCTGTGATTACAGGCATTCATGCCACCACACCCGGCTAATTTTGTATTTTTACTAGAGATGGGGTTTCTCCATGTTGGTCAGGCTGGTCTCGAACTCCCAACCTCAGGTGATCCTCCTGCCTCGACCTCCCAATGTGCTGGGATTACAGGTGTGAGCCACCGTGCCCAGCCAGTAATGCAAGTTCTTAAAGGCCTACAGAGAGACTTAGAGTCCCCGACAATAATAGTGGGAGACATTAATATCCCACTGTCAATATTAGACAGATCAACGAAAACAGAAAATTAACAAGAATATCCAGGACTTGAACTCAGCTCTGGACCAAGCAGACCTAATAGACATCTACAGAACTCTCCACCCCAAATCAACAGAATATATATTCTTCTCAACACCATATTGCACTTATTCTAAAATTGACTTCATAATTAGAAGTAAAACACTCCTCAACAAATACAAAAGAACAGAAATCATAACAAATAGTCTCTCAGGCCACAGTGCTACCAAAATAGAACTCAGGATTAAGAAACTCACTCAAAACCTCACCACTACATGCAAACTGAACAACCTGCTCCTGAATGACTACTGGGGAAATGACAAAATTAAGGCAGAAATAAATAAGTTCTTTGAAACCAATGAGAATAAAGACACAATGTAGCAGAATCTCTGAGACACAGCTAAAGCAGTGTTTAGAGGGAAATTTATAGCACTAAATGCCCACAGGAGAAAGTGGGAAAGATCTAAAATCGACACCCTAACATCACAATTGAAAGAACTAAGAAAGCAAGAGCAAACAAATTCAAAACCTAGAGGAAGACAAGAAATAAATAAGACCAGAGCAGAACTGAGGGAGATAGAGACACAAAATACCCTTCAAGACATCAATGAATCTAGGACTTGGTTTTTTGAAAAGATTAACAAAATAGATAGACTGCTACCCAGACTAATAAGAAAAGAGAGAAGAATCAAATAGACACAATAAAAAATGATAAAGAGGATATCACCACGGATCCCACAGAAATACAAACTACCATCACAGAATACTATAAACACCTCTACACAAATAAACTACAAAATCTAGAAGAAATGGATAAATTCCTGGATACATATACCCTCCCAAGTCTAAACCAGGAAGAATTCAAATCCCTGAATAGACCAATAACAAGTTCTGAAATTGAGGCAGTAATTAATAGCCTACCAACCAAACAAAGCTCAGGACCAGACGGGATCACAGCTGAATTCTACCAAAGGTCCAAAGAGGAGCTGGTATCATTCCTTCTGACACTATTCCAAACAATAGAAAAAGAGGGAATCCTCCCTAACTCATTTTATGAGGGCAGCATCATCCTGATACAAAAACCTGGCAGAGACACACACAAAAAAAGAAAATTTCAGGCCAATATCCCCGGAACATAGATGCAAAAATCCTCAATAAAATACTGGCAAACCGAATCCAGCAGCACGTCAAAAACCTTATCCACCACAATCAAGTCGGCTTCATCCCTGGGATGCAAGGCTGGTTCAACATACACAAATCAATAAATGTAATCCATCACATAAACAACACCAATGACAAAAACCACATGATTATCTCAATAGATGCAGACAAGGCATTCAACAAAATTCAACAGCTCTTCATGCTAAAAACTCTCAATAAACTGGGTATCGATGGACTGTATCTCAAAATAAAAAGAGCTATTTAGGACAAACCCAAAGCCAATATCATACTGAATGGGCAAAAACTGGAAGCATTCCCTTTGAAAACCAGCACAAAGCAAGGATGCCCTTTCTCACCACTCCTATTCAACATAGTGTTGGAAGTTCTGGCCAGGGCAATCAGGCAAGAGAAAGAAATAAAATGTATTCAAATAGGAAGAGAGGAAGTCAAATTGTCTCTGTTTGCAGATGACTTGATTTTATATTTAGAAAACCCCATGGTCTCAGCCCAAAATCTCCTTAAGCTAATAAGCAACTTCAGCAAAGTCTCAGGATACAGAATCAATGTGCAAAATAACAGGCATTCCTACACACCAATAGTAGACAAACAGAGAGCCAAATCATACTGAACTCCTATTCAAAATTGCTACAAAGAGAATAAAATACCTAGGAATACAACTTACAAGGGATGTGAAGGACCTCTTCAAAGAAAACTACAAACCACTGCTCAACAGTGCTAACTTTGACAGAAATATCCCTGGACTAAAGAAAGCTAGTTTCCCAGACTTACAAGGGTTAATGAACACATATTTTGAGGACATTTAACACTCTATATTACATCTTATTCTGCACCTATCAAGCAGATTATTGATATGTAAACTGGTTTTCAGAGGATACCTTCAGTACAGATAACAGGATCTCATTGTCAAGTCAGGTTTATTTTACATTACAATTTCTTTGGGGTTCTTTTTGTGTTTTTTTGGGAGATGGAGTTTCACTCTTGTCACCCAGCTGGAGTGCAATGGCGTGATCTCAGCTCACTGCAATCTCTGCCTCCCGGGTTCAAGTGATTCCCCTGCCTCAGCCTCCCGAGCAGCTGGATTACAGGCATGCACCACCATGCCTGGCTAATTTTTTGTATTTTAGTAGGGATGGGGTTTCACCATGTTGGCCAGGATGGTCTCCATCTCCTGACCTCATGATCCGCTCGCCTCAGCCTCCCAAAGTGCTGGGATTACAGGCATGAGCCACTGTGCCCGGCCCACATTACAATTTCTTAAATTTTCCCTCAAAAAGACCAATCAGTTGCTTGCCAGTTTAGTTAGCATTTCTCAGTCTTGATGAGCTTTGAGCAACCTGGTAGAACTACATCTGCATGCTCTAAGGCCACGAAGATGTCCTTTATATATATATATATATATATATATATTTAATTATACTTTAAGTTTTAGGGTACATGTGCACAATGTGCAGGTTAGTTACATATGTATACATGTGCCATGCTGGTGCACTGCACCCACTAACCCGTCATCTAGCATTAGGTATATCTCCCAATGCTATCCCTTCCCCCTCCCCCCACCCCACAACAGTCCCCAGAGTGTGATGTTCCCCTTCCTGTGTCCATATGTTCTCATTGTTCAATTCCCACCTACGAGTGAGAATATGCAGTGTTTGGTTTTTTGTTCTTGCGATAGTTTACTGAGAATGATGATTTCCAATTTCATCCATGTCCCTACAAAGGACATGAACTCCTCCTTTTTTATGGCTGCATAATATTCCATGGTGTATATGTGCCACATTTTCTTAATCCAGTCTATCATTGTTGGACATTTGGGTTGGTTCCAAGTCTTTGCTATTGTGAATAGTGCCGCCATAAACATACGTGTGCATGTGTCTTTATAGCAGCATGATTTATAGTCCTTTGGGTATATACCCAGTAATGGGATGGCTGGGTCAAATGGTATTTCTAGTTCTAGATCCCTGAGGAATCGCCACACTGACTTCCACAATGGTTGAACTAGTTGACAGTCCCACGAACAGTGTAAAAGTGTTCCTATTTCTCCACATCCTCTCCAGCACCTGTTGTTTCCTGACTTTTTAATGATTGCCATTCTAACTGGTGTCAGACGATATCTCATTGTGGTTTTGATTTGCATTTCTCTGATGGCCAGTGATGGTGAGCATTTTTTCATGTGTCTTTTGGCTGCATAAATGTCTTCTTTTGAGAAGTGTCTGTTCATGTCCTTCGCCCACTTTTTGATGGGGTTGTTTGTTTTTTTCTTGTAAATTTGTTTGAGTTCATTGTAGATTCTGGATATTAGCCCTTTGTCAGATGAGTAGGTTGCGAAAATTTTCTCCCATTTTGTGGGTTGCCTGTTCACTCTGATGGTAGCTTCTTTTGCTGTGCAGAAGCTCTTTAGTTTAATTAGATCCCATTTGTCAGTTTTGGCTTTTGTTGCCATTGCTTTTGGTGTTTTAGACATGAAGTCCTTGCCCATGCCTATGTCCTGAATGGTAATGCCTAGGTTTTCTTCTAGGATTTTTATGGTTTTAGGTCGAACGTTTAAGTCTTTGAATTGATTTTTGTATAAGGTGTAAGGAAGGGATCCAGTTTCAGCTTTCTACATATGGCTAGCCAGTTTTCCCAGCACCGTTTATTAAATAGGGAATCCTTTCCCCATTGCTTGTTTTTCTCAGGTTTGTCAAAGATCAGATAGTTGTAGATATGCGGCGTTATTTCTGAGGGCTCTGTTCTGTTCCATTGATCTATATCTCTGTTTTGGGACCACTACCATGCTGTTTTGGTTACTGTAGCCTTGTAGTATAGTTTGAAGTCAGGTAGTGTGATGCCTCCAGCTTTGTTCTTTTGGCTTAGGATTGACTTGGCAATGCAGGCTCCTTTTTGGTTCCATATGAACTTTAAAGTGGTTTTTTCCAATTCTGTGAAGGAAGTCATTGGTAGCTTGATGGGGATGGCATTGAATCTATAAATTACTTTGGGCAGTATGGCCGTTTTCATGATATTGATTCTTCCTACCCATGAGCATGGAATGTTCTTCCATTTGCTTGTGTCCTCTTTTATTTAGTTGAGCAGTGGTTTGTAGTTCTCCTTGAAGAGGTCCTTCACGTCCCTTGTAAGGTGGATTCCTAGGTATTTTATTCTCTTTGAAGCAATTGTGAATGGGAGTTCACTCATGATTTGGCTCTCTGTTTGTCTGTTATTGGTGTATAAGAATGCTTGTGATTTTTTATATAAAGAACACAGTAGCTTCCCTTTTGCTTCTGCCTTCATTTGCAATAGATATTTATTATCAAAATAGGAAATTACCAATAATAAATACCCAACTTATTAACATTTATTTACTGTTTGGCCATTTTCTAAAAATGTATTTATTTAATTTGCCTATACCCAATGAATGGACAACACCAAAAAAAAAGAAAATTATACAAGACAAAAATTTCCAAGATCTTCTTTCATTTGAAAAAATCATTAGTCTATTCCCAAAAGCTTGACTTGTGTTGACTTGGTCCCAAGGCATCCTACAACTGCAGAAACACAGGGTCAGGAAGAGAGAGGGAAATGGGAACCCAGCACCATGCAGAATGGAGCTGGGGAAATTGAGAGCTACAAACTCTGGTCTGAAACATACTGAAACTCTGGTATGTTTCCTGGCTACAAACATGCAGCCAGGAAATTCCAGCAACAAAACTGAAGAATGGATAGGGGCACAGATTTATTCCTAATTATGGAAGCCTTTGGGATTGAGCACCCATTTAGGCATTAGGACATAAGAAGGAGAAATCCAGATAATAGTCAAAAACTCAGTAGGCAAGCAGGTATTCTCATAATTGTCTGATAGGAATCTCAAGCTTAAAATGCCTACACCGAACGCTTGATTTGATCCCCTAAATCTCTCCTTTCCTACAACTCATTTAATGGAATCACCCAGTAGTTAAAGCCAGAACCTAAAAGTCATCATTGATTGCATTCTTCCCTCTGCACAACCCTCATGAATCTTCCCTCACAGTCCCCCTCACAGTAGCAACAAATCCAGTTGATGCTACTTCCAAATATCTCAGATCTGCCCATTTCTTTCTCTTTCCACATCTACCATCTTAGTCTAAGCCACCATCCTCTCTCACATAGGCTACAGTGATGACTTGACTCATTTCCATGCTTTCTCCCTTACCTGCTATATTCTGTGCTGCACACAGCAGCCATATTCATGCAAAGTTTGGAGCAGCCAACTTAGACC
The DNA here is from genome assembly GCF_000001405.40 of Homo sapiens. NCBI lineage: Eukaryota > Metazoa > Chordata > Mammalia > Primates > Hominidae > Homo > Homo sapiens. Next base: position 106,296,318 of record NC_000007.14, on the reverse strand, counting down.
ACAGCATGAAGGCCTGGAGTTCAGAATGGCACAGCAAGAAGACAGAGCATAGATTCCTGAACCATTATGCCATTCTTGCACTGCTTATTCTCAAAGTAAATTAAATGTTATTGAAGCCACCGTGTTTTTGGGTTTTGTGACAGCCAACTAAGTATAACTGCATCTTAATCCATAATTTATGAGGGGGAATGCAATCTAAGGAAGGACATGGCCTTAAAAGAAGCAAAGCCTGTCCCATCTTTCCCTGCCAGAAGGCCCCTGCAAACATGGCATCATGACCTCAAAGGAAAATACAGCCTGTGCATCATAAGGTGCTGGAAGTGACAAAGTGAGTAATGGTTCATGGTAAGATTTCAGCAGAGCAAGGCTAAAGTATACCTGAGGGGACAGAAAACTGTCCTTTAGAAGGAGGAAAACTTATTATTGGGTAATATATGTTTCCCTATAAGATTATTTGCCCCTAGAAGGCAGAGATTTTTATCACATCAATCCCTATAGGCCCAACAGGGTCTTGAGCATAGTAAGTACTCAAGAGATATTAATGAAATTGCATAAAGGCCTTTCTGAGATGTGCCACCACTTTGAGACCAGCCTGAGCTTGCTTTCCCTCTTTGTCATTTGATAATTGTGAATTTTTAAGTCTATTAATTACTCTGTGTACATTTGATATTAAACTCCTAGGCAAAATTTGTTGCATTGCTTTGTTTTATATACCAGCCAGAATAGTACCACATGGAATTAGATGCCTAATAAATGCTTTCAGATGGTAGTAATGACAAAAAGAGCTCACATTAAGTTTTTTTGTTTGTTTGTTTGTTTTTTGAGACAGAGTCTCGCTCTGTCGCCAGGCTGGAGTGCAGTGGCGCAATCTCGGCTCACTGCAACCTCTGCCTCCCAGGTTCAAGTGATTCTCCTGCCTCAGCCTCCCAAGTAGCTGGAACTACAGGCACACACCACCACGCCCAGCTAATTTTTTTGGTATTTTTAGTAGAGACAGGGTTTCACCAACATTAAGTTTTTAAAATCTAGGCATGATATGTTAAAAAGGATTTAGATTGTACCTAACAACAGTTATTGACAACATGAGAGCTGATACTGTGTTAGATTCTGTATAATGATATAATGCACACATGATGTAAGGTTATAAAGAAACAAGATTAGGTCAATAAGTGTATATGAGAGTAAGTCGTCTTTGTCATTACTCCTCAGAGATATTAATGATCATCCTGGAAAAAAGTACAAATATTTTTGCTAGCCCATACACAATTTTTCTGAGCCTGCATAAGGAGTAAACATGGCTTTCTGTTGCTTTAAATTAGCAAAAATTGGGTTGGGGGATGGGAGGACAGAAGAATGAAGAAGTAGGATATTAATCTACATATCCTGCTCAGGTTGATTCTGGAGTACCAGGAAAGTCACTAGGAGTTCTATTTGCCCTAAGACTGCCTTGGGCTGTGGGAAGAAATTATTAAGAGGTCTTTGGGAATGGTGGAACTGTCTGGAAAGGTGAGATTATTACTTCCTAACAAAGGAGACGTGGGAGGCCAACTGTAGGGGCAGGTTCCTTTATTTAGACATAGAATTCACTCTGAGGCAGGAGACACCCAAGGCACCTGGGATCTTAGTTGGCAGTGATGTGGTGATCACTGATGTTGCTCACACGATGGCCATTCCTAACTCCCTTCTTCCTTGCTGGCAGAGCTTTCCTCCCATTGTAGAAACTAAGTATGCCAGCTTTCTCCCTGTTCAGCCTCCCTTGCAGATACAGCATGGGTGCTTATCCAATATTGGCCAGTAGGGCCCAAGGGAAATATGCTAGAGGCTTCTGGGAAAGGTTTTCACATCTAATAAAAAGAGAGAGAGATGTACACAAAACAAAACACCAGTTTCCCTTCTTGCTTCTGTGTTTTTGTGTGAGGCCATGATGCTTAGAGCTATGGTAAGCATCTTGTGACCACACACGGACAAATCTTCAATACATTGAGGATAACAGAAGGAAAAGAATAGGAAAGAGCCAAGAATCCTGATATTTTTGAGTTACTGACCCAACCCTAGGAAAGCCTACCTCAAGACTTCCTGTTGTGGAGGAAATTAGCTCTCTATTCCTTAAGCCACCTTTAATGTGCTATTGTGTTACAACCAAAAGCATCCTAACAGAAAAGTGAGGAGGGACCTTTTTATTAAAACAGGATGGTACCATTCAAATATCCTCTAGGTAAACTCTTGGAAAGTTGTCCTAAGGGTATCTGAGGTGAGAGAACCATGAAAGCCAGAATACTTTTGAAATGTGTTTAAGAGTGACAGTCACTGATGGACTAAGAGCCTTATTCAGCAGTACAATTTACAAAGCATGAAACTACCAGATGAGCACAGCTGTAGGAAATGTGGCTGCAGAAGGATGGCAGTCAGGCTAGAAGAGGCCACCCTGCATCAGAATAAAGAGCAATGAGAATGACCCCAAAATCCAAAAGTGATCAATGCATTGAAATAAGTCTCAGAGAAGCAGCCCCCAACCTTTTTGGCATGAAGGACTGGTTTTGTGGAAGGCAATTTTTCCACAGTGGGCAGGGTGGGGCGGGGGTGGAGGGTTGGATGGTTTCAGGATGAAACTGTTCTACCTCAGATCATCAGGCATTAGATTCTCATAAGAAGCATGCATCCTAGACCCCTTGCATGCACAGTTCACAATAGGGGTCATGCTCCTATGTGAATCTAACGCAGTTGATCTGACAGGAGGCGGAGCTCAGACAGTAGTGCTTGCTTGCCCACTGCTCGCCTCCTGCTGTGCACCCACCACAGGGTCCCTAACAGACCACTGACAGGTGCCAATCCACAGCTCAGGGACTGGGAACTCCTGTCTTAGAGACAGTGAGAAGGGAAGGTGTATTAGTCCATTCTCACACTGCTATAAAGAACTACCTGAGACTGATGATTTATAAATAAAAGGTTTAATTGGCTCATGGTTCTGCAGGTTGTACAGGAAGCACGGCTGTGGAGGCCTCAGGAGTCTTAGCATCGTGGCAGAAATCAAAGGGGAAGTAGGCAGGTCTTATGTGGCTGGAGCAGGAGGGAGAGAGAAGAGGGGAGGTGCTGCAAGCTTTTAAACAACCAGATCTTTGAGAATTCACTCACTATCACGAGAACAGCAAGGGGAAAATCTGCCCCCATGATCCAGTCACCTCCCACCAGGCCCCTCCTCCAACACTGGGGATTACAATTCAACATGAAATTTGGGCAGAGACACAAATCCAAACCGTATCAGAGGGGCTGGGATAATTTGGAAGGGAAAGAGAGGACTTTACGTCCTAAACCATTGTGTTTGTTTCACAAATTGTTGGTTATTCCACAAAGTTGGTATGACCGGGGGAAACAAAAGAAAATCTAGAATGATGACTATGTGTCTATAGCATCATAGGTGCAGTTCAGCAGAACAGAACATTTAAAAACCCTTGGCAAGAGCCAGGGGCTTTAATTATGTTGGGTTATTTTAATTAAACAGTATGCACAGACATGCTGTCAGTTTTTAGGATAGTGCCATGTTCATTCTTACTGAGTTTAAATAAATTTGAAGAGCAGATCAATTTCCTTACATGCAACTTACAGTGTAATATATCTGTGCAGAATCCAGTCCATGTGTCTAACTCCAAAATTCTGAATTTCAGAGAAGGCCACAGCCATTCTTCTTTGCATGAGGAGCCCCCCGACATTCTATGAATAATAGAGAAAAGTATTTTGGGACTGATAGGTGGCCCCAGGACAGTATAATATGATTAACACCCCAGACAAATATGTGATACACAGTGTTCCCTAGCCTCTGATTAACAGATGTTATAGATGAATAGGAAACTCACCATCAGGAAAGAAAGAGGTGTATAGCCTAGGCCTAGGACTCCCCGTTGTGTGTGTAAATTTTGAGGTAGGAAACAGTGATTTCTTCTGGAACCTACAGCCAAGGTCCATGCTGTACTACTGTGAAGTAATAATAGGTTCAGCTTTCCTTTGGAGGAAATGCTCTCTTGCCCTGGTTTCAGAAGAAAAAAACGAGGAATAATGGTTAGAAGAGGCAAAGACAACAAATTATTATTTTTTCCTGGTGTTACTAGCCAATATCTGCAAAATACAACCAGCTTGTGTTGCAGGACTTTTCCTTAGTTCAGCTAAAGATGGCATTCTTTGTCCCATGGCCATGAAATTTCAGGCTCTCAGACAATTTGAACCGTGAGTAAGACAGGGTTTTATTGGGTGAAAAGGAAGAAAAGGGGGAAACAGGGACTCTCACAAGACCAGAATCCCGGCTAGAGTGCTTCCCACCTGGCTGTTTGAATCCCAGGTTCTACTCAAGAAGAGGAGGGGCCAGGCTTCTCCCCACTGCAAAGGGTGCGAACTTCCCAAGTCTCCCCCTCAGTGGGCAGGCTGGTTGGAGTTTCTCCAGGGACCCCCTCTCGCCTGGCTGTCTCACTTGTATGGCCAAAGTGTCAGTGCCACAGCCACATAGACCAGAATAGGTAAGAAAAGAAAATACAGATGGGAGGTGGAAACCTCTTTTTTGGAAAAATAGAGAGAAGTTGGGATAACTGGAAAAGGAAGTGGTGTCTAAGAAGAGTTTGATTATTCATTTGGTTTTGTTAAGATGGGAGATATTCACATATGTCTATGTGCTAAGGAGAAGTCAACAGAAAGGGAGTGCTTGAAAAGTTCAGAAGAGAGAAGTGACAACTGAGGGAAGGGACCCAATGAGACTGGTGGAGGTTGGGGAGATTAACCTGGGGCAAAAGGAGGAACATTTCGCTTCCTGAGCCAGGAGAAGAAAGAAAACAGTGTGTGTGGAGCCCTGTACCTGTCAAGGTTAACCAGGTCATACTGTGGCAACAATCCCACAATCTCTGTGGCTTACAACAGAAAAGATTTATTTCTCTTTCATACCCGTGTCCGGAACCAGTTGGCTCTGACTTGATTCCATGTTGTCCACATTTCAGGATTTAAGTGAGAGGATTGGCTCATATCTGGAATACTGCAGTCTCGGTGGCAGAAGGAAAAGAGAGAATGCCAAACCATGCACAAGCTCTTAAAGCTGCTGCTGGGAAGGGAAACACACCATCTCGGTACACATTTCATGGCCGAAGCAACTCCCACGATCATGTCTGAGTTCACAAGAACAGGGACATAGAGAGGGGCTGTGAATATGGAGAACAACCCAGTAGACAGGGGCTTTGACTTTGGGCAAAAAATATAATCTACTACTGGGCCATCCTGCTTTTGCCGGTGAAAAAGTTGCTCCTTCATTCACTCAATAAATATTGAGTAAGCCCCTACTTTGCACCTGGTGCTACACTTTTCTCATAGACCTCTAAATAAGACAGACCTTTGGTCTTGTAGATATTACAATTTAGAGAATTTCCACCTGATGGCCTTGGTTTTTCTTACTGGCATAGGGGACTACATCATCTGCCAAGAGAAAGTTGTTTGAAGGTAAGGAGTTTGAGGAGAGAGGTAAATATTTCAAATCACCACTAAACAAAAAGAGAAGGAAAGCTGAATGGGGGAAATAAATGGATTGCCTGTCAGCATTACATGTGTCACTATGGTTGGCAACCTCATGGCTATGTTCCCTGTCAGTGCTCAGTCTCCTGGATACTCTAAGAGCAAAAAAGGTAAGGATCTGGGGGACCGGAGGGCTAGGAGACACAGGAGCCAGAGATGATGTTGACAATACGAAGTAATACGGTCGGGCTAGGTAATAAGAAAGGAAGGAAAGTCATGTGGGCAAATGCTGAGCAAGAGACAAAGGTCTTGGGAGCTAAGATTAGGTGTATTGGGAGGGGAGTGAGTGACCTAGAAAGGCAGGACGAACTGATCAAGAAATGCATTGCTGCAGTTCAAGGTTTCACAGGTGGGGCAGTTCTTGATCTAGAAGAGTCCAGGGTGTGGAAGCTGGGTGGGGACTGGTTTATGATTATTCAGGTCTTAATTGTTCCTGAGACACTGTCCCTGTAGTCAAGGGTTATGTCCATGTGCAGCTTTATATTAATTGACTCGAATGCTGAGTTTCCTGGGAATAATGAATTAACTACCTATCCTGTTGTGTCTCCCCCTCCCCAATCCAGACCCCAGTCATTTCACACTTGCTTGGAAAAAAGAGCTGAGAAAAAGATAACATTTCTTTTTAAAGTCCTCCAGTGCTTCTTTGTATGGTACTGTCTGTATACTAGGTGTTCATACATTCCTCCTGAATTGAGTCACATTGAGATTGTTCCCTTTTCTGCTTCCTACTCAATAGCAGGATTTTTCAGACTCCTTTTGGCATCTGAAAACATTCAGCAACTTCAAGAACTGTCCTTCCTTGGAGGAGGGCAAAAATGGTGCTCATCCCCTATCACGTAAAGCAACATGGTAACAACACAAGGTAAGAATGGAAACAGAGGAAACAAAATGGGAGAAGAGGGGAAAATATTTAAAATGATTACAAGAAAATCAGTCTTTTTTAGTTCAGTTTTATTAAGATCTAATTTATATGCTATTCACCAACTTTAAGCTTAGAATTCAGTGAATTTTGACAAATGTATACAGTCGTATAACCACATATATCATTCTCATCACCCCAAGAAGTTTCCTCAGACCTGCTTGCAGTCATTCTGCTTCTCATAATCCCAGTCTCTGACAACCACTGATCTGCTCTCTTTCATTATAACTTTGCCCTTTCCAGAATTTCAAATAAATGGAATCAGACATATAGCCTTTCATGTTCAGCTTCCTCAAGAAAACCAGTCTTATATGGAGGATGTGAAAACAGCATATAGGTTAGGGAAAGGTAAGAAAAAGAAATAGAAAGTTCACCAGTCTGAGTGCCCACCTCCTTCAGCTTCATCCTAAGTAATAATACCCCTCCCACAAAAAATCAGGTTTTATGTGCTAGTTACATTTTTAAATACTCATTAGAGGCCAAAGGCAGTGGCTTATGCCTGTAATCCTAGCATTTTGGGAGGCCAAGGTGGGCAGATCACTTGAGGTCAAGAGTTCAAGACCAGCCTGGCCAGCATGGTGAAACCCCTTCTCTACTAAAAATATAAAAGTTAGCCAAGCATAGTGGTACATGCCTGTAGTCCCAGCTACTCAAGAGACTGAGGCACGAGAATCACTTGAACCTGAGAAGTAGAGGTTGCAGTGAGCTGAGATCGGACCACAGCACTCCAGCCTGGGTGATAGAGCGAGACTCCATCTCAAAAAACAAACAAAACAAAACTCATTTAAGATAAGTACATAATTATTAAAGACAAAAACATGTATCTTAGTACCATTGATAGTTATTTCATGTACATCAATGATAAGCAGACCTCACTTAGGAAAACACTGATTTCAAAGCTCTTGACATTCCTATATACTTCAAACGGTCTTATTCTCTCAGTCATTGATATGGGCTAGCAACTCTTAAATTTGGGCCATTAGCAAAATTTGTAAGTAATGATGACATTGGAATCCCCACATGTGGCATCATAATGTGCATGTTTACCTTACTTTTAAAGGTGAATTTAAACCTTTTATTTTTGTTTATCTTTATTTCCCATTGAATTTGGTTGGAATTAGAAAAATGTATGCTTGAATATAATGGAAAACAAAAACACAACTAATAGAGACGGGAAAATCGAGACTTGCCATGCAGCAAACATAGATTGCGATAGACGTCCTGTGTGAAATTTGAAGACAGTTTCAAGTCAGATAGATGATCGACTCAGCATTGCCGGTTAGGAGAGTGCAGCACAGTCAGACCACAAAGACACCATAGAAAGGGCATAATTACATTTTGCAATGGAATGTCTGTGGATAGTCTATATATGTGCACTCATTCTTACTGTGTGTGGATGACAGTTGCTCTATCATTTTTGTACATTTAGACGAGGACTCCATAGTTTCCTGTGCCTCTCTTTGTGTGATTGTACAGGCTTAGCCGACTGAGTCATTACAGAGTGTAACACTGATAAATCATTGAATCTGTGAAGACCGTGTCTTTCTGTGGATGAGGCCTTTCCCTAGGAAATTAAAACTCTGGGAGGTTCCCAAAGGGCCTTGGAAGTTTGAATAAGAAAAAAAGTCCAAGTTTAATTTTTAAAAGCTCTCTTTTTCACATTTGTCTTTGTGACAACTGTTGCTAATTGGCGAGTCTAGAGGAGATTATAAAGGGAGATGGATAAGACCATCGTCAGGGGTTGCAGGTAGGTGAGTTCCATACCTACTTCACCAGTGTTTTTTACTGAGGTCAAATCAGGTCAGATTGGAGTATCTGAGGCAACTTTGAAATATAAAGGTGCACCCGAGGCTGTCTGCAAGGGTGTGTGGCAACAGGAGTGGCACAGATACACTCACTTTGCCTGAACAAATATATGAGCCCTAGGTCTTTCATAGCACTCTGAGGGAGGGAGACAAGGAGCTGCATGCCCAATTGGCAGTGCCTGATTGCTATTTGGTAGGATGGTATAATAATCCAGGGCTTTGAATCAAGTGAGGGGGCCCATTTGAGTCTATGTGTTATTATTTGTCATGTTGTTGTGACCTATGAAAAACAGTTTCTCAGGTCCTCTACATGCTACAACCTCCCCGGGCTCAGGCAATCCTCCCACGTCAGTCTCCTTTCAGAGAAGCTGGGACTACAGGCACATGCCACCACGTCCAGCTAATTTTTGTATTTTTTGTAGAGATGGGTTTTCACCATGTTGCCCAGGCTGGTCTCAAAATCCTGGGCTCAAGTGATCAGCCCGCCTCAGCCTCCCAAAGTGCTGGGATTACAGGTGTGAGCCACCACGTCCAACCTTAATGCTAGCTGTTAAACTGTCTTTCAGGGGAGGCCATTTTAAAATGAAATCTTGGCTCTGTTTTCAGTGATAATTTCATAGTTCTAAACCCCAATTAATTCTGAATTGCTCCAGCTTAAGCATGTAGTTACATAGAGAATGTGCCTATTTCTATCTCAGGCAAATGGTGATTGTCCTATTGGTAACATGACTTCATTGTCATTTTTTTTCTCTGGAGACTACTGTGAGGATTCACATTACTAATACTTGTGCAGGCCTCACTCCTTAATTTAACAAGCAATGTCAATACAATATTTTTTCTTTGCACAGATATAAGACCTTTTTATTTTAAAACTGCAAATTCAACTCAAAGATTGCAAGATCAAATTTTGCATCTTAAAAAAATACTACCATAAACAAAGCCCACATTATAATCAGAATCCTACTTTCTTTTCTGCATAAAGCAGCATAGAACAACGGTCATTTATAGATACATGAATTCCAGGAAGCTAAACAAATAAGAATTTGTACTATAAGTAAAGTAGGTTATATAAATTTTAAATGAAGGAAAAAACACCAAATTAAGGACAAAAATTATCTTTTTCCTTCTTTGAATTGCACTCCTTGAAATAATATAAAAAAACTCCCAAAATCAAATATTAAAAAATAATTTGTTTAGGCCGGGCGCGGTGGCTCACGTCTGTAATCCCAGCACTTTGGGAGGCCGAGGCGGGAGGATCACGAGGTCAGGAGATCGAGACCATCCTGGCTAAGACGGTGAAACCCCATCTCTACTAAAAATACAAAAAATTAGCCGGGCGTGGTGGCGGGCGCCTGTAGTCCCAGCTGCTTGGGAGACTGAGGCAGGAGGATGGCGTGAACCAGGGAGGCGGAGCTTGCAGTGAGCCGAGATCCAGCCACTGCACTCCAGCCTGGGCGACAGAGCGAGACTCCGTCTCAAAATAGAAATAATAATTTGTTTAAATGCGTTTACAAATAATTTTCCCCGGTAAAACACAGGGAAGATCAACCAATAAATACATAAGCCCTCTTGTTTCAAACCTCGTTGCTGAAAATAATTGTAAGTGTACTAGTATTTACTACATTGGTGAGTGCCTGGTGATACCTTCCACTTCCATGATCTTTGCCCTGTATTGTATCTACGTGTAGATGAGGTGATTGTCAAAAATATATACTGACTTCAAGACATAGTGTTGACTGAGGTTGTCTTTATTAGAAGTCTCAGCCATGCCTCCAGTTTCGAGATGAATCTCAATTCACAAGTTCCACTATGAATCTCAATTCACAAGTTCCACTACCACCACCACCATCACTGCCCCCAGATAGAATGAGACTTCTAATAACTTGAAAGACAAGTCTATAAATATCCTGTAATCGTTTTCACTGTATCACTTTTTCCTGGCTACTTTTATCCGATAAAAACCTCAATTTATTTTTAAGCTATTAAACATGCGGACAAAGGGAATCTTAGTTTTATGCAAAAACGCAACCACGCATGAGAACTGCGCAAGTCTTTCTTGGAATGGTCTGTATTTGGGTGAAGTCATCAGACGTCATTACACTTCTTTATTTTGGGGTTGCCAACTCGTTTCCCAGGATTTAAAGACTATAACGATGATAAAAGTCAGTGTCGCACCCTGTCAAAGGCTTGGCCCGTTGCCTTTTCCTTCCCGGCAATACTCGGTTCAATTAGGTCTTGTCCCCTCATTATCTGTGAGGACTGAATTCCACCCCCGCTTTTCAACGCAGGCTCTTTGCTCGGGAAAAGTCAAACCATCTCTCAAAGGATCAAAGAGCTCAGCCATAGACAGAGCCGCCGGAGGAAAGCGGAGTCGCTGCATCAGATGAAAGGGGCCCCTCAGCCTCACTCCTCACCGCAGCTCCTGGGATCTTAAAGACAGGGTCAGGAGGATCAGGAGGGACAAGAGGGATGGAGGCGAAAGGCTGGATCCTTAATCCAGGCCGGAGACAAAGGTGAGTAACTGCGCGTGGTGGACGGGAAGATGGGCAGTAGGAGGCTCCTCGCCCCCTAGCCGGGTGGCGTGACTTCAGGAGGACCCAGAAAACCGGCCAGGACTGGGTAGGACGGAAGGTCCCAGGCGGGGCGGGCGAACCGGCTCCTCGTGGCACTGGCAAAGCTGGGAACGCCCCCTCCAGGCCCCGCCCTCCCGCGCCCGTGCCGGGAACTCGAACTTAGGTAAGCGCCCGGGTCACGCGCCGGGGCTGCCCCGCTGCCTCCAGCTTCCCAGAGCTGGCGTCTGGGAGGAAGAGCGCGTGCATCACGTCCTCCTCCCCGCCCCGCCTCCGCGCACTGCGCAGCGCGCTGCCGCGCCCCGCCCTTTCTCGGCCCCCGGAGGGTGACGGGGTGAAGGCGGGGGAACCGAGGTGGGGAGTCCGCCAGAGCTCCCAGACTGCGAGCACGCGAGCCGCCGCAGCCGTCACCCGCGCCGCGTCACGGCTCCCGGGCCCGCCCTCCTCTGACCCCTCCCCTCTCTCCGTTTCCCCCTCTCCCCCTCCTCCGCCGACCGAGCAGTGACTTAAGCAACGGAGCGCGGTGAAGCTCATTTTTCTCCTTCCTCGCAGCCGCGCCAGGGAGCTCGCGGCGCGCGGCCCCTGTCCTCCGGCCCGAGATGAATCCTGCGGCAGAAGCCGAGTTCAACATCCTCCTGGCCACCGACTCCTACAAGGTAAAGCTCGGGGCCCGGGCAGATGAGGAGGAGCGGGGCGCGCTGGGGACGAGCGCGCGGCAGGGGGGCGGGGGCGGCTGGGGCTGGGGTTGGGGCTGGGGCTGGGGCTAGGGTCGCGGCGCGGGGAGGCCCGGGGGAGGCGCGGGCGGCGGCGGCTGGGGCAGGTGAGGAGGCGCCGCAGTGGGCAGGAGGTGGCTTGAGGAGGATGGAGGGCTGGGCGGTGGAGGCGGGGCCTGGGGGCGCGCGGCGGCGGCGGCGCGGCGGGGGGCTGAGGCGGGCCCCAGCGGACTCCCGGGCGCCGGTGCTCGGGGCTCGGGGCTCGGGGCTTGGGCGTCGCCGGCGAGCGCATGCCCTTCCCTGAAGCGCGGCCTCTTGGCCTGGAGCTGGGACCAGTTAGGTAACGGCCCCGGGGACCCGCAGTGGAGAGTGAGCGGGGCTTTCCCCCGGGCCAGCCCGGCGCGCTCGCCCCTGGCTGGGCAGGTAAGTCTCCCGGGGCGCGAGGTGGGAGAAGTCCTGGCGCGGGCGCCGGAGCAGCCGCGGTCCTCTGCGGCTCCGGCGCGGAGGACACTCGCCTGGCCCCGGTAGCCGTAGTGGATTCCCCTGTCCCACTCCGCCGGGCTCCGTTTCAAACTCCTTGGCACCTAGTGATTGCTCGTGCTCCTTATCCCTGGGTGTAGAGGCCGCTCTGCTCTTATCTGCTTTAGGGTCATTACAGGATTTCTGTGAAAAGGAAAATGAAACACGAGGATTTAAAGGAACTGTAGTTTTAACCCTAGAGAACATGTGGAGAGGGAAATGGCACAGCGTTGCGTTCACATGCCCATTGAACACTTGTGTGGGTAGCTGCCACATTCAGTTGATATGAAGCACGCAGTAGTGAAGGGAAGAGGTAAAGTAAATTTTACTTGAGCAGCATAGTGGTTTGGAATACAGTGGTAAAACATAGTACTCTCATGTTTTTGTTTTGATTCTTTTTTTTTCCTTTGTTTTTAGCCCTCCTCCGATATTCCGAGAAAGTATTTTAGAGAATTCCATTTTACTTAAGTTTTGTCTGTTTTTTTCCAATCAGCTTAAAATGCTGTTTATGATATTTAGATAGGTTCTTGAAATCGAGCCAAGATCCATCAACAAGTTGTCTTTTAGATGCAAGTTTAAAGTATTGCAAAATCCGAACACTATCAAGTATGATTCTTGAATATTGTCAAGTATACGTGATAATACCTCAAGTATGGTCCTTTACTTGGTCCTAAAACCTCCTCTTGTGTTCTCTTGGTTCAATCATAGTGTTTTCAAAATTTTAAATAGTGATTTTAGAATAGCCTCATTGATAGTTTTGTAGAATTTTTTTCTTAACTAAATCTAAAATAACTGTCAGATTTTTTTTTTACATGTTAGCCAAATGTAAAGGGAGGTTGAATAGTCTAAATTTTAAAAACAGAAGAATGCAACTTCCTTTAGTTTGCAGTTCCTCTAACCATTATACATAAGGAATGTAAAATTACTTTAACATCAGTTTTCTGGGGTGCTTTTAGTTAGAATAGTGAATTATCTTAAAGGTTTCTAATCTAGTGAGCCATACTTAATTGCACTATTAGAATTTGCACCTATTTAATAAATTTTACTTCTGTCAACTTTCAAGTCAGACTGGTGTGTTTTATATCCTTTATAATATGAAACTTCAGAATATTTTCATCTTAGATTTTTCATTTTTTCCCCAAAAGTCACCTCTAGAGGGTTCAATCAAGTCGATATGTTTTATACCAGTGGCTTACCGCAGTATGCTAAAATAGATTGTGTATTCCACAGTCACATTTAAGTCTTAGGTTTCATTTCCCTTATGTTTTTAGGGGTCCTTATAACCTATTTTACATTTTTGTCTTTTTATCTTAGGAAAAAGGACAAAAATGATAATCTTGAGGTTAGAAGTAATGAAACTTATTTAGAAATTACACGAGAATGTTACATATCCTTATCAGTGCTTACAAACTATTGGCCAAAGTTGGGAACTCTAGTAGTTTCAGATGTGTTGATGAAGAGAGCAAAATATTGTTGATTTCTTCTTTCTAAAACTGAAGAAAGAATAATTGATTGCCTAAGCACTACGAAAGTTATTTTGCAAGTAGATGGTATGGTAGCAAGCACATGACAATGGGAGTTTTGTTTTGTCTTGTATCCTGTCAAGAGAGTCCAGAACTATTTGGACCAAAGGAGCATTTGAAGTATATACATTCACTTCTGTAAACTCATACTTTATTGTATATAGTAAGGAATTAAGGACACTGACGACTGTGGTTCCTCTATTTTCATCGTGGTTCTTGTTAGAAGTAAGGACACCGTTTAAACCGCATTATCCATTAGTTATGAAATGTGCTGTCCGGTGTAGGTTGCTTCTCAAAGGGTCATCTGTAAGCTGGTTATCTAGAATTCAGCATATTTTTAACCATTCATTTAATAAATGTTGGTGACCTATTGGGTATTATAAAAGAAGACAAAGATAAGTAGTATTTTGAAATCCAGGAGGGACAGAAGTTGATTTTATAGAAGTTTCAAAGAGCTGTGAAATTTATATATGGTGATTAGGAATTCAAGGCAGCTTTTTTTCAAAAAAAAAGAAAATTTTGCTTCCTCTAATGGCCAAGTAACAAATTTTTGTTGCTTGTCTTTCACTGCTTCTGAGCGGATGCTTCGGTATTGTCACGGTGGCTCCTGAGTCAACCTGAGCCTCATGAGTGGGGTACTGTTGCAGCTTGTACCCCAGAGACTGCCTATGCATTCATAAAGATATATGTGACATTGTACATATATTTCAATTTTTCCATTATGTTTTGTTATATAGGAAAAACTTGAGCACCATAAATAAAATATATAAATCATGAATATACTTCATAGGGAGATTAATTTAGGTCATTAATAATTGAGCTGGTGTTCTCGTTGTGAGTTAATGAAATCTGGTTTAAAGGTGTGGCAAAAGAGATACAAGTCATTAGAAACTCCATGCAAGAGGTTTTAAGGGAAGAGGCAATATGATTATAGGTGATTTTGCAATTTCTCTCCTTCCCCAAATAACCCAAAATCCTTAAGTCATGTTTATGAGTGAGTATTGCTTCAAAGCCAAATAGCAGTGAATTATTTTTGGGGGCAACAGACAGATTTCCAGGGTTTAAGAAATCTTAAATAATACTGAAAAGAAGAATCGGTTATGGTTTTTGCTGTTTCTAGCACATTAGCTTTGAAGCAGCAGAAAGTCTTAGCCAGTGTTGGGCAGAGTGTATCCTCTTCTGATTGCCCTTAGATATTATATAGCTAACATAACTTGCCCTGTGACCTTGGGTATGTTATCCCATGTGATCTTACATATACAGCTTATTTTTTAAATGTTGACTTGTGATTTTTTAGCAGTTAAAAAGTATAACTGAAAAAGTAAGATAGTAGTACTTGCATTTGGTCATGTGATCCCATTGTGGGAGGAAAGATCTTCAAATCAACCCTAAGACATCAAATCAGCCCTATGGGACATCTAGAGAAGCATCTAGAGAAAACTAGGCTTTCTTTTCCCAAAAGGATTCTGTTCAACTGAAATATATGTGTCATATCTCATACTTTTTTAAAAAAACTGTCATACTTGGAACAAGGATATTTAGCCTTGGGAATCTAATTTTTTGTTACAGTTGGTTGGCCAGCACTCCTTAATGGAAACAGCTGTCCATCATTTGACTTAGGGCTAGACCGTTTTTGTTCTAGGCATTAAAATAATACCAGTTACTGTTATCTAGTATGTAATAATTTTTAGAAGTTTATCCTTTCATGAAGTAAATTAATCACACAACTGAAGAGTTATGTTAAAAGAACTACATTTTTCTGTTTGTGCTTATGTTTGTTTTTTTTTTGAGACGGAGTGTTGCTCTGTTGCCCAGGCTGGAGTGCAGTGGCACGATCTCAGCTCACGGCAACCTCCACCTCCCAGGTTCAAGCGATTCTCTTGCCTCAGTCTCCTGAGTAGCTGGGACTACAGGCGCGTGCCACCACGCCCGGCTAGTTTTTTGTATTTTTAGTAGAGACGGGGTTTCACCATGTTAGCCAGGATGGTCTCCATCTCCCGACCTCGTGATCCACCCGTCTTGGCCTCCCAAAGTGCTGGGATTACAGGCATGAGCCACCGTGCCCGGCCAGTTCTTTACCACATATGTATTGATGTTCAGATGGTGTTCTTTTAACAGCAGGAGGGCCATGCCAGTTTAGGAAGCATTTTCACTGGGAAGGTTTGCTGGGATCTTATTAGGTATTTTGTTTGGTTTACATCTACGGAATAATTTTGTATTTATTGTAGAACCATTTTCTTTAGTAATAGAAGTCAAGTCAGTGCTAAAAAAGTTAACATGATTTAAGAGCTTTCTGTGTTAACTTTAGAATACTATGAAACTTTTTGTTAGCGTTACTTAACATTTAAAATTGAGCACTTCATTTCCCTACCATTTGATAGCCTTCCCCATCTCTATAAATGGCACTCTTATTAATGCAGTTGCTCAACCAAAAATGTGGGAGGTATTAATTCTTCTCCCTCATTATCATCTTCCACATCCAATTTATCGGCGTAGTTCCCCTTTACCTCCAAAAACACTGGGCAAATTCTCCCATCTAACCTAATAGCCCCTAACTCCTGCACTCTTTGGTCACCCTATAATCCATTCTTATCCACCACTAGGCTAATCCTTTTAAAAGGTGAATCATGTCATATTCACCCCAGCTTAAAACATAATGGCTTCCCATTGCACTTGGTATAAAATCCAGGCTCCTTGGGGTAGTCTGTAAGCCTTACATGATCTCATTTCTGCCTACCTCTGACCTTATCGTGTTCTTACTGTCCCCACCCCGCCCCCATACTTTTAAGTACCTACCACATTGGCCTGCCTTCTGTTCTGTCCCTTATGCCAAAGCATTTCCTGTCTCCTTGTCATTTAGGTCTTGCTCACATGTCACCTTCTCAAAGAAGTCTTCCTGGCCCCCTCTAGCCCATCATTCTCTTACATTTTCATAGCATCTATCTTGATCTGAAATTAATATATTTTTTTTCTTCCTTCTTCAGCCCTTATTAGTCCTTTGAAAATAGAGACCATGTCATTCTATTTACTTTCTCATCCTCAGTGTCTGAAGTAGGTACAGAGTATGTATTTGTGAATGAAGTATTTATAAAATAACAGTTGATTTGAATTTATGCTATATCATCCAATTTTCTGGTGAAGGTTCAAAATGGCCTGTTTAGTAGAAAGTAAAATGAAGAGGACAGTAAGCTAGCAAAACTAGAATCATTATAAATCCTTTTGACTACATTGTTAGAAATACTTTCTTAAAAAGCTCTGCTTTAAAAACATTTTCCCATTAAACAACATGTACATATACCCCTATAAGTAGACCTAAACATGCTCTGTATTCTTCTGTAAACTTGTTGGGTGTTAGTAGATAGTTAATAAATGGTGTTTCTTGGCTAATTACCTGCGAGTTTGCCTAGATAACTTAGATGCGTTAGCTATATTCTAAAACGATACTCTTAAGGTTCTCCAAAGATTTTTAGAGTTCATACTTCGTTTCTAATTAAGCAGTTCAGACATTTTTGTATTTTAAATGGTATTTGTTTTCAGAGAAGGCATTCTAAGTAAAGGTAGGTTTTTAAAGTACTATAATTAGAGAACATAGCTGAAGCTTTAAAATTATAAATATTTAATTATTGTCCAGAACTGGAGCTGTATTTGTACAAAGAACATTTTCAGTATACTTTTAGACCAAGATACAGAGTTAAATAGCTTAGAGACATTTCCATTTTGCTTTTGACTCTTCGTCTTCTCAGAAAAAGAAAATAACTTGCCTTCTAGTAATTTTAAATCTGATAAAGAATGCATCATTAAGTACCTGAACAGTAAGGGTCAAACTGTGGAGAAATAAAACTATGAATCAGACTTACAAACTTGTGCTATAAGATCCACACCATTTTTCAAGTTTTACTTCATCGTGTGTGCTTTTCTTCTATCTCACTACTTAGTCCCACTAAAGAAGTTGGAGTTATTTACATTGTAAACTGGACATTTTCATTTTTACATACATCTTGGGTGTGTTTTTAGGTAGAGGTGTCTTTTTCTTCAGTTTCATAAGTAGTTGAGGTAGTGGTCATATTTATTACTACAGACTCATTCATAAATATATTTGTTTTTGCATTTTAGTGAATTGACATAAATTTCATTGCTGCAGATTCTGTATTAGCTATCTTGCTTAGCTACTTCTTAAATTTTATTAAAGTGGGATCAGTCCCTGGATTCTAACCTTAATAAGCCCTGACATATACTTCTAGCTTTTGATGAGTCTTCCCTGTACCTTTTAGTATATCACTATCTGTTGTACTTAAGGAAAACAGCTCCAAGTCTCCTGCTTGACTTAAACTCTCAGATCACTTGTTACTATAAAGATTTACCTCCAAGGTTGTCTGTGTGCTGCATTAGGGGCTATTTTTATAGAGTTGCAAGTATGCTACCATTGGCAAGGAAACAGCACATTCATTCAGAATCATCAATGGAAATATATTCATCTTAGGATTCTTGTACTAAGCTATGAAGATTCTTGAGGATAGAGCCAAGTTTTACTGAGATTGAGACTGTGTACCCAAAGACAGCATTGGCTTTCCTGAACTTGAGATCAAAGCTAAACAGGAAAAATGATTTATGTTCACAGTGATCACTCATGAAAAATGGTCTGCAAAGATTTATTCCGCCATTGCCATGATTCACCCTGTATCTTAAACCTCAAGGCACTGTTATTCCTACTCTTGAAATTGGGCAGATACACATTATTCTTCCACTTTATTTTTTATTGGTAAAATGTTTGAATTTATTTCCATGTTTTAACCATATTAAAAGTATAATGAACACTCACTTTTTACTTTTTCTTTCTTAAAAGCAGATAAATTTTTTACATGGTGGCTCTTACCCAAGTTCATGGAAAAGAAATTTGTGCTAAGGAAGACCTCTTCGTATTTTAAACTCATAAGGATTTGATGTTTAAGAATTTATTTTCCAGTTAGGTGGGTGATTTGACAAAGGGAGATTACAAAACAGGATTTTTTTTTACTTTGCTGCTTTACTTTGCTGCCACCGCCGTTGCTGTCATCCAGGTTTTCATAGTGTCACTGTGAAGGCTAAAAGTGATCATCCTCAGTACCTCATTGTACAAGTAAAGTAGTCATGTTAAGTCATTGACTTTTGGAACATACCACATTGAGATATTAGCAGTACCAAATTCTGCTGTCTTTCAGTTCATTCCTTTCTGTTGTGTGTGCCCATTAGGCAGCTGCTTCTCTCTCTCTTCGCCTGGATGAAGGACTGTTCCCCAAAACCAAATGAAATACTTTTCCAACCTAGAGGCCTTGTAGTAGATTTAGTGTGCTTGTATGTAAAATTTAACGCTCTCCTGTGGTTTTAAGATACTGAACTCTGAAAATATCTTAGATACTTATTTTTTATTTGGTATAGCCAGGAAAAGAAACTGGTTAATAGCAAACAAGAAATATAGTTTCTCTGGTTTTGAAATAACTTCAAGCCTTTTCTGTTGTGATTTATAGTCTACTCATCGGTGTTTTCTAACAGAAGTGTATTTCTTTACATAGGTTACTCACTATAAACAATATCCACCCAACACAAGCAAAGTTTATTCCTACTTTGAATGCCGTGAAAAGAAGACAGAAAACTCCAAATTAAGGAAGGTGAAATATGAGGAAACAGTATTTTATGGGTTGCAGTACATTCTTAATAAGTACTTAAAAGGTATTACTTTTCCTAGTATATTTTAAACACTGCTTATTACTCTTAACTCCTTTAGGAGTTCTTTTAGAATTTTTAACAAATCTGTTAATTTGGATGCATTAAATCATATAATTTGGTGTGTGTTTGATGTTCTAAGTATGAGAAAAGTTTTCTGAAATAAAAGGTTTTTTTTTTTTTTTGGAAACCGAGTTTCGCTCTTGTTGGCCAGGCTGGAGTGCAATGGCATGATCTCAACTCAGCGCAACCTCCGCCTCCTGGTTTCAGGCAATTCTCCTGCCTCTGCCTCCCGAGTAGATGGGATTACAGGCATGCACCACCACACCCAACTAATTTTGTGTTTTTAGTGAAGACGGGCTTTCTCCATGTTGGTCAGGCTGGTCTTGAACTCTCGACCTCAGGTGATCCACCTGTCTCGGCCCACCAAAGTGCTGTGATTACAGGCGTGAGCCACCACTCCTGGCCGAACTAAAAGTTTTGAAATAAGTTTAGAAAAGTCATTAATTTTTGGAGGCTAATCTTGTTTGTTATACTTTAGTCATTAATTCAAAGTAAAGGAGTTGTTAATGAACTGGAAACTCCTTTTGAATTATGGTAGCAATCAGAATATTTTTATATTAGCCAGTTTTACCTTGAAGACCTATTTTTAAAAACTACCTGTGTCTCTGGACTTAGTTGCAAATGCATATTAAAACAAAAATCCCCCAATTTCTGTGCTTTCTTATTTGAAAGGCCATTTCTAGGGGGAAAACAGTTCCCAAACACATTATACATGTTGGAAAAGTTTATCTCTAACCTTTTGAATTAAACAATTTCAGAATTGAAAACAGTAAGGTGAATTTTAGGCCAATAACTCTTTTCTATAATCTTGACTCTTTTAAGATTAGGCAGTTCAGATAGTCTTATACTACTGAAAACCTAGCTAGATATCAGAAGTAATTATTAGTGGCAAGAATACCAAAGTTAATACCAAAGTTTTTTTGTTTTGTTTTGTTTTTAGACAGGGTCTCACTCAGTCACCCAGGCTGGAGTGCAGTGGTGCAATCTTGGCTCACTGCAACCTCTGCCTCCCAGGCTCCAGAGATCCTTCCTGCTCAGCCTCTCAAGTAACTGGGACCACAGGCTCGCACCACCATGCCTGGCTACTTTTTTATAGTGACAGGGTCTCACCATGTTGACCAGGCTGGTCTCAAACTTTTGAGCTCTCAAGCGACCCGCCCGCCTTGGCCTCCCAAAATGCTGGGATTACAGACATGAGCCACCACGCCTGGCCCCAAGATACTTTAAACGAGTTTACTAGTTATCTTGTATTAAGTTACCAGCAACTGATAGCACACTTTAATTTAGTCATACAACTTAAGAACTTTGTAAAATATTACTCATTTTTAATTATAACTAAAATGTATTGATTACCTATTCTAGGCCAGCATTATTGTAAGTGGTTCGTATGTCTTAACTCATTTTGTCCTCACAAACATCATATAAGTGGGTACTCGACTTTTATCCTCATTTACGGATAAGAAAAGTTAATTAAAAGTGTGTTGTTTGGGGGGCAGACATTTAGTAATTGTGGAAATTACTGACTTACCAACCCTAAAGATGCCACATTCTTTACGAACGAAGTGAGACGTTTCATTTGGATGTAAGAAGCTTTTGAGTCATCTCAAAGTTGAAAAGTACCAAAATTAATCGAGAGAAAAAAATTAAGTTAATATCATTTTTAAAAGCTGTGCAAGTAATAATTTTTTCTATTACACATCTGCTTTTACAATAAATAAACATTTATACTTTGAGTTATTAAAAGTACAAATTCCTTTTCTGACTCTGCTGTTGACTCTGGGTGAGCATTTAACCTCTTAGTTATATTTTTAATCCATAGAATGGGTGAAATAGCCAAAGATATTAAGTCTGTGACAGTTCAGCAACTCACAGAATGCACCTTTAGAAATGTAAACAGGACATGTATATTCTTCTAGGTAAAGTAGTAACCAAAGAGAAAATCCAGGAAGCCAAAGATGTCTACAAAGAACATTTCCAAGATGATGTCTTTAATGAAAAGGGATGGAACTACATTCTTGAGGTAAAAGATGGTTTCATCTTTTGATCTGTTTTGGTTTTTCTTTCAGTTCAAAACTTCTTGCAAAGGAATTTGTTTTTGTTTTGTGTTTTTTGAGAGAAAGTGTCACTCTGTCACCCAGGCTGGAGTGCAGTGGCACAATCTCGGCTCACTGCAACCTCTGCTTCCTAGGTTCAAGCTATTCTCCTGCCTTAGCCTCCTTAGTAGCTGGGACTACAGGCACGCACCACCACACCTGGCTAATTTTTGTATTTTTAGTAGAGATGGGGTTTTACTGTGTTGGCCAGGCTGGTCTCAAACTCCTGACTTCAAGTGATCTGCCCACCTTGGCCTCCCAAAGTGCTGGGATTACAGGTGTGAGCCACCATCCCCGGCCAGAATTTGAATAAGAGATTAGAGTATCATTACAGTTCTTTTTTGTTTGTGATCTGAATATAATGGCTATTTCATAGCCATTATATATCCTTTTGAAAAGTTATATTATAGCCAATATATCCTTTTGAAAAGTTAAGGTTGACATTTTATCCCTCTCCCCGCATCCCCCATGTTAAATCATTAGCATATAGAATCTACAGCAAGTCTAAGTAATTAATAAAAATGAATTATAACTTAAATAACATTTTTGAGAAAGATAATTCATTCTTGAAAATACACTATAGGTAGGAAAGGGCATGGTTATTTGGCAATTTCAAAATGTAGGTCTGTTTTCTTGACTGAAAATAGATGCTGTGAGTCTATCACTACACATAATTCTGGGAAGTTTCTCACTGTATAGTGAGAATGGCTTGGTGCTGATCCACAAAGTTGATTTTTAGTCTTGATTGTATTATATTTATATCTAGTATGTTTGAATTCATTGCCTAAATATTAAGGCACTCAAAGACATGGTAATAGAATTATAAGAGTTAAATATCCCGTGGTGGTTTCCTTTTATTACAATGATCAGTTGGGAATGGAATCTGTTGGCGTATCTTGATGTTGAGTGTTACTTTTAAGTCTCACAAACGAAAGTTTCTTACATTGAAAAGACTGTCAAACACAGAATAATTAGAAATACTTTAACTTTCATGCCTATATGACAATACTGAGCTATACTATTTGGTACTTATGGGTCTTGAAAAAGTCAGGTAAGTACTCTGTGCTGCACTTTTCCTGTATCTTAAATAAGGTCAATAGAATCTGTGAGCTATCACCTGTACTTGCTCCATTTCTCTTCTGTGAGGTTTGTTGTAAGGATAAATACAGTAATAAGTTAGGTACTATGCTTATTACTATACTGTCCAGTGGCCAGGGCAATAAGTCGTTTGATTATATGATCAGAAAATCTTGGGGAACTAAAGGTTCTCTAGAGATAATCTGGTCTAACCCCATTTTACAAACAGAATCTGAGACCGAGAGATGGCAAGTGACTAGTCCAGGGTCTCCCCGCTGCTTTTGAGTCCAAACTAGGACCTGTAGGGCAATGTTCTTTTTGCTATACACTGTGCCTCCAGTGCTTGTATTAAACAGATTTTTCTTGTATTTAATTACCTTGTCCCAAATCACATAAATAAATTATCAGGATTTCTGAAACAGCTTGCCTTCCTAGTGAAAAGTTAGGCACAGCTCTTAGCTTTAAAAGGGAGGTACAGTGTCACATAACAAATAACCTTCAGCCTAATTTTGGAGGCAATTATTACATTAAGAGGAAGTCAGTTAAGTCATACTCGAGTGTTAATTGCCAAGATTCTGTGTTTGGCCTGTCTCATAGTTTCAGGTCCACGACCAGAATAGAGGGAACCTATTTCGGTTCTTCTGCAGGGATTTCCCTAGCTCTCCTTCTCTCTCGTTTTGTTTTCTTTTGTTCTTTAATAGCAATCCTTTATCTTTCAATCTGCAGCCTTTATTTTGTGAAAATAACGAATTTAGAATAAAGGTAGTGTTCTTGGAATACTTTTAGAATATGTTGGAATAAAGTCATCCTTTCTCATTTTCTGAAAAAGCAGGGAAGAAGCAACAGTTTGGTTTTGATGAGTTTGGAATTTTCTGCCACTTGTAGTGATAAATGTTCTTAGCAGAAGCACGTGGCAGCATTAAACTTAAAAATTAATATCAGTACGTATGTTAATAATTTTAACTAGTTTTATTTTAGAAGGATAAGGATATTCTGACTAGATTACAGTAACATCTACAATTGCAATTTCTATGACAGTAAATTTAGCTTCTATAAAACGTAAAGAACCTTTAGTAAAACAGCAGGGAATTGAGTATCATCTGTTGAATAAATAAATTTATCATTTTATCCTGCCAGAAGTATGATGGGCATCTTCCAATAGAAATAAAAGCTGTTCCTGAGGGCTTTGTCATTCCCAGAGGAAATGTTCTCTTCACGGTGGAAAACACAGATCCAGAGTGTTACTGGCTTACAAATTGGATTGAGGTAAATTGTTTTTTTAATTCTTATTTAACATTAATTGAATAAAGACCATTGAACTGAGATTACAGTTTAGAATTTGTTACTAATAAAGCTATATAATCTCCTATAATTTACTTAACCTTTCCAGGCTTCAATTTCCTCATCTATAAAATGACAGACTAAATAATCTTTAAGGTTTCTTCTAGTAGAATAGAATGTTCTGAGATTTTGTTTAAATCAAATTATTGAGAGTGATTGTTTTTAAAACCTAGTTGGCTTTCATCTAATTCATTGCCATTTTAAGTGTGTATTATTTTAGAGCAAACTTAGAAAAACAGCACATTTCTAGTAACTTACGACATTCGATGAATGATAAATGTTCAAGTTAGACTAAAGGAACTTTATTCCAACTTCTAGTAACTACTTTCTTCATTTTTCTCTCATCAGTTTAGGTCTTAGGATCTACCATCTGTTACTTTTCAGTTTCTCATCTAAATAAAACAAGATCTGCTGTTCATATTGTTTAATTTCTCAGGAAGGGTACATTTTGGGCTTTGGGTTTATACTGCGAGCCTTTTTTTTGTTTTTCTTGTATGTATACCTAAGTAGTCATATGTTTTCACATGGTCAGAGTTTTGATAATAATACTCTACCTAGCTTCTGAACAGTTTAATAATAGATTTAATCCGTGAGAGGAAATACCCTCGAAAGTTACTATAGAAATAACACCTTACTATCTGGTGGCATTTACTTAGTTCTTAGAACTGACTAATTAGTTTATCGGTTAAAGTAATTTGCTATTATATTGTAAAATAGTACATTTGAGGCTCACTTATAAAAATTGGAAAACATCGAAATATAAGAGGTCCAAGAGGGTGTTTGAAACACATTTTGCTAAGTTGACAGGAAATTAATAGACTTTTTATGGGCCATTAACTAATAATACACTCAAAAAAAAGGTACAGTTAAATAAAGGTTTTAAATAGTCTATACCGTATACTAAAACTAAATTAATATTTAGGACTGAAATAACATATTGATTAAGTACCAGCTATGTACCCAAAAAATGCTGGGCACAGAAGTTAGAGTAAGATGTTTTACTTAAAGGGCCTTTGAGTGAGAGTTGGCAATTCATTCTGAACTAACCACTAATATCATTAAGAATTAGTGCTGAGTTGGTAGCAGGAAATAGGTAATTCTGTCTAAAGGAATCATGAAATGGAAAATAAATAAGCTTTTAATAAGGAGAAGGAAGAGCTGAAGAAATGGCACAGTGTTCTTAGAATGACAGATAGTCCTATGGGGACTGCAGCATAAAAGTGAAAAATGTATAAGATAAACCTTTAGATGGTAAGCAAGGCAAGATTCTCAAATTCTGTATGAATCAGCTCCACCTCCGCCCCATGGACAGTAGATGACCGTTAATGGCTTTTAAGGAAAGATGCAACCTGGAAAAAAAGAAAAAAAACTTGTTTTAGAATGGTAACCACTGGCAATATGAAGAATAATTAGACTAAAGAAGAGAGGTAGGATAATCATGGGCATTGGCAGTGGAATTGAAAGAGTAATTTCAGAAGCAGAATGGTCAGATGTTGGAGGTGATTGGTTATAGAGTTTAAGAATTGTACTGATTTTCTATTGTGTAACAAACTACCCCAAAACTTAATGGCTTAAAGCAACTATTATTTCTCCTGATTCTGTGGTTGACTGGATGGTCGTCTGCTGCTCTTGCTTAGACTTAGGCATCTGCATTTAGCTGAGGGTTCAGCCAGGGCTGGACATCCTTTAATGGCCTCATTCCCATGTCTGGGGCCTCAGGTCAGATAGCTGGGACTACCGGGTCTCACTCCAGAAGAGGTTTCTTCAGAGCATGGTAGTCTTGGGGTTCTAAGAGAATGAGAGTAGAAGCTGCAAAACCTCTTGAAACTGGGGCTTGGGAGTCACACATGACTTTCTCCACATTCTGTTCGTCAAAAGCGAATCATAAGGACAGCACAGACTCAAGGGATAAGAAAGGAGATTCCATCTCTTGATGAGAAGAGCTGCAAAGGCCATATTTAATCAGTCACAGGAGTCTAATGCTACAAAGTAGTTTTTTAAAAAGATGACTAGATTGGCAAGTTCAAGGTTAATCTTTTTATTTGTTTTATTTATATATCACTTAGCTGGTATTCAGTAAAAGCTTGCTTTGTAAAATTTAGTTAATATCTTTTTGGTTCAGCACAGACATTGCATCATCTTAGCAGCTCTTTTTCAAACAGATTTGAAGCTGCTTCAAATAACAATCTGGTTTATAAAATGAAAATAGAAAATTATGATCTTAGAATGAAGAAGTGAATTTCTAAGCCATGATAATTATTACGGTTGCTGTGATTAGACAGACTTTTCTGTGGAGCTTCCTGACAACCAAGAAAAAAGGGGAAATCAAGGAACTGTTCTTATCAGAAAGTAGGAACCCAGCAATTCTTTCATTTTCTCATTGGGAACTTAATAGTCACTGAATTACAAAGTAGACAGTGACCTTGATTATACAACATATGCGGAAGTGTTTCCTGTAACTTACGTGAGTATTTTATCAAATACTTATATATTTGATAAAAGCTAAGTACATAAAGCATAACTCAGTAGATAGAATTCTCTAGTAGTAAGCTAAAGTGCTTCAAGTATTAGTTGTCATATTAATCCAAGAGAAAATTAGATCTGAGACTACCTCGAGGAGTAAACGAACAACTTCTTTAAACCAATACTAGTCAAAATGCAGTCCACGGACCAATGCTGGTTCATGCCCTATTTGATCCAAGTCCACATTAAGTACAGAAATGAAGAGTAAGCATTTAGAAACTTGGGGCAATTTGACATTGCCTCAACATCCAAGTTTCAGTGTCCTTTATAAACTATTGATCCATGACAGATCATGAAACTTTCTAAAAATTGATCCTTTTATCACATAGTCTTTCAAAATATTATTTGCTTCTTTGAAGCTTTGGATAGAAACTTGATAATGTGAAGTTCTCTGCTATGTGGACCTGGTGTGCTTATCTTCTTTGTTGCTGATTTGAGAGCTGAGCTATGTACTATATCTGGAATGCACACAGCAGGCATCCTGCTGCGCAGTTCTGTGTCTAGTTAATAGTATGGAAGTTCAGGACATACCTCCAAAAAAAAAAAAAAGCTAGGATTTTCCTCAGAAAGAATGCAGTATTTTATGTCTTAATATTTGTGGTTAATTTTGTTACTACAGACTATTCTTGTTCAGTCCTGGTATCCAATCACAGTGGCCACAAATTCTAGAGAGCAGAAGAAAATATTGGCCAAATATTTGTTAGAAACTTCTGGTAACTTAGATGGTCTGGAATACAAGTTACATGATTTTGGCTACAGAGGAGTCTCTTCCCAAGAGGTAAGTAACTGAAACCAACCTCATTTAATATAATGTGGATTGTTGGTTAGAGTACCACTGTAAACTTTTGGGGACGTTATTGAGATTGATCTTGGTTCTAAAATTCCAAAGATTCAACCAACAGATACATATTCAGTACCTACTACTGTGTTCAGGGTACATGGGATATGTCCTTCAACAGATGTCCCTGTCCTTTATATATTAGATGGATGGACAGATGGATAGCCAGAAACAGACATAATATATCAGATGTGAAATAATGCCATAAAGAAGCTCAAGGCAGGGTAAGGGAAGAGAGAGTGATGAAAAGTGGGGGTGGGACACTGTTAAATAGGTCTCTTTGAGGAGATAATAGTTGATTTTTTAAAATATTTAGGAAAAACTGAATCTTTGTCATTAGGAACTGTTATGTCTGACAATAAATACTTTCCTAAGAGAAAGACAATTCTTATGGGAGCTATGCTATATTCCTTAAATGTGGTTGGCTGCATCCTGGTATTATTAATGTGGGTTTCTTTCTGTTTTGGATTTTGGTTTATGATTGATTTTCCAGACTGCTGGCATAGGAGCATCTGCTCACTTGGTTAACTTCAAA
Organism: Homo sapiens; assembly: GCF_000001405.40. NCBI lineage: Eukaryota > Metazoa > Chordata > Mammalia > Primates > Hominidae > Homo > Homo sapiens. The sequence continues at coordinate 106,268,558 of NC_000007.14, read as the reverse complement.
GGAACAGATACAGTAGCAGGACTTGCTCTAATTAAAAAATATTATGGAACGAAAGATCCTGTTCCAGGCTATTCTGTTCCAGCAGCAGAACACAGGTAAAAAATTCTGTTCATTTTTTAAAACTACTAATTTTTTCACTCTTGTATTTGTAACTCAGTGACATTTTACCTAACTGCAGAGCCAGGTACCTACAGTACATCTTCATGAACTTGAGCAACACAAATTCAGTATTTATACAAAAGTATAAACATTAGTCTTAGAGAGGCAGAGAAATTTTATCCATGCTAGAAGAAACAGTTTAAGAGCTTTTTTCCAATACTTATATTGCCATAGAAGTTTTCTTTTAAGGAATTTTTTTTCAATTACTGTATTGTCATATGTAGGTAGATTTTATTCATTAAATTTAGAAGCACTCACTGTAAGTACCAGCCACTTTTTGCCTTTTCCCTGTCCTCCTACATGACCTTATCTATATTTGCCCTAGAAATTGTCATCTGTACTGTACCTTCAGTTGTAGATGAGAAAGCAGGACCTGTTGAGGAAAGAAAGGGTGTTCAGATTCTTTTTACGCTTCCTTGTCTGCTTTCAGTAAACTATCTCCAGTTACCCAAGAAAGAAATTACAATCTAAACTGCAGCTGCTCTGGTCCTAGAGCTAACTTTATTAAAAGTAAATCAGGTTGTTTTTTTTTTTTTTTTTTTTTTTTTTTTTTTTTTTTGAGACGGAGTCTCGCTCTGTCGCCCAGGCTGGAGTGCAGTGGCGGGATCTCGGCTCACTGCAAGCTCCGCCTCCCAGGTTCACGCCATTCTCCTGCCTCAGCCTCCCAAGTAGCTGGGACTACAGGCGCCCGCCACTACGCCCGGCTAATTTTTTGTATTTTTAGTAGAGACGGGGTTTCACCGTTTTAGTCAGGATGGTCTCGATCTCCTGACCTCGTGATCCGCCTGCCTCGGCCTCCCAAAGTGCTGGGATTACAGGCGTGAGCCACCGCGCCCGGCGTAAATCAGGTTTTTTAAATGTTTGCCAAACCTTATCACTGACTTTTATAACAAAATTATTTACTATAATCATTAGGGAATATTTAAGTTCTGCTAATACTTAAAATTGCAGAGTGCTAAAACCAGCAGTGAGTTTAGAATCAAGCTAAGCTTTATTGTTGCTACTATTTGAGGCATATTAGTTGACTGGTGTTCATATGCAAGGCAGTCTACTGGGTGCAACAAGGGTTAGAAGGATATTTTTAAAAAACTGACCCTATTCTCAGGATGAAAATAATACACTAGTAATAGTCTGCTCTGTTGGTTAACTCCTCGTAAGGAGGTACAATTAAAATGCTGTAGTGTTGCAAGGGAAGGAGAGGAAGAATCATATTCCTTCACTAGCAGGATCAAGAAAGCTTTTATAGAAATATACAAAATCTTCACTTCTTGAAGGATTGGTAAAATTTAATAGCCAACATTGGGCACTTATTCATTCTCTGAGTAAATATTTATTGCATGCTTATCTTGTATCAAGCATTGTGATGAAAGCACAAGAATGAAAGAGGAGGGAGAATGTTTAGAGAATAAGGGCTGAAACACAGATTTTGTAGGGAGCGTAGGGGAGACTGAGAAGACAGGTTCAGGTTAGTAAGGGCGCTCATATTTTGACACTGAATGTTAACTATGTGCACATCATGCTAGCTATTCTAAATCAGGCATTTTCAAATGGAAGCAGGCACTGACATTTTTGAGCAAAGACGTGATGTTATGAGATAAATATCTTAGGGGACTTTTTTATATTTTTATAGCAGGATATCTATCCTATGGATTGAAAAAAGGAAAAATCAGAAGGTAGTCTTTATAGGAAGCTATTCCAGCAGTCTTAAGGTAATGAAGTCCAGACCAAGGTGCTAAATAAATGGAAAGAAATAGGTAAACATGAGCAATGGCTTGGGAGATAAAATTGCTCAAAGTTGGTAATTTGAGTTGGGACTCAGTAGAAAATAGATTCAGCTGACGTTTATGAGCATTGTATTAGTAAGGCCTTGTTGAACACTTTTACATACAACTTTCAAGACTAGGAAACTGGGAAAATAAGAGTGTCTTTAACAAAGTTTTAAGAGTTATTTTTAGTTTGGCCTTAGATGTACATACATCTTTTAAAAATCTAACATAGTATGCACATATTAGACTCTTCGTTGATGGTTATTTCAAAGTAGTAACATCATGATACGGAGGACAAGGATAATATCTTCTTTAGGACTTGTTAAAATGAAAAGGATACTGTATGTGGGCAAGGGATAAAAATCCATTTTATTTTTATGGTCTCATATTGATTGCATTTGTAAAATTTGACTCCTTATATATTCAAATGCCTCACATGTTCTTAATAGAATGTCTTTTAAACAACAGCGTAGTATAGCAAAAAGAGGATTGGACTGAAAGTTGGGAAACCTGGGTGACCTTCCGGCTGACATAGTGGGTGGCCTTGGGCAAGTCACTTATCTCTCTGTTCTTCATTTCTTCCATCCAACCAAACAAAAGGAGGAGCTAAAGTTTTACATCTCCAACATGACAAGGTCATTGATGATAAATGAGCTACTATCTAAATAACTTTAAAATAAGAGAACTCTATAAATTTAGAGGTTTACCACTATTGTATGTATCTTAATAGATGAATCTGCACCTAAAAATATTTAATTACAGAAGCTTTTTTTCTCAAACTTTGGAAAGGTATCAAATTTAATTTGGTGCTTGAAATTAGGATTTATGGCATTGGTAGAATTCATTGATTATTTATGATCTTCATATATCACATACTGTACTAGAAGAATAGAGGTTATGATTGGACTAGACAGAGAGTGCCAGAGCAAGTATCTGTGGGATGCTGAGATGAAGATATTCAACTTTCTATCTAACAAAGTAGATCCAGAGCCTGGAAGAAAAACAGAGGCTAAGATACAGATACTGGAAACCCTCATGCAGGGACTTTTTTTTTTTTTTTTTTTTTAAGCTTTTGAGTGTTTCACACAAGGTATGTTACAGAAGACAAGTGCCTAAGTCAGAACTATGAGAAATATTGCCATCTGACAGGTTAGATTAAAGAAGGAGAGCACAGCATCTGGGAAGACTGAAAAGGGAACCATAGAAATAGGGGAAAAAAGGTGAAACATGGGAGATGTCATTGAAGTCAAGAGAAAGAAAGCATCAGGAAAATTCAGGTGTCATGGAGAAAGCAAGTAAGATGGGGACAGTGAAGTTTGCTAGACATGATACAAGTAGATCGTTAGGTGACTTACTGATACAACGTTATAAGTAGTGACCCCTTAACTGTAGGAGTTAATTCATACGTTGTAAAGTTCTCCAGTATTGGTATTCATTGATCTTAATTCTCTCCTTTTTAAAGAGAAAAGTTGCAGACCTGAATATGAAGAGGAGCTTCTCTTCAGTCATATCTTAATTTTCCATTTAGCCTACAGATGCATGAAGTAGAGAATTGACATCATAGCTACTGGCAGCCTCTGTAGCTGTTAAGAAGAGTGTTCACTAATGAGTTTTATATAAACAGGTTCTCTCTCAATTTTGGATTCGGGTAGTAGTCTTTACAATCTTGAAATGTGCATGCTGCACTACCCCAGGTATACCATTGACAGTATGGGGAAAGGTTCTAAGTCTAGTCCTTTAAAAAAAAAAACACACACACACATTGTATAAAGTGATTATTTCAGACATAAAGTCTGACTCTTCAAACAGTTATGAGTTAAACTTATACCTACTTGGGCTTTATAATAAATGAATGTGCTATCTTTTTATTATTTACTGAGGAGAACAGATTAGAGGCGGACTAGAAAATTAGGGAGAATGACCAATTGCTTGGCATAATTAAATGGTAATTTTCAAAATTAAGTTGTTTGAGATCTTTTAAAATTATTTACATTATATATTAACAAATATTTACACAGGTTGAGCATCCCAAATCCAAAATGCTCCAAAATCTGAAACTTTTTGCTCAAAGGAAATGCTCATTGGAGCATTTCAGATTTCAGAACTGGATTTCAGATTTCAGAACTGGGGATGCTTAACTGATAAGTATAATGCACATATTCCAAAATCTGAAAAAATTTGAAATTCAGAATACTTCTGGTCCCAAGCATTTCAAATAAGCGATACCCAATCTATAATTACATATTGAATACAAATCTATCCCGTAAGAACTGATATTAAGGACATTGCAAAAATCACTATAACCATTCTTATCCAATAGAAACTCTCATACTTTATTTTCCATCTTAATTATGTTTTGCTTAAACTAAGTATTTGAATTCTTATTCCCTGGGCATATATTAATTCGTAGTAGATAATCTGCAAACAAAATACATGACTTCCTATTACTAGCCACTTGAAAATATAACAGGTAGTTGACTATATGTATGTATGGTATAGTATAAATAATTGCCTCTAAGTATAAGATTTTGAAAGGTAAAAAAACAAAATGTATGTCTGTACTATTATTGGTATATAGTTTCAAAAATTCACAGAAGGGAGCCAGGTGCTCTCATTGCCTAACAAAATAATGGAAATATGTATTCATTCTAACATCTTGACATACAGTATAAAGGGCACTCAGCAAGTGCTTTTTAGTTAGACTGATTTTAAATGAGTAGATTCAGGAATACCAGAAAACACACACACACACAGATAATTGGTTGAAAATACGAGGTTAGAAACTTAACCATTGAAGAGGAGTAAGGCTACTTAAAGCGTTAAAAACTAATTGGGTAAGGTATGGTTGACCCAGCTACTTCATTTGCCTTACGATGTATATTCATTAAACTAAGTCACTCACCTTCTCTGTGATGTTGATGGTTTGGTATAGTAAACATGAGATATGATTAAAGGTGATTCAGGGATAGATCAAGTGTCTGCCTAAGTAAATCTGTGTTTTCATTTTTTTTTCTAGTACCATAACAGCTTGGGGGAAAGACCATGAAAAAGATGCTTTTGAACATATTGTAACACAGTTTTCATCAGTGCCTGTATCTGTGGTCAGCGATAGCTATGACATTTATAATGCGTGTGAGAAAATATGGGGTGAAGATCTAAGACATTTAATAGTATCAAGAAGTACACAGGCACCACTAATAATCAGACCTGATTCTGGAAACCCTCTTGACACTGTGTTAAAGGTAAATTTTCATATGTAACTTTATTATTAGAATCCCTCTGTAGGCCAGCTGCATCAATACTACTTTTCATTTATATACACACAATTTCAGAGCTGTGTGGACCAGTCCCCTTTATTTTAGAGTTGCAGCCCAGAGAGAGTAATAGATTTGCCTGAGGTCACACAGTAATAGCACAGAAGGATACCAAGACTTATGGATTGTTTTACTGTCAATTAGACATTTGAATAGATATTTTGTTTTCTGCTTACCTGCAAAATTAATTAACAGCATTGCCATTTTAATTAATCCTATGATTTGGGCACCAAACTTATTTGCAGTTTGTTTCTTTTTCAGCATAAGTCACTGCTAGACCTTTGAAGTTGTTAGCACAGAAGAAATAGGAACAGGGTGATGTGGAATAAAAATAATTCAAAAATACTCTTCAAGTGGAGGTTCTTTAGAAATACTGTTGATTCATAATGTAGCAGTGTTACTTTTTGTTGTTAATGTTCAAGGACTTGGTTTATCTTCTTCAAAAAGTAGTAATAGCAGGCTTATTTGATGCCTACTACTAGAAAAATATTTTAGGTGATTTACATAAGATACGCCATTTAATCTCTACAAAAAAAAACAGTGATAAATATTACTGTCTCTGTTATAGAAGAAAAAAACAGAGGCTTAAAAAGGTTAAAGTAACTTGCTCAAGGTCACACAACATGAAAGATAAGGAGTCAGATATCCAGTGTAGGTCTTTTGGCTGCAGCCTTGCTACTTGACCACACCATTTGTCAGTTAATGAGCAGATGATACTTACCCCTTAAGAAAGGGAAACAGAATTAAGGAGGTCTTTTCTTATTCTATTAAATGATAGGCCAATCTGAAAGTCTTGTCTTAGCCTGCAATATTTGGTTTTAGCAAACTTGATAGGTTTCATGTTTTTACTGTTACGTAATAAAAAATGTACACAGCTAGTTATGAGAAACTGATTTCATCAATGGGGAATTTTCTCTTTGTTAGAATCTTTAATCAGTTTATTTAGGAAAAAGAAATGATTGTTGTGGGAAGAGAATGTATTTCTTTTGTTTATATGACCAAGCTTTCTGAGAAATTTTAATTTGGTGTACAAAACTTTTAGTAGTTAGTGAATGAGTAAGATGATTTGTGTATTGTGCAGTTTGGCTTTAAGAGCAAAGGAGAACTTAGAGACTATGGGTTCTAGATGCTGTGTCTGCCTTTCACAGTTTCTCTGAACTTTGTGATTGAACTGGATTCATATTGGAGTTATATATCAGACAAAAACCAAAGTCATTGGGCACAAGCAGAATAAGTCCAAATTAAAAGTATAATCATGAGTTTGTTAAATAATGCTTTATATACTTCTTTAAAATATACTTATTTAATATTAAGGATTTTTTTTTCCTTGAATCCATATAATTTGAAAGGTCTAAGGGGAAAAACTTGTTTTGAGCCACTTTATGATGTGAATTCACTTCATAGGAAATAACATGCTTGTTTTTAATGTACTTTAACCCTTTAAAGTACACTGGACCAAATTTTAGAGAGCATATACATAGTGTTATAAAATTTTTAAAGTAGTTAATTTTTATATTCTCGATTATCAAAGCAAAATCATTTAACTTTGAAAAGCTCTTATACTTGTTTTCAGCTTTAGTTATTTGTGTTGCATGTGTATTTTTCCATATAGGTTTTGGAGATTTTAGGTAAGAAGTTTCCTGTTACTGAGAACTCAAAGGGTTACAAGTTGCTGCCACCTTATCTTAGAGTTATTCAAGGGGATGGAGTAGATATTAATACCTTACAAGAGGTATGTGTTTTATATTAAAAGTTTCAATAAGGCATTTCTTATAATTAAGTTTGTTTATGTTTGATAAAGAACACAATATAAATACAATTTTAAGTCTTTGTAAGTGTTTATGTTGGTATAAATCTCTGTGCATTGCTTAAAGTTTAGAAATAATAGTAGTTTAAAATACAGAGGTGCCAGCCAAGCCATACTTACTCTTCCAGTTGTCATTGGCCACCCTGAATGATGAATCTAAAGAAGTATCATTGTGAAACAAGGAAATGTCAGTCAAGAAATATTCCTTGGAATATAAAACAAAGCCTTGACTCTGCTGGCATAGGTCTGAGTTTTCATAGACTGGAGCTTCACAAATCTGTAAAACTCATAATATTAATGGGTGCTTTTTCAGAAATTATAGAATAGCTGCCACCTCTTCTAAATTAAGCATTGACTGTCATCAGTATTAGATTTAGCCAGATAGTATAAGTGTTATGCAGGCGTACCTCATTTTATTGTGCTTTGCAAACATTGCATTTTTTTACAAATTGAAGGTTGTGGCCACCCTGTGTTGAGCAAGTCTGTTGGTGCTATTTTTCCAACATGTATTCACTTCATGTCTGTGTGACACATACTGGTAAATTCTCACAATATTTCAGACTTTGTCATTATATCTGTTATGGTGATCTGTGATTAGTGATCTTCGATGTTACTACTGTGATTGTTTTAGGGCACCACAGGGCACACCCAGATAAGGCAGTGAACTTAATTGATAAATACTGTGTGTGTTGTGACTCCTTCACCAGTTACCCATTCCCTTTCTCTGCTCACTTCAAGTTTCCCTATGCCCTGAGACACAACAGTATTTAAATTAGGTCAATTAATAACCCCACAGTGGCCTCTGAGTATTCAAGTGAATGGAAAAGTCACATCCCTCTCATTTTAAATCAAAACCTAGACATGATTAAGTTTAGTGAGGAAGGCATGCTGAAAGCTAAAATAGGCCTCTTAAGGCAAACAGTAGGCCAAGTTGTGAATGCAAAGGAAAAGTTCTTGAAGAAAAATCAAAGTGCTACTCCACTAAGCATATGAATAAGAAAGTGAAACAGCTTTATTGCTGCTAGGGAGAAAGTTTGAATGGTCTGAATAGAAGATCAAAGCAACCACAACATTTCCTTAGGCTAAAGCCTAATCCAGAGCAAGGCCCTCGTTTCAATTCTGTGAAGCCTAAGAGAGGTGATGAAGCTGCAGAAGAAAAATTGGAAGCTAGCAGAGGTTGGTTCCTGTGGTTTAGGGAAAGAAGCCATCTCCATGAGTGCAGAATGAAGCAGCAAGTGCTGATGTAGAAGCTGCTGCAAGTTACCCAGAAGATCTAGCTAAGATCATTGATGCAGGTGACTAAACAGATTGTCAGTGTAGAGGAAACAGCCTTCCATTGGAAGAAGGTGCCGTCTAGGACTTTCATAACTAGAGAGAAGACAACATCTGCTTTGAAAGGACATGCTAACTCTCATTAGTGGATAATGCAGCTGGTCACTTTTAAGTGGAAGCTAGTGCTCATTTATCATTCTGATAATCCTAGGACCCTTAGAATTTGCTGAATCTACTCTGCCTGTGCTTTATAAATGGAACAACAAAGCCTGGATGACAGCATGTCTGTTTACATCATAGTGTACTGAGTATTTTAAGCCCACTGTTGGGACCGACTGCTCAGGAAAAAAAAAAAAAAAAAAGATTGTTTCGAAATATCATTGCAGATGGCATCTGAGATCTGATGGAGATGTACAAAGAGGTTAATGTTGTTTTTCATGCCTGCTAACACAACGTCCGTTCGACAGCCTATCCATCAAAGAGTAATTTCAGATGCTATTATTTAGGAAATATATTCTTGGCCGGGTGTGGTGGCTCACGCCTGTAATCCCACACTTTGGGAGACCGAGACAGGCAGATCACGCAATCAGGAGATCAAGATCATCCTGGCCAACGTGGTGAAACCCCGTCTCTACTAAAAATACAAAAATTAGCTGGGTGGGGCAATGCATGCCTGTAGTCCCAGCTACTCAGGAGGCTGAGGCAGGAGAATTGCTTGAAGGGAGGCAGAGGCTGTAGTGTGCCAAGATCACGCCACTGCACTCCAGCCTGGGCAACAGAGTGAAACTCCGTCTCAAAAAAAAGAAGAAATATATTCTTAAGTCTGTAGCTGAAAGGGTTCACCATTCTAGATGCCATTTAAGAACATCATGCTTCATGGGAGGACGTTAAAATGTCAGCATTAACAGGAGTTTGGAAGAAATTGATTCCAACCTTCACAGATAACTGAGTCTTGATTTGACTTCAAGACTTCAGTGGAGGAAGTAACTACAAATGTGGTAGAAATAGCTAGATAACTAGAAGTGGTGGAGCCTGAAGATCTGACTGAATTGCTGCAGTCTCATGATTAAACTTGAACAGATGAGGATTTGCTTCATATGGGTGGATACAGAAAGTGGTTTCTTGAGATGAAATCTACTGCTGGCAAAGATGCTGTGAACATCGTTGAAATGACAACAAAGGACTTCGAATATCAGTAAAATCAGTTGATAAAACCAAAGCAGGGTTTGAGAGGATGCACTCCCAATTTTGAAAGAAGTTCTTGTGTGGGTGAACGCTATCGTACCAAACAGCATCGCAAGCTACAGATAAATCTTTCGTGATAGAGTCAATTGACGTGACAAACTTCATTGTTGTCATTTTAAGGCATTGCCACAGTCACCCCAAAACCTTCAGCAACCCTGATCAGTCAGCAGCCATCAACAACAGGGCAAGACCCTCCACCAACAAAAAGATGACTCACTGAAGGCTCAAGTGACCATTAGCATTATTTAGCAATGAAGTATTTTTAATTAAGGTATGTATTTTTAAGACATAATGCTATTGCACACTTAATAGACTACAATGTAGTATAAACATAACTTTTATATGCAATGGGAAATCAAAAAATTCCCGTGACTTGCTTTATTGCAGTGGTCTGGAAGCAAGCCCACAGTATTTTCAAAGTATGCCTGTATTGTCTTAAAATTTTTGCCTCGTTTACTAAATAAGGTTCTTAAGGGCCATAATTTCATCATAACACCTAAAATACTCTGTAGAATATCACTAACATAATGTAGGCCATTTGCATTCAGAAACCACTGACATTTTGATGTATACGAATCTCAGATGGTATCTACAGCTATGAAACACAAGTTTTTTTCTGTTCGAAAGAGTTTGGTGGAGATAGAGTAAGGTCAGTACCCAAATTATAGTAGTTTTCCAAAGATTGTTGTACATAATACTTCTCACTTCCAAATCAAACAGTATTTCTGCGGTGATGGTGTATTTAGAGTTCCAATATGAGGCGTCCGGAATAGATCTCTTGTAATAACAGAGATGAGGTTTCTTCCACTACCTCTTCCAAACTGCCTTGCTTAAGAGAAGTGGGAATTCCTTCAGCTAAGACATTTGGTGTTGGGACATAGGGGCTTTCATGTGGAAAGGAAAAAAGAAATAGAAGAAAAGTCTGCAGGGAGAAGGGGGAGGACCTTACACATAGCAATCTCAGCTGACACACCTAATTGCCGTTTTCCCCTTAGCTCAGCTGAACTGACAGTCTCTTACCTTGGTGTCAGTTAAGTACTGTTCCCAGGTGCCTTTCAGGCACTTTAGCACTTACGTGTATACACAGACACACACACACACCCCTCCCCCTTGCAGGTGAAAGAACATGGCAGGGTACTGTATCTGTTTCAGAAATCCCATTAGCCTGCCTGTTGCTGTGCCTACCTTTCCTTGTTCCAGCAGTCAGCTGTTGGATTGTTCAGGCAAGTTGAACGGAGTTCAAGTTGGGTGTTCAGTCAGGTACTCAAAACTTTCCTTTCAAAAATCAAAGCTCTTCGGCTTTCTTTTCCTTCTTTTCTTTCCTTGTTTATATAAACTTTAGGAATGTATGTGCGATTTTTTTTTTTTGACAGGGACTCAGTCTGTCACCCAGGCTTAGTGCAGTGGTGCAGTCACAGCTCACTGCAGCCTCAACCTCCCAGGGTCAGGTGGTCCTCCCACCTCAGCCTCCTGAGGAGCTGGGACTGCAAGTGTGTGCCACCACACCTGACTCTTTTTTTTTTTTTTTTTTAATGTTTTGTAGAGATGGGGGTCTCACTGTTTCCCAGTCTGGGAAACAGTCTCAACTGTTTGGCCTCGAACTCCTTGACTCAGGCCTCCTAAAGTGCTGAGATTACAGGTGTGAGCCACCATTCCCAGCCTGTATGTGCATCTGTATAGTTGAGAATCAGCCCAAAACTGTACATGAATAAACTACATAAACAAGAATATTGAGATAAATACTCTTTGGCATTAGTGAAACTTAAACAGAACAATTAGAGGATTGAATCGTTTTGTGTTAATGCAGATGTACTCAGGAAGGAAAAATATCTTTTTCTCTTTTTTTTTTTTGAGATGGAGTTTTGCTCTTGTTGCCCAAGCTGGAGTGCAGTGGCACAATCTCAGCTCACTGCAACCTCTGCTTCTCGGGTAGCTGGGATTACGGGCGTGTGCCACCACGCCCGGCTACTTTTTGGATTTTTAGTAGAAATAGGGTTTCACCATGTTAGCCAGGCTGGTCTCGAACTGCTGACCTCAGGTGATCTGCCTGCCTCGGCCTCCCAAAGTGCTGGGATTACAGGCGTGAGCCATTGCGCCTGGCCAGAAAAATACCTTTAAAAAGCTGGGCCTGTTGGTGTACCTAAAGGATAATACAGATGTTCCTCTCAACTTAGCATGGGGTTGTGTCTCAATAAACCCATTTTTAAGTTGAAAAC